>NC_000008.11:61552265-62177265 GCF_000001405.40 Homo sapiens
TGCATAAATCGTAAATCATGGTAGACTGTGACAGAGTTTTGAAATTTATAGCATGCGATGTCATGATTAATGAGACAATGTTATGGTTATAGAAGCAGACACTGTACTCAGAAAAAGGTAACCATTACAAAGGAAACATGGAACTTTTTTAGCTACTACATTTTTTGTGTCAATCCCTATCATTACTATCACCACAATGTTCGTCTTAAACTTGGTATTAAATATTTCAGAGGATAAGTTACACAACTAACCATTAGGATCTGTGTGATTAGGAATCAGCTGATAAAGACTTCATTCTAAAAAGAACTACTTTTAAAAGTCCAAAATAAAACAAAAATGAATCTAGTCAAACTGTTAAAATATTTCTAAAAATTTAAATTATTTCAGTGACATCTCTTCATTTCAAAATTTAAAAAATACTTTTCCAAGGCAATTTCTATCTCTCTGTACACACACAGACACACACACACAGATACACACAGACAAAAACATACACAGACATGTACCAACTTAGAGATTGCTTTTGTGATTACTTAGCTGATTTCTTGAAAGAAACTATAAAAGCCAAATCCCAAAAATTCTTTAAAGGGTTAAGCTGGAGTTGTTGGGTTGTTCCAAAGATAGTTTAAGTAACTAAATAGTTTATATCACTGCTTTCGAAAGTTCACACTCAAAATATTTTTTGAATTCTAACTTTCCTAGAAATAATTATTCTCCCAACTCCATCCTCTGTTAGAGAGAATCAGAAATTCATATACCCATTACCTCTTTGTTCCCAACCCTCTGCATGGCATCCCCCAGGTGGAAATAAAATCTCCCATCATCAGTGCCAGGATCTCCGGATTCTATTCCTTCCTGTAGAAAGGACAGTGTTAGTATGGGTAAAATAATTAAATACCAGATTCCATTAATTGATTTACATAGCTTTTCTTATGGCACATCGTATGAAAACCTAAAAACCAGAAAAATATATCTCCATATTAAACTTTGGGAATGAGGTTACTGGTCAACATTTGCAATGCCAAAACAAAAGGAGGTCATAAAGCTAAATTTAACAATGCATTCATCATTAATTCACTGTGGAATGGCCCACAAAATTAGTATGATACTTTGTGTACCTTCTGTGTGGGAACAATCATATTTCAATATTTTGAAGAATTTCTCTGGCTGGATAGCTCTTACATTTATTTTGCTCTCCAAATCTGACCATATGTCATCTAGAGGCTTTTTATTCCTAAACCAAAATGTTTAACTGCTCATGTTTGAAGTGATGGCAGTCCAACTGCGAGCATTATTTCTTTCCATTCAAAACAAATGTGTCCTTACCTTTTAATGATTTTTTTTTTTTTTACAAAACATACAGGAGAATTAAAGCCAATTTGAATCTTTAAAAATGTAATTTTTATTAAACAAATCCCTATTCTAAAACATTTACCTAATTCTCTGATTTCTCACACAAGGACTGAAATTGAGATTGATGAACCCCATTCCCGTCCCCACAAAGAGAAAAGAGAAAATATTAAAGCAACAGAATGCGTTTAGAAAAGCAGAAGGACAAAAGTTAAAAATATGTAAATGTCAAGGACTTCTTTCTAAAAATCTGCATCCTTGAGGCCTCTTCACAAGAAGCCTATTATCTTTCACTAGGAAGAAATTGTATTTACATAATGTTGGAAATGAGCAAGCTGCACGATAGAATGGGAAAGGCATCATCACTCAGGAGAGGAAGGGAGCTGTGGCGAGGGCTTCTAATTGACCAACACTCAAGTGTCCTTGCTTGATAACTGACCAGGCCAGCTCTTGCTTTCCCTATCTCTGAAGCAGGCAGAGTACCAGTAAGCCATCCTATGTCAAAGGAAATGTAAGGAGACACTTTAAATCACAGAAACCCACATGCCCACAGGGCCCTGGCAGGAAATATGAAGTGCTTGACAGGGGTCCAGGGACAGCCCCATCCCAAGGGGGGATCACTGCTTGTCTGTGTGCAGGGAAGTGAGCCAGATATGACGTTTCAAGAGAAACTAGAAGTCTGCATAATTATATAAAAATGCTCAGATTCTCAAATAAGGCAAGCAATTAAAATGGTTTTTAATAGAACCATGCCAGCCAAATAAAACATGCAAGCTATTTGCAATCAGTGGGTTACTATTTGGGATCTCTGATTTAAGTCATGTGAAAGAAAGAGATCATAAAAGTGGAATATATTGATACTTAAAAAAAAAGCCTACAGCTATCTAATTAGCTATGTCCAATATGGTAGCTGCTAGCCACACATTACTGCTAAATTAAAATAAAATGAAAAATTCACTTCCTCAGTCCCAGTGGCCACATTTCAGGTGCTCAATGGCCACATGTGGCCAGTGGCCATCATATTGGAGAACACAGATAAAAAACATTTCCATCACAGTAGAAAATTCTTTTTTTTTAGAGACTGGGTCTTGCTCTGTTTTTTTTGTTTGTTTGTTTTTTTAATATTATACACATTTTTTAGAGACAGGGTCTCAGTCTGTCGCTCACGCTGGAGGGCAGTAATGCATTCACAGCTCAATGCAGCCTCGACCTCCTGGGCCTGAGTAGCTGGGACCACAGGCATGTGCCACCACATCTGGTTGATTTTTAGAATTTTCTGTAGAGATGGGAATCTCACTAGGTTGCCTAGGCTGGTCTCAAACTCTTATCCTCAAGTGATTCTCCCACCTTGGTCTCCAAAAGTGTTGGGCTTACAGGTGGGAGCCACTGCACCTGGCCCACAGCAGAAAATTCTACTGGGAAGCCCTGGTCTACACCACCTGTGATTCTGCTGAATTGATGAGGATTTAATTAGATATGAGAAAAAAGGCATATTTTAATTTGAATATTTTGAGCAATGACCTTTTCAGCCAGTATTTGTTACCTAACTTTGTGTGGGTAGTTAAGAGTACTATTCTGAGTACAGTAAATATATAATTAACTTGTAAAAGGAACATATAATGCATTGTCTATATTTAATACATATGTGTATATATATATTTTATTTATTTATTTATTAATTTTTTGAGACACAGTTTCACTCTGTTGCCCAGGCTGGTGTGCAACTTCTCCAGGGTTCTCCTGGGTTCTCCAGACTTCTCCAACGTCTCCTGGGTTCAAGTGATTCTCATGCTTCAGCCTCCCAAGTAGCTGGGATTACAGGTGCACACCACCACACCAGGCTCATTTTTGTATTTTTAGTAGAGACAGGGATTCACCATGTTGGCCAGGCTGGTCTCGAACTCCTGACCTCAGGTGACCACCCACCTTGGCCACCCAAAGTGCTGGGATTACAGGCATGAGCCACCACACCCGGCCTATTGTCTTTATTTAAAAATATTTAAAGTATCACTAATTTTGTCTGCCTTTGCCATTTATTTAAAAACTAATAACAACTTCAGTTTTATAAATTTTAAAATAAAATATTTTCCAAATCATCTCTGCTCAAGTGGTTGGTATCCTGACATCTGACACTTTTGGTTACAGTGGAGGCCCACGCTGCTTATGAATGTCATGGTCTGAGGGTGGACATCCTGAGGATGAAAATACTCAGCAGTGCATGCAATCAATCTACAAGGAATAAGCAAGTGTGTCCCAATAACTCGAAGGACTTGAAAGATGAAAGGAGAGGAGAAGCAGTGAGCATTACCTTTAAATATGGGATGCTCTCAGCAATTTTGTTCTGTGCCTTCAGGATGAAGCCATAATGGACTTTAGCAAAGCCATCATTAGGTGTCACACTCAGCACCTAAACTCAAAGAAAACACAGAACATAACTCAAAGAAAACATAGGTGATTGCTTAGAAAATTCTACAGATGACTGTCAAAACCAGTTTTAATTAGCTTTGTTGTACTTGGATTGGATTATGATGTTACAGCTGAAAACACCATAGTACTTTGTCTCATGGCAATATCATTAAGCTTAAATGGCTCCATTTCCTCTCAACTCAATATGCTTTGCACATTTACACAATGGTTCTTCAAGAATGAAGAAATGAATGAAAAGGCAATAACCGTTAAAGCATCACTTTAACAATGCAAATCAGCAAAATATCTCTCAATTGATATGACTTCAATATTTTTTAGTGATCAAGGGAAAATGGCTTTAAATTTGCTATACTTGAAGACAATTCTGAATGGTTATTAGACATCACTTCATATACAAGCTTTATACATTGCCTTAATTAAGAGAAAATTTAGATTTGCATTTGTAATACATCACAATCCATTCATTCAACAGAAAACTTCTTGAGTGCCCAGACCATTTTAAGCCCTGAAGATAAAGTGGTGAGCAAATCCAATATTCTGTGATAAAACCCAGGTAAATATTTCATATAAATCACATCACTGTTTATTATTATATGCATTCATTATGATTTAAAGATAAATTATGCAAAGTGCCTCTAAATTAAATATTAATAGTGAGAAACCAGAACAACAACATTCAACTTGAAAAGCTACTTAGACAAACTAATTTATGGAACAAAAGAGAAGGATGGAGAAGGTTTGAGTCGGTGCATGTGCATGTAGGGAAAGATGCATCTCCCATCTCTTCTCTCCATCCTTGAGACTGAGTAGAAAAAGGGAAGTCACAGCCACAGTAGGACTACAATGGGGTTACACAGAAGGATCAAGTGTACACGCAGGGGACACCAGGCCCTCGGGGGGCCCACACAACACACACTGCAGATGCTGTAGCATTTTCAGCTTGCATCTTGTCCTGAACCTCATCGATTAGCAAATCTGGCCAACACTACCTTCAAAATATATTCAGAAACATACCATGTGTCACTTCCTTCACCACTGCTACCCTGACCCAAGAGAGGTGTCTCATCATCTCTCTATATCTTCTTACAGGAGCCTCCTCACTGCAGATCCTCTGCACACATGGCCCTGACCCTGTGTAGTCCACTCTCCGCTTGCTAAATCCTAGGTCAGATCTCAACCCTCCTCTGCTGCATTGCACTCAGAGTGAGTGCAAGATAGGGTTCCTGGAACCACCCCCAAGGCCTCCCTTGGCTGGGCCTCTCCATTGCTCTGGCCTCCTCTCCTGCCCCTGCCCCTCCCAGCCAAGCCTCTGAGGCATGTTGGACTTCTTGCTGCTCCACAGCAAGCCAAAGATACCCCTGCCTCAGGGTCTTTGCATTCACAGTATCCCTCTGGCTCAGACTCTTCCGCCAGACATCCCCACAGCAAGCTCCCTTACCTCCGTGAAGCCTACCCCTGACCATTACCCGCATTACTAAAACTGAACCCCCTCCATCCCTAGTCACTCTCCAACTTCTTTACCTTGTCTCACTTTTCTTCATAGCACTTATCACCGTCTGACCTAGTATACTTTTATTTCTCCCACTAAGATGCAAGCTCTACAGGGATTTTGTCTGTTTTGCTCATTGCTCATCCCCACTGCCTGTTATGCATAGCATAGCATTCAGGTGCCCGAGAAACCTGTACTAAATGCTCAGATGAGTACATGCTGGGCTTTCCTCCCTAACTAGACCTCTGAAAGCCCAGATCCTGCTTCTCTGCAGTTTCCACAGTACTGTTCCCAAGCTAGACATTGAGCAGGAGCTCAATAAATACCTCTGGCATTGAACTAAATTGACACAGATGATGATTCTGCCAGCATAACCATGGAGGGATTATCATAATTATTACAGCTACACAGATGACATTTCTGCCTACTGCAGGCACACAGCCATTATCTCAAGTAATTAACAAATTTATTGATTTACTAGACATCTTAGAACACACAGAACTCTTCCAGGCCCTGGGCATAGAAAGATAAATGAGATATACTCTCTTTTCTCAGGGGGCTCTCACTCAAGTGAGGGAGACAGATTTAGAAGTAGACAAATTTAGAAGTAGACAATGCAAGATGGTAAATGTAGCTATAGATAGGCACGAAGCATGCAGGGGTTATATAAGAGGGGCACCTGGCTCACTCTAGGATGAGTGTGGGTGGGGCCAAGCTCTGAAAGGTATTTAGGGATAAATAGGAGTTCACCAGGAAAAGGAAGTGTGGGATGATGGAGGAAAAGGCATTCAAGGTATATTAGAAAGTGAGTAGAAAGGGATAGTGGGCCAGGAAAAGCAAAAGAGAATGTTGTTAAATTATGAACAAAAGGTGATAGCAGAAGAGACTGGAGAAAAGGCAGAAGTCAAATTAAATCACAAAGGGTCCTGTTTAGTATCAAGTACAAGGTAATCTCCTGGGGAGTAGAAAAAAATTACATACACTTCTACTTGTATCTGTCTCTCAAATAGTGTGAAACAAGCTCTGTGGCTCTACTGTGATCTGCACGGTGGACAGCCATGTGTCCCATTCAGGAAAAACACTGTCAGGAGGCGAGGTTCAGGGCTCAGGCCCCAGGGCAGCTGACAGTGCTGCCCTCCCTGCTTGCTTCTTTGTGCGTGGGTACCATGCTCACTGCAGTTTATATGCGAATGTGTAATGGACATGCAGGTTGTATTATCTAGTTGTAATCAACAAACCCTCAGAAAATGACAAGTGGTTTTATGAGATTTCTAAAAAACCCAGATTGAGGCTACAGTTGCCCTTTGAACAACATTGGTTTGAAATGCATGGATTATCTTCCGCCTCTGCTGCCCCTGAGACAAGACCAACTCCCCCTCATCCTCCTCCTCTTCCTCGGCCTAGTTAAGGTGAAAACAGTGAGGATGCAAACTTTAATCATCCACTTCCTCTTAATGAATAGCAAATATATTTTCTCTTCCTTATGGCTTTTAC
The DNA here is from genome assembly GCF_000001405.40 of Homo sapiens. Taxonomy (NCBI): domain Eukaryota; kingdom Metazoa; phylum Chordata; class Mammalia; order Primates; family Hominidae; genus Homo; species Homo sapiens. The sequence continues at coordinate 61,559,026 of NC_000008.11, forward strand.
AGTTTCTTTTTCTAATTTTTTAATTTTTGTAGGTACATAGTAGGTGTATGTATTTATGGGGTACATGAGATATTTTGATACAGGCATACTATGCATACTAATTACATCATGGAAGATGGGGTATCCAGCCCCTCAGACATTTATCCTTTGTGTTACAAATAATCCAATTATATGCTTTTTAAAATAACATGTTCTTTTCTCTAGCTTACTTCATTATAAGAATATAACATATAGTACATATACAAAATATGCGTTAATCGACTGTTTATGCTACCCGGTGGCTTCTGGTCAACAGCAGACTATCAGTAGTTAAGTTTTTGGGGAGTCAAAATGTGCACATGGATTTTCAACTGCCCAGGAGGTTAGCATCCCTAACCCCTGTGTTGTTCAAGGGCCAAATGTAATATTAGACAGATTGTCTCTCTCTTTCTCTCTCTCTATAAAACACACACATCCATACACAAACACAAAGCACAGACAAAAACAACCACAACCTCATACAGCCGACATTTCTATCCCCAGTACAAACTCTTTGCGTGATACATTCCTGGGATTTTAAAAAGTTATATAATCATAAAATCATAAATATTAATTTTTCAGCAAGAGTTAAAAGATTTTCTGGCAGTTAAATAGAATTTTATATTTGACATCATCTTAAAAATTGTTTTGGGGTATGTACCTTTTGTAATGCACATGTATATTAGTGCATATATATATACATAATATTATGTGGGTACATACATGTACACATAACATATAAGTACATAAACATATCTCAGGCATTTGCTTGAACATTTTAGTCTGGAAGGGCCGCCATCAAGCATGTTTGAAGACCACTGCTGCAGGAAATGAGAACCACAGAAGATTTAAAGCCGAGGGAGATGATCAGGGTTGTGTTTTAGTGTTGGTGAGGGTTGGGGGGGGGAGCAAGCTAGGACAGGATAAACCTGTCCCTGCTCAGGCAAGAGATGACGGGTGCTTTGGTTACAAAGGGAAGGGATTTGAAAGTTAATCAGAAGTTAAAATGAACACAAATTCGTGATTTGGTACCAGATTATAAACTTCATGTGGGCACATTCTGCGTGTGTTTCATGAACTACTGTTTCTCTAGCTAGTGTGTATGGGTTTTAATAGATGTGTGTTGGCTGAGTGAATGGGTATACGTGAGCAGTGGCGGGTGAGTCAGGAGTGGCATGAAACTCCCCACTGTAACACCTGGGCAGCTGCTAATGTTGCCAACTTGCAAGAGAATCCCAGGAGGGGCCGCAAAAAGCCACAGACTGGAGCAAATGATGTCACACCATTTTAAAGCCAGTTTCTTTGTTGCAACTAAAAGCAGCAAAAAGCTGGAAAAATAAAAATATCAATGATTTTTATAAATGTACTCAAAAGTAAAAATTAACATGAAGAAAAATATAAAATTACAATGTCTGTTTTCTAAAAATGATCTTTAACATAAACATATCAAGAAAAACCTTGGTTAATGAAAGAGACTCCATTAGATAATAGCTTATTAACTTAAAAGTGAGAGGACCGGAAAAAAGGCGACCCCCACACATATTTTCAGTCTATTCATGCTTTAAAAAAAAAACTCATTCAATTGAATAATATCCTTATATTTTAGACTTTCTGCATCCTATTATGCATATTCAGATGAGATTATGATATAAAATGTATAAACAACAGGTAAATTTTATTTTTCGGGATGAAGTAAAATGTTTCACATATCTGAGATTTAGCGTCAGGTAAAGGGATGAATATCCTGAAGGGAGGTTTTAAAAAGGTGAGGAAGGACAAATCCACAGTGTATTAGAGAAACCAGTATGCTGTCAGATCCTGCCCTAACCTCAAACGTGCTTGCACCCAGTCAACACTTCAGAATGTTTTTTAGATGGAAAGAAAGAAGGAGGAAAGGGTGCAGGAAGGTAGGAAGCGAGAGAGGGAGGGGTAGAGGGACAGAAGAAAGAAAATAGGGAAGAATTCTACAAGGAAGGAAGGGAATGAGGAGTAAGGGAAGGAAGGGAAGAAGGAAGGAACGAAGGAAGGGAGAGAGGGAGGGAGGGAGGGAGGGAGAGAGGGAGGGAGGGAGGGAGGGAGGGAGGGAGGGAGGGAGGAAGGAAGTTAGGAATTCTACAAGTTCCATTTTTGTGGCCTCTGACAGTGACAAACTAATGGATATGTTTGTTATAGCTTCACAATTCTTACATTCACAGACCCTGATTCACTGAGGTATATGATGCTTCTCTTAACCATACTCTGTAAGACAGGGCATTGAGTGTTATGTGTTGGCCATTAACAAATGCAATGTTCCACATGGAATTAATTTATGACCTGGAATAGGTCTTTAGTAAATGGCACACATTGTCAACATTAAAGGTTCAATCCACCCTGTGTAGCTATTAGTGATGTTATAAAAGCAAAGGTCTTATTTCTGTTCTCTCAGAAAATATAAAAATTATGAGAAAGGTAAAAAGACAACTGCTTCACAATTCAATGATTTTCATTACACAATAATAGCAATACACAGAGGAAAGTACCGCTTTGAGGATAGACCCAGTCCCTACCAGAGTATGAAACTGCTGTTCTTGATGGCATTTAAAAAATACTGTAAAAGGAGTAGGGTGAGATGACTTGTGCCTGTAATCCCAGCTATTTGGGAGGCCTGAGGCAGGAGGGTCACTTGTGGCCAGGAATTTGAATCCAGCCTGGATATCATAGGAAGACCTCACCATCACTAAAGAATTTTTTAAAATTTAGCTGGGCATGGTGGCATGTGCCTGTAGTCCCAGCTACTTAAGAGGCTGAAGCAGGAGGATTGCTTGAGTCCGGGACATGGATGTTGAGGTGAGCTATATCATGTCATTACACTCCAGTCTGGGCAACAGAGTGAGACCACGTGTCAAAAACAAAAACAAAAGCAAAACAAAACTGTAGCAGAAATCATACTATCACTGAGTGGTAGCATATTGATGTAGACTTCACCAGCTTGAAAACCATTGATCAAAGGGCCTAAATTAAAGAATAACAAGTAAACATGTTCATCTTTCTTTTACAGAGGCGCTAACTTTCTCCATCTTCAAAATTCATTGGGCATCCTGTTCATTCTGTACCAAATGAATTCCTCCACTGCCTAAAGAAGTCACATTTCTCTAGATTTTCTAGTTACTTGTGACTTAGAGGTTATCTATCAACATCTGTTATAAAGTAGAAATCCTTTGAAAGGTATCCTTGCCAGAGGATTTGAAGAGTCAGTGCCCTGCTGAAAAGTAATTTATGTCACATGCTTGAAAGGCCCCTGTTCTATATAGCCTCTCTCTAGACCATACTTCTGCCAAAAAAAAAAAAAAAAAAAGGAAAGTGTGTCTGTGTGTGTGTGTGTGTGTGTGTGTGTGTAACATTCACAGGAACTTAAATTCTTCTTCCTGTCATGAAGAACAATTTTAGAAAGACTATGTATGGAAAGATAAATATGAAGTTTTAAAAGAATCACAATTATAAGTTGAAGGCTTTAATGTACTAAGTGTTAACTAAGATTTAAAAATCTTCTGATCTAGGAAGAAAAGCAATGTTAAAACATAGTTTAGAATATGTTAACTATAATAATACTTACATGCTTTTTAACTTAATTTAAAATAAAGAGAGACTGGGTATAATAAATGTAATTTGCAAATAGCCTTAGAACTTAATTTGACGTAGTTAATACAAGATTGATGCTTACCTCTTCATAAACTTTCTTTGCATTGTCATTATCTCCTATCAAGAGGTATCCCACGCCAAGGTCATTTTTTAAGGAAGTATCATTGGGAAATAGTTGAACTAATCTCTGCAGGGTAAGCAGGGAACCTCTCATATGACCTGAGTAGGTGGGAATTTAAAAAAAATAGAAATAAAAACAGATTATGTACACTTTTGTATTGAGAATGTAAGTCATGAGAGACTATTCACCAGAGCCTGAGAACCAGCTCAAATCTGGCTTTATTAGTGGTTTACTAAGTACCTAGTAGGATTTCATAATGTAGTTGCAATGGTATTAATAACTGCCATAAGTAGATACTGAATATGGTATTGATTATAAACATCTAAAGACATTCTCATTTTTTACATTCAGCAATGTTTACCATTTTATGTTAAATTCCTTCTCAAGAAAAACTTAGTTAACAATTCCTCGTTAAAAAAAAAAGTTCTGCTGAAATCTTTTTGGTTTATTAACTTTATGAATAGGGGATAAGCAATAAAAAGTCTTAACTAACTTCAGGGTCTAGCACCCTGTATGCAATTCGAAAAGGCACCAAAGTACATAGGACAGTACCTAACTGCTGACACATCCCCTATGAATGACAAGTGTACTCATCTCTAGGTAATGACCTAGTCATGGAGCAAATGATACATCATCCAGTATTATGGGGCCCTCTCGTGGACAAAGGCATACTTTGCACGCATGAATCATGAAAAAACCCAGCTTCAATTATCTGTATAAAAGAACATGTGCAAAAAGAGGACTAGCATCAACGAAAAAAGCCATGAATTATCTAAAGGGCTTAGTTGCCCACAATCTAGGAGAGTGATGGGAGTGTCAGTACGCTAAAGCAGCTGTATATTCCACTGCCAAACCATCTGCCATAAAGCATCACCAACTCATCCGACGGCCTATGCCCCATTACCAGCCAATCATATTCCAACCAGAACCCTAGTCATTTCCTCACTAACAAATCTGGGCTTCCTTTTCTATACCTTTCCTTCCCCCTATCTGCCCACCTAGGCTCACACTTTCTTCTAGAAATCTCCTATTATCCACAACAAAAGCATGGACACAAACTCCTCCTTGCAGCCATCTGCTCCCCATCCCTTCCACTCTGCATCTGGGAACCCTGTTGTGTTGTGACCAACTTCACCACCATGTCATTTTCACTAAAATCTTCTGTCTCCATTTGCCTCAGAGCCTCCTCGAGTGAACTTGCTTTATTCTCAAGGACATTCTGAGAGGACTACATTCAAATGCTGATGGATTGCTGTGGAAGAGGCAGTCACCTTCCCAGGGCCGAGGACAGGGTGAGGCCAGAGAGGCACTCAGAGTTAGATTTCAGAGGATGCCAAAAAAGTTCATAATTTTGATGTGAAGGCTAGTTTAATGCATCCTTTTAAAAAATCAATATTAATGTAAAACATTCATGATGAAGAAAATGTTAACACTTTAGTGACAGAATCACTAAACAGTGCTAAGCAGAGCCATAGTGGAGACTGAGGCAAGAGGAAAACTCAGTAATGCTGATTCTTTTTTTTTTTTTTTTTTTGAGATGGAGTCTTGCTCTGTCGCCCAGGCTGGAGTGCAGTGGCATGATCTCGGCTCACTGCAATCTCTGCCTTCCGGGTTCAAGTGATTCTCCTGCCTCAGCCTCTTGAGTAGCTGGGATTACAGGTGCCCGCCACTATGCCCGGCTAATTTTTGTATTTTCAGTAGAGACCAGGTTTCACCATGTTGGCCAGGCAGGTCTGGAACTCCTGACCTCAGGTGATCTGCCCATCTTGGCTTCCCAAAGTGCTGGGATTACAGGCGTGAGCCACTGCGTCCGGGCAGTAATGCTGATTCTGCGTCCATGGCGAGTGCCCGCATTGCCTCTCTGGAGTCCCGGCCCTGCCTTTTCTGTGCTGAATTTGTGCTGCATGTTTTTGTTCTGCTGCACTGGTCCCTATGAATATTAGTCTAACTGACCATTTCTTATCATTTTTAATCATCACATGGACTTTAGTCCTATTTTATTTATCTACAAAAGTGATACAACTCCTCTTCATTCTAATCCTCGGAAAACTGATAGGAGGGTCCATTGGGCCTTGACTCTAATCTATAGGAGCCTCCCCTAAGTGACATTAATAATCTGTCCATGTAACTATCTTGCCAGCCGAGCACCTGCCTTGGCAGTGACTCATAGCTTAGCTCCTTCCCTCCATGTTGACTGATGATCTGTTATGGGAAGAGAATTGTAAGCCTGGTTATCGTGAAGTTAGCTAACAGCTAGTCTTACTTGCCTTTGGTACTGGGAACCTGGGTCAGTCCAGAGGATGGTATATGATGTTCTATATTATGTATGCTACTTTTAGCATCTAGCTGGTATCATTTTTCCTCAAATGATAGTCTTTAGATTGTAGCCTCCTAAATCTGATGATATATGATATGATGTTCTTTTCAAAGTATTTGCAAATTTACTTCATGTTTTTTTTTCTAGCATTTTCCTTGATATAGGGTCAAATCTTACCAGTAAATTTTTTTTAGAGTACCAGAAACAGCTATTATTCATTTATACAAAATTTCCACAGATAATTTCAACCTCCATGAATCATTTTGCTATAGTTAAGGAAGAAAAGAATTTGGTATCACAGGAAGAGTTTTTTATTCCAGACCTATTAATCTATTAGCTATGATTCCTTAGGCAAATTATACAAGCTATCATAAAATGGGAAGAAAGAGGGAGAAGAGAGCTAGCAGAGATTTGTTCATGAAATTTAAGGGAAGAAAACATCTCCATAAGATAAAAGTGTAAGATGAAGTAGCAAGTGCTAATGTAGAAGCTGTAGCAAGTTTCCAGAAGATCTAGCTAAGATCATTGATGAAGTGATCTACACTAAACAGCTAAGATCACTGATGAAGTGATCTACACTAAACAGCAAATTTTCTATGTAGACAAAATCACTGTCTATTGGAAGAAGATGCCATCAGGACTTTCATAGTGAGAGAGGAGAAGTCAATGCCTGCTTTCAAAGTTTTGAGGATACACCTACTGTGTTGTTAGGAGCTAATGCAGCTGGAGACTTTAAGTTGAAGCCAGTGCTCACTTACGATTTTGAAAAACCTGGGGCCCTTAAAAATTATGCTAAATCTACTCTACTTGTGCTCTATAAATGGGAAAACAAAGTCTGGATGATAGGACATCTAGCATGGTTTGTTGAATATTTTAAGCCCACTGTTGAGTCCTTAAAAAAGATTCCCTTCAAAATATTACTGCTCACTGATAAGCACCTAGTCACCAAGAACTCTGATGGAGATGTATAAGGAGGTGAATGGTGTTCTCATGCCTGCTAACACAACATCCATTCTGCAGTTCATGGATCAAGGAGTAATTTAGACTTTTAAGTTCTATTATTTAATAAATACATTTTATTTAAATGTCACAATATAAAAACTAACAGGAGTTTGGGGAGGAAGTTGCTTCCAACCCTCATTAATGACTTTGAGGGGTTCAAGACTTCAGTGGAGGAAGTAACTACAGATGTGGAAATAGCAAGATAACTAGAATTAGAAGTGGATCCTAAAGATGTGACTGATTTGCTGCAATCTCATGATCAAACTTTAATAGATGAGTAGTTGCTTCTTACAGATGAGCAAAGAAAGTGGTTTCTTGAGACTGAATGTACTCCTGGTGAAGATGCAGTGAACATCGTTGAAATGGCAACAAAGGATTTAGAATATTCCATAAACTTTGTTGATAAGGCAGTGGCAGGGTTTGAGAGGATTGACTCCAATTTTGAAAAAAGTTCTGTAGGCAAAATACTGTCAAACAGCACTTCAAACTACAGATAAATCTTTCCTGAAAGGAAGAGTCAATCAATGCAGCAAACTTCATTGTTGCCTTATTTTAAGAAATTGCCTCAGTCACCCCAACCTTCAGCAACCACCACCCTGATCAGTCACTGGCTATTAACATTGAGGCAAGACCCTCCATCAGCAAAAGGATTACAACTCACTGAAGGCTCAGATTATCGTTAGCATTTTTTAGCAATAACATATTTTTAAATTAAGGCTTGGACATTGTCTTTTAAACCATAATGTTATTTCACACTTAAGACACTATGACATAGTATAAATACAACTTTTAGATACCCTGGGAAATCAAAAAATTTGTGTAACTCTCTTTATTCTGATGGTCTGGAACCAAACCCACAGTATCTGTGAGGCATGCCTCTATTAAGATTAGGATTACAATTTCAGTTTTAGAGATGGTGAGCCTAGGACAGACACATTACTTGAAATCAGTTGTAAAACTCAGGTTTTCTCCCACGTAATTCTTCTAAGAGAAGAATACACTCTTCAGCTTCTTCAAGATAAAACATATGCCATTTCCTACTGAATTACCTTTGATTGCATCTTACCTAGAAATTGTTGCCTGTCTGAGCGACGCTTCAAACTCAGCTTCAGCAGGTCTGCAGGGACATCAGGTAGGCTGGCCACCTCTTGGTAGGTCTCGATGGCTCCACGTAGCACCTCATTACTTCTCCTCTTCTCAGCCAAATCATCCTCACACTAGAAGAAGTCCCCAGACTGGATAAATGTCCCATGACTAGCTGTGTTTGTAATTACCCAAAATATTCATAAAAAGTTAACTTTTGGACATGCTTTAAAAGAAATGTAAGACACGTTAGCCTTTTCTCCTTATCAAGAGATAAAAAAAACTAACAAAAGATAGAAAATCAACACACTATTTTAATAATACAAGGTAAAGTTTGTTACTAAAGACAAGAAAGAATGTCATAAATGCAGGACTAATACACGCTGGGGCTGATGGAGATGTACGTCCTATTACACACTAACATTATATAGGCAGGTCTCCAGCCCAAGTTCCCGTTCTTTCATTAATTTATTCGTGTATGCATTCGTTCATTTAACAACTGTTTTCTGGGAAAGAGGCACTCTTCTACAAATGTGGCAGGCATATTGAACAAAACTGACAAAGCCCTTTTTGCTTCTACTTTGCATCCATTTTGGAAAGGTGGCAAATATAATAAACAAATAAAGGTACTATGTGTCTAACAGCCATAAGTGCTGTGGATAAAAACAAAGCAGGCTTAGGAGTGCTGGGTAGGAATGGTAAGGAGTTGCTAATTTAATCAGGATAATTGGGGAGGGCCTGAAAGAAGAGAGGGAGCAAATTATGAAGATACCTTGGGGAGTAGCATTCTAGGCAGGGAAAAGAGCAAGAGCAAAGGCTTGGAGGTAGGAGTGAGGAATCGAGGACAGGCCAGTGCAGTGGAGGGGAGGAAAGGGAAGACCAATGGAGGCCATGAGGTAAAGTAGGGCCTGGCAAGATATTGACAATTCTAGTACACAAAGTGAGACGGGAAGACAATGGGGGCTTTTGAAATGATCTGATGTATGTATTGAAGGGATCATGGTGGCAGCCGTATGGAGAACAGACTGAGAAGCTGGGAGAGGCAGAACACTCCAGCAGGAATCCAGGTGTGGGATGGTTATGGCTTGGACTAAGGTAGCAGTAATGGAAGTGGTAACAAGTGGTCAGATTATAGATACATTTTGAAGGTCAGAGCCAACAGATTTGCTGATTGTCTAAATGTAGGGTGTGAGAAAGGGGGAGAGAGAAAAACCATGAATGAACAAGGTTTGGGCTTCAGTGATTACTGGATGAACCGTCATTCCTTGAGAATGGGAAGAAAGGGCAAAAGCAAGTTTGGGGGCAGTATAGAATCAGGAGATTTGTTTTGGACATATTAAACCTAAAATGTCTATAAGATATCCAAATGGAGTTACTGACCAGGAAGGGGCATATATGAGTCTGAAGTTCAGGAGGGAGGTCAGAGTAAGAGAAGTTAAGTGTGGGAATCATCAAGGATGAAGATGGTATGTAAAGCTAGGAAGCTAGAAGCAGTCGAGAGTGTAGACAGAGAAAAGAAGCGGTCCAAGAACTGAATCCTAAAGAACTCCAATGTTTAAAGGTCATTAGAGATCAGGATAACAAGGGAGGAGCAGCAAAAAGGAGGGAGCACCACAGTACTGCAGGTTCAAGAGAACATGAGATGGAAGGAGGTGGAGATAACTCTTTTGAAGAGTTTCACTGTAAAGGGGAGCAGAAAAATGAGCCAGCTGGCAGAGGGTAATGTGCAGACAAGGGGAGTTCTTTAAGGATGGGACATAGTACAGCATGCTTCCAAGGAGATGCAAGAGACTCAGTAGAGAGGGAAAATCTGATGATACAGAAGGAGACACAAAAATTAGAGGGATGTCCTTCAGCAGGTGAGAGAGGAACAGGGACCAGAATAGTCCATCTGTGCTAACAGGAGGGAAGGCAGAACATACAGGCACAGGTAGAGGATGGCTGTTAGCAAAGTAGCAGCATCAGGTGGAAATTGTCTGGATATTTCTATTTTCTTAACGAAAAAAGAATCAACATTCTTAGCTGGAAACTGAGAATGGAGAGTAAAATACTGGAGTCAGGAAGAGAGAGGAGAATGTGTAAAATGTCATCAATATCTCATCAGATTTAGGAGGCTACAATCTGAAGCCTATTATTCGAGGAAAAATGATTCTGGCTAGATGCTAAAAGTAGCATATATTTTTTTTTCTCAGAATATTTAAACATGTTTATGTTGTTAAAATGTGTGCTGTAGTTAATATATAGATGTATGCAGAATCAAAATAAAGTATCGCTCCATAATTTGAGGGCACAGTAAGAAAATGACCCATCCCTCCCATATCCCAAAGTAAAGAACAAACAAACAAACAAACCTAAGAATCAGCACAAATTGACAAAATAAGACAACTATGGGATTTTTTTTCACAAAATAAGACATCAATGAAATAACTTGATAATATGAACTGATTAGGATAAATTACCCAAGATGATGAGAACTAGAATTAAAGTGATGGAAGTGGACAGATTTATGAGAAAGAAAACTTGGTAGGATAAAAATCTCTAGATTAGAAAAGGAAATTCACCCTTGCTAAATGGAGATATGCTCCAGACCATTCACTATCTTTGGAAGTCTGTAAATGTTCTCCAGAATAGTCTTATCTACCAGGAGAGAAAGTCCAGTGTCAATGACCCACACTGATCATGATGCTGGCATGGCCTTCTATCATATATTCATATACTGGCTCTTCTGTATAGGTATCAGCTCCTTGTGAGTTTTGTTATAGTGAGTTAACTCCCCAGAATATGAATGTTGATAGATAACTTTGCAAAACACAGAGTTCTAGACCTGAGAGTCCTTTCAAAACCATCTACAGATGTTCACTGACTTTCGACGGGTTTACACCTCATGGTAAGCTGAAAACGTCGTAAGTCAAAATGTATTTAATACAGATAACCTACTGAACATCATAGCTTAGCAGAGCCTATATTAAATGTGCTCAGAAAACTTAATCAGCCTACATTTGTGCAAAATTACCTAGCATATAGCCTATTTTATAATAAAATGTTGAATATCTCATGTAATTTATTGGATATGATACTGAAGTACAGTTTCTACTGAATATGTATCACTTTCACACCATTATAAAGTTGAAAAATTGTTAAGAAAAGACATTGTAAATTGTAAACCATCTGTGGTTCACTCTCTTCATTTTGAACCTACAGAGTGCCCAAAAAGATCCTGGAACTGGAGGTCTCTGTAGCATTAGTGGGAGGACAAATGCCTACCAAGATAATCCTTCTTTATTGAGATTGGAATAAACATCTTTAAACTCAATCTGAAAAGGGAGAGAGATAGTATAATCTGTATGCCTTGTCCCCTCTCTGGTGCCCCAGGGCCCTTTGTTTTAATGAAGTATTAACATTTACAACTTGCAGAATTGGAAAAATATCACTACTAAAATGGCACATAATTCTTTATAAGCTCTTGAATAAAACTGATAGGCACTTGCACTGAAAAGTCTGCAGATTGATTTTTATCAGTGTAGCATCTGTAGATAAAACAAGCTAAACTGAAACTGAATATTTGTTACAGGATGTTAACATCGCAAAGCCTTTTGTTGACTCTAACTAATTCACCCAACCAATCTTCCTATGAGATGTGTCATTTTCTGCCTCAAAGGCATTAATGGTTTGTGAAAGATAATAAAGTGAATTGAGTTTATATTTTAATATTTTGTGTCCAATGTTCAGGGAACTTGATCAAAATTAATTTTGGTGATATGAAGAAAAAGACAATATCAGTGCTACTTTAGAAATGAGAGATACTATAGTTTATATATGACTTAATGTTGCAAAATTTTAAAAATTTGTTGGAATATTCCAAAGTAATTGTTTAATCTGCTAACAAAGAATGAAAGTCATAATTTCTTCCTATAAAACCCATCTTCTGTTGAATTTTTATTTTTAAAACTACTATGAACTTGAAGTTTCCTTTAAATTACTCTATTAAAATTTAATTTACCATGGCTAAATTTTGCTGTATGCCACATTAATATTAATAGCAATAACACATTGAAGCATAATAGCATAGAGATAAAAGATATTGCTTGAAGCCTAAATCTCAATTTTCTACTGTGACATAAGGATATACAGTCATCCTTAGTTATATACTGGAGATTAGTTCCAAGACCACCACCATCACTGCCGCACTGCAATACCTCAGTCTGCAGATGCTCAGGTTCCTGATATAAAATGGTATAGTATTTGCATATTGCCTATCCATATCCTCCTGTATAATTTAAATCATCACTAGATTACTTATTATACCCAATACAATGTAACTTCTATGTAAATAGTTGTTATATTGTATCATTTTTATTCGTATTATTTTAATTGTTGAAGTGTTATTTTTTATTTTTTTTCTGAATATTTTCAATCTGTGGTTGGTTGAATCCATGGATATGGAACATGAGGATTCAGAGGGCTGACTGTAAATATAACAATCACACTGTTTCAAGAGCATTTCATTTACTTAGACTTTGGTACTCACAATTAATATTACATATAAGGAAAACTTCTAAGGTATAAAACATTTTTGCCATAATTAAATTAGCATTTGCATAAACCATTTCTCTCTCTAGTTAATATGCTTCTCTTAATGAAATGACTTAATACTAGTGATAAAAAACACTACTTATTTGAATAGGCATGATCTTTTTGGTAACAAACACACTCTCTCTTACTTAATAGCAAAATGATTTAGCAATTTCAGAGAATTACTGACCAAACTAATTTATAAAAATCATACAGTTGCTGTCTGCTAAAGCTGGTCTGTACCATGGACAAGAGGAATTTATTTGAATCAATTTTTCACAAATCTAATTAAAATCGAATTAATAAAAAATATATTAATTACTTTTTAATGGAGATATAAGAAGATACTGAGCATCTGGATCTCAAGTGGTCACCATCTTCAGTTCAGAACAAAATTCACTTGTTTTATCTACAGCTGAGTTAGTTCCTGTGTGTGTCCTGTACAAATGTCTGCATGGACCTTCTCCATAGGGGTGCTGTCAGCATCTCCTCTGTCTGGAAAATTTCTGCACTCTGAATCTACCATTTCCCAGCAGGGTTGACAATCTTGACCTCTAGGCAGAGCTGTTGGAGCTTTACTTCCTGGCATATTTTGATATCCTGCCCTGGCTTTTCCTCCAAGTTCCAGGCTCTGTGAATCCAATGGTCTACTTGACATGTCCACCTGAATGTCTCATAGGCATCACACACTTAATAAGACCAACAGCAAACTCTTGAACTCTTGACTTCTGCATCACTCCAGACTTGCTCTTCCTGGTCAGTAACTGGCATTATCCTCCACTCAGCTGGCCGAACCAAAAACTCAGGGGTCAGCCTTGAGTCCTCTTCCTCTGATGTTTTTACATCTAATCCATCCTCAAGTCCTTTCAGCTCCACCAACTGCCCACTTCCCTCATCTCCATGGCCGTGAACGCAGTCCAAGCCACCAGCATCTCTTGTGTACACTTGCAATAGCCTTCTATTCTTTTTGCATCTACTTTTGCCTCCATAATCCATTTTCCACTCAGTAACCAAAGCAAACTTTACAAAAAACAACCAGACTGTTGGCACAAGGAGGCCCTCTCTCACCACTCCTATTCGACGTAGTATTGGAAGTTCTGGCCAGGGTAATCAGGCAAGAGAAAGAAATAAAGCGTATTCAAATAGAAAGAGAGGAAGTCAAATTGTCTCTGTTTGCAGATGACATGATTGTATATTTAGAAAACCCCATCGTCTCACCCCTAAAACTCCTTAAGCTGATAAGCAACTTCAGCAAAGTCTCAGGATACAAAATCAATGTGCAAAAATCACAAGCATTCCTATATACCAATAATAGACAAGCAGAGAGCCAAATCATGAGTGAACTCCCGTTCACGATTGCTTCAAAGAGAATTCAACACCTAGGAATACAACTTACAAAGGATGTGAAGGACCTCTTCAAGGAGAACTACAAACCACTGCTCAAGGAAATCAGAGAGGACACAAACAAATGGAAAAACATTCCATGCTCATGGATAGGAAGAATCAATATCGTGAAAATGGCCATAGTGCCCAAAGTAATTTATAGATTAAATGCTATCCCCATCAAGCTACAATTGACTTTCTTCACAGCATTAGAAAAAACCTACTTTAAATTTCATATGGAACCAAAAAAGAGCCATATAGCCAAGACAATCCTAAGCAAAAAGAACAAAGCTTGGAGGCATCACACTACCTGACTTCAAACTACACTACAAGGCTATAGTAACCAAAACAGCATTGTACTGGTACCAAAACAGATATATAGACCAATGGAACAGAACAGAGGCCTCAGAAATAACATCACACATCTACAACCATCTGATCTTTAACAAACCTGACAAAAACAAGCAATGGGGAAAGGATTCCCTATTTAATAAATGGTATTGGGAAAACTGGCTAGCCATATGCAGAAAACTGAAACTGGACCCTTTCCTTATACCTTATACAAAAATTAAAGACTTCAATGTAAGGCCTAAAACCATAAAAACCCGAGAAGAAAATCTAGGCAATACCATTCAGGATACAGGCATGGGCAAAGACTTCATGACTAAGACACCAAAAGCAATGGTAACAAAAGCCAAAATTGACAAATAGGATCGAATTAAACTAAAGAGCTTCTGCACAGCAAAAGAAACTATCATCAAAGTGAACAGGCAACCTACAGAATGGGAGAAAATTTTTGCAATCTACCTGTCTGACAAAGAGCTAATATCCAGAATCTACAATGAACTTAAACAAATTTACAAGAAAAAAACAAACAACCCCATCAAAAAGTGGACAAAGGATATGAACAGACACTTCTCAAAAGAAGACATTTATGTGGCCAACAAACGTGAAATAAAGCTCATCATCACTGGTCATTAGAGAAATGCAAATCAAAACCAGAATGAGATACCATCTCACGCCAGTTAGAATGGCGATCATTAAAAAGTCAGGAAACAACAGATTATAGAGAAGATGTGGAAAAATAGGAATGCTTTTACATTGTTGGTGGGAGCATAAATTAGTTCGACCATTGTGGAAGACAGTGTGGTAATTCCTCAAGGATCTAGAACAAGAAATACCATTTGACCCAGCAATCCCATTACTGGGTATATACCCAAAGGATTATAAATCATTCTACTATAAAGACACATGCACACATCTGTTTATTGTGGCACCATTCACAATAGCAAAGACTTGGAACCAACCCAAATGCCCATCAATGATAGACTGGATAAAGAAAATGTGGCACATATACACCATGGAATACTATGCAGCCATAAAAACGGATGAGTTCACGTCTTTTACAGGGACGTGGATGAAGCTGGAAACCATCATTCTCAGCAAACTAACACAGGAACAGAAAACCAAATACCACATGTTCTCACTCATAAGTGGGAGTTGAACAATGAGAACACATGGACACAGGGAGGGCAACATCACACACCGCGGCCTGTCGGGTGGGGGGCTAGGGGAGGGATAGCATTAGGAGAAATACCTAACATAGGTGATGGGTTGATGGGTGCAGCAAACCACCATGGCACGTGTATACCTATGTAACAAACCTCCATGTTCTGCACATGTATCCCAGAACTTAAAGTATAAAAACAAACAAACAAATAAACAAAACCCAAAAAAACAAACAAACCCTCCCATGGCTTCTCAGCACGTGTAGAATAAAATCTGCAAGGTCACAGCCTCCTTGATCCTTGCTTCCCTGCCCCAGCATGCCCTTCTTTCTTTCCTCAGGCTTATCCCAAGATTGTTTTCCTGCCTCAAAGCCTTTGACTTGCTGCTTTCTCTTGCCTGGATAGCTCCTGCTAGTAATATAACCTCCTCACATCTCAGCCACATGTTGTCTCCCCAGAGAGACCTTTCCTGCCCAACTTGTCCAAAGCGCTGTCTGCCCCATTCTTTCAGTCATGTTACCTGCAGCCAAAAAAATCTTAATAGGTATGCTCTTCATTCCATTACATTTTCTTATTTTCTTTACAGCATGTCTTATTAGGTAAGATGATCTAACATATTTATTCTTAATACTTTATAATGTTCTTTAAGTACATATTTATTTATAAAGACTTTCAGGGCTTTGCTCAAATGTCACCTCCTTGATGAGACCTTTCCCTGCCACCTTTCATACCACGTCGACCCCCTCACATGTCTGTTGGCTGTTCTCTGTTTTCTTTTTCCTCTGCTTAGCACTTAGCCCTAGAAAGCATATACATTGGACTTACTTGTCTTATGCATTGTCTTCCCCTTTACAATGGAAACTCTGTAAGTGCTAGGGCTTTTAAAATATGTTCTACTGATGGCTGTATCTCTAATGCTTAGAACAGGGCCTAGCACACAGTGGGCTTTCACCAAATATTTGTTAATAATTAAAAAAATCTTCCACTGGAATCCACAAGAATGTTCACTGTATTGTATTGTAATTATTTTTAAATTTTCTGTATATTATGATGTTTTGACATCTTAAAAAAACCTCTCTGGCTAGGGAGAGACTGCCCTGAGCTAGACAATTCTGAGCTGGCCAGTGCTCAGCCAGGAGAAAGCTTTTGATATGCAAATTAACCAATCCAGAGCCACGCCTCCTCGACTTTAATCATCTCAGGGCCAGGTACCACCCCTATAGGCAAAAGGTACCACCTCTGTAGGCAAAAGGTACCACCGCTGTAGGCTGAAATTATTCAAACCAGCCAGTCCTAAACTGTTCACCCTGCCCTACTTTGCCTCTTCCATGGAAACCTCAATAAAGGCTATGGCCAAACCTTCCCCTCGTTCTTGCCTACCATCCCCTGATCACCTTGAGTCTTTCCCATGTAGCCCTGTTTGGCATGCTGGGCCTCCTGTCTCTGTGAGCATAATAAACTTGCTTTTTCCTAATCCTGTCCTGTGAGACCTCTTGTAGCTGCACCTGACTAACCATCTCATAAAAGAATGCAAAACAGACATTCCCAGGGCCTAAAACACTGACATACAGTGGGTTTATGCAGTTACAGGTGAAAGGGGACATGCTTCATGAAAGGAGTTGGAAACTAGAAAAAGCCAGATAAGAAAGGAGACGGTGGGAGATGAGGATAAAGGTAGCTGCTAAGAAATGAGTCCGTTGGAAAAAACTATAGAGACATCAAAGTATGTTCCACTTTATATTTTAGAAAGGTCTTTCCTAAGCATACTTGCAACCTCCAGTTATAAAACTGAGAGTCTGAAAGCTCTGAGGAGCCTCAAGTGAACACTGTATGGTGGGATTAGATGGAATGGGACATGAGGGGATGGTAAATCAATGACAAAAGTGTTACTGTTTATTTTCTTTTCAAAGCCAGAGAGAAGTCATATGGAGGGGGAGCAGAAAAAAATGTTACTAAATTCAGCAGCATGCAATAGTGATAATTGTATTTCTTGCTTATGCATATACATGAGAAACTGATTCTGTAGAGAAATTAGAAAGGGAAAATAGTGAGGAGTAAAAAATTCAATCACACAAAACACATGAACATCAAAAAAGTGTCCTAAGGAGAAGGGTCTCAGAATACCTGCGCCTTCCCATATCTTGCTCGTGGACTCTGAGGGTATTTGCGTACTAGTTCTTTAAATGCATTCACTGCTTCCTCAATTTTTCCCTGTTAGAAAGACAAAATTACATAAATAAAATAAATTAAAATGAATAATCAATCAATATTGTTATTTAATATTCAGCAAGTGGTTTTGTCAGAGTTTCCTAGATTCCATCCTGAGTGTAAAGATAGTTTTATCTAAGATTTTAAAAAAAGCTATATTAAGGCAAACAGAAAACTAGTAATGAACACATATTTACTTCATTTTTAAAAAGACAGAAGGACAGAAAACCAAACATCGCATGTTCTCACTCATAGATGGGAATTGAACAATGAGAACACTTGGACACAGGGTGGGGAACATCACACACCAGGGCCTGTCGTGGGGTGGGGGGATGGAGGAGGGCTAGCATTAGGAGATATACCTAATGTACATGACGGGTGAACGGGTGCACCACATCAACATGGCACATGTATACTGTATACATATGTAACAAACCTGCACATGGTGCACATGTACCATAGAACTTAAAGTATAATAATAAAAACATAAATAAATAATAAAATGACAAAAAAAAAAGAAAATGGCAAGGATGCCCAATCTCGCAAAAAAAAAAAAAAAAAAAAAAAAGACAAGACACCTGATAAATGATGTAATATGTGGTTTTGCTAAAGAAATTGAATTTTCCCTCAATATAAGTACAGGTTCTACCATGTTCTCGAATATTGTATTAGTCTGTTTTCACACTGCTATAAAAAATACCTGAGACTGGATAATTTATAAAGGAAAGAGGTTTAACTGAATCACAGTTCCACGTGGCTGGGGAGGCCTAAGGAAACTTGCGATTGTGGCAGAAGGCAAAGAGGAATCAAGGACCCTCCTGACATGGTGGCAAGAGAGAGAAGAGTGAGGAGCGAAGGGGGAAGATCCCCTTATAAAACCATCAGATCTCATGAGAACTTACTATCATGAGAACGGCATGGGGGAAACTGCCCCCTTGATCCAATCACCTTCCACCAGGTGTCTCTCTAGGCACATGGGGATTATGGGGATTACAATTTGAGATGGGACTTGGGTGGGGACACAGTGAAACCATATCATTCCACCCCTGATCCCTCCCAATTCTCATGTCCTCACATTTCAAAACACAATCATGCCTTTACAACAGTCCCACAAAAGTTTAACTCATTCCAGCATAAACCCAAAGTCAAAGTCCAAAGTCTCATCTGAGACAAGGCAAGTCCCATCCACTTAGAAGCCTGTAAAATCAAAAGCAAATCAGTTACTTCTAAGATACAATGGGGGTACAGGTATTGGATAAATGCTCCCATTCAAAATGGGAGAAATTGGACCAAGAAGCAGCTTCTCCGCTCCTTCTAGGATCTCCGCCTGGTTCGGCCCGCCTGCCTCCACTCCTGCCTCCACCATGTCCATCAGGGTGATCCAGAAGTCCTACAAGGTGTCCACCTCTGGCCCCCGGGCCTTCAGCAGCCGCTCCTACACGAGTGGGCCCGGTGCCCACATCAGCTCCTCGAGCTTCTCCTGAGTGGGCAGCAGCAGCTTTCGGGGTGGCCTGGGAGGCGGCTATAGTGGGGCCAGCGGCATGGGAGGCATCACCGCAGTCATGGTCAACCAGAGCCTACTGAGCCCCCTTGTCCTGGAGGTGGACCCCAACATCCAGGCTGTGTGCACCCAGGAGAAGGAGCAGATCAAGACCCTCAACAACAAGTTTGCCTCCTTCACAGACAAGGTACGGTTCCTGGAGCAGCAGAACAAGATGCTGGAGACCAAGTGGAGCCTCCTGCAGCAGCAGAAGATGGCTCGGAGCAACATGGACAACATGTTCGAGAGCTACATCAACAACCTTAGGCGGCAGCTGGAGACTCTGGGCCAGGAGAAGCTGAAGCTGGAGGCGGAGCTTGGCAACATGCAGAGGCTGGTGGAGGACTTCAAGAACAAGTATGAGGATGAGATCAATAAGCATACAGAGATGGAGAATGAATTTGTCCTCATCAAGAAGGATGTGGATGAAGCTTACATGAACAAGGTAGAGCTGGAGTCTCGCCTGGAAGGGCTGACTGACGAGATCAACTTCCTCAGGCAGCTGTACGAAAAGGAGATCCGGGAGCTGCAGTCCCAGATCTCGGACACATCTGTGGTGCTGTCCATGGACAACAGCCGCTCCCTGGACATGGACAGCATCATTGCTGAGGTCAAGGCACAGTACGAGGATATTGCCAACCAAAGACGGGCTGAGGCTGAGAGCATGTACCAGATCAAGTATGAGGAGCTGCAGAGTCTGGCTGGGAAGCACGGGGATGACCTGTGGCGCACAAAGACTGAGATCTCTGAGATGAACTGGAACATCAGCCAGCTCCAGGCTGAGATTGAGGGCCTCAAAGGCCAGAGGGCTTCCCTGGAGGCCGCCATTGCAGATGCCGAGCAGCGTGGAGAGCTGGCCATTAAGGATGCCAACGCCAAGTTGTCCGAGCTGGAGGCTGCCCTGCAGCGGGCCAAGCAGGACATGGCACGGCAGCTGCGTGAGTACCAGGAGCTGATGAACGTCAAGCTGGCCCTGGACATCGAGATCGCCACCTACAGGAAGCTGCTGGAGGGCAAAGAGAGCCGGCTGAAGTCTGGGATGCAGAACATGAGTATTCATACGAAGACCACCAGCGGCTATGCAGGTGGTCTGAGCTCGGCCTATGGGGGCCTCACAAGCCCCGGCCTCAGCTACGGCCTGGGCTCCAGCTTTGGCTCTGGCGCAGGCTCCAGCTCCCTCAGCCGCACCAGTTCCTCCAGGGCCGTGGTTGTGAAGAAGATCGAGACATGTGATGGGAAGCTGGTGTCCGAGTCCTCTGACATCCTGCCCAAGTGAACAGCTGTGGCAGCCCCTCCCAGCCTACCCCTCCTGCGCTGCCCCAGAGCCTGAGAAGGAGGCCACTATTCAGGGTAGCACTGGGAACAGGAGACCCACCTGAGGCTCAGCCCTAGCCCTCAGCCCACCTGGGGAGTTTACTACCTGGGGACCCCCCTTGCCCATGCCTCCAGCTACAAAACAATTCAATTGCTTTTTTTTGGTCCAAAATAAAACCTCAGCTAGCTCTGCCAATGTCAAAAAAAAAAAAAAAAAAAAAAATGGGAGAAATTCGCCAAAACAAAGGGGCTTCAAGTTCCATGCAAGTCTAAAATCCAGTGTGGCAGTCATTAAATTTTAAAGCTCTGAAATCATCTCCTTTGACTCCATGTCTCACATCCAGGTCATGCTGATACAAGTGGTGGGCTCTCATGGTCTTGGGCAGCTCCACCCCTGTGGCTTTGCAGGGTACAGTCCCCCTCCCAGCTGCTTTCATGGGCTGGTCTTAGGTATCTGCGGCTTTTCCAGGCACACAGTACAAGCTGTTGGTGGATCTACCATTCTGGGGCCTGCAGGATGGTGGCCGTCTTCTCACAACTCCACTAGGCAGTGCCCCAGTGGGGACTCTATGTGGGGGATCCAACCCCACATTTCCCTTCTACGCTGCCCTAGCAGAGGTTCTCCATGAGGGCTCCACCCGTACAGCAAACTTTTGCTTGGACATCCAGGCAATTCAATACACGTCCTCTGAAATCTAGGCAGAGGTTCCCAAACCTCAATTCCTGACTTCTGTGTACCTGCAGGCCCAGTATTGAAATCTGTGTTACTCTTCGATGGCCTCTGTAACAAACTACCACAAACTTGATGGCTTAAAATAAGAGAACTTTGTTCTCTCGCAGTTTTGCAGAACAGATTTCCAGAATTAGTTTCTCTGGGATGAAATCAAGATGGTGGCAGGGCTGTGCTCTATCCAGAGGTTTTACGGGAATATTTGTCCTTGTCTATTCCCAGTATTTCTTGATTTGTGGATGGATCACTCCAATATCCAATTCTGTCTTCATACTGCTTTCTTTCTCCTCTGTATGTGCTACTTTTTATTTTGTCGGCATCAAATTTCCCTCTGTCCCTCTCTTATGAGGAAACATGATTGCATTTAAGGCCCAACTGGATAATCCAGGATAATCTCTCTATCTCAATGTCCTTAATCACATCTGCAAAGATCCTTTTCCCAAATAACATAACATTTACAGGTTCCAGACACATATCTTTTGGGGGTCTATTTTCAGCCTAGTATGCACCCCATGCAACTTAAATTGCAACTGTCAAAGCTATTTCAATGATAATTGTGCTAAATGTACTAATATCAGACTTAAAACATAAGAATAACAATGTTCATAACAAATTTGATAAGGTGAGATATTCCTGCTTGACACTGTCAAGGCTGTTAAAATAATGGGATATTTTGGCTCTGTCTGCAGCATCCTTTGAATCCCTGCAAGACAGAGGCTCTGTGACTTTCCTGAGGGGCCATCAGCCTTGCTTTCACTTCAGTTGGCTGGCAAAGTAAATGTGTTTGCTTTTAGTCTGAAAGAATTTCCCTTCCCTAAGTTTTTGTATAGCTCCAAACACTATTGCTCAATTCTAATTTAAAAACTCAGCTGCAAGACACAAAATGTTTGAAGAATTGCCTGAAAATGATCTGTTCCTCAACATAGCTTATAATGTTCTCCTAGGACCAAGACAGTTCATGGGAGAGACATGGACGTAGGCCACACTGTGTTGACATGAGGCCAATGGGCTGTGCGGAAGGATAATAAGATACATTCCTGCAGCTGCATGGTAGAATAATCCACTGGTATGATGTCAGTGGGGAAGTAGGAAGTTTTGCATCCATCAGTATACCTTTTATGAAGATCTACAGCCAAATGTTTCTCTCTGGACTTGGAGCAGAACAGCTCTTCTGATGAACAATATTAATCTTATCTTCTGATTCTGTTTTCCATGTTGTCCCTCGAGGAATTGTTGACTTCATTCCTAGCATGGTTTAGAGCCAGTGGTGTGAACTTTCAGGTATTTGATTACATTTTCTTTACTCCCTCCCCACCTTTTCAAAAATCACTTACAATGCTGTAATAATAAGTGATTCCAACAAATAAGCAAATATATTTCAGTATATCATTTCAAACCCTTTTTCCAGAGGTAGGAAAGCATTTTAAATAATAAATATTATTATTTTTTAAAATAGAGGATTGGAATATAATCTGATCTATACTTTTCTGGGGGGATAAAAAGCGAACACATACTTTCATGTAACATAGTCCTTGAGCCTAAGGCATGAACTGAGGCTGCACTGGCTCTGTGTGGAGTGTGTGTTAGTTGGCCTCGGCTGGTCCAGTGCACTAAGGTGCATCCTCTGAAAATACTAGCCATAAAAACAACCCTAAAAGACTGAATTATGTTGATGAGTCAGTCAATAACATAGCTTCCTGTTGTTTCAGAAGCAAGAATTGTATATGGGGCTACTTCTTCCTCTTTTATTTCCCTGGTATAAATTCAAGATGCTCCTTGAGAAAAATATAACTTCTCCAAAGGAGCAACACTGCAGAATACCCCATAACTGAGCCCTCCTTTATCATTCATATAATTACATTAAAATCCTTCTCTAAAGCTGCTCATATGTTTTTTACACCAAAAGTCACCTGTGCAATAGGCACTCCCATTTTTATATATGACATTTAGTATAGAGAAAGTGGAGGTTGCCAAAGGAGGTGGCAGAAAAAGATTATTGCTTCAATTCTATTAAGAAATACAAACTGACCACAAACAGTAGATGGCTTCACTTCATAAAGTTAAACAAGACAGTTAACTTTCTTGTTTACTATCAGAAAGTAGGAATCATTCCACGTGGTTAGATTTAAGGGAAGTGAACAATGACTTTGCTGCAATATTCTGTGGAGTTACTCTATTTTTATTGGCAAACCTTGGCTTTGGAGCCTCACCTAATGCCAGTTCCAAAAGCCTTTATGCTCATTGGTACACTTTCAATAAACATGCGGACGTACATTCTTGTCCCATTTTAGTTCCTAACCAGTGTTTTTATTGTTGTTTGTTTACTTAAAGCCCACTTGTTCCTTTATTATTGCAGCCAATGTCTACTGATTAAAAAGCCTATTACAGGAAAACTAATGAACATTACAGAGTCTACATTCAAGTGCAGAGTAGAGAAACAAATTTCCGCCAAAAACAAGGAGATGATTAATTGAAGATATGATTAAATACATTATAATAAATATTTTTGCACCCGATGATTAGATGATATGACCAAGGTAAGGGAACGAATAACTTAAATCCAGTTTCAATTTATTGTTCTCAAAATTGTAATATCTATAAAGAAATGCAAGTAATATTTCAAATATATCGACAAATTAAAATATAAATAAGGTACCCTGAAAACTGGAGGTGCATGAGGTTAACCCTAAGTAAGAAGAATGTCATTTCATCTACCAATTACTATCCTGAGTAATGGACTGACCTAGTTTTTCTTTTTGCATCAAGGAGCTATAAAATTAAAAACTTGCACTTCTATGATACTTGACAGTGTTATTATTATTATTATTATTATTATTTTAATCTCACTTATGGCTCACGCCTGTAATCCCAGCACTTTCGGAGGCTGAGACGGGTGGATCACTTGAGGTCAGGAGTTCAAGACCAGCCTGGGCAACATGGTGAAACCCTGTCTCTACTAAAAATACAAAAATTAGCCAGGCATGGTGGTGAGCATCTGTAATCCCAGCTACTCAGGAGGAGAACTGCTTAAACTCAGGAAGCAGAGGTTCCAGTTAGCCGAGACTGTGC
Source organism: Homo sapiens (assembly GCF_000001405.40). Lineage (NCBI taxonomy): Eukaryota > Metazoa > Chordata > Mammalia > Primates > Hominidae > Homo > Homo sapiens. Next base: position 61,583,509 of record NC_000008.11, read on the forward strand.
CACTGCACTTCAGCCTGGGTGGAGGCTCTGTCCAAAAAAAAAAAAAAAAAAATTCTCATTTGATCTTTAAATTGATCTTTAAAAAACTCAATTAGGAGGTAGAAAGAATATTTATCATTATCATGTCTGTAAGAAAACTAACGCCCAGAAGAGCCAAGTGGTTTCCCCAAAGCTGCATAACTAGAATGTGATGGAGGTAGGCTGACACCCGCATCGGCTGGCCTGAAGGAAAGTTCTATTTCTCTTTGGCCATGTGGTAGCAATTCTCTTCCATCTGATTCATTTCATGTGGAATGTTCATGTGCCTGGGGAAAAATCCACTCTATTCAACTGTTGTTTCTTTTACACTTACTATTTTTTTTTTTTTTAACAAATCAAGAGTAATGCCTGAGTTTATTTAACAACAAAACCATTGCACAAAAAATATCAACCTACCCTTTTACGGAGTTTTTCTGCAGCATCAAGTTCAGCTTTAATAGTCTTATCAAATTTATTTAAAAGTTTAGGCTTCTTTTTCTTAACTGAAAGAAAAAAGAGATTTTTATTTTTAACGTTTTTTGACTAGAAATAGTTATTAAGCATAACAATTTACAAGTAGTGGGAAACCTGATGCTGGTCTCCACCAAAGACCTGCAGGAGAAGGCACACTGCAGGCTCGCCTTCCATTTCCTCCCCTAGATGGTGTGATGAAGTCAGTGACTGCCAAGGAAGGCAATGCAGCCCTTACCTATCTGCTACAATGTGTTCTTGGGAGAGTGGGTGGATAGTATACTGAAACTCTCCAGGATACTGGCTTGGTTTCTGGGATGTAAATGGTGGGTATGACTCCTAAACTCTCATAATCTACTTCTTGGCTATGTCCAAAAGATTGTTTAAAATAGTTTTTTTGAATATGTCCACAACTTTTTCTGATACAGATAAAGATGAAAATGGAAGGCTCCTCTCAAGGAAGTCAAATAAAACAGAATTTCTTCGTTTAGCATTCAAGGTCCTTCCAGTGCATCCTGGACTGACCACCCCAGCTATGTTCCATACTTCAGCCAAAATAGACTGCCCCATGATCCCCAAATAAGCTTTTTGTGCCATTTCTTCTCTTTCTTTCTTTTTCTTCTTTCTTTCTTTCCTTCTTTCTTTCTTTCTTTCTTTTTCTTTCTTTCTTCTTTTTTTCTTTTTTTTTTTCTGTAGAAACAGAGTCTCACTATGTCACCCAGGCTGGTCTTGAACTCCTGGCCTCAAGCGATCCTCCTGCCTTGGCCTCCCAAGGTGCTGGGGTTATAGGCATGAGCCACTGTGCCCAACCTGTGCCATTTCTTATGCTACCTCATTTAAATAAAAAGCCTGTTCTTTATCTTCTTCTGTGAAAAACGTGCCTATCCTTCAACAATAAGTTCAAAACCACGCTCCTTATAAAGTTTCTCCTGAAATCACCCACACAGTACTCAGTTCCCTGCTCCACTGTGTGCGTCTTTAAGTCCACTGCACCCTGCGTATCTCTGTTTTGTGGTCCTTCCCCACTAGGGGTTTTGTTATAATCCTTCACGCGCTTATCTTAGTCCTAACTCTTGCAGGGTGGTACCGTGTCTTAAAAGCAGGCTGAATCTGTTTATGTAAGCATCAATCCATTGCTTACTTAGCAAACAGTTTTTGGCTCTGTGCACAACCTCAGCACCCAGCAAACAGGAGCCCTCCTCCCGAAGGCAAGGCACACCCAGCAGGTGAGAGGGCCAGTCCTGCTGGTGCACAACTGGCAGTGCCTGCAGAGTGGATGGATGCAGAGCACTTCTCAGAAGCCCCAAGTGACAAGAGTGGAAGCTTGAAGGGTAAGCAGAATGTTCTGGAGAAGGGGAGTGGTGGCAGGGAAGGGGGCAAAGCGGGAGGGATAGAGACGAATTAAAACAATCAGAAGAGAACTTCCTCAATTTTCTGACAATAAACCTACAGACGTTAATAGCTTCTTCCCTATCTTGTCACAAAGGAAGACGGGCTGTTCTTTCTAAGGTCCCCTCTCCGCCAACACACACACCTGTCTTGTGCCTTCTGAATGTCTATTCACTCTCAGCATCTCTCGTGTGCCCCCTGGTGGGAATTTAATAATGCGTTAAATAATGCCAAAGTTTCTGCCATCTTACAGCAAACAAACAAACCAGCCTACCCTCCTCTACTTGCCACGCTCCCTCCCCTCCCCTGGGGGGCACCTCTTTGTCACCTTTCCTGTCAGCACTTTGGCTTCCTCACCCACCACGTGGGCAGAAGCAAGTCTGCCAGAGGAGGGAAGGCTGTGTGGTTAAGCATCGATGGCAGGGGTCTGAGTCCCAGCTCTGTCACCTCCAAGCTCTGTGACCTAAGCCAAGCTGGCACTAAACTTTTCTGGGTCTCACTTACCTCCTCTATAAAATTAGGGGTGTTTTTGAGGGTTAAATCAGGATAGTATATGAAGCATTTAACACAGTGCTTGGCATACAGTAAGTGCTCAGTACCTGAGAGCTATTATAATAATGGCTACGGCTTTCTGCAAATCTATTTGTTCTGTTTCTTCCTATTTTACCTGGCCCTTTTGCAACATTTGACACAGTTGATGCCCTCCTCCTTCCTAGATGATCCCTTTCCTTGACTTTTATGTTGCCCACTCTCCCAGTGTTCTTCCTTATTCTCTAGCCTCTTGAATTTCTCTTTATTGCCTCTGTAACTCCTTCTCCCTGCTGCTCCTTGGGATGTTATATTCTTCAGGGTCAGTCTTCAGTCTCTTTAGCGGCTTTAACTACTTAATTTCCAGCTGAGCTACAAACCAACTAGTTCATTTTCTCCTGCATCACGAAAATTATAAATCCAAGCACCTATTGACACATACCTCAAACTCAGTAAATAAAAAATAGAATTTGCTATTCCTCACACATCTATTCTTTTTCATATTGACTTTATTGCAGAGAATGACACCCAATTGTCCAAATCAGAAACTTGGTTATAAAACACAACCAAAATAAGGGCAAAGAAGAGCACATGGAATCATCCTAAGGAAGATGGAATGGAATCACTACTGTCTTTTTAGCACTCACTCTGCGCCAGTCGCCCGGCCACACACTATACATAGATACCTTTTATTTTCTCAACTTCCTGAACACAGGGAATTTAACTACACGGAGAAGACCACTGAGGTTCCAAAAGGGTTAGTTACCTTGACCCCTCCACTCTCTCACCCACATGGAAAGAAGTGGATACTTATTTCGTGTTTCCCAAGAAGAGGGAAGATTCTCCAAAATACTTAGTCTCCTACCTCTCCCTACAGGGGAGGTGATATGACTTAATCCACTTGCTGAGTTGGTAGAAGGAACTTGAAGTTCAGTTTCACTCCTTCCCTACCTCTCAAGAGCATGCACACTGAGCTGAGCTGAGCTGACCTTCTGAGAACATTCGTGCTGAGCGGAACTGCAAGAGAGGCTCTCACATGGAAGAACTAAGGCTGTTCCATGCTGTCTGGAGCAGTGGGTATGTCCAATTCTGGGGCTCAGTGTTAAGAAATCTGTTATTCCTGATTATCCAAACCCCCTCTTTTAATTCAACTTTCATCAAGTAATAAAGCTGACACTCTGATCATCTTTTAATTACTTACACATTTGTTTGCTATGATCTTCTATTATATTTATTTGACTTTCCTTCTCTCTCCTCCCAGAAACCCTAATCCCTGTAATGTTGAAAGCTATATGTGTCTAAGGCAGAGACTGAAAAAACAGTGAATAATGAGCTTTAAACTGCATGCCATTATATGTTACCATATATGCTGATATGGAAAATGAATAGACATTTCTCTGTGACACAGATTGATGGTAGTAGGAGCTCATGCCTTGTCATCTCAGCACAGACTTATGTCTCCCAATTGTTCATTTTGCTTTTGTAGAAGTGTCTATCAACAGAATGACAGTGAGACCTCCAGAAAAGCCTGGTGTGCAGCTGAGTAGACAGTTTCACTGTGGGCATCACTGGTTTTCCCCAACATGTCTCTTGTGTTATAAAATTCAAGTTAAAATAATATTTATTTAAAAGAAACTAAAAACTAGCAGTTTAGGACATCCAAAACAGTGTAACAGCAAAATTATATGCTTGTTAATGAGCAATGCTGTATCTTAGTGTCACGATATTTCAATAACAGCACTAAAATAGACAAAATATTAAAAATCTCACAGCATGCCACCATGTTCTATCTTTTCATATATCTTCATATTTGATAGCTTCTAACTATTGTACCTGTCTTTGAAATTCAAATTTTATCCTATTTTTATTTTTAAGTACACAGAAAGCCTGAGGCAATTTTCCCAACTGCTAAAAACCACAGACTCACTCTTTCTTCTCATTCTGGGGAGGCACATGTTCTACCTGTAGAAAAAATGAGTCCTCATTCAGGCTGGTGATGGGACCCTGGCGAACTCTCTCCAGCACTCTGGGCCTCAGCTTTCTTACCCATGGGTAAGAAATGGGTGATGTGGGCTGCTTCTCTTAAGGTCTCTTTGAACTCAAAAGTCCTGTGCTTCTAATTTTCAGTATTTAAATTATGTTCATAATCTTTTAAAGTACACCTATAAGGTACTAGAAAGAATTATTAATTTTGTTGAATTTGGATCTTTCAAAATGGTTTAGGAGAAAGCTATCTATGCTATATATAAATTAAAGTTTTGTTTTGTTTTTAAATCACTGCCATTACAAGTGTTTGGCCCTTTTTCAAAAGCACAAAGAAGAAAAGAAAAAGGAACACTTACATTTCAAATCCTTACTTCCCTTGCCAGGCTGTGGTTGAAATATTAAGAGCAAACAAAATGGAAAAGAAGGAAAATAAAAGGATAGCTGAAGGCAGGAGGAAAACACTAGTGATGCATTTGTAGATTATAAAAATTACGTTGACTCCTTTTCATTTCCACTTAGTTCATGGAAGATGTTTTTATACTACAGTCCATGGGGAGAAGTTGATCATCAATAAAAACAGACACAGAATCTTCACATTACTCTATGTCCTATACCCATTCCACTGAAGACAGTGAAGAAAACAGCAATTTCTCCTACAAGGTATATTTTGAAAAGCAACAATTTCCTAACTAGTCTCCCTGACTCGAGTCTGTTCCCATGTTCTACCTTGTTCTCAGGTTATTTTTGAAACACTATTTATTCATGTCATTACATTGCTGAAAATACACCCATAGATCCCCAGAACATAAAAAATAGAAATTAAATTCACTGGGATGCCCTCCTAGCAATCCTGCTCCTAATTACGGACCCAAGAAAAATGAAAACATAAATCATGAAGACGTACACAAAGACTTGCATGCAAATATTCACCACAGGGTTGTTCACAACAGCCCCAACGTAGAGAAAACCCGATGTCCATCAACTGGTGAATGAAAACAATCTGTGGTATATCCAAAAAATGAAATACTACTCAGCAATAACACCAGTACCTGCAACAATATGGATGAATTTTAAATGCATTATGTTAAGTGAAAGTGGCCTAGTCCAAAAGGCTACTGACTAATTCCATTTAGATAGCATTCTGGAAAACTGAAAACTGCAGCTACAGAAAACAGGTAAGTGGCTTCAGAGGCTGTGGTGGGAAAAGGGGATGACTACAAGGGCACAAAATAATTTAGGGGGTTGCAAAGTTCTGTAAGTTAGTTGTGGTGGATAAAAGCTGTATCTAGATGTATATGCATCATAGAATACACACTATAAAAGGTAAATTTTACTGTATGTAAATTCCTTCTTAATGAACCTGACTTTTAACAAAAAAAGTTACAAGGCAGAGATAAGCTCCATGATTCTCAGTGAAGACTCTTACTGTGTAGGTGTAATAGTATGAGAAACACTTGGGAATAAAAACAGCATCCTTTTCAAAAATGAAATTAAATTTAGTTTGAAACTCTCCAAAAATCTTTTGGGAGGTAATTCACTCACCCATGTTTAAGACACACTTACCTGCACACAAAAAGGAAAAAACCCAACATGCGAATCTAGACCTAGCTAGGCCCTCAATGACATTGGAATATTTTTGTATTTAACATCCCAGCTACCTCTTCTACTCCAGACTGCCCTCTTCCTTACCAGCCACCAGCCTTCCAAGCACCCTACTCTTGAACTACATCAAAACACTGGCCGTTCCTCAGCATGTCACTCTGCCCACAGTGGAGGGAGACCTAGGACTGTGGATTAGGGCCCATCTTGTTCACCGGCTTGTTTATTCACTCAAGAATTTGTTAAAGTGCCCGTTTTCCAAAAATTGTGTGAGGTTCTCAGAATTCAACGGGATCTTTCTTAAGGAGGTTATAGTCTTTTGGGGAAGACATACATGAATAACTAATAGTTAGAGGAATATGTGCAATTATAGGATGAATGAGGAGTGGTACTAATCTATTTGGGAGGGGAGCCTTCTTGGGGAAACTAAAAACTTCTGTATACCCAGGGAGAGGTAGCATTCTGGCCAGAGGAGAGAGTATTTATTTTGTAACTCAATCACAATCAGGAATTTGAACCTTTATTGTTAGGTTTTTTTGTTTGTTTTTTGGTTTTTTTGTTTTGTTTTTAATGTGAAAGGCTAAAATTCCTCTCCTGCTTGGATACTAGGGTTTGGTGCCATAACACATAAATTTTCTTACAATAAGAATTTCAGCTTTCTAGAATTTTGGGAAGCTGAAGGTGTAGATATTGCTCAGGGATCCCAGACACTGACTTGCTTTCTCCCCGTGTCTGAAGAAGGAACTTTATTGATGCTGAGCCTGCTTCAAAAGCCAGTAGAGTCCAGAGTGCTTGCTCTGGGAGTATAAGGTTTTTCGAGAGAGGGTATACACACTGACTACAAAAGGGCAGTGGCATAGCAAGAACTGGGTTTTTGAAAACATGCAAGACAGAGAGTGGAAAACTGTGGCTCCCATCTGCACCAGTGAAGGACTCTAGATGGCCAGGGAAGCCATGCAAAGGGACATAGCATCTGCCCCTGCCCTGGGCTGCCATTTTGCTTCTGATACAATTTTGTATGGCTGATTAAATACGGACCTTAATTTAACTCTGTGTGTGTGTGTGTGTGTGTGTGTGTGTGTGTGTGTATGAATTTCTCCCACTAGCCCATCTGAAATGCTATACTTATTCAAGGAAAATAATGTGCATCTTGAGCTCTTGCACAGTTGCATTTCCTTGAACCAGCTTTTGCCTTTCACAAATTGGCCCCTAATCTCCATTTTCCTCTTCTATTAATTTCCTTTATATAGACTCTCGAATATGGCATGAACATTGACACTTCTGTGGTTTTTCTCATGGTGTTTTATCTTCCTGGAAAACCCTTTCCTTTATTTCTACCAAAGAATATTCTATATTTTAACTTTTGAGACCTCGTTTAAATGTCATTTCTTCTATCAAGTTTAAGGCATCTTTAGGCAGAAAATAATCTCTCCTATGGTCATATAACATTCTATTACTATTACTACTATACTCATTACTATTTCTAGAAATAGTAAACTCTTCAGGCTGTGTTCATGCTGGCGGTATATACACAGTGCTCGCTCAAACTCTCCCCCCTCACTCCCACCTTCCTCCCTTGCTGGATTGTTAATTTCTGAACTGTGTTACTTATAATTTACAAAACAGCATTTGGCATATGGCCTGTCCTATAGGAAATCCTCAACAATTTTTCATGTTTCTAAAGGCATGAATGCATGCAGGCATGAATGAAGCAAGACACTGTAGAAGGGGATATGGCAATGTGAATTTGTAATTGGGCATATCAGCTGTCTTTTAAAAAATGAGAAAATTATAAACAACCAATATAGAAAATTACCTGAGAGTTGCTTGCTTTATAGAGTTCAAATCCAAAAAGTTTCAATGGTCAATAATGGAGGGGCCCGAAGAGGAAGATTAAAAAAAAAAAAAAGCAAGATACTTGTACCATAATCCCCACTGAAGATCTTGTAGGGAACACTAACATTTATTCTACATCTTATTCCATGTAGGTTTTTCAGTATATTGAGCAAATGGGGACACACATGGCAGAATACAAGGCACAACTAACAGTAAATTCTTGGATTGCAAGGTCTCGCTAATTTTAGAATAACAAAAACTTCCCAAAGCAGCTTGCTATTATGTTCTGAGTCACTGCTTAATGCCTTAGCCAATTCTGTGCTGATAATAACAGCTGACATTTATGGAGCACTTAAGCCTTCTAGACATGTGTGACTCACCCAAGCTGCACAAACTGTAAACAGTAGGCACCGAGACTGAAGCTTCGGGTTCTCTCCAGTAGACTCCAATGTCTGTACTCTTAACCATTTTGCTATATCTTTGGCATCTGGCTCAGAAGTCAAGAAATTAGGGTGTTCCTAAGAGTTTTAAGGGTGATGACACAGTGGAATTAAGTATTAGTATAAGTATTATTTGTGTAAAGGAAGTAGCTGAACTTTGTATTACTTGTCTGTAAGGATAAAGGCAGTTAAATAACCATAGTAATTTTCCTTCATTTTGTGTCTCAAGACGTAGCATTTAGACATTACACAGACACATCCTGGCTTGGTAGAAGGACCACAGAGTACAAGCCTGAAGGCCAGTCTGTGAGCTTCAGTTCCGCTACTTCTGAGGCAGCTTGCTTAATTTTGTTGAGCCTTTGTTTTTTCATCCACGAAATGGGGATAATATCTGACCTCCTTCCTACTACAGTAAAGGAAAGTCATGGAGCATAAAACCTCATATAAATGTTAATTATGACTTTCATCTACAGTATCTTATTTTTAGTTACTTTAAAATTCTATGCTTAATTAAGTGGGAAATGTGCCTGACTCTTATTAATAAATGTTTAAGCAGTTAATTTTTTAAAAAGATCAGATTTTCTCTATGATCAGACATTTCCCTGGCAGAGATTTTGGGCAACTAATAACTTTATCACACTATACCTGCATTCAGTTTGGATTTCAAGTCAACAAAGGATTAAAGAGCTTTGAGGCCATGCTAAACTTCCCCTGCTTCCCAAACTCTAGTATGTGTTTTTAAGCAGAATCACATAAAATATTAAATACTGCTTTTGGCTATGGTTATTCAAAGGTGGAATTTGATGAAAAATAATCTAAAAAGCAAAACAATTTAAGGGAAGGAAAAGTAAGACCAAAATAAGATATTAAAGAAAAAGGTGCTCTGTATCTGACTGAGATGTGGTGTGAAGTTTCAAAGTCATCACATAAAGCAACCTTACTGCAATATTATTCATAGCAATTAACAGTTAACCCAAGATAGGACCCCTGCTTATTTTAATCTTCCTTTATTAGGATTGGAAGCTAATTCTGCTTTTCTTTTTAAAATCACTGATAGATTTCAATAAAAGAAACATCACTCTACATTTGTCTTGACAGTGAGGTAAATCTATAAATTAAGGCAAAGGGTAAAAAAGAAGAAAACATTCAAGAATTCAAGAATCCCATGTTAGGATTTTTGATGAAACGTTATCTGCTAATCACAGGAAAAGCAAACCTGAATCTACGAGTGTTCCTACAGGCGGGGGATGTGGGTAGGCGCCCTCAGTTATTTTCTCTTTCATTTAAAAGTGGGAATTGTGCAAGGTATTCCCTACTGTGATGCCTCACACTGGGGTCTGAAATAAATCTGCTCTCATATTGAGAGACATGCTATTTGCTGTTGAGAAACCCAATATGCAGACAGCCATGGAGGTGCTTCTGGCAGGAGCCTTTGTTTGTATTATCACCATGTGAGAAAGAAAAGCTAATGTGTTTGATCCAAAAATAGCCCCTTCTGAGGCTTTTTTTCTCTAACACGATCTACTCTATAGGTATTACCAGAAGAAGAAGTAAATTTGGGCAACTCTTGAAAGACTCTCTTACCAAGGATGGCACACTCTTTCTTGCCTCCTACAGCTAAGAATAATGGACTTCTGTTTTTTCAGAATTAATTATCAACTATATACCAGCAGGAGGTCAATATTCAAAGCTTAAACCAAACAGTTAACAAATATTTTTCACTGAGAGATGCTAACTTATACAACCCAGTAAATAGTATATAAAGGGCAATTGTTTTCATCTGCTCCCTCTACTAAACTAATGTGAGATTCTGCTGGGAGCATTCAATGGAGACAGCAAGTATTCCAGTTTATTACATGTAGTTGGCTGCCTTCCCATAGGGTTATTTTTATAAATTATACATCACTCCCCTTCTAGAGTAATAATCCTTTAACAGATGTGACCCCATATGTTAAATTAGAAATTTTAGAGATGCTAAGTGATGTGTTTTCTAGACATAACAGAAAACCCTTCAGTGCCAAAGCAGTCCGCAGCCTCACCAACAGCAGTGCCAGACACTGAATTTTATCCCCACGCACACGTTCCATGAGAGAATAGCCACCTTCCTCAAATGTTATTTTAGATAAAATTCTAATAATCTTGGTGTTCTGTTTCTCTAGCCCTTAAGTTATTATAGGTAACAAACTAACAAGATGGAGTGAGGGTTGTTTGAAGCAGGTATATACTCAGCAGCGGATACAAGCTGACAGACTGAAAGTAAGAAAGTCAGAAACCAGAAATAAACCTGAAATAAACCCAGCTCCAATAGCACTGCAACATGGGTTAAACTGTGTAGACATAAATGGTGCCAAACACTTTAACAGTCCCCAAAAGCATCACTGCATGATACAGTAACTGATGTTCATTAAAATCAGAATTATAGTCTCCAGTCACCAGGGAATGTTAAATTATTTGCACAACACATTTTTTAAATGGGGAAATGATTTTAAAATGCTTTAGAAAATATCACCCGAATTTATTAATTTTGCTTAAATGATGCTTAAAGTTATCTAACATCATCTTTAAATAATTGTTTCTATGAAATACTGATTTCCCAGTGATGTCAAATGAAATAATAATTTCTAAGCCCAGCTTGCATCAGTGTCTCCTGAAGGACCTGAAACAAAACAGATGTTCCCAAACCCCAATACCAAAAAAATTGCTACAGGTGATTTTGCTCTGCAACATCTCAGCTACATGTAAAGATTAGTACAGGAATCCCCTTTTATCCACGGTTTTGCTTTTCACAGTGTCAGTTACAGATGGTCTACAATAGTCCCAAAATAGCTGAATACAATACAATAAGGTATTTTGAGAGGGAGACCACATTCATATAACTTTTATTACAGTATATTGTTATAATGTTTCTATTTTATTATCAGTGATTGTTGTTAATCTCTTACTGTGACTAATTTATAGATTAAGTTTTGTCATAGTGTGTATGTATAGGAAAAAATATAGTATATATAGGTTTGGTACTATTCATAGTTTTAGGTATCCACCAAGGGTTCTTGGAAAGTATCCCATATGGACAAGGAAGGACTATTGTATATATTATATGAATGAATAATTTCAGTATTTTTAATCCTATGTCTGAACTATCTTATTTTTCATTTGATTGTTTAGATGTCAGCAGGATCTATGTTTGACCGATGTTTGTTCAGAACTGATATTGACTGGTTTTCACTATTATAACTTTTAAGAAATAAATTACATGGAATTCATATTTTTTAGATATCATCTGAGATTTCACCAAAACAGAGTGGATATCTTTAAACACAACTTGAAAATCACAATGAGAGAAACCCCAAGAGTGTCTTTAGAGTTTCTCCATATGCTATAAGAATGAAAACCTGACATTACAAAATTGATTAATCTTGCTTTATAGTAGAGGTGGTAGGCATGACAGGATGACCACAAACTTTCAACAAATACCCAACTGTGAAGATCCTGGTCTCTGGGGAGTAAGAAATAGTTAAGTTTACTTGAGCAATAGCAGGATGATGAAGTGACAAACTATTTCTGATGTATTACCCAATAGAGAAAATACATGTTTCAATGGGAGGTTTCTCATTACAGACAAATGAGATTATAGATCAGTAACAGGGATGTAAATCTATTATTTGATATATTGAAAAACAAAGCCATTGCCTTTCTGAAACAGAGGTAGTGAAAAATAACAATAAAGAGGAGGACATTATCTTCAAATACTAAGGTTGAGAGTAAACTTGGTAAAATTTCTAAATATTTCCATATTATCTATGAAACAATGGCTTGTGAGAAACTGTATATCAGGTAATAAAGGTCAGTGATCTCTGAGAGATAGGGATCACATTCCTCAAACCAGTGATAAAATAAGGATCATAAAAGCAGACAGAGAGAATAGACATGTCACACACAGGGAAATAAAAATAAGAATGGCCTGGATGCACCATCAGGAAGCCCAATAATAAGCCTGCCCCACCTGCTGCCACTGGCACCTGCCATTCAGGGGCCTAAAAACAGGGCCACCTGGTTTACTGCCATAGCTGTTGGCACCTAAGCATATCATCTGGAAGCCTGGGAATCGGCCCACTCAGCCTGTCACTGCAGGCACCCATGCATGCTGTCTGGGGATCTGAAGATAGATCCACCCCACCCACCCCCACTGTCACTGATGCCCCAGTGTGCCATCTGGATGTGTAAGGATTGCCCCGTGCCCCACCCCTCAATGCAGCCTGCACTCATGTGCACTGTCAGGCAGTGTGAGAACAAGTGTGTCCTACCTGGTACCACTCCTGCTACTCCCTGTGCATGTTGTCTGGGAACCTGGAGATTGGTTCACCTGGCCCGCCACCACCAATGCTTACACACATGTTCCAGGGGCCTAGGGATTGACCCACCCCATCTGCCACCACTGGCACCTGTGCATGCCTTCCAGGGGCCTGAGGATGGGCCCAGCCAGCCTGCCACCTCTACTGCAAGCAACCACTTGTACACCCTACCTGGGGACCTAGGTACCTGCACATGACACTTGAGAGCCTGAGGGTTGGCCTGCTACTGCTACTGCCATGGCCAATACCACACATGCTGCCTAGGTGCCTGAGGACCTGCCTGCCCACTGCAGCCACTGCTGGTAACCAAGTAAGCCTTCTGAAGGCCCAAAGGTCTGCTCTCCTGGACCCACTACCATCAGTGCCCATGTACACTGCCTAGGGGCCCACAGACGGGCATGCCCAAGGACCAGCCCACCTGGCATCCCAGTCCCCAGCAGAGCCTCACCACAGCCTCCACTAAAATTCACAGCTAAACCACTGAGGAAATCACAGACACCACTGATGCTGAACACAGCCAAGGAAATCATACTGAGACTACACTACTGCGCCAGCCCAGAATCAAAGACAAAGTGCTCTACACAACCAGCATTATAGATACTTCTACAGCAAAAAAGTCTTTCCTATGAAAGCCAATTCACAAAATTGGAAGAAGTGACTGTTATACCAAATGTGCAGATATCAAAGGTAAGGACAAATGAAGACAAAAAAAGGAAGAAGACATGACACTTCCAAGGGAACGCAATAATTTTCCAGCAACAGCTTCTGATGAAAAGGAAATTATGAAATATCAGAAAAAGAATCAGAATAATAATACTAAAGAAACTCAGTGAGATATATGAGAACAGAGATAAATGACACAAAAAAATTAAGAAAATAATTTATGATCTGAAAGAAAAATTCAATAGAGAGATAGATACCATTTAAAAGAACTCAACCGGGAACTAAAGAATTCAATGAGTGAAATCAAAAATAAAATCAAGACCATCACCATCAACAATAGACTAGATTGAATAGAAGGAAAAATTTCAGAACCAGAAGATAGATCACTTGAAATAATCCAGTCAGGAAAAAAAAAAAAAAAAAAACAATGAAGGGGCCTGGCATGGTCAGGCATGGTGGCTCATGTCTGTAATCCCAGCACTTTGGGAGGCTGAGGCATATGCATCGCTTGAGCTCAGGAGTTCAAGATCAGTGTGGGCAACATGGCAAGACCCTGTCTCAAGAAAAGAAAGGAAAGAAAAGAAAAGATTATTACATAATATATGTGACACCATAAATCAACCAAATAACCAAATGTCCTAATTTATGGATATGAACAGAGGCAAAGAAAACTTATTTAATGAAATAATAGCTTTCAAACTTCTCAAAGCTTGCAAGAAATATAGACATCCAAATATGAGAAGCTCAAAGATCCCCAAATAAATTGAAACAAAATGGTCTTCTCCAAGTTACATTACAGTAAAACTGTCAAAAGTGAAAGACAAAGAGAAAATTATAAAAACAGCAAAAGAATCAAGTTATTTAAAATGGAATTCCCATTAGAATAACAGCATATTTCTCAGCAGAAATCTTTCAGGCCAGAAGAGAATAAAATGACATTTTCAAAGAGCTGAAAGAAAAAAAATTGCCAGCTAAGATACCAGATCCAGCAAAGCTATCCTTCAAAAATGAAGGAGGAATAAAGTCTTTCTTAAGCAAAAACTGACAGAATTTATCACCACTAAGCCAGCCCTACAAGAAATGCCTAAGAGGGTCCTATATCTGGAAGGAAAAGGACAATATCTGCCACCATGAAAACACACCAAAGTATAAACAAAGTATAAAACTCACTAGTAGAGCAGACAGACAAATGAGAAAACAAGAGTCAAATGTTACCAGTACAGAAAACTACCAAACTGCATGATAAACAACAGACGATAAAGGAGCAAAAAATATACAACAACAACAAAAGGAAAACAAGAAAACAATTAACAAAATGACAGGAATAAGTCCTCACCTATCAATAGTAACCTTGAATATAAACAAATTAAATTCTTACTTAAAAGATATAATCTGGATAAACTGATAAAAACACATACCACAACTATATTCTGCCTACAAGAAACTCATTTCACCTGAAACACATATAAACTAAAAGCAAAAAGACAGAAAAAGATATGCAGGCAAATAGAAAGACAGAAAAAGATATGCAGGCAAATACAAACCAAAAGTGAGCAGGAGTAGCTATTTTATTATCAGATAAAACAAACTTCACATGAAAAACTATAAAAAAGAAACAAAGAAGGTCATTATATAATGATAAAGGGATCAATTCTTCAAGAGGACATAATTCCACATATATATGCATCCAGATATATAAAGCAAATATTATTATCTCTAAAGGAAGAGACAGACTCTAATACAATAATAGTTGGCAAGTTCAACACCCCACTCTGAGTATTGGACAGATCAGCTAGACAGAAAACCAACAAAATAAACACTGGATTTAAACTGCACTTTTAGACCAAATGGACTTAACAGACATTTACAGAGCATCATATCCAACAGCTACGGAGTACACACTCTTCTTCTTGTCAGCACTTGGAACATTCTCCAGGTAGACCATATGTTAGGCCACAGAACATGTCTTGACAAATTTTAAAAAATTGAAATCATATCAGGTATCTTCCAGAACACAATGAAATAAAACTAAAAATGCAGTAAGGAGAGAAACTTCGGAAATTTTACAAATACATGAAAATTAAACAACATGCTCCTGAATGGCCACTGAGTCAATGAAAAAATTAAGAAGGAAATTTTTAAAAAACTACTTGAAGCAATCAAAATAGAAACACAACATACCAAAACCCATGAGATACAGTAGTGCTAAGAAGGAAGTTTATAAGCACTAAACACCTACAACAAAAATGTAGAAAGATTTCAAATAAACAACCTAATGACATGCCTCAAAGAACTAGAAGATCAAGAAAAAGCCAAACCTAAAACTAGTAGAAAGAAACAAACAATAAAGATCAGAGAAAAACTAAACAAAATAGGGACTAAAAAAAAATTACAAAAGTTCAATGAAATGAAAAGTTGGTTTTTCAAGGACAAAAAACCAAACAACACATGTTCTCATTCATAGATGGGAATTGAACAATGAGAACACTTGGACACAGGAAGGGGAACATCACACACCGGGGCCTGTTGTGGGGTCGGGGGAGTGAGGAGGGATAGCATTAGGAGATATACCTAGTGTAAATGACGAGTTAATGGGTGCAGCACAGCAACACGGCACATGTATACATATGTAACAAACCTGCACGTTGTGCACATGTACCCTAGAACTTAAAGTATATTAAAAAAGTCAAAAAAAAAAAAAGAAAAGAAAAACAAAATTGATAAAATACTAGCTAGAATGACTAAGAAAAAAAAGGAGAGAAGACCCAAATAAATAAAATCAGAAATAAAAATGAGACATTTTAACTGATGCCACAGAACTACGAAGGATCATCAGAGACTATTATGAACAATCATACACTAACAAATTGAAAACCCTAGAGGAAATGGATAAATTCCTAAACACATACAACCACCAAGATTGAACTAGGAAGAAACAGAAACCCTGAACAGATCAATAACAAGTAATGAGACTGAATCAGAAATCTCCCAACAAAGAAAAGCCTAGGACCACATAGCATTACTGTTGAATTTCACCAAACTTTTAAAGAACTAACACCAATTCTCAAACTATTCCAAAAAATTGAAGAGAAGGGAATTCTTCCTAGCTCATTCTACCAGGACAGCATTGCCCTGATACTAAAGCCAAACAGGACACAACAACGACAACAAGAACAACAAAAAAATACACACTGATATTCCTGATACGAAAATCCCTAATAAAATATTAGCAAAGTGAATCCAACAACCCATCTAAAAAATAACAGACCATGATCAAGTGTGATTTATCCCATGAATGCAAGGATGGTTCAACATATGAAAATAAAAAAAAATACATCGATAGGACAAAAACCATATGATCATCTCAATAGTTGCAGAAAACGCATTTGATAAAATACAACACACTTCTGAACAAATTAGGCATAGAAGGAATATACCTCAACATAATAAAGGCCATGTATGACAAACCCACAGCTAACATCACAGTGAGTGGAGAAAAGCAGAAAGCCTTTCCTCTAAGAACTGAAATAAGAAAAAGGTGTTTACTTTCACTGCTCTTGTTTAACATAGTATTGGAGGTCCAAGCCAGAGCAAAAGGGCAAGAAAAAGAAATAAAAGTCACCCAAATTGGAAAAGAGGAAGTCAAATTGTCCTGTTTGCAGAAAACATGATCTTATATAGAAAAAAATCTAAAGACTCTACCAGAAAACTTTTAGACTTGATAAACAAATTCAGTAAAGTTACAGGATACAAAATCAATATGCAAAAATCAGTAGCATTTCTATACACCATAGCAAACAAGCTGAAAAGAAATCAAGAAAGTAATCCTGTTTATAATAGCTACAAAAAAAACCTAAGAATAAATTTAGCCAAGAAGGTAAAAGAGGAAAATTGGAACAAAGAAGAAATATGAAAAATAGAAAACATACAGCAAGATAATAGATCTAAATCTAATCATAGCAATAATCACATTAAATATAAATACTCCCAATTAAATGCCAAACAATTTCAGCTTGGATAAAAAAGTAAGAGCCAGCTATGTGGTAACTCAATAAATACACTTCAAATATAAAGACAAATACGTTAAAAGCAAATGAGTAGAAAATGGCATATCATTCTAATAAAAAGGACAATAAAAAAGAGCTGAAGTGCCTGCCTGTGTGAATATCAAAGCAGATTTCAGACCAAAGAATATTCTCAATGATAAAGGGGATTATTTCATAACGATAAATAAATCAATTCATTAAGAGAACATAATAATCTAAATGTTCATTCCCCTAGTTACAGAACTTTAAAATCCATGAAACAAAACCTGACAGAACTTTAAAGAGAATAGAAAAATCCACAATTCCATCAGAGGCTTTGGTAGCCCTCCATCAGTAATTAATAGGACAAGCAGAGAGAACATCAGCAAGGATATAGAAGATTTGAACAGTGGTATGAAGCAACTTGACCTAAATGACTTTTCTAGACTCCCTGCAACAATAGTAAAATACACACCTTTGTAAGTGGGAGGCTGAGGCAGGTGGATCACGAGGTCAGGAGCTCAAGACCAGCCTGGCCAACATCGTGAAACCTCGTCTCTACTAAAAATACAAAAATTAGCCAGGCGTGGTGGCGGGTGCCTGTAATCCCAGCTACTCAGGAGGCTGAAGCAGAGAATTGCTTGAACCCAGGAGGCGGAGGTTGCAGTGAGCCAAGATTGCGCCAGTGCACTCCAGCCTGGGTGACAGAGTGAGACTCCATCTCAAAAAAAGAGAGAGAGAGAAAAAAAAAAAACCTCAAAAAGGAACAGCAAATTAAACCTAAAATAAGTGGAAGAAAGGAAATAATAAAGATCAAGGTACATATTGATAATTTAGAAAGCAAGAAAATACCAGAGGAAGATAATAAAAATAAAGCTGATTTTGAGAGAAGTTAACTAAAATTGATACTCCACCAGACCGATCAAGAAAAAGAGAGAAGACACAAATAAACATAAATAGCCAACATCATGAATGAGTCAGGTGATATCATTACAGATTCTATAATTATTAAACAATAAATATTATAAACAATGTTATGTCAATTAACTCAACAAATTAGATGAAATGAACACAATTCTTGAAAGACACAAACTACCCAAGGTTACTTAAGAATAAACAAATAACCTGAATATCTTGTATCAGTCAAATAAATAAAGCTTATGGTTAAAAACTTTCCAAACACAAAATACTAGGCCCAGTCACCTTCACTAGTGAATTCTATCAAATATGTAATAAAGAAATCATACATAAATTCTTAAAGAGAAGGGGTTGTTTCCCAACTCCTTCTGTGGGGTCTGCATTATTATGAAACCAAAATCAGAAAAAGATACTACATGAAAAGAAAACTACTAACTGGTATCCCTCATGAACACAGATGTAAAAAACTTCTTATCAAAATGTTAGCAAATCAAATCCAACAAGATATATAAGGAATAATGCATCATGAGTTTTATCTCAGAAATGTATTAATGTATAGTTGTTTTAACATCTAGAATTAATCAGTGCAATTTATATTATACACAAAAATGAAAAAAATATGATCATTTCATTAGACAATAGAACAGCCTTTGACTAAATCTAAAACCAATTCCTGAAAAAAAACTTTAAGCAGTGTAGACATAGGAAACTTTCTCAATCTGAGAATGAGCATCTATGAAAAATCTAAAGCTAACAATACTAAACGGTAACAGACTGAATTCTACCCTCTCCTGCCCCCAAGATCAAGAAAAAGACAAAGATGTCCATGCATAACTTCTTGGCATTTTACTGGAGGTTCCAGCCACTGAATCTGGGAAATGTAAACTAATGCGTAGGGACCTTAAGTGGATCAGTGGCTGCCTGGGGTTGGGGAGGGGCACAGAGGAAGAACATCCAGGAGAAGTCACAGAGCAGCACCAGGAAACTTGGGATCACTGGATATGGTCATTATCTTGATTTTGGTGAGGGTTTTACAGTTTCATACATGGCAAAACTTATCAAACTGTATGCTTTAGGTGAAGTCTATTGTATATTAACTATACCTCAGTGAAGTTGTTATAATAAACATATAAAAATATAACCACAATACTGTTACCATATCTAAAAAGAAATTCACAGCTGGGCGTGGTGGCTCATGCCTGTAATCCCAGCACTTTGGGAGGCAAAGGCGGGCAGATCACTTGGGGTCAGGAGTTCGAGACCAGTCTGGCCAACATGGTGAAACCCCATTTCTACTAAAAATGCAAAAATTAGCCAGGTATGGTGGTCAGTGCCTATAATCCCAGCTGCTTGGGAGGCTGAGGCAGGAGAATCGCTTGAGCCTGGGAGGTGGAGATTGCAGTGAGCCGAGATCGCACCACTGCACTCCAGCCTGGGTGACAGAGTGAGACTTGTCTCAAAAAAAAAAAAAAAAAAAAAAAAAAAGAGAAAAGAAATTCACAATAATTTCTGAATATCATAGTTGGATACTTTCACTGAATAATCAGTGTTTACATTTCCCTGATTGTCTTAAAAATTTATAGAGTTTGTTAATTTGAAATGGGACCTAAACAAGGTCCAAAGACAGCAATTCGTTTTGTGTGAAACAAATCAGAACTTCCTGCAGAATCTTGTGAGATATTAATGTCTATTAATGTCCACTCTTGTCCATTAAGAAATACTGAATAGGAAAGGGCCAAAATCATTTTAGGACATCCATAACTACTGCTACATAGAAAAAAAAATCCTATGTGGAATATGACAATCTGCTCTGACCTGTTTGTCTAAATTTTTCCATTGCATTAGTTTGCTTATTGGATTCTCCAGAACACAATGTGTGACCATTTTCAAACCATTTTGACACGTATTTATTGAGTGCCTCACAGGTATTATGCTAACTAGTGTGGGGACACAAAGATAAACAAGACAATCCCTATCCCCAAGTACTTCACACATTAGAAAGTGGTAGGGGGGAAGTAAATTAATGACTAGAATAAAAGACTGAAAATGATCATGCAAAGTAAGAATTACAAAATGCTCTGGGAACAGAAAGAAGCAAAGGATTACCACTAATTGGAAAAACAAGGAAAGAATTAAGGAATGACAGAACATTAGAACTGACTCTTGAGGCACAGATCTAATTTGGAATGAGGTAGACAGCGAAAAATATTTCAAAGAAATGGGAAAGTATGTACATATAAATGTGAAAAAGGTATGTTCAGGGATTTGTGAAAAATCTTGTGGAATTCTATAAAGTACAGGGACATGGATAGTTAGGGCCAAGGCTAAACAGGTGGCTTACAGCCAGATTATGGGGTGCCTTGAACAAAATTCTGAGGAATTTTGACTTTGCTCCACAGACAATGTGGTATTTCTGATGGCTTCAATGAGTGAGCATATGAATCCTGTCTTTCAAGAACTTTCTCTTGTGGTAGGTACATATATGCAGAAAGGCAAAAACTAGAGGCAAGAAGACTCCCTGGATGTGATATACAAGCCTGAGATGTCACAGGGCCGAGGCAATGGTAGTACAGAAAGAGAGAGAAATGGTTAAATTCCTGGCTAAATTAAATGGTTAAATTTTAGGGAGGAAAAAAAGACTTGAAAATAAAACTCAGGAAAATTTAGATTTGAAAATATCAAAGAAAAAATTAAAAATTATAATTTCTTATCAGTAACACTGACATTCAGATAAATCAATTTCACTTGAATAACAATACATGAATTATTTTTATTACAATTATAGACGATCATGTTTTTTAACATAATGCACTACTGAGCATACTGTCACTTAGAAGGAGGTGACATTCCAAAACATCACAGATTATTGTCAGCCCCAAAGATGTGATACATGTTGTGATCCCTTTTATGAATAATGTGCAGTTTATTTTTATGCAACAGCACACCACATGTTTTGGTTGTTAACAGATGACAAACTTTTTACCATGGTTTTAAACTTGCACACTGGGAATGAAAACTATTTATACAGTAAACATTTTAGCGGATCCTATCTTTGGACAAGTTTAATTAAAGAATGAGAGACCAATTGCACAATCAGGCAGACTCAGGGGAGGAAGCAGGAACTTGCTTCTTTGCTGAATACATTACTTTTTCCCAGCAATTTAAAGCATACATGGAAATTAATGGCACTATTGAATTTTATAATAAATCCCTTAAGCATTTAGCTTTTTTTGTTAGCTGTTTTCAAACTCAGTGTTAATAAAGCTGTAACACCCAAGGTAGAAGGAAAGCATAACTTAACGCTTTAATGAGTTGCCACTACAAGCATTCCTCAAATAGCTTTCCAATATTCTCATAACTTATTCAACTTGTAGATGTTTGTTTTCACATATAAACACTTCCTAGAAAAATATCCCTGAAGAATAACCACCTTTCTCTTGCACTTAAAGACATTGGAATGTCATGTGGATAAAGTTTATCACAGTCATTAAGAGCCTCTTAGAAAAGGAACATACACAAGCAATATCAGATTACTCTTCTATTGCATTTGGACTTAGGGATAACATGCATTTTATACAAAGTAATCACTGGAGGGAAAGTAATGATAATAGTTGCTCATATCTGTATAGCATGACACCAGCGACAAAGCCAAATGGCCATCTGACCTGCACGAAAAATGCAGGAGTGCAGGTAGAATTATCTCCATGTTTTATACATGGGAGAAAAAGCTCAGAGAGGCCAGGAGACTTGTTCAAGATGAAATAGCAAATAAGAATTGGTAAAGCTGATTAACACTCCTAGTCAAGAACCCTTTCTACTGTACTGCAAGAATTTTCTAGAATTAAATAAGTGATTTCACACTAGTAAGAGGAATTCATATGCCTATAAGGAAAATGCTCACTGATAAAATGATAATAATAGCTACTCAAAAGCTGAAGCAGACAAAAGAACAGGGCTCATAAGAGCCTTGACCTCCAGCATCACATTTAGCCACACACTTTAATCTAAAAACACACCAGATCAAACCCCAAACTCAGACTGACCAAGAATGGAAACCTCTTGTGTATTTCCATGACGCTAGTACCAATGCACTAAGTGTGTTTGATACTATTAATCTAAAAGGCAATTTTAAAATATTCCTCATTTTTCTCTCTTTCTAACAAGTCTCTTCACTTGTATTTAATAATCACAGAGAAATACTCCAGTAAGAGCACTGTCAAGCTATTATCATACTTCTCAGGGGGTGAAAGACAATCTGCCTCTGGCCTCCTTCCTCAGAAGGCGCAGAGGTATGCAATTAATGGCGCAACAACACATACCCTGCTGGGTCCTATACTGCTTGACTCTTAGGACTGTCTGGAAGTGCCATGAAAAAATATACTGCAGAGAATGCACATGTATGCTCACAGCAGCAGTTAAAAGGCAAAGACGCAGTATGAATCAAAGTGACAAGGCCCAGAAATTAAATGCTCACCCAAGTTCATTGGTTTTATGTTGAAGCTATAATTTGCAATTAATGCTACTTCCACCCTATGACTAGCTGAATGACATTAGTAATAACATCACTACTATGATGATATAAATGCACAAGGAAGTCAGTGATCCTTGGGGGAGAGGAGCCAAATTTCAATGAAGCATAAAAATCAAGGTTATTACCTGAAACACAACTTTATCAAACCTTGGCTTTTATATAAAGGGTATCAATTAAAGGCATCACACTGTATAAATAGATTTTATTCACTTTTATTTCAAGTTTAAAGTGTGCTTCACACAACTTGAATCAAGTTGATATTTTAATTGTGGTAGCTGGCCCACCCCAAAGGTTTCAGATAAATAATATATACATATAATCATAGATGTAGGTGCTAATTAAATCCATTACTTTAATTTCATTAAATTATCATGAAGCAGGAATGGGACAAAGAGGAGAAGGTATCATCAACGTACTGATGAATCAAAGTAGCAAAAGCGTAAAAGTCATTGGATATTAGAAAAAAATGAATTATGATAATTTTCCCAAAAAGGGTTTTTAAGACAAGACTCTAATGTAATCTTCTGTATAGAGAGCATAGCCCATGACACCCAAGTTAAGTACTGCTCTTGGAGTACTGCTGGGCTTGCTGTGAGCAGAAACACCTGTGATTTTTTTTCCATATCAACTTATCATCCTTGTCATTAGACATACTTCAGTATCTGGGTTCACAGGGCTCTTGCATGGATGTAATCCTCACCCACTACTTGAGGACCAGCTCAAATGTCATCGCTCCATGAAGACTCCAGTTGCTTTCCATCTCCTGCCAGCAGTGTGTCATTTCCTCCTTGGTGTTCCCACAGCATTTTGTTCATAGTCTCTACCTCTTTACATTGTAGTTACTTGCTTTGCTTTCAGAGCGCTCCACAGAGCATAGCACACAAAAGGAGCCTATATATTTGGCAAACTAATGCATCATCCTTCTTAGCTAGAAGCTGTTATCTTCTTTATTCAGTTCCCCCTTCCATTCTTTAAGAAGGGTCAACACATGAAAGGATGGCTGAAGTCCCAGGACATGGTGCAAGCCGCCTGGCTTTCACCAGACGCAAATGAGTCCTCTGTAAATGAAAGTGTGTCGGAATATATATAATTCTTTCTCCTACTCCGTTCATCCATACACGCTGACTTTTAAAAATGAACTCAAAGGCAAAAATCAGTGTTCTCTTATTCTACCATGACCAACTCAACAAATGTATTTATAATTTGAAATGAGTTTAGAATTCGCAACATAAAGTGCTATATATTCACCTTAAGTGGTTAACATATCTAGTAGTAAATAATTTAGGAGGGGAACCATGAAAGAAGTACTGTTATGCCCTCAGTAATGTTTTCTTATTACTTTAATAATAAGAGTTAAAGGAAAAAAAAAAACAACATTCTTTCTGGCATGAGAGACCCATGAATCGGTCTATGGCAATGACCCAGGAAATGCTGAGTACCTTCTGAGTACAAAGCACAGCTAAGTCCCTTTGCAGAAAGTGAACAAACGAAGTGGAATGCATCTGCCATTTATTATTAGGGTTATGTTTTCCCTCAAACATCGTCATCCTATACAGCAATATTTGTTCAGTAAATGACATGTCCCCACATACATGATGAGGATTTAATTAGTTGCCTCAAATAGTTAAGCAGCAAAAATCTCAAAGAGGATAGTGTCTACTCTCAGCTGCTGAAATCAGGGTGGAGAATGAGGACAGCAGGAGCAGGAAGGAGGATGGGGGACTTGAGACAGTGGTCAAGTGGGTCTCTCCAGTCCTAGGCCAGAGGCAGTTGCTGTCTTTCCCAGGCAACATATTTGCAGCACTGGGAAAGGCTCACCTTTCTTCTAGCACTTGCTGGCATCAATGCAGTAGTAACTGACGGCATCAGAAAAAGCTAGACCTTTGAAAATATCATTGATAAAAATCTTGTTCTTTCATATCTGAAGTTTGAGCATGTATAGAGGGCAACTGAGAATTTGTTAAAAGTAGTCTTTTAGTCCTGATTAAAATTTGCACGGTTTGCTAAAGGAATGGAGCTGAGTGAGGTGAGAGTCTGCCGATGAGATAGAACATGGGTCATGAGATGAAAAGGGTCTCCGCCAAGATTCAGGCAGTAACAGCTGCCTCAACTACCAAGCTCAGTATTCTGTCCACGCCATGAGAAGGAAGCACTGCAAGGTTTCCTCAGCTCCTCAGTACAGCTAGGTTTGCTTACCATTTGTGGCTCATATGGTTATCTTTAAAATAGCTGTTTAATAAACTTAAAATTTTTTTTCATACTACAGGTTCAGCTTTTCTCAAACGATCCTTTTGTTGGCTTTATATTTTATTAAAAAACCCCTTCAAATCGGATTCAAATATTGTCAAAAAATGATTTCTGAATCAGGTGATACCAATAAAAATTTTTAGTTAAGATGGGCCTGATACACAGACCAGACTGACTAGGTCAGCAGCGTATCTTAACTAACACTTCTCAACCATGACTACACATGAGAATTATTGCACCTAGAGTGATGAAATCAGAATAGTTGAGGGTGGGACCCAGGGCACTGTCTGAACTCTCCCCCATGTGATTCTACCGCACTTTCTTCTTCCTCTTCATCCACTGGGATCCATCCTGCAGTCCTTTGCTCTCACTGTGCCTGGCCAGCAGTGACACAGAGCTGGGTTAGACGAGCAGGCAGGTAGGGGTGGGAAATGCTACAGTATACAGTGGTGCCTAAGGAGAACCTAGTTTTGTTTGGGTGCATCACTGGTTTCAATAGCAGTTAATTATCCGTACATTAGCTTCAGGTGCTCTAGATGGAGGGCGAGGAGGAAAGGGGAAGTTAGATAAAAGCATTATGGCAGGTGATACACCACGAGTGCGGCTGCTCTCCTGGCACTGAGCTCATGCCCTGCTACCTTCATCCTGGACCAGCTCCTAACGACGTGGCAGGGCTAGCGACGGGGCTTTCTGTGCTATTCCAGTACTTTGAGGATCCAATGCTACCCCTCCACGTGGAAATCCTGCTTTCTGTTAGCAAACATCCTCTGCTGGCAGCTTTACTTGTGGTCTGTTCCAGAATCCCTATGAGGCTAGGTTTCTCCGTATTTCTGAGACAGATTTGCCTGCTGCCTCCCGCGTGGTCTCCAGACACTGCCTGTGAGATGCCTAATCTTCATTCCATGCTCACCCACATCTCTGTCACTGCTGACCGGGCATGGTAGCAGCAAAGGACTGTGGGGTGGATCCCAATGGATGAAGAGGAAGAAGAAAGAACATTGCAGCAAAGAGGAAAGGCATGACTGACATTCATAGTGTTAAGGAAAGGCGGTAGACTGGCTTCCCAGGCAGGATGTAATAAAATCACTCAAATTAAAACAGAATTTGATTTATTTTCACCATTATTAATATTTTCCTATTGTCAATATATATTTGATTTTTAAGTGAAAAATATAAAAATATCGCAGGAACTACTGCTCCAAATGCCACTGGACCTACCATTATATTAGAAGAATGAAAAGTGCTATGGGGAAGAGGTCTGCAGGGCTCAGACTAAGGTAATTTTCAGTAAAGCATTTTTCAAACTAATGTACTCACCAATTTGAAGTCTTGTTTAAATAAATGAATATATTCAACTACTCACAGCACTGTCTTTTTATGGCACATTTTTTGAAAGCTTAATTTTAAGTTAATTTAAGCATATGTGGTTAAAGTTAATCTTTAATTTGCCTCAGTATAGAAATAGACAATGTGTTCATAAACAATGAAGTGCATTGCCTGATTTGAAGGAGTGTCACATCTTCCATCATTAAAAAAATTACAATCTTAACAGTCATTTTAAAACATACCAATACCTGATTTTTTTTTCCTTAAGAAAAGTATTTTACTTTCCTGCTCACATTGTCACAATCATTATACAAATTAGCTTTGTAAAATGTGGAGTGCTCCATGGGCAGCATTAGAATGGGATTTTAATGATAATGAAGAATTTGCTATTGTTGTCCTGTGGTGTGTTTGACTGAAGATGCACTCTGGTGAAAACAGGTGTCCTAAATTATCACATGTACTACACTATGGTTAGAAATCATGAAATGAAAAATAAAAACAAAGAGAATGTGTATTTTAACACAGCTAAAAACCTCTACTATACTTGCTAAGACTGATGATATATGCTGAGCTTATTTCAATCACTAAAATTGCCATAATTAAACTTCTCTCTAAATCAGACTTGTATGAGAGTCAGAAATCTTGTATAATTAACTTATCTGTGGAAGTAATCAGACAATAACTGCTGGTGTATTTTAGGAACCACTAAAACTACTGTAGCTGTTGAATGTAATGACTACAATAAATCTTTAAGAGCAGTTATCTCATAATCTCTTTTCACAGCTGCAAGGGTGGACGGGAGACTGTTTTTTCAAAGCTTTTCCTTGAGTTGGTTTATTATGCTATTGCTACATTGCTCTTCAACAACATGGAAAAATTACTAGGCATAGTGGTTAGCTGGAACTGAACCACCAGCCTGTGCTGCAACATCTAGGCAGGCTGTTGTCAATGAGGAATACCTAGTGTTTCAGGACTGCTAAAGACAAGGCTAAAGCATCTCCAGTGGGCAGCAAAAAGACAAAGACAGATCTAACTAGGCTAACCATGCAGTAATTAAGTTCAAGGCGGTGATGGCTTGATCAAGCCCATGTGCATCAATGGAATGGACCCTCAGAGACTGAATGATTGCAACTTCATGGTGTCTTTGCAGCCAGGCACTACAGTTCTCATCTCAATAAGATGAATGAATAAATTTTTAAAGGAAAGGACCACACTTCATACTTCCCAAGCTCACAAGCCAAAGCATCCCTGGCTGACTTAGTTGCCACCTTCATGGGTAGCCCCAGGGAGCCTGGTGAAAAAGCTAGCAGAAATTTGAGGGCGATGGATTAGCTATAATGACTTCAAAAACAAATCATCCCCAACTTCAGCACCTTGCAACAGCCATAAACATTTATTGTATTTCCCAAGTTTTTTGCTATATGGACACAGCTTCTTGTATACTCTCATAATGCAGGAGCTCGTTTCCTCCAGAGTGAGCGATTAAAAGGGATTATGGTAAAAACTGCAACATTTTTTATGAGTTAGCCTTGGAAGTCACACTCTGTCATTTCTGCAATATTCTTTCGGCCACACAGGTCAGCTTTATTCAATAGACAGAGAACTACACAGAGGCATGAATGCCAGGAGGCAAGAATCACTGGAGGCTGCCTTCGAGGCTGACTACTATAAAAATCTACCTCCGGAAAGAGCAGCTTCTGATGAAAGTACAAGTCGTTATGTTTTGCTTGAGTGCATTTCCCAATAGAGGAGATAAAAGTTCTACTGGCTTGAGGTGTAAGAGGGCAGAACTTGGGGTTGGCCAGGCAACTGAAATTTAGATAGTGAATCCCAGAAGCAAGGGGAAATTCCAGAAGCAAGTCTCAAAATCTGAGTATGAATTCTACTCAAATCTTTGGCAAACAAGTAAACTCTGAAGGCACAAGACACCGCCACCCTTTCTGACCAGACTTTAAACACAGCAATTAAAAGCCAAAAATCCTGAGCAGAGATATTAGCTGCTTTACACTGTTGGAGAGTCAGATTTTTCAATTTGAGTCCAGCCAAGTTAACTGTCTACCACACACCAACAGTCCTCAGAAAGACCAAAACAAATTCCAAAGTTGATATAACAAATTACATACACAATCCAGTTTTCAACCAAAAACTACTAGATATGCAAAAAAAATAGGAATCACCTGACCCAGTCTCAGGAAAAAAAAAAAAAGGAGCCAACTGCAGCTGCCTGCCATTGTGCCCAAATATTGGGTTTATTAGAAAAATACTTCAAATTGTTGATCATAAATAAGTACAAAGAATTAAAGAAAAACATAGTATTAATGAGTAAACAGACATGGAATCTTAATAGTGAAATGGAAACTACAAAAAAGAAGCAGTTCGAGATCTAGAGTTGGAAAGAACAGTAGCTAAAATGAAAACTTTACTAGATGAGCTCAACACAGATTTGAAATGGCAGAAGAAAGAATCACTGGACTTGAAGATATAATAATATAAAGCATGCAATCCAATGGGAAAAAATGATTAAGAAATGAACAAAGTTTTTTTTTTTTTTTTTGAGCCAAAGTCTTGCTCTGTCACCCAGGCTTGAGGGCAGTGGTGTGATTTCAGCTCATGGCAACCTCTGCCTTTGGAGCTCAAGTGATCCTCCCACCTCAGCCTCCCAAGTAGCTGGGATTACAGGCACACACCACCACCTGGCTAATTTTTGTATTTTTAGTAGAGAAGGGGTTTCACCATGTTGGCCAGGCTGGTCTTGAACTCGTGACCTCAGGTAATCCACCCACCTCGGCCTCCCAAATTGCTGGAATAACAGGCATGAGCCATCATGCCCAGACTAAAAATAAACAAAGTTTCATAGACCTGTGGGACATTTTCAAGCAATCCAATATACATTTAATTATAGGCACAGAAGTAGGGGAGTGAGAAAGAAGATTTAAAAAATGAAGAAATGGTAGCTGAAAAATGCTTAACTCATAAGATTGATGGGTAAGGCTTAAACAAGAACCCATCTGAAAATAACTTGAAATGTAGCAAGTATATTTGTAGACACTTAAAGTTAATTCATAGTTTGACTTTTCTGTTTATAATTCTTCCTGCCCACCATTCAGGCTATATGCATCTTATAATATCACTATCAGATGAAGGGGCAAGAATGAAAGGGAAGGGGGTTAGTCACATTTTTTTCATACTACAACTATTTATTCAGCACCCACTATCTATGGTTAAGCACCACTAGAATAGTGTGATGGTTAATTATATTTGTCTACTTGGCTAAGCCATGGTACCCAGATATTTGGTTGAACATGTCTGGATGTTGCTGAGAAGGTATTTTTGGTGAGATTAACATTTAAATCAGTAGACTTTGAGTAAAGCAGATTACTCTCCATAATATGAGTAGTCCTGATCCAATCAGATGAAGGCCTTAAGAAAAAGTCTTATCTCCTTCCAAGGAAAAGTAATTCTGCCTCCAGACTCAAGCTGCAACATTAACTCTGCTCTGCGGATTTTGGACTGGCCAGCCTCTACAATCACGTAAGCCAATTCCTTAAAATAAATCTCTATCTATTTCTATATCTATACACATACACCATCCTGTTGGTTTTGTTTCTCTGGAGAACTCTGTAAACTCTGATTAATATAAGGGGATAAGGGTTGGTCATGGTTCCTACTCTTAATAAGCTTTTTGTCTAGAAATTAAAAGGAAAATTCAAAATATGTGCTAATAAAAAATCTGTAAGCACAAGGCATCTTGGGAACAAAAAGAGAAACACACTTTCTGGTCTGGGGTAGGAGATGGGAGTGCAGTCAGAGAAGGCTTCCTGAAAGACAGAACATCTAAGCTCAGTTTTAAGAAATGGGAGTGATAAAAGGGAAGTGGAGCGATTAGGAAGAGCATTTTGAACACAGGGAGGCCATAAGCAGGGGCTATATCCTGAGATGCGTCATGTGCTGCACTAAGAAGTTTATTTTTTTATCATCAAAGCAATAGAGAACTTTGTTCAAATATGTTATATACAGTTATAAGAATCACAAGGAAAACTTCACTGAAGATTTTTTAAATAAGAAAACTGAATGACACTTGATTATTAGCTACGTCTGTTCTATTTTCTTTATGATCACAGAAAACTAAGAACTATCCATATGAAGTACTAGTTGCACCAAGCTGATTTACTGGCTGTAATACAGCCATCTCCACCTTTCTTTAAGTTGCTTTGCAGATGTGATTTCTGTTAGTGTAAATGTGATTTGTTTTCTAGCGCCATCTGGTGTTTTGTTAGGGCCCTGATTATGACTTTAAAAAAAAATACAAATAGTACCCAGGAAATCTTTAAGTGTTTTAAAGACATGTAAATACTGTTTAAACATATTCTTAATTGTAATGAATAATTTAATAAGATATTAAGTATAAGTCTAAATAAAAAATTTTAGGAAAAGTCCACAATACAAATACAGTTTTATCTAACACCCACCCACCCA
Organism: Homo sapiens; assembly: GCF_000001405.40. NCBI lineage: Eukaryota > Metazoa > Chordata > Mammalia > Primates > Hominidae > Homo > Homo sapiens. Next base: position 61,614,314 of record NC_000008.11, read on the forward strand.
CGTGCACACATAGATACACACAAGAAAAAACACATTTCCTTTGCTCTTCAAATTTCTTTAAAGGCTCACAAATCCCAACTGATAACTGACCTTTGATAATATACTAAATCAAGAACATATTGCACATTTTTGTGTTCAGTGAATTTGTCAAAGTACAGCTTTTAAAGGTTAGAGTGAATTCTTTTCCCTTGAGTCAGGATCTTGCTCTGTTGCCCAGACTGGAGTGCAGTGGCATGATCATAGTTCACTGCAGCATCGATCCTCCTACCTCAGACTCCCGAGTAGCTGGGACTACAGGCGCATGCTACCATGCCTGGCTACGTGTTGGGTTTTTGTTGTTGTTGTTGTTGTTGTTGTTTGTTGAGACAGCATCTCACTATGTGGCCCAGGCTGGCCTCAAACTCTTGGCCTCAAGTGATCCTCCCCTTGGCCTTCCAAAGTGCTGAGATTATAGGCATTAGCCACTGTGCCTGGCCATAGATCCATATTTGACCTCTCTCACTCCATTATTCCACCCATTATCAAACCCTACTAACTTTATATCCAAATATATGTAGAATCTAACCAGCACTCACCACTTCTACTCTACATCGTAATCCTGGTCATCATCATGTCTTGCCTGGACCACTGCAATAGTCTCCTAATTGGTTTCCCTGCTTCCAGTCTTGCACCCCTATGGCCAGAATGAGCCTTTGAAAATATAATGCAATCATATCCATCTTCTGCCCAGAATCTCCCAATGGCCATCTCACTGGAGGTAATACACAAGTTCTTACTTTTGTCTTCGAAAGCCTATGTGATTTGAACCCTTGACCACTCTGGTCTCATGCACTCCTGCACTCTCCCCTCATACCTTCTTTACCAGCAATCGCCTCCTTGTTAGGCCTCAAACATGCTAAGCACACATGCCCTGAGGACCATGAGAATGCTCCCCAAGTCTCGGAACTCTTCTCCCAGACGCCGGTGCAACTCCTGCCCTTGCCTCTTCAAATCTCTGCTTAAATGTCACCATCCAAGAGGCCTATTACACAGCAACACCTCCTGCTCATTCTGTTTTCCTTTCCTGTCTTATATTCCTTTTCACACTTCACACTGCCTCTTATATTTTAATTTTTTAAAACTACATATCCAGCCCCACTCTCTCCCCTATACACACTAAAAAGCAAGTACAATGAGAGCTGCAACTGTTTTATTGACTGTTTTGGGCCCAGTGCCTAAAACAGAGCCTGGACATCATAAGTACTCACTATGTACTCAATAAATGGATGAACACGAATGACTGTTTGAATTTGACATTTAACAAGCCATTTTTGTATTGGATTATTTTGTAGTTCACACATTTTGTGACCATGGGCTATGGAATATGTGGGAAAAGATGACATCCAGTGGGGAGAAACTGATATCGCAATTTTATCTAAAACATAAAAATAATCTGATTTGACTCAAGTAACAGATGTCTGCAAATGAGGGCCTATTTTGCCTTAAAAAAATTTCAGTTTCTGTTATTATGAAACTAAAGTCTGATGAGTGAAGGCCATTCCATTTTTTTACTACATATTCTGGATATGTAATGTTTACATAATGTTTCCCTTTCCCTTTTCCTTACCAGATAACAGTATCATATGAATCGATTTGAATAAAAAATACATGGAATTTCCACAGCTCACAATTTGCTCCAATAGATTTTTAATAAATCTGTGATGACATTGATTCATTATTTCTTTTAATTCTGTCTATTCCTGCATTTCCCCCTTAATAAAATACTTTAGTTACAAACATATTTTGGTTGGTACTGATCTAAAGTGCTAATTTTAAATGGGGGGAGAGTGACAAACCAGTCAACAGAAGCCGTTGCAATGATTTTCTTTGCAGGTTCCAGAGGTTCCAGCCTCTACACTTCCCTGGCAAACCCCCTTTAGGATCAGCATCCCTGGAGGTCAGACCTGTGCACCGAGGATACCCGACAGTGCAGGGGAAGGTACGGGCTGCTAAGACTAGAATGGGAGGTCTGGAGCATGAGAGGCAGAGATATGAGGAGCTCACAATTGCAACTGCCCTGTGAGCAGCAGATTTGGGGCAGGTTTGCAAGTGTTTCTGTTTATCTGCAACAAGCCATGCCCACCATTCGGACTCCCTGTCCCTCTCTTTGTAAGAATGCATTATAGTGAACCTCCCAGAAGCAAACCAGTCAATGTGTAAATGAGAAAGGGCTCTGTTTGGTACACAGATGTGCATGGGCTGGGTACGGTGTCCACAGCATGAAGAAAAGTCCAGACTCCCACTGTGGTCTAGTCTTTGACTTTCTCTAACTGTATCTTACACACTCTAGGCTTGTTCAGGTGCTCCAGCTTCTTGGGCCCTTCTCTCTTGTCTCAGGACTTTTGTACAAACTGTTCCTCTGCTCAGAGTGCTTAGGTTTCCCTAACCTCCTGGGACACCTTCTTCCCTAATTCACCACCCCTTCTGCCTACGGCATGCTCTCCTGCTTTGTTTCCTCAGAACTCTTACCACAATTTCAGTCTGTGTGTGTACTGCTGGTCTCCCTACTGGGATGTGAGTTCCCTGAAACAGGAACCTGGTCTGTCTTGCTCTCACCTGCAACCACTTGTCTAGAACAATTCCTGGCATGTAGTTGGCACACTAATTTTAAGGGGATGAAGTGTGTTTTGAGGGGGAAAGATCAGGAGTCGGTTTTAGACTTGTTAAGTTTGAAGTGATTATTACACATCCAACACATTGAAGTTATCAGGCAGACAACATGTAGACAGCTGGACACACCAGTCTAGAGTGCAGGCAAAAGACCCAGGCTGTGAGTAAATTTGGCAATCTGTGGCATACAGAGGCATTTAAAGCCATGAGATTAGATGAGATCATTAAGAGAGTGCGTGTATATGGGGAAATGCTCCGAGGACTAAGTCTGGGGCACTCCGGTGATTAATGGTCAAGGAGATGAGAAACATCCATCCAAAGAGCCTGAGAAAAGCAAACAGTAGAGAGCAGGAGAAAGACCAAGAGAATGTATCCAGCAAGCCATGTGAAGGGAGTGTTTGAAGGACAGGAAGTGATCAACTCTATCAAAAGCTGCTGATTTGCCCCTTCTTGCCTTGTGTTTTCTCATTAGCAGGTATCGCTATCTTATTTATAGTTATGTCCTAAATATATCGGAAGATCCAGGAAGTAAGGCAGCGGAGAGCTTGTGAGAGTATGATGATCGAGCTAATCTCACCGATCTATAAAACAGAGTCAGCCAACGGTTTCTGATATTAAGGAGAAAACTGCAGCATTATACAAATTATTTAGAAATGCATAACTAAGTACTAGAAAGAAACAGCTAAGGCCAGGCACGGTGGTTCATGCCTGTAACCTCAGCACTTTGGGAGGCCGAGGTGGGAGGATTACAACAAGGCCAGGAGTTTGAGACCAGCCTGGCCAACATGGTGAAACCCTGTCTCTACTTAAAAAATACAAAAATTAGTTGGCGTGGTGGCATGTGTCTGTAATCCCAGCTACTCGGGAGGCTGAGGCAGGAGAATTGCTTGAACCAGGGAGGAGGAGGTTGCAGTGAGCCGAGATCATGCCACTGCACTCCAGCCTGGGTGACATAGTGAGACGCCATCTCAAAAAAAAAAAAAAAAAAGAAAGAAAGAAAGAAAGAAACAGCTAAAAGAAAGTTAGGAGTGAGACTTGGGGATATGAAGTAGTAGGGAAGAGGACTGCTGCTATTCATTATAAACCTCAACTTTTTAAACTATATCCTTGTACTACTTTGACAAAAATTAAAAACAACTAGTTAGAAAAGTTTTCATGAATTAAAGGCCTACTTCTCAACTTGTGGGCTGTGAAATTACAGCCAGAGGCCAGCAATTCCACATGCTCACCAAGTATCATTTGCACACTAAGTAAGATCTTATGCACGTTATGTACAAGATACATATGTAGATACTGCTTTCATCACTACAAATTAAATTAAAAGCATTCCTGAAATTGTAATAATATTCAATTATTAAAGATCATATCATTCAACTGATACTAAAAATAGCCACTATTCTATGATCATCCATATAATTTTTTAACTCTTTGTAATAAACTTTGTAATAAACTTTTGGCAGGCAGAAATAATTCTTTCTGCATAGCTGTAACTTTGTTTGTATATCTTTCCAACAATTCAGAGTTCCTTGAAAAAGATATCATGTTCTAGGAATCTTTGGATTCCTATACCTAGTACAGTTGTTGACATATCAACAATAAATGATATTTAATATATCCTAAGTGCTTTCTATGTTAGCTATTGCTTTAAGCACTTTACGTATATTTTCATTTTATTACTATCATGGAAACACAGCCTTCAGAAGTTGGTACTCTTATTATTCCTACGTTACAGAAGAGAAAACTGAGGCACAAAAGTTAAGTATTTTTCCCAAGGACGCAAGAGTGCAAATGTCAAAACTAGAATTAGAAGCTGGGCAACCTCTTTCTGTGCTTTGGCTCTTAATGTTTATGTAAAATATTAATAAGTGTTCTTTGATAAATCATTGAAATAACAAACCCAGGAGCAAATTCTTTTAATTAGTGACATAAAATCATGTTATTCTTGGATGGAACATAAAATCATGTTATTCTTTTCCCCATGTATATTTTAAAGGCTGTTTATTTGACAATCTCACCTTTTGCTTTTTGTTCTGGATCATCTGTTTTTCTATTTGTTTCTGAAAATTAAAGACAAAACATAGTAAGTACTATGCAAGTCACCATTCAGTATCTCAAAATATAGGACAATATTTAAATGAATTCAATAAGTATAATCAAAGAAAAATATATCTGAGCATACAATTCAATTTTCCTAAATCCTGAATTCATTACACATGAAGTTCATTAGAAAAGATCAAGATTTGGGCATATTTCAATTACTTATACTAAAAGTCACCAAGCACTGACTAGGCACCAGGCTAAGTACTCCTTGTCTATAAGATAAGAGAGTTGGAGTGGGTGATGTACATCAACTCCAAGTGTCTCTAAGGTACAAAGACATGTGGATGGGGAGAAGCCATCATTAAAGCTTGTTCAATATTGTTATTGTCTCTTAAAACCAGAAAACTACTTGAACAATTGACATCATGTGCTTTAAAGGAATGCAGCATGTCACACTGCTTGGAATATTAGTCTGCTACTCTAAGGACTTCACATATACACAGATGATCCATTGGGGGAGCTTGTGCTGAAGCCCAGATGAGAAGCCAGAGATGAACCCAAGACCCCACCTGTGTCAGATGCACTAAGTAAATCACAGTCAGTGTCTCTCCCACAAATAGAATTACCTAGGACAGTGACACCCACCAACAGCCTAGACTAGCCAGAGAACATCCACCCCTCACATGGAAAACAACAGCATATGAGCTGACCATGTGTTTTTAACCTCATTTCTGCACCTGTAACTCCACATCAGGACTACTGTGTAAGGTAAATTAGGATCTAGTTAATTTTCACGGCAATCACTTGATTACAGCCCTAGTAGGAACTTATCTGTTCTTTGTGTATTTCTAGGAATACGGTCGTATGCACATAGGTTGGAGAGGGAACAAGGCAGAGTCTGGGAGATTGATAAAAAACCAGACTCTGTCCTCTCCCACAGAAGCTGCAAGAGGATGTCGGTGAGATCAGGGATGCGGTCAAGTGAACATTGACACAGATCACTCAATTTGTTGGTCTGGAGTTTCCCACATTCATTCATATAAAACATTTCAATTTGGGGAGATGAAAAGTAAATCTGAGGCTGGTTTTAATGCAGGGAAGGGATTTTTATAAGTCAAGTGTTCTTGCTCCTTTGAGACTCTACATAAGAGGAAGAAAGGAAAACTAACTTTGAAATCTAGCGTGCCAGGCTAAGTGCTAAGCACATCATTTATGAATTCTCTTGTCTTCTCACACCCTGTGGAGAAGGTCTTACCTCCCTCTTTGTGCATAGGAGAAAATAGATGGCTGAGAAATTAGAGTCCCCAAAGCTATCAAGGCCAGCAGTTTACATAATTCCAAAGCATACTTTTTTTCCACTGAACCACTGTGTACCTTTCTTCAAAGAGAAGTGCCAGTCTTGACTTTTGCAAAGAGTTGATTGATTTTATAGGGTTTACAGCACATACCTCCTGCGCAGTGCTGCAAGAATAATGCAGGACTTTTTTTTTTTTTTAAGGACATGTAGGTCTTGGTAGAATGTTCTAGAATTTCCGATCTCTTTAACTATAGCCTCCTTATTATAAAGTTAGGTAGCTGAACTAGACTATTCAATACCATTCATTCAGCAAATATTAACTGAGCACCTACTAATGTCTGGCACATTTGTAGTCATCGGAGATACAGCAATGAAGAAAAGCATAAAAAATTCCAGTCCTGAAGGAGCTCTTCCTAGTGGGATCAGCAGTACCTGCAGGAACACTGCAACCCTCCACATCCCCCAGTCATTGCATAAGGCTAATGTGATTAGAAAAATCAAGCGTAAAATGCAAGTTTCTAACTGGACTAGATAGAACAGGTGGGTGCTGGTCATGAAGGGGAGTTTAGGGCTCTCCACAGATCTTCCCACTCTTGGGAGGGAAATAAGGAAGGAGGAGTGGTTTGAACTGGTCACATTCCATATAGAAGTGGAAGGTGCTGATCCCGATGTGGGAGGGCCCTGGCCGGGTCTCCTCATGTCCTTTAGACTCACGTCCTCCCAGGAACGTGGAGGGTGAGTGTGGTTGGACATATGCCCAGAAACAAGGGCCACCATCTTTCTTCAACTTCCCATGCTGTATCTAAAAGGGGGTTGGCAGTCTGACCTAAAGCCTGGACCAGATCATTCCAGGCCCCAGGCCAAAAGCTCTCTTATTCTCATTCTTGTCCTCTTCTGTCCTTCACCTCACATCAAGAAGCTGAGTTCTGAGACTCATTTCGGATATGGAGAAAATACACAGAGATAATAGTAATACTTTGCATTAGTTTTATATTGTTATACATAAATTACTGCAACTTGAGCAAAAAAAAAAAAAGAAAAGAAAAGAAAAGAAAAGAAAATACACAGAGAATACGTTTTAGGCTCTACAAGTTTTATTGCTTAAATTTAGCTTAGGTAAAGGAGCTTTCTGTGAGATTCAGCTTACCCCACTAGCACTCTGCAAAGATAATAATGAAGTGATACTTTGCTTTATTCTCTGTACCTATGCTTCTCTGGGAGACCTCATATGAACCTCACTGTGCCAAAGAGGAAAATGACTTGAGCACGTATTATATACAGGCATTGTTCTAAGCACTTAACACAGACTATCCCATTTAAACTTCTCATCATTCATAGGAGGTAGTTATAATTTTACAAATAAGGCAACTGAGGCATAGAGAGGCTAAAGAATCTTGTGTAGGATTACAAAACAAACAAAACCAATTTCAGAGACTATATTCCATAAAATACTACTTTAATCACACTCTATATCCCAGTAATGGGGAATTCATTAACTAAAGGGAGCTATATGCTCAGCCCATCCCTGAAAATTACAAAAGTACAAGCTCACATGTAACTCATATTTAGTCTTTAAATATTCGTATTCAGAAAAAAAAGATGTTACACTACTCTTTACCTGTCTTAACGTTTTTTCTCCTTTAAATATTTTGTCAGAACAATAAACACCTTACTAAAAAGAATGGGATATTGATCTTTAAATATTGTCATGCAACCACTAAAGCAAATCGCTTTGGTGGATTCAGATATACTGTACTCAGCCAGGCACAGTGGCTCATGCCTGTAATCCCAGCAGTTTGGGAGGCCGAGGCGGGCAGATCACAAGGTCAAGAGATCGAGACCATCCTGGCCAACATGGTGAAACCCTGTCTCTACTAAAAATACAAAAATTAGCTGGGCGTGGTGGCACGTGCCTGTAGTCCCAGCTACTCGGTAGGCTGAGGCAGGAGAATCGCTTGAATCCGGGAGGCAGAGCTTATAGTGAGCCGAGATTGCACCACTGCACTCCAGTCTGGTGACAGGGCGAGACTCTGAGACTCCGTCTCAAAAATAAACAAACAAAAAACAGATATACTGTACTCGTGTTCCAGCCACTGCGCTAATCTGCCAGCTGAGCAGTTCTTGCTGGACTCAAGGTACATTCAAAGTGAATTTCCACCCAGGCCTGTTCATCCCTCTGAGTGCATTACCACACTGGCATCTGTTCTTTCCCTGCACCAGGACATGAGACTGCTCTCTCCCTAAGCACCCAGACTGACCAGTCCTCACGTCACAGCTTTCCAGTCTCCTTCTCTACTAGCACTTCCTTAGCTCATGCTGTATCACCATCACCTATTACTAGTTAGTTGCCTAACCATCTTCCTGCCTGCTCTTTGGCCTCCCTCCAATGGCTTCCACCTTGCACCAGCTGCCGGAGAGTTGCTCTGGATACTGGTGTGTCACCTCGGGCCAGCAGGCACCCCACCTCTCTGACCTTGGCTTTGCTCACTTGCAGGCAGAAGTAATACTTATCTGCTGAGAAAACTCAGCTCCCTGACATGTGCACACAGTACTCCGCAGAGTGGGTGCATTCAATAAAAGTGGGTCTGCTTACCATTAGTGTTTATTTTTGTTTCTTCTGGACATGCTGGGGCTAAAAACAACCTGTTCTAGAACCCCAGGGGCTTCTTCCTTATTTAGTTCTCCTTTTCTGTCCAGAGAATGAAGACTGGAAATGGAAAAGAGAACTTTCCATATCCATTTCTGCCCTTCCATCCACTCACGATGAAATTAATATCCTCCCATTAAAAAGTGATATATAAGGTGGGGCAGTAGTTCTATTTTCAGTCTTTTGAGGAACCTCCTAGTGGTTGTACTAATTTACACTCCCACTAACAGTGCATGAGGGTTCCTCTTTCTCCACATGCTCACCAGCATTCATTACTGCTGTCTTTTGATAAAAGTCATTTTAACTCAGGTGAGATATCTCAAGGTAGTTTTGATTTGCATTTCTGATGATCAAGGATGTTGAGCACCTTTTCGTATACCTGTTTTGCCATTTTTATGTCTTCTTTTGAGAATTCAGATCTCTTGCCCATTTTAAAAATCAGGTTATTAGATTTTTCCCTATGAAGTTGTCTGAGCTCCTTATATATTCTCATTATTAATCCCTTGACAGATGGGTAGTTTGCAAATATTTTGATGTATTCTGTGGGTTATCACTTTACTTTGTTGTTTCCTTTGCTGTACAGAAGCTTTGTAACTTAATGTGATCCCATTTTTCCATTTTTGCTTTGGTTGCCTGTGCTTTTGGGGTATTACTCAAGAAATCATTGCCTAGACCAAAGTCCTGGACAATTTCCCCATTGTTTTCTCTTAGCAATCCCACTGCTAGGTATATATCCAAAAGAAAAGAAATTAGTATATTGAAGAAATTTACGCACTCTCATGTTTATTGCACTATTTACAATAGCTAAGCTTTGGAATCAACTTAAGGGTCTGTCAACAGACGAATGAAGAAAATGTGGTACATATATAATGGAGTACTACTCAGCCATAAAAAAGAATAAGATCCTGCCATTTGAAACAACATGGATGGAACTGGAGGTCATTATGTTAGGTGAAATAAGCCAGGCACAGAAAGATAAACATCACATGTTCTCACTAATTTGTGGGTGCTAAAAATTAAAACAATTGAACTCACAGAGGTAGAGGGTAGAAGGATGGTTACCAGAGGTTGGGAAGGGTAGTGAGGGGAGAGGGGAGCAGGAGGTGAAGATGGTTAATGGGTACAAAAATATAGTTATATACAATGAATAAGATCTAGTATTTGATAGCAAAACAGAGTTACTATAGCCAACAATAATTTATTGTACATTTTCTATATCTGTATCGAAATATCTCATATAGTCAAATTTATACATCTATTATATACTCACAAAAATTAAAAATTTGGGGAAAAAAGGTGGAGCAGGCTGTCCAGGGAATAATCAAAACTTCTAGGTGCAGGACAAAATCTACAAAGGATGGCTGCAGGGGCTATTTAATTTTAATCTTGCTTCCTGGCAATGTAGCATGATAGTAAATGCAAAATAAGCATTATCTGTTAGAAATACGTTAACTGGCTGAAGGTATTCCTTTGTGATTTTAGTTATCAAAAATGCTATAATCTTCTAAAATACTAGTAAGGATAAAATGAACTGATTTTATTATGTAACAAATTAAAAATACCTTATACTTCAAAAATAATGACAATATAGAGAATTCTTCTGTATTTTATTGCACTCAACATTTAATAGAAGACATTTACATTATTTTTAGAAAATCCACCGATGTTGCACAATGGCACATATTTGTAAAGACAAGGCTCATTAATTCAGATATTTGGAATTCAAAAATATTTAAAGTTAACCACAGCATAATGAATCCTCAACGTCCAGAGTTCTACAAAAATCCAGCAAAACTTACTTTTACTCATTCATCAGTTCTATGTCACTCCTTAGTTTCCCTAAAAAAATATGGCTTTATAAAAAGTAGCTTCTATAATTCACAAAATGAAGAGTTTTATTATAATTTGAGTATCATCTCTGTATCACCGACAGCACAGCTTTAGAAAATTATTGCTTTTCTTATTATCTTATTATTTCAGGTTTCATTACACATCGAGTACCCATGCAGGACTCACTACATTGTATAATAACTATGATCTATAGTGATAAAAATATAGAAGTATCTTTGATTTTAATCCTAAAAGCAGGGGGAAAAAGTCACCTTATCTTAATGTTAACAAAATCAAGAGCTACCCCTAATATATCGATCAAACCACTTCTTATGGCTTTGCTTATAGTTGCTCATGGTCCTTTCAAAATGATGTGGTAGCTACCTTCTTTTCTGACAAAGGATTATTTTCAACAGAGCAATTATTTCTGAGCCCAAAATAAACCACATTAAATAAGAAGAAAATCTTCAGTGTAGAAAGAAAAAGGCTCATTGCCGTGAAATAGCAGCAGGCATCGGGCTCTGTGAGCTTTTCACACATCCTCAATCAACCCAGCTCAAGGCGTTACTGAGTTCATCTAGTAAGAGCACTGAGCGGTCTCTAGTGCTGGAGGGGAATTACTCAATTAGCCAAAGGCAGAATAATCTTTAAGTTATGCACCAGTAATTTATACAGGTTTTCTAAAATTTAAACAAATGCTGAAGAGACTATAGCTATTATATGATTAATCTGAGGTGCCAACAAAGCATTTTTGCATGATAATAGTAGGGCCATTCTTTTTCCTTGTGTCTTAACAAGGAATTTCAGCTTTCCCCTCTCATTTAAAAAAATAAATAAATGATAATTTAAAACTTTCACTGAAATATTAAATTTTTCTAATTAATCAGCTAAAAGCTACAAAAATTTCAAAAGTGTTAATCTGAACACTTAAAGCTAATGTAGAAATTTTTGATAAGAATATCAGTGCAGGTATATACAACTCAAATCTTCACAGCTAATGATGATCTCTGTTAGCGTTTTTAAGAGTGCTAACACAAAGTACTCTTAATAGCTTTTAAATCATGTTTAACACAGTGTACACAAGTCAGTCCAACAGTTAGTGTTAATTACTAATAATATATGAAAACCCTGCCAACACAATTGCTGCTACATCACCAATATAATTATTAACCACTGTCGGAAAAACACACATAAATTCAGGTAAGACTAAAAGCTGTCTCACAAAAAGAAAAAAGAAATCCAATGGATCCACTAATGCTATCAAAAGGGACATGCAGGAATGTAACATGACATTTTTAGAAATGTGTGTTTCTAAAAAGAAAAAAAAATACACTAAAATGCCAGTGGACTATAATTCATTCAAAACATCTTTAGTGTTCCTTCCCAAAGATCTTGATCTGCTCAGTAATTGCTTCACAAGATCTATCACAGCCATCTTTTGGAGCGTATGGTTAGGCTGGTCCTCCTGTGGTGGTAGGGGCAGTCTTTTTGAAGCTTTAAGTATCTGCAAAAATAAGGGGAAATCTAAATTAAAGGACCAACCAGACACAGACTGTGAAACTGCTTCATTTTCATTCTACTTTTTAAAAAACCCACCAACAAAGTAATTTTTTTTTTTTGGTGTTTGTTTTTAAGGACAACTTGGTAACAGAATAATCAACTACCGAAAGAAGCCCCTGGGGATGGCTTGCAAAGCTGCTGATGAAAATCTCAGGTTCTTTCGAGCACTTGAGAATTAAAACTGAACTGAATAATCTCAATCTTTTAAGAAACACAGCATTAAATTTCTTTCTTCAATATTTTCACTCTATTAAAAAGAAACAGAAATCTAGTATGGTATTTGAAAAATAAATACAAGAAGCAGTTTCAAGGATCAACTGGACACTATAAGCTGCATTTAAAATATATTGCTTTAAAAATTAAAATAAATTTTAAATTAAAATAAATTTTAAAAAATTAAAAATTAAAATATATTGCTTTGAAAATTAAAATAACATAAATGGTTGACAATAAAAGTATATAAGTATTTTAAAAGAAGTAAAATTCATTCCTATCCAACTTTTTACAATTTTTTTTTTCATTCTTAACTTTAGTATCTGATTTGTTTTACTATCACAGAATTGGATTTGTGTTACAATTAAACTAGAAAAGGAGGTGGTGCACAGAAAGGCCCTGCAAAATCTTGATATAATTTTTAAAGCTGGATCCCAATATTTCCTTTCTTCCTTCCTACTTTCCTAAGAATTTCTATCTATCTATCTACACATGTGCAACCAAAACTTTTTATGTAAGTGGAATTGTTTGGGAACAACTAGACATTCTATATATACCTTTACATACCCAACATAAATGAATGCTTCTATTTCCCCAAAAAGACATTACAAAAATATTCATAGCAGCTTTCTTCATAGTCAACAATTGAGGGAAAAAAACTCATTGTGTCCATTAACAGTGATTAAAAACTGTAGGAAATAGTTATGAATAAGAGCAAATGACTACACTTAACAAGGTGGATGAAACCACAGACAAGATGTAGAACAGAAACAAGTTGCAAAAACAAATGTGTGTGTTTATGGATCTTAAATTCAAGAGCAGACAAAACTAATCTACGATGATCCAGTTCACAAGAGTGGTTACCTCTGGTTGGGGTATGACTCAGAGGTAGGAAGAGGGAGACATTTCTGGGGTGTTAAAAGCTTTACGTCGTTTTATCTTGATCTGAGTAACGGGTACGAGTATATATGCATGGAAAAATTCAACATTTGAGCATTTCCACATGTATAAATTATACCCCAATAGAAAAAGTTTATTTAAATGAGTTTTAGATTCTCTTGGCATTCAACAATTTTCTGGACTTTGATTTGAGAGGAAGATACATTTCAGAAGTACCCTGGGAAAATGGAAAGTTGTTCAAAGTATAACAATGAGTATTTATAAAAAGGCAAATAAACTAAAAGTTCTACTACAATTTTGAACAATTCCAATAAATGTCTGAAGACCCCATTCAGAAGTGGTTATGGTGCAAATCCCACATCTCCAAAACCAGGACCGTCATCTCTTCTGCTACTCTCCATTTCTTCCTGCCTTCTCTATCTCCATTAACATTCTGCCATTCATTCACAAGGACTCAAGCCAGAAATGTAGGAACGTGGACTCCTCTCCCTCCCCCATCAAATTATTTCCAGCTCCAGTTTCCATGAAATCAGGCACCTTTCCATTCATTCTACTGCAGCCAAGCTCCCACCATTTTTGGCTTAGCCTACGGTAGCTGCTTCTTACTAGTCTCTACCTCCTTGCTGGACTAACTTCTCAAATTGAGATTAGATCATATGACTCCTCTGCTTGGATTTTTTCAGTGACTTCTTGTCATTTTTAGGCAAAGATCCAAACTTTTATTTTTTGAGACAGGGTCTCAATCTGTCACACAGGCTAGAGTGCAGTGGTGCGATCATAGCCTACTGCAGCTTTGACCTCCTGGACTCAAGGAATTCTTCCACCTCAGCCTTCTGAGTAGCTAGGACTACAGGCACGTGACACCAAGCCCGGCTTTTTTTTTTTTTTTTTTTTTTTTTTTAAGAGATGGGGTCTCACTATGTTGCCCAGGCTGGTCTCAAACTCCTGAGCTCAAGCAATCCTCCCACCTTGGCACCCCAAAGTGCTGACACTACATGCGTGAACCACTGTGCCCAGCAGATCAACACTTTTAAACATAGTATATAACATCCTCTGAGAAGAGACACTTGCCTACATTTCCCCTGTCCTCTTTCACCCGTCTGGCATGCTGTCATGGCCTTTGTGCTTTGTAAGCTCTAGCTTCCTCTGCTCTCCTCCTGCCAGCTCCTGGAGCTTTTATCAACACCTGAAAACAGCTAAAACTAGCACAAGGACATCTGGGAGGCTAACCTCATTCTCTGTCCCACCCCTCTGAAGCTGGGTGAGTTATCTCTCCTTCTGTGTGTTGCTGTGCACAGCTCTGAGAAATTAATTGTACTTATTTTACTCCACCATGTACCCACAGGACTGTGAACCAAGCAAGCACAACATTGTCAATCATGTATCTTCACTGGCCAGCACAGAGCCTATACCACAGCAGCTGCTCAATATATATTTTTTGAATAGATGATCAATAACAACAATATATATATAAAGCACTTATGGAATATTAGCTACTAAGAATGTAAAGTCAATTTCCACCCTTGCCCCCAGACCTCTGGTGTTGCTAGCCTAAATCTGGTTATAGGCCTTATTGATCAATGTTAAAAAATGCTGGGTAATGGGGAGGCCTGTGTGAAAGTTCTGGATGGATGCAATGGAGTGAAACCACTACCAATGCTGGAATACTCAGCAGTGGGATAAGCTGCAAGTGGTATCTCCATTTTCAAAGACAGGAGCAGCAGAATTACCCAGAAACCATGATGCTCACATACCTGCATTCTGAAGAACATGGTTACACAAAACATAAACTAACTTTTAAAATTCTTTTCTGGCAGGGTATAACAGAAAAATAGTTAATAGACTCAGTCATATGACCTAAAGTATTGTTTGAGAGGAAATTTTACTCCAATGAGCTTTCACAAGTAATTCCTTCATAAGTCGTTCCATTTGTGTTGTGTATATTTATGCTGTCAGATTGCTACAAATATGCTGTATGATTTCAAGGAAAACTATGAGTTTAAGGAGAAAGGTGAAAACCTGCTAATGGATGAGAAATTCCAAAATCAATCTTAAAAATCTAATATCCAAAGTGATTGGCCTATAATATCAGAAAAATCAAATCTTAAGCTTAAGCTTCCACATGCTTGCCAAGAATCCACGTGCACAGCACTTACAAATTTATAAATATGCAAGAAAGAAGGCAGAATGCAAACTACTGGACAACTTACTTTTCTACTATACATCATAACTCAACCTTTGACATTCCTGAGGCCTATGTGATGAACTAATGCAGATTAAGAGAAAGATGCTGAAGAATATATAACACATCTGATTTTACCACACCAAAACTGCTCTCAAATCTCTCAGCTGTCACGTCTTCATTTATTTAAAATCCTTTGAAAAACGGCAGCTGACAGTGTGGACTCTGGAGCCAGAATGCAAGGATCAATCCGATTTCTACCACTTGTCAGCTCTGTGACCTGGGGAAGGTTACTTGGCCTTGCTGTGCCTCAGTGTTCTCATCTGTAAAATGGAGGTAATGGCATATCTACCTCTTGGGGTCTTAGAACTATTAAAGGTCAATCCACAGAACGTGCTTAGCAGAGCGCCTACATAATGCTTAATAAACATGAAATTCACTGTTCCCTACTTTAGATGGAGGCAATGGTGATAATGCCACTTGGGATTAGCACATTGATAGTTACATTATTATGAACTTTAATAAGCTATATTAAGACTGTATAACTTAGTATTAGGATAATCAGAGAAGGCAAATCAATCGTCAATTAGGTTCCAAGGGAAAAGAAAAAGTGAACTAATATTCAGCACTTTGCAGAAGTCCTCAATTTGAGTCTTCCACTGAATAAAAGAATTTTAAAGATTGAAAAATGGCAAGGAGGTAGGCCCTATAATTAGTGTTCCTACAATCAGATGCAAAATTAGACTGTGCAAAAATACCACAAATACAGATTTATGAAGATTGCACAAGTGAATAATAAAAAAATTGTAACATGTGGTAGGACTAAGAGTAAGACTTAAGACTTATAGAAAATAAGAAAACCAAGTGCAATGGTTAAAAATACGGCCATGTGTCATGTAGCAATGTTTTGGATAGATCAAATATATGATGGTGGTCCCATTTGATAATGAAAATTCCTATTGTCTAGATGCATCTTAGCTTTCATAACGTCCCAGCACAACACATTACTCATGTGTGTGGTGATGCTGGTGTAAACAAATCTACTGCACTGCCAGCTGTATTAAAGCAAACCACATACAATTATGCACAATACATAATATATGACAATGATAATAAAGGACTGTTAATGGTTTTACTCTCCTATACTTTTACGGTTCTTTTAGACTATATTCTTACTTGTTAAAAAAAAGTTTACTGTAAAACAGCCTCAGGCAGGTCCTTCAGGAGGTATCCAGAAGTCATTGTTATCATAGGAGATGACAACTCTATGCCTGTTATTACACATGAAGACCTTTCAATGGGACAAGATGTGGCGGTGGAAGACAGTGATATTGATGATCCTGCAGGCCTAAGCTAATATGTCTGTCTGTGTCTTAGTTTTTTACAAAAAAGTTTAAAAAGTTAAAAAAATTGAAAATAAAAATGCTTATAAAATAAGGATATAAGAACATTTTTGTATGGCTATATGATATGTTTGTGTTTTAAACTAATTTTTATTACAAAATCATCAAAAAGTTTTTAAAAATTAGGTTTACAAATTTAAAAAAATTACAGTAAACCAAGGTTAATTATTAAAGAAAAATTTTAATAAATTTACTGTAGCCCAAGTGTACAGTGTTTATAAAATCTACAGTAGGGTACAGTAATGTCCTAGGCTTTCACATTCACTCACCACTCACTTGCTGATTCACTCAGAGCAAATTCCAGTGCTGTAAGCTCTACTCATGAAGTGCCCTATACAGGTATATCTTTTTATTTAATTTTCTATACCATATTTTTACCATACTTTGTCTACGTTTAGGTATGTTTTCATACACAAATATATACCATTGCATTATAACTGCCTATGGTATTCAGTACAGTAACATGCTGTACAGGTTTGTAGTCTATAAGCAATATGCTGTACCATATAGCCTAGATGTGTAGTAGGCTACTCTATGATGTTCATACGTGGACAAAGTCACCTAACGACACACTCTCAGTCTGTAGCCTTGTCATTAAGTGACACATGACTGTATTGCTGACTCTCAGCCTTACATCCTCTTCTGGCAGGGTCAAACTACAACAATGCAGTGGATCATTCAAATTTTTATGGTACCAAGTTACAGGTTACAACTTCTCCATGAGGTCTTTCAGAATGTAGCTTCTCTTGATCTTGTTTGGAGGTTCCAGCAGGGGTGCTACTCATATACCCTTGACTGAAGACTGGTCCTCCTGTATCGGGGACGGTCATGCTCGTCAACTGAGCATGCAGCTTTGGGAGGGATGCACATGGAGTGGAGAGGGATGAAGGGGACACCTGCCTGGCCAGCCAGATCAGTTGAATCAACCCTGATGATCAATGGGGTGACAGATGTCACAGCCAGATGGCCCTCACATCCATCACAGAGGTAGATCTTGATCTACCTCTAAGATCAGGCTAATTAATTACTAAACAATAGTCATAGCCAAAACTTACTGGGAGCTTATTATAGGTCGGGAACTATGCATATTAATCAGATCTTCATTTGTATGTGCTTTGGTTCTTAAAAATCTAAAAAAGCACCTTATTCCATCACCTCAGAAACTTGGTGTTTCATATTTACATTCCAAATAAACTATTGGGTTCAGTTATAAAATGTTAAAAGTATAGAAATTTTTGGTCTGAAAAATATTATCTTTCATATCTTCACAAAAATTAGATCAGTATTTTAAAATATGAACTATAACTAGAAATATATTAATTTGTACAAACATTATTTTTAGGAATATAAAATAATTTTCTGTTAAGTCATGGAATAGTCATCAAAATGCTAATTCTGTAACTGGTCCTGCCTCTTTGATACAAACAGGGTACTCTGTGAAGCAGTATTCAAAAATGAAAAGGAAACCAGCAGAAGGACATAAATATCAGCTGCCCTTGCCCTGTCCAAGTATTTTAAACACAAATACACACTGCCTAGTAGTCATCATGTAAAAGGTCAATTTCTCCATGGACTGCTTTTCTCATTCATATTATAATACCAACAATTCCATTCTCTTAATCAAATATTTGTTTCTGCAGATAATTATTATTAATGTACATGGCAGGACAACTATCAAAACCTAAGGCATCCCACATATAACTAAATATATTCTTTGATTATTTTATCCTTTTTTATCATTAAAGAAAGAAAATTGAAATTTAGTATTTAATAAATTTTGGCAGGCACAATTAGTTCTACCAAAATCAGTAATAGGAATGCACATCACTGCTACAAAATTCATGTTAAAATGTAGAAAATATAAGTAAAGGTTGAACAAATAAATATGACACAAAAATAAAATGCAGAAATGAGAAGAAATACACTTGGGAAAGAGGTAGGATTTTCCAAATCCTGTTTGATAGAACATTCTTTCCCACTATGAGAGTACGAGGTTTATAAACTCACTTCTGGTTGCAGGTATAGTTTATGCCATCTCTAAAATGCATTTGAAAGCATAGGCTTTGGTGGAAATGCTGTTACCATTCTTTATATTAACTGGTGACAAGAGGGCTCAGGTAGAGGAAAGTAGGAAAAAACAGGGAAAAGTATGTAATGCAGTGAACTAAAAGGAAACACCCTGGGACACTGACAAGCACTGGGCAGCCTGGACTGTCACAAAGCACTAAAGATGCTCTCAGGAGAGATGGGGAATGGAGAGGAAGAGGAGTAATGTCACAATTTATACACTATTCAACTTTCATCCCAAGGCAATTCTGATTCCATATTCTCCATCAAATAGCCTGTCAATCAAAGAGGAAAACAAAAAAACTCTAACTTCCACTACTACCACCATCTATAATGGCAAAATCATATGATCATTAATGCTCCTCAAATTCTAGCTCAGCAGATATGTACTGCACTGAATCTGATGTGCATTTTCCATTACTTTGGTTGAACTGATCAAAACAGAAAAATTCTAAATTAAGGTACAGTTAATCTCTCTCAAAATTTTTATCCTTCGTAGATTCATTATAAAGCTATTGGTAATATTAACAGGATTTTTAAGGATAACAAAAGAGGAAAATACAACATACAAAATGTCATACCTGGTGGTACTTCCTGCTGTTCTTCCACAGGAAAAATGCTTACTTCTAAAATAAATAATAAAGTTATAATCTGTTACATATTGCTGATCAGTGTTTAAAATATGCGTTGCCAGATTTAAGTAATGATGATACTTTTCATAGATTTTTTAAACAATTCAATTGAAATTTTAATAAAAACATTAGGCTTCTATACCCTCACAACAAAGAATGATCAGCTACAACTTAGCAAAATGTTGTGTATTTCTCAACGGTTCAGCACAGCAGGTTTTATAGTACCTGCCCGACTAACCTCAAACTCCACTGCCCAGCAAAGGAGCTATGGACTAAAACTTATGCTTTCACCACAATTTTGCATCAGATTTGATAAGAGAGCTGTGGAAAGACACTTAAAGTATCTTATTTCTTCTTTAACATCAAACACTATCCTTCATGAAGTTGTTTTAGAAAACTAATATTCCAGATAATATATTCTGAGACTAGTCAAAGATATGGATGTGAATGTTTAATATCCTGTCTTTTTCCTTGGTTGCTTCAACCCAGTTACAATTAAAGAGATGGTAGATGTCCCCACCCAGTGATTTAAAGACATAGTGATCTGATTTGCTCCATGAAATTACATCACATATTAATATCTTCAAACCTAGCAACCCATTTAACATTACCTTAACCTAGAGATAAGATTATATCAACATTCCTTTTGGTCCTTAAGAATTGTTAACAATCTTTGGCCAAAAGAAAGATTTTTTTAACAGTATTTTCTAAAACAGAAAACACTTATGGAGCTATTTTAATAATTTTTCTTCTTGCATTAATTTGCTTCTAATTATAAAAAATGACACATGCTCAAAACAGAATATTTGGAAATATTTCACATAAAAGTAATTGAAAACAGCAACAAAAATCACACCCATTCCCACTAACCACTGTTAGTATCTGGCAATATTTTCTTCTTATAACAGCAGTACAGTGACTATTGAATAGCTATGTTGTGACTGGCTTTTAATAGGTTTGCCTGTTTATTTTGTTCTTAATTATTTGGAGACATATTAACACTTTATCAACTTTGCCAATATTTTTCTCAGAATTTCTTTTACTTTTGTTATTCTACGCTCAAAATATTGTACATCATAAAGTATTAGTTGCTGCTTTTGTTATTTCCAACACTGATGTTATACTAAGAAAGCCTTATTATTATTGCAAGTTAAATTTTCATCTAAATTTATTACAAAAAATATACATTCAACAAACTCATATGAAATTTCTTCTGGTATATGATGTAATAACATGATTTCTAAAAAGTAAACCGTGAATTAATTCTATCAGCACAATCTGGGTTACCTATTTTATAGCCTACTTTTCCTTACTCCAGGTCTTTTTGAACCCACTTCATTCTGTATGGCTTTCTCTTCCCCTAATTTACTCAAATGGCTTTTGGTAAGATCACTCACAATCTCTACGTGGCCAAATGCAACTGATAACTTCTCAGTCCTGAAATTCCTGGGCCACTCAACAACAACATGAAACATATTCACATTTTCCCTTCTCTACTTCTCCACTGGCTTTCCTCCTCACACAATGGCTGTTCACCTTCCACCCAACCTCACAATATTAGATTCTTAGAGCTCAGTCCTGGGCATGCCTCTTTATCGTCTCTCCACTTGCTTCCAAAATGATCACATCAGTTTCCATGGATTTAATACCATCTCTACGACAATGGCTCCCAAATGTTTATATTCATCTTAAAACTCACCCAACTAGCTCAGGTTGGCATATTCAACCCCCCACTTGATACTTTCACTTGGATATATCACATAACTCCCAGAGTTAAAATGTCTGATCTGGGGCGTTTTATTTTCTCTCCTAAACCAGTTTCTTCTATAAGGTTGGTGCAAAAGTAATTGTGGGTTTTGCTATTACTTTTGCACCAACCTAATACATTCTAATAATAGTTTTCTTCTCTATAAATGGCCCCATCATCTAATAGTTACTGAAACCAAATAAAAGACCCCCTTTATTCCTCATCTTTGCTTCACAACCATCAGGAAGGTCAATTAATTTTAATTCTAAAATATATCTCGAGTTCAACACTTTCCCCTCCATTCCCACTGCCATGATCTTATTTCAGGCTACCACAATCACTTCCTTGGATTAGTACACAATATTTTCCTAACAGGGTGTTTCGCTCTGCTTCCGTTCTTGCTCCATTCAATCTAGTGAAAGTAATTCACTTTCACATCTAAAACAAAAATCAGATTATGCTATATCTTAAGAATTTTCATAATTCACACTGTGCCTAGAATATAATCCAAAAAGCCTTAGTAGGCCTTGCAAGGCCCTGACTGATCTGTACCTATCTCTTTATTGCTTAAGCCAGTTTGAGTTTCGTTTTCTATTATCTGCAACTGAAAGTAACTTTACTGACACAGATGGAGAATAACAGAAGGGTTTAAACACAGGGCTGATACAATGAGAGCTATACTTTTGGACAGATCATCCTAACAGTATGTGAAAGATGGGTTTGGAGGGGACAAGAACAGAATCAAGATGTCTAGCTAGCAGACTACTGCTATTATCTAGGAAGATGAGAAAGGGCTGAGCCAGACAAGGGGCTATACAAGAGCTATGGAGAAAAAAATGGATTTAAGAAATGTTTAGGGAGTCTATTAACAGGTCTTGGGATTAGCTATAGAGACAGAGGGAGAGAGGACTCAAAAACGAGTTCCATGTTTCTGGTCTGGGAATCCAAGTATATATTGATACAACCGGCCAAGAGAAGAGGAGACAGGGAAAACAAGGTTGGTTGCTGTGAGAGATAAGCTCCCCTCACTGTCCACTCAGGCACTACAGGAGCCCAGCACAGAAGCTGCAGGATGGGTGGCAGGTGCATAGCCAGGTGCCTCACTGCCCAGGACAGGAAACTCCCTTAGCAGCCTCTGCTATGTCCTCTGTCAACATATCAAAATACTGAAAAGTCTTAGGAAAAAACTATTTCTAAACCAAGAAAGGTAGGGTCAAATTGCATAGTTCTTTTCTATAAACCGTATGTAGGGTAGGTTGGAGAAAGTTCTGCCCAGAGATTATGGGTTTCCATCTTCTGATTCTCACCAAATAAACATATAGACTCAGTAATATTCTTCAGAACATTAATATCCCTCATAGAGAACTGAGTAACACAAGGTGGGAAAAAATCTCAACTCAATTCAGCCTTGCCACACAGAGATGGATCCTGCCTTTACACAAGGGCCCAGAGTGCCTGTACAGGGGTCTCTCGCAGCAGCTAAGCGGACACAGACAGCAATTTTAGCCTCCCCGATTCCCTTATACCTATCTCCCCCCATTTCAGTCAACTGCACCATTCCATTTTCCTTTCTGCCTAACCAAGCTCAAAAGCAGTAACATTTAATCTGAAAGGTGACAATTAGCTGCTCCTAAATTTTAAGAGTAATTGTAAGAGCAAAATTCTCCCTCTTACATGCTCCCCCTGGCAACTTATGGTTGTTAAAGCAGAGACCCCATTCCCTCACACCTTCACACCCCCACGCAGAGTCACCCACAGGTCCCAGTCTTGGGTCGAATATCCCCTTGGTCACTTACAGCTATGAAACCTAGGGCTAGCCAGTCACCTGACCTCACTCCAGCTTCAGGTCTTCATTTGCAAAATAAGTACAAAGATCTCCACGCTCCCTGTTTCTCAGTGCCTACTACGAGGAGCAACTGAAATAATATATGTGAAATAACTGTAAAATGCTAACTAAGAACTGTATTTAAATCTAAGTTCTATTGAAGCGCCACTGTTTAATACATGCAATTATTTTTGTTTTTCAGAAACCATCCCTTCAGTTCTCCACCACCAAAAAAAAAAAAATTTGTTTTGTTTTCCCAGGTGAGTCATGACATAAAGACCCATCTTTCAACCCGTCTCTGCCCATAGCTATGCCCTTCTCACCAGATCACCCCTCAGGGGTGGTAACCTGCTGCTACTCAGGGTAGCCCTCCACACCCTCATCAATTGTTTGCTGTTACAGTAGCCTGTTTTTATCACTATCATTGTACTTCTCATAATCCTTAATTCCGTTATTTATTATCTGTTTGGCCACTGGAATGCCAGCCCCAATGAAAAGAGGACTCTGTGTTTTCTTCCCTCTTGTACTCCTAGCTCCTATGCACTGTATAGACAGCAAGTAGGAAATGTTCGATAAATAACTGAATAAACAAACACAATTCTCATATGGAAGGTAAAACCACTTCCATAAATTTATCTTACCTTCTACAATTACCTGTGAATCTTCTACAGGATTATCCTCAGGGGGAGCAGTTACTTCTAAAATAAAGAATAAAATCAGAATCCATTACATGTTGCTGACCAGTGACACATCTTACATTCACTCGCCTTCATTCAGATTCCTAAATTAACTCGTGTCCACTCAGATTGCTAAATTTGACTCTTTTTAAACTGGGTCTTCTGCAGAGTATTTATATTAGAATATTAACTTTAATTTTGATACTCAATTATTTTCTTACTGACTTGAAAATGTCTTGCATTTTTTCTACACTGACTCTTTGTTCCACAGGTAGGAGTTTTAACAAAATACAGGGAAAGCTGACTTGCAGAAAATATGTGCTTACAGAAAAAACTTACCTGTGATTTCTATCCCTTCATTTTCTAGAGGTTCATATACTGCTAAAAAAAAAAAAACAGAAACAAAATCCCGTAACTTTCATTGTAACACAAAAACTGACAACATGCTTTAAGGGCAGAGACAATGCCTTATGCATCTTTGAACCTGCAAGGTTCAGTCACTGGGAAACAGCCGACTAGAGAGTAGGGTGGAGAAGAGTTTGGTCTAGGGTAAAACAGGCCTGGATTCTAATTCCAGGGCAGCCACTTTTTACTACCTTTTTAAAATTTTACTACCTTTTTAAAATTTTCTTCATGTCTGTGGTGGAGGTTTTGAATTAGCCGAAGCTGTACCCTGGGAATCAACTGGATCCTGGTGTTCATGGGCAGATTCCCTGCTTTGTTTAGGAAACAATTCTCAGACCTCTAACCTGGGGCCAAACACCTCTGCCGCCAGCCCCTGAGAATGAAGCGTTCCCCACCCTAATTAGGGCGTGCTGCCCTTGCCTCCCTCATTTGCTGGCATGAGGCTCAGTGCTTCTTCTCTGCTCTGCTGCAAGGAAGTCTCATCTCCACACAGGCCTCTCCAGGGCCCAGTGGCTCAAAGCTTCCTCAGTCAACCTGATCTTCCAAAATACCTCCAATTTTCTGGCACACTACAAGAAAACATCCTTCTTTTTCCCAGCATGGTTGTAAGTTTATTCTTTCTTATTCATTTAATAAAGAAAAATTATTGAGCACCTACTATCTTTCAGACACTCTCAGTATTGGGGTACAGCAGGGAACAATGTTTAATAGGTCGTTTTGTCCTTTTGGGGCATTTGAAAGATGAAGGAGCAGTGAATGTGTGCTCACTCTGTTGCCCTGAGCAGTGTCAGCATTTAAACATGCTCAAGCTTCTAAGAACTTAAAAATGCAATACCACTCTTTCTTAAGCTTGCTTCTCGTCACCCTCTCTTTCTTCCATTGAACAATCTAATTTCTTCAGTCATTTACATCTCATGGCTCATCTCTTCCTCTCCCCTCAACTCACTCCCGCCTGTCTTCAGACCCTGACCCCATCCCTGAAAAGGCTCCTGCTGAGACCCCCTCCAGTGCCTCATTTGATATGATGGACACTCGCCAGCCCTCGCTATATTTTTAGCAACACCATTCTTCTCCAAACACTGTTGCCCCTGGACTTCAGGGTGACCATACTCTCCCCTTTGGTTTTTCGTTTCTCCCACTCAATCTTCTTTTTCACTTCATCTTTTTCTTAGCCGTCCTTAAATGCTGGCTTTCTTCAAAGTCCAGCCATAGAACCACCTCATGTCTCCCTCAATCTGCTCTCCTTAAGGGATCTCAGAGCTTGGTCCTGATGACCACGTAACTACTCTGATGGTTCCCACACTCACAATCACGAAGTAGACTTCTCTTCTGAGAGTCAAACACCACCAAATGGCTCATTTGATCTCTCCTCTCAGATGCCTCAAAGAAATCTCACTATCATCATGTAAAGAACTGGACTCATGAGCCCCTGCCCCGTGCTTGACTCCAGTCTCTCCCACGTTAGGAAAAGAGCACCCCCTGTCACCAGGCTGCAGAAGCAGAAGAGTGTATGTGGCTCTTGGCACCTTGTTGTCTCCCCCCAGCTACACCCATGCATGAAGACCTGCCAATTTTACCTTCTAAGCATTTCTCAACTTTGCCCACTTCCCTCCTCCATCATTGCCACCACCCTTGGTTTAAACTATCATATCTGTCCTATCCGTCCACTGAAACAGTTCCAGCTAAAGTCACCCGTTGAGGCCACTGCAGCGCCAGATCAGGGCAGGTTTTCAGCACTCATCTCACATGGTTCTCAGTAGCGCAGGGCACCACTGAACATCCCTTTCTTGAAACTCATCTCCTTTGGTTCCTTCAGACAGAGAGAGATGTGATGCACGGAAAGACCCAATTTGGATGATTACAGCTAACTTAACTGTTCTCCCTGTATTGACTCTTGTCTCTCCAGTCTGTTTGTTGCATGCCAGACCGATCAATCTTTTCAAAATGCAGATCTGACTTGGCAGTGCTCAAAGGTGAAGATGAACGTCCTTGATCTTGCTCACAGGCATCCTCTGAACCCAGCCCATTTCACCACCTCAGCCTTACTCTTGCAAGTTCACGTCAGAGACCTCATACGACTCTCCAGTCACCTTTCTCCTTGCCTTGTCAATTGTTCTCACCTTCAGCTCAAACTTCAGGAAGGCCCTGCCTCATCCACAAACTAGGTAAGGTCTCTTGATTACATATTCTTGTTACCACTGTACTTGTTCTTCCTAGCACTTATCACAACTGGAAATGAAAACTACAGTGAAATTGCTTGTTTAATTTCTACTACCCTACTAAAATATAAGATCCATGAGAACAGGAACCATGGGTGTTCTTCACTAGAACTGCTCCAGTGTCCTGTGTTTCAGACCGAAGACACTAAACAGTGTATGAATAAATAAGTCAATTACATGGTAAGGCCATACTGTCACTTCCCAGGTTTGTCCAATGTAGGCATGATGATTTCTAGGTTATCTTTGATGTAGAAGCTGGTTCCTACTATAGTTCTATCGAAGTGTATGTTCTGGGGTTTGCAAGTTTCATACAGAATATATTCTATTCTCCCATTGAAATGTGGTTTTGTTTTCACCCTACTTACAGCTTCACTTACATGTCAGTTACTTGGTTTCTCTGCTCTGATTCCTGAATTTTCACAAAGGTATTGTTTTAGCATATAGTGAATAATACACTGTTCAATTAGATCTATTTGTTTGAAACAGTTTATGTTCTATATAACAAAGAAATCCAAAGTAGCTTACCAAATCATGTCAATCTCTTAGGTTATATTTACTGCCTTTTGCTAACATTTTAAATTACATTTATTATGATACTCTGCCCTATGAAAACATATAACATTCTTTTCGCATGGTATCTAATTTTATACTTCTTATGAGTTTGAATTTAAATTCCTCTAGATTTAGTCTTCAAATTGCATTCCAAACATGTTCTTTATATTTTTAAAAACATTATAATGATCAGTAGAAATGAGGAAAATATCTCAAATCCCATCATTACATGCAACTTGTATTTATAAATTCCTATTTTCTCCTTCAAATTCAAGATTGGAAAGAAAATCTAAGTGCAATCTCAAGACCAAATTATTCCCCAACCTTCCCTCGGCCCCAAATCTTCCTGTGAACACATCAGGTCCAAATTCTTTAACTTTTCATAAAAATTATCAGTACCTTAAAGACACAACCTAGGATTTTTCCCATGGTGTCATTCATATCCCATTAGAAATAGCCACTATAGATGATGAACTTGGTAGGGTCTCAAATCTTAAATCATCATATAAATATGATTCATATTTATAAACACTCCTAATTTTCTTCAATTGTGATTCACTATCTATCATGACACTGTAAACTCCTTGAAAGGAGGGACCCTATGTTACTCATAATTGAATTCCAGGCCCTAAAACCATCTAGAACATAGAAAGTCCTCCATATCCACCAACTCAATTACGATGTATTTCTTCATCGTTCTTGCTTTACACATAAAGTTATACCCAACTGACTTCTCTCTTTCTACATAATCATCTTTGAGGATAATGGAATAAAAAGGATATATTATTGGTTCTATTACTTCTTAGCCATACATTCTTGGGCAGCTTATTTATAATGTCAGAACCTTATTTCTGTCCTCTGGGAAGCAGGGAAAATAAAATCTACTTCATGGAGTTCAACACAATAGTCTATGCAATGCTTGGACACAAGAGGAGGGAGGTACAGGCCTAAACTGAATCAGATGCTGCTGATGCCACAAATTTGCCAGAACTGTTTTCTCCATACTGCCTTTAAGCCTGGAACACAGTGCTTCTTAACCTTCCCCAAGGTGACAAATCAGTCATCTTTGAGAGTGGGATTAACCTGTAGAAGCAGCTAGAGCAATTTAACTCCGGCTAAAGTAGTTGTTCATGCATATTTTAGTCAAAAGAGACACAACTATAAAGTACTGAGATTGGTTTTCTTGAATGACTGTAACTGCCTCCTAAGGCAACTTGTAAAGAGTTTAAGAAATTATTTAGGCAATGGCAGAAGCCGTGGAATGGGTAAACAGTCTCCCCAAGTGAATTCTTTGAACGCTACCGTTCATCTGGATGTTTTAAGTTGCAAAGTTTATAGTTTAAAGCATAATGTTCCACATCTTGTAGTCAAACTATAGGTATATTTTAAAACAAGAAGGTGGCTTAAGGTTAGAAAGCATTTGCAGGCCGGGCGCAGTGGCTCATGCCTGTAGTCCTAGCACTTTGGGAGGCCAAGGCGGGAGGATCACCTGAGATCGGG
Source organism: Homo sapiens (assembly GCF_000001405.40). NCBI lineage: Eukaryota > Metazoa > Chordata > Mammalia > Primates > Hominidae > Homo > Homo sapiens. The sequence goes on from NC_000008.11 coordinate 61,642,659, forward strand.
AGTTTGAGATAAACCCTAAAATACTAAAAATACAAAATTAGCTAAGCGTGGTGGCACATGCCTGTAATCCCAGCTACTCAGGAGGCTGAGGCAAGAGAATCGCTTGTACCCAGGAGGCGGAGGTTGTAGTGGGCCAAGATTGTGCCACTGCACTGCAGCCTGGGCAACAAGAGCGAAACTCCATCTCAAAAAAAAAAAGAAAAAAAAAAAAAAGAAAGCATTTGCAAACCTTGTTCCTCATAGACTTGGTATGTTACATCATCTGAAAAAAAAAAGAGAATAAAAGCAAAATAAGTATTAACTGAGTCATTCTATACAATTGTTCAGTTAAAACAAAATACTACTTAATCGTAAACACAGAACTCTACTCCTTCAAATATTAATGTCTGCTCAGTCAATAATAAATGCCTCTGCCCAAAAGCAATTAAAAGGCAGGTAAATTATTTTCATTAAAATTTCTCAAATTGGCACAGAGGAATTTGATACACAAAAACAGCATTAAAATTTGACATCCTGTTTTGTTATGGAATGGTTAGTTGATGAGGTGAAATATGAAAGCCTGATATTCTTATAACAGTCTAACTTTGTTATAAAACAAAATCTCATGCATTAGATGTCGAAATTACTTCTTTGATGCCTTTAAAAGAAAAATCACCATGTAAACACAGCATGTGATTGAAAAATCTAAGGTAATATTTTAAATCTAATGAAAATGCTCATCTAATACCTGTATCATGGTGCAATCTTTCATCTTCTACTACTGGTTCACTGGAATCTAAAAAACAAAAACACACCTTTGCCAAACAGGAAAAAACCAAACACATTGCCAGACAGCATTCTAGGAGATTCATAAATTAATTATCTTCACAACTTTGCCAGATAGATGTTTTCATTATCATTTAATAAAATTTAAGCTGAATAACGTTCCACAATTTGATGCCTAAGTCAAAAAGATAGGAAAGAGTAGAAATGGGATTTGTACCCAGAATGACTTTATAGTACATCATACTGCCCCTTCAATTTTCAAATATTCTTTCCAGCACCTTACCTACAAAGACCAAAGTCTCAACAGTGGTTTGAAAAATACGTCTCCTTTTTCTCTCATCCCTCTATGTAGTATTAAACTATATTCAGACATTTCTATAAACATCTGACCAATCAAAAGTGATTATAAATACCATACAGGGATCTCTGTGTTGAATCACAATTGTTAACCCTGGAATAAAACGGCCTTGGCCACTGCCTCAATCAGAAAACACATATCAATAATTTTAACATTTACAAACCTGGATTTTCCTGCTCAGACATCATCTCTTCCATATCCTGATTACAGTCTTGTGAAACTATAAATTATGGAATAATTAGGAAATTACGTCTCAAATAAGGAATACATGTAATATTCGAAACCAGAAAGACACAATTTCTAGTTATGATTGAAATGCAAAATCAAGTCATAATGATATTCAAACATGTTCACTCCTGAAACAAATAGGTATTAAGTGTGTTAAATGCCAAATGCAAAGATGAGTAAGGGGGGCCTGTCATCAACTGGTTTACACTCAAACCGCAAAACAGTAAAGTGCTGACAGATGATGCGCCCACCTCCTGTGGCCATGCCCTTTAAGGGCGCTGGCATGTGACAAAACATGATTTAGACCTTTCGTTGACTCTGTAATTGAAAGGTACAAAACATGCAATTCAATTGTATCTTTTGAACTAGTAATCCTACTGAAAATTTATCCTCAGGAACTAGGCATCAAAACACAAAAAAGTATATTCACAAAGAAATACCATAAATATAAGACGTAATAAAATTATTAATTGCATATCTTGCATATATTAATTTAAATATATCATTAATAATAGATATTATGTATTTTATGATGCCCTTTTAAAGGAAGACTCACTCTAATTAAGAACAGAATTAAATTAAAATCTCACCTGTCTCTTCCACGTGGTAACTATGCTCGGTTTCTGGAAAAAAAAAAATTAGATTGATATTTACTGCTTTTACAAAATGGTATGTATATATCCCGTATATGTACTCTGAATCTATGCTTATCATTAATTTTATTTAAAAAATTAAAAAATGGGACTATCAATTAAAAGTCTGCTTAACACTTTTATATTTCACTAGAAGTACACTGTGGGATGTCTCACACATTCTCCTTCTCAGTCCACTCATCCCCACAAGGCTGACAACCACCACCCCCTGGACTAAAGAGAGAGGACAACTTAGAGTGACACAGGCCAGACCAGGAAAGCCGTTCATTTCTAATCCACTTCACAACCCACTAGAATGTGCTATCTCCTCGACCTGTCCTACCATTTTCTAGAGCGAAAGTACAGCAACTATGGATGGGAACAGAGAAAAACAGCTGAAGAGGCTTTATACCCTTAGGGAGCTGAAGGGTAAATGTGTTGAACACTTAACCCATACACCCCAGATAGCAGAAGAGCTATCTGTCCGTCACCACACTTATGACCTTGCTAATTTTATTTAATGCATATATAAAGAATAAATATTTTTATTTTCTGAAGACTTTTAACAACCAACTTTTAAGTTCAAACTGCATCTATGTCCTAATTAAAGATGAGATCAGAAAGTAAGGTTTCTGCAATTTGTGAACTTCTTAAAAGTGTTTCTTCCTACTCCCAATCTGTGACTCCTAACTTTAAGAATATCAAATTCCTCATGCTTCTGTTTATTTCAGCATCTTAACTGAAATTTGTTGTATAAGCAGCATGTAGATAGAAAAATTCTGAGCAACTGTCAATCTTACTGAGCCATTTAGGCCAAAGACTGGAGAGAAGAAGCAACAGGAAATGTGGAAATCATTTTATCAGTATCCCTACTCAGAAACTGGAAACCTTGTCCCAAAGAAATCATGACATAAATGATTACTAAAGGCATAAAGTTCTGAAGGTAGTCTATAAGTGCTTATTTTCAATGTGTAATGCAGCAAAAATAAATCATATAGATGTTCAAAAGGATTGTGTGCTTGTATTTTTCACAGAAAATTATGCATTATATACAATTCTTTTGAAAACCAAACCATCCCATATTTTTATGGGAAAGTGCATTTCCTGTTCTAAACAATAGGCATGGATATAAGTTTTTGGAAATACATGTACTCATAAAGTAGGAGCTACCTGCTGCTAAAGTAATTTTCCAAAATATTTAGTATTGTGCAAAGTAGATAAACTACTTTTCATTTTTATGCTTTTAAAAAGTGTTTGCTAACTGGACACACAATGGCTCATGCCTGCAATCCCAACACTTTGGAAAGCTGAGGCAGGAGAATTGCTTGAGGCCAGGAGTTTGAGACCAGCTTGGGCAACATAAGGAGACCTTGCCACTATAAAAAATTTAAAAATTGGCAGGGCATGGTAGCATATGCCTGTGGTTCCAGCTACTTGAGAGGCTGAGGTGAGAGGACTGCTTGAGCATGGGAGGTCAAGGCTGGAGTGAGCTGTGTTCAAGCCGCTGCACTTACCAGCCATGTTGGGTAGGATTTTACAAATAAGTTGTATAAAAACACAGCTACACTGACCCACTTAGGAACTATCAAAGGCTGCTTTTACGCTGTGATGGCAGAGTTGAGTAGCTGAACAGAGTCTGTACGATCCAGAAAACCTGAAATATTTACTCTCTGGCTATTTACAAAAAAAAGTTTGCCAATGCCTGGTACAGAAGCTAAGAATTGTGTTTTGCTCACTGTAATTACAGAGTTCATGTGTGAACATGAGCCTGTGATAGATTATCAAGTCCAATATTTCATCAGTTGTTTGAATTTTATTTAACAAATAGCACCCTAAGCAGAAGAATATAGTAAAACTAGTTTCCTCAAGTATTTGACTCACTATTTATAAGAAATTTGTATATTCTGAGTTTCCCTGAAAAGTGCTTTGAACCAAAATCAAGGTATCTATTTTAAGAAAAAATTTGCTTTAATTGAAGCTTTAAGCTTCAACTTTTAAAAATCTAAGCAAAAGTTAAATATCAGTTTTAAAGGGGTTTAAGAAAAACTTCAGTAATTAGAAGTCATTGATTATATTTTATCCTAAAACTTGAAAAAAAAGTGTTCTACCTTCATGAGATACTTCAGGTTCCAGGGTCTCAAATCTATCATCTACATCAGTCGCCATAAGAAACTCATCATCCTCTTGTTGTGGTTCTCCTGTGGGTCCATCTTCTTGTTGCAAGTCTTCTCCCTCAACTATGACAATGAACAAAGTGACACTGGCAACATACAACTGAGACATGAAAGCCCCTTGTGAAGGGCTGCCACACACCTGCTCCTGCTGCTGGGGCTTCCCCTGCCCCTCCTTTCGGCCGCTGAAGACACCATTGTCCACTCCACAGCTATTTTCTTCCTCTGGCCAAGTGCTAATCTGCCTAAGTATATGTGGTGGGGGACAGGTTTCCTCTCATTAGGATGTTACACATCAGGACAGGAAGCTTATATATTTTATCCATTATATATTCCCAGTCACCTAGGGCCATGTCTAGCTAAAGGAAGCACTCAATAAATATTTGATGAATGAATAAATGAATTCATAATTATTACTAATATATTTGCCTCTTCAATTATCCTCAGGTCAAAGAAAAGGCTACTCTATGGCCTTTTCCTGGGAATTGACATAGAATTCCAGGTAACAACTTTAAATGACTATTCAAATATTCTATAGCAAAGAGTGACTAGCCACCTATCTAAATTATATGCTAGGGCCAGGCATGGCAGCTCACGCCTATAATCCCAGCACTTTGGGAGGCTGAGGCAGGCAGATCACTTGAGGTCAGGAGTTCAAGACCAGCCTGGCCAACATGGTAAAACCCCATCTCTACTAAAAATACAAAAATTAGTCATGCATGGTGGCACGTGCCTGTAGTCCCAGCTACTTGGGAGGCTGAGGCAGGAGAATCGCTTGAACCTGGGGGGCAGAAGTTGCAGTTAGCCAAGATGGTGCCACTGCACTCCAGCCTGGGTGACACAGTGAGACTCTGTCTCAAAATAAATAAATAAATAAATTAAATTAAATTAAAAATAAATAAAAATAAATTATATGCTAGGTCACAGGTTTACCTGAATCATACTATGCATTCAAATGTTCCTATTAGGCTTCAAGTTATGCAAAGATGCCCACTTTCTCTTCTGTGATTAACTTCTATGATATATTGAACTGCTCTGCTTCTTTTGTGTAGAGGTTGGACATGTTGCATGATTCCACTGCAACATGGTTAAGACTGGGTATTGCATCCCAATGTAACTTGACCTGGCTTCCAGCAGAGTATCTCCTGTGTATAATACTCTAAAGAAAGTGAATGGGCAGGACTTGGCTTTGCAGTGCAGCTCAGGGATTAGGACGAGTATGGGGTCCGGATGCATGGCTGTAGATTCAGGCTCTTCCATACCAGCTGGGTGACTGTGGGCAAATTACTTAACTACCCTGTGCCACAGATTTCCCTCCCATAAAATGGGAATAATATCTATTTGTAACATTGTTATGAAGATTAAAACACTTAGAAAAATGCCTGGCCCTAAGTATTTAGGTGTCATTATCACCATTATTACAGTAATAACAACATTGTCATTTGTACTGCTACTGAATCCCCCTACCCCACAACCCCAGCCCAGACTGCAAGAAGCCTTCCTTAGTTACTCTCCCTTTAGCGTGGCAAGGCAATGCTCTCAGGTGTTAGAGAATCAGGCAGGCCTATTTATGTTGATGCTATTTGTTTTCTATCTTCTCCTCATAGCTTGCAATACTGTTTTTCCTCATTTTAGATTTTCTGCTATTCAGCAAATCACCAATTTGAATTTCTGCTACAAATTTTACTTCTCTTTTTATTTTTATCATATTCCTCTTTCCTTATTCTTCTTTCATTCTATCCAGTGAAATCTGATGATTTTTACACTAGCAGGATTTAGCTTTCGTATGCGGTTGTTCAGTGGAAGTATTCCTGTTTTCTGTAGCGAAACCAGTCTAACATTGAACACTATCTTTGAGTCTCATCATGAAAAATTTCCTAAGGGGTCATGAGACTCTAGGCATGGCCAAGCCCTCTGCAGCTGTTATATCCTCCCTGTGAAGCAGGTACTGGTATCCTACTTTGAAAGATGAAGAACTTGAAAAACTGTGCTAAAGCCACATGGCTAATCAATGGCAGATACAGGACCTGAATCCAGTTGTGAATGCACCATGATGGGGGCAGGGAGGTTATGCTCAGTCTGAAAGATGTGATTGGGCGGGGTGGGAAACACATCTCAGCAAAAGATATACCAGGTGCAGGGGTGCTAAAGCAGTGATAGGCTTGGCAATTACAAGGAAAAGAGAGGTCAGCTGGGCTAGAGAAAAGTCACTGAAGGGGAAAAAGAGGCTGGGATCAGACAAGGCACAACTGGCTGGGCCACATTAAGCACAGGTTATAGAGGAGCAAGTATGGAAACAGGGAGACCCAGCTGGATGCTACTGTGCTACTGCAACAGTCATGGCAAGAAGCCACGGTCACACCGAGGCCCTAGAGAGCCAAAATCAGTGCTGGGGCAATGCTGACAGGATTTGCTGATGGATTAGATGTGAGGGGAGAAGAAAAATCAAAGAAAACTCTCGAGTTTTCAAGTTAAGCAAGTAAGAGGGTAGGAGGACCATTAACTAAAATATAAAAGACTAGCATAAGCAATCTGGGGAGAACTGGGGTGAGGAGGAGCTATGGGGTGTGGGAAGAATCATGAGTTCTTTAAGTCTGAAACACCCATAAGACATCCAAATGGAGATGCCAAGTATGCAGTTAGGTAAACCTGGAGTTTAGATGAGCAATGAGGGCTGCAGCTATATATTTAAAAGTTATCAACATACAAAGAATATTTATAACCATGGGCCATAAATGTGATTTTCTAAATGTGATTAAAGAAAAGAACAAGTCCAAGAAGGAGGCTGTGGCCAGAACACGGTGCTAGACTTGACTACTTCCCTCTTTTGGCTGCCTGCCCACCCCCCACCACCTAAACATCTTAGGGTTCTTTCTATTTCTCTCCATCCCCTCCTTTGGCTGAGGCAAGTTTGCTACCATCCTGAATCACTGTTACCTGCACAACCTCCATCTAATCTCCCAGCTGCACTCTTGCATCCCCCCATGCATTTTTCATGCTACAGACAGAAGGCACAACACTCCTAAATACCTTCCCCAATGGCTTCAGTTACTCTTAGAATCAAGTAAAAAATATCCTTTTTCTCATGACTCTCCACCTACATATTCCACGTGCCAGCCATTCTGAACTACTTTCAGGTCCTTTCCTGTCTCTGGGATATGCCTTCTGCTTAAAACACTCACCACCAGCACTGGCCTGGTGAAGGTCTACACCAGCCTCTTCTGACCCCCCTTCTGAGTAAGACCTGAAGAGCTTCCCATATTTTATTACCATGACAGCACTTACCCCATTATATTTAAATCACTTATTTATTTAGATTGGATTTTCCTTCTGTTAAGTTAAAGTTGGGGTGCCGTGGGGAAGGAAGGCTTGAGGAAGGGGAAGCCTGCACTTGCTCATATAGGCCCATGAGTGGCTTTCCGAGCTGCAAAGAAGCTAGAAATAAAGGCATACAGGCTCCTACACCCCTAGCATCCACTGGCAAAAAACAGTTTAAACTACAGGGCATTGTTTGTTTTTAAGAAACGTAATTTTATTTTCCTTTAGGCCACCCTTGGATCACACCAAAGCATCAGGAGAATCAGGATTCCAGAACATCCTGCCCACTCCACAATCCCTTCATGAGATACGTTTTGGGATCACGATCTCTGTTTTTATCAAGGGATGCTTCAAGAAGCAGCCTTATAAAACCTTAAAACGTTAGTTCCTGGGTTATTACTTAGTATCCTCTACACAGAGCTCCCCATGAAAAATTTTTAAATTTAAGTACTGGGAAAATGTTTTGCATTCTCACGTTTTTTTTCCTGTCTGCTTAGTGCAACCTATGTAATTAAAAGTGTCATCATTTTTGTTGTGGTGACCAGCCAACCATGAAGCAAAATCGAGGTGGAGCACAACACCTGGATGAACCCGACCGTGGGCCTGTGTCCCACTTTCCTCCTCTCCATCCTCCCCTTCTGTTCCTGATGGATCACTGTTTTCAATCTGTTCATTCTCATTTATTCCCACCAGTTCTCTCTTAGATGTATGCAGTGAGTTCCTCCACGGTGAAGTAGAATAAAGTAAGTTTAGTGCTATTTCAAAAACAACACCTGCTATCTAACTTTGAATTCAAAAACTTTTTAAAAAACACAAACACCCAATTAACCTTTAAATTTTAAAACAAATGTCCAAGTCATTTTACATAACTAAGCGTTATTTTAGTAACTCAAAACAAAGAGCAGATTTTAATTCATACCATGTTCTGCGTGTACCATTTCATGGAGAAGGGACTGAATTTGTTCTTTTGCTTCATCTTCGATATTCTGGGGTTCTAAAATAATTGCAAAACATAGCTAAGTAGAAAAGCTCAAACATCAACATGGACCCCTAACACTCAAATATGACATTGGTACATACACATTAAAATGAATATATTTGACTAAGCAACTCTGCATGCCTTCTCTATCAGCTTACATTTTTTTGTTCTGTGTTGGCAAACATGGTAGATATGTAAAATTTGTTTTATTCTGTCAACAGACTTAAGCATTAAAATACTTTCAATAAGATTTTTAAAGAAAACTCAGGCTCAGATTTGTATTTAAAAAAGAGCCTTATTAAAAGCAAAATGACTTGTTTCTAATTAATAAAATTCGCAATAATGATAAAATAAAGTGGGAAGAACAAAGCTTTCATAAAGGGAAATAGTTGGAAATAAAGACAGAAATGTGGAAGACAAGGTCAATACAGATTGAAGTATCTGGTCAACCATTACCTATCTTCCCTGAGAGGAGAAAGGGCACTCCTGCAGGTGAGAGGACTGAATACTCAGAGGTAGCCGACTGCTCTCACTCAGGTTTGTCAGGAAGTGTCAGTAGAAAACCTTACATTGTAACTGACAATCCTTTCAGCTTTGGAGAACCACATCTGACACTGAGATCCATAAATTCAAATAAATTGAATTACAAAAGTGAACATAAATGATGACATTCCAAAAACACTGTGGTGCTTATCAGATTATTAGACTTAACTGCAACATCACACAATGAACAAGAAGCTATAACTACATTGATACTAAGTTCTCTAATAAATATAATCTATGTTCAGTGAATAGAAGTAGCACTACACTTGGTATCATAAATGCTGTCATGTGAGATAATGCCAGTGACATCGGTTGTTGTCAAAGAGCTAATCTTCCATGACAAAAAATAGAAAGTTAATTTAGACTTCAGGAAGGAAAAGAGTTTAAATGTAATATCTACTATGCTAATCACACTACAAAATCATTTCCAAAGCATAAAAATGCCTATTTTTAATAAATGTTTATATTTCACAAGCCATTTATATATGTAGTCTTGTGCTATTATAGAGTCTGCCAATCGCCATCCTCTCTCACAAAGCCTAAGATAGCTTCCTAACTGGATTCCCAGGTTCATAACTGCTGAAATCACCATCCAAAGAGAATATAATCTGAGTTACTAGAAGTGGAGGGTGGTGCACTCTGCTCACTCTTTAATGGCTATCTTTGCCCAAACTGGTGAAAGTCTCAGTTCCTAGGAGCAGAATATAATACCTCCACAACTGAGTCCTCACACACTTCTCCAGAATCATCTGCTACCAGCACTGGCTTTGAACTTAGTGAGGACTCCATGCCATTTCAACTTTCCATAATTTTGCAAATACTCCTTCTCTCCTCTGGAGGGGATTGGAAGATGCAGAAGCTGGAGTGTAATGGGTTAAAAAAAATGAATGAAAAATAAGGTAAAAAAGTAATAGTGGATTCTTCTTTCAAAATCGTGGCTGTTGTAGAGGGGAGAGGGATTAGATGGCAGAAAAAAGAAATGTGGGGGTCAAGAGGGGTTTTATTTTAGTACAAAGTAAAATTTGAGGTGCTAAATCCAAACACACATTAAATTATAAAACTTTTTAAAAGTTACTATCTATTCTGGAGCTATGGTATGATCATAGCAATTCTACAGGAATGAGAGAGAATACATTGTCCTAGGATTAAAAATTCAACAAATAACAAAACTCAGAGCAACATATTGGCCTTAAAGGAAAAAAAATCAAATATTATTCCTCAGCACACAGTGAAAAAATCAGCCAAAGTACCATTTGGATTCAGTACTTAAGTTTTCAGTAAATATGTAGTGTCATTCCTTAAACTTTCAATAGGTGGCATAAGAAAACCAGAGATTTAGAGACTGTATTAGATTTACTAACTTATTAAAATATTTCACGACTTTCCTACCTATAGTCATAGGCTTTGGGGTAACTACAGAGATGCTTGATTTATGAACCCATGTGGACACAAAACAGGCTCCATAGATGCCCACAGGGAGGTTTGGGAAGTCTTTTAAAATAAACGAGACCCTCATGTAAAAAAGACTGAGAAACCACTAGATCTACTCTATTAAATCACGTGACAAATGATAACACTAGTAGTGTAGAATTGTGTGTATTTTTACTTTCAAGGTAATATAGTACAGTAGTGCTGGAATTGGAATCAAGAAACAACATTCAGTTCATGACGTTCCTAAATGTGTGGTTTTGGACAAAGAACAACTGTCTGCCTTAGAGCTGATCTTAAAAATTAAAATTATCCTGTTCCAATTTCTACTAGAAAAATACTACATAATTTCAGAAGAGAAAAAAAGTAGTTAATTATTCTGTAAATGATGTGAAACAAATTCCAGGTAAAACGTGATTCTGTAAATGCGGATACCTGTCAGGCTCTGGCACACCTGGGCGAGACTCGAGGATGAGGACAAGCTTACCTGCCTCCACAGGAACCTGCTCCTCGGGCTCAGTGTGTGGCTCAGCCTCTTCTGGCGGGACTGCTGGCTCTGAAGTAGATCTCTCTTTAAGTCCTGCATTTTTTTATTCACAAAGTTAACTTGAGTTTTTGTGGGGTTTTCTGTCACATTAAACCAGGAAAAATAATATTTTCAAACATTTAATTAATAGTGCTGCTAATTAATAGTTTCTAAAATTGTATGCTTAAAAAGTGAGGTAGGAAAACAGTTTGCTCTTCAACTTCACATGAGCCTTGAATATATCTCTTTGTCTTAGTTAGCTTTTCACTTCAAATTAAAACAAAATCATTGTTTAAATGTTCATGAATCTCTAAAACAGTCATGTCTAAACCTGCCAAAAGTTCAATATGAGTTCAAGCTCCTTTTGTTTTCATAAGCGATTAATTCCTAAGTCCTGCAGTTTGAATTCAGCAATGAGGCAACTAAAATGCACTTGAATTTTCTGTTATTCAGGTACACTCGATGTTTTCACTTATATAATTATTTATTCTACTTGAAAAACAGTTAAAAAGAAAAAGAAATCATACATAACTATTTATTATCATCTAAAGGAAACCCCTACAAGTAATCATATTATTCTATAACAGCTAAAACATATGAAAATTTAAAAGTTCTTCTCCCTTTTACAAGTCCTAATAAGACAGCAGGGTATGTTAACATGAAACTGATTTTAAAGTCAAGGCCAGTCTAAAATCTATTATATTAACTTAGTTATTTGAAGTTATTTGATATTTTGTATGTGGAACATTAAAATAGGTCCTCAATTAAATCCAAGTATTTAGAAAACAGCTAAATTCAAGAGTTCAAAGATTCCGTTTGCTGATCCTGGACTCCTCCTGACCTCATTAAGAATCTCCTACCAAGAGTAGTCACTGTGCATGGACAGCCTGCGGCAGGAAGGTCAAGGTGATGTGAAGGGCAGTATTCTAATCTTAAGCAGCTCTGTGCAGCTCATGTATGCACACTAATGTGGTCTGGAAAATTTTCATTTCGATGTATTACTCTTCTTTTTTATTATTTTTCCTATGTCTCTTCATGTTTCTTTTATGGACAAAAACATACTCCCACATTCCTCTTCCCAAATCTTAAAAGAAACAGAGACAGATACACAGGACCCTGCCACATCACTTACATTTCCTCTAGTTACCATTTGCAACACTATTTCCACACAAAACTCACCACTAGTACACCTGACACCAACACATACAGTTGTGTTCTATACCTAAGTTACCTCTAACTGTAAGACAGGCTGCAAAGGGATTATACACAGGTCCTAATTGTAGTTCAAGTTCAGGGAGGAGGGGGTAGAGATGAAGGCCTAGTAAAAGACATCACATTTCAAATTCAAATTTAGGGCTGCCCTCCCTTTTACCATTTAAATAATCATTTTTACATCCCTCAACTGTTAATGGAACAGGTATGGAATGATTCATTGCCAAGTTCTGCTGAATGAATGGGAAAAAGCTTAAGAATCTCAAGAATCAAGTAATTTATCTTTGCACTCTCAGCACCTCAGCTAACACTTGGCACATAGCAATTGCTCAATGAACACTTGTTGAAGGGCTGAATACACCCAGTGGTGTGACTACTCTGCTAAGTCTAAATGGCTGTGGAGATTCCCTGCAGGGCCAGGGCTTCTTAGGTGCACTCCAGTAGCTGAGTAGAAGAGGGAAGGGGACTCACATTAGTACTTCTCTACTCCTATGTACCAGAGATCCGTATTTCTGCTCCAGCATCCACCATTTCAGTGTCATAAGTCTAGTTTGCCTGAGACACTCCCAGTTTATGTCTGCTGTCCTGAGATTATTTCACTCTCAAAACTATCTGTCTGAATGAAAAATTACAGGGTCATCCTTCACTGACCCCACTTTAGCAGGCTCTCAAACTGTGTTCCGTGTGTTATACAAGCAATGAAATGTTTTCTCACCAAACGATAAAGATCTAAACTGCCTGAAAACCCCATTCTTAATGAGTTTTGAAGTTTCATTTGAAAAGTCATAATGCTACGTGTTCAAATACTACTAGTATACCAACATTCCGACATACAATGCCCCTGAGAGTCAGCTTTCTCTAACCAACTTGAACTTATTTGTCTCTAAAATTGAAATTGCAAAACATAGGAAAAACAGGAGAAAGCAAAAGCACAGAGCAAAAAATATTGATTATTTTACCCTGTCCAAAGTGGAAGGTGTATTATAAAATTGTTAATACCTGGTCATAGCTATTTCCAGATATGAAATCAGTACAAAAAAAAATTGTAAACTTCAAAGAAGCTGAGATCATATTACTGTATCTCCTCCTCTAGACCTCTATAAACTTTTTGAAACTTAACAAAAACACATTCTAGACTATAATTGCTTTAACAACCCATATGGAAGAATTTGCCGTACAAGATTTTATTTCAGTGTTTCCAAAAAACTTTTTGCCACCCAAGCTCATTTTAGTTCTAAAATTTGAGGGAAAAAGCAAGCGAAAATGAATCAAGAAAAGTAAATGCATATAAGCTCAATTCAGTCATAGGAAAGGTTTTCAAAAATGGATTTATTATGAGGTACAAGTGGCAATGAAGTAGCAATGAAATAAATATTCAAAATTAGGTTATGACATGAGATGTGTCGGTTTCGATGTTCCTGGGGCTGCAGTTACCAAACTGCCAGCTTATAATGGTTGGGTAGGAAGGAAATTTATCATCTAACTAAACAAGAAGTGCGGAGGCGGCTGACTGCATCGCAGGTCAAGCTTCACCCTCAGGCTGGCAATCAGAGCTCCCCAGCTGCAAGCTTCTTTTTCAGACAAGGCGATGTCCAGAAGCAAAAGGAGCATCTCTTGCTCTGCTTCTTTCTTAGGCTTGAGGAAATTTTTTCCAGAAGCTACCAGCAGTCTCCCTTTTCAGTGTTAATCATCAGGACTGGGACCCACTTCCATTCCTGTGCTGCCAAGAGGAACAGGGTGTCCACAGCCGCCTTCCAGTCATTATGTATGGTGAATAGATACTGCCAGTCCACAGCAATGGCCACAACATGATTTGGAAAACACATTAATTCCCTTAAAACATACCTTGGTTTTAGTTCTTTAGGTTAATCAGATAAATTTGGAAATTATAAAACATTTGCATTTAATCACTATATAATTGCCCCTCCAATTTTAATTAAAATTAGATGAAGCTATGAAATGCAAATGAAATCAGCACTTTAAATCAACCACTCATAGCAAATATGAGTGACACAAATACCCAAGCCCAGGATTAGCTTACTTTATTCACTGCTGCCCATAATGAGAAAGAATCAATATATTTCTTTCCATAAATATGCAGTAGTTGTAAACTTACTAAATTGTATGTTGTATTTAATCGTTCAACAAATATTTAGCACCTATTAATTCAAGGCATTATTCTACAGTAAATGAAAACAACACACCTACCTTCCGGGGGAGAGAGAAACTTAAAAAATAAGAAACATGAACTATTTAGAGTATATTGGATGGGGACAGATAGTACGGGGAAGACACAGAACAGGGAGCACATTAGGGAAAAGTGGGGGTGGGGACTATTCATAATACTTTGGCAAAAGGACTCACTGATAACATGTGAACAGACCCTGAAGGAAATCAGGGATGTGGCTATGTAAGTTACACGTGTGTTTCGGGTAGGGAACTGCAAGTTCAGTCATGTGTTGCTTAACAACAGCGATACATTCTGAGGAATGTGTGGAAATACATGTTGAAATGTGCCATTAGGAAATTTTACCACTGTGGGAACATTGCAGTGTGCCCAGGCAAACTTAGAAGGTATAGCCTGCCACAAACCTAGACTGTATGCAACATCCTATTGTTCCCAGGCTACAAAACTGTACAGCACGTACTGTACCGAATACTGTAGACAATTGTAACACAAAGTGTTTGTGTATCTAAACACAGAAAAGGTACAGTATAAATATGACACTATGATCTTATGGGACCACTATCATACATGCAGTCCATCCTTAACCAAAATGATAGCATGAGGCATGTGACTGTACGAAATTCCTCAACTGGGCACATATTTGGCACCAAGGAAAAGAAAGGTGACTGAGGCACCAAGAGAGGTGTGCATATCAGAAAGGCCCTGGATGCTGGATCCAAGGGCTGTGACTTGAGGGAACACAAAGGATTTACTTCTCCTAAGAGTTATAAGCAAGCCACTCCCTCAACAAAACCTGGGAAACAATTATAAACTTACTTTGTTTCATACAATTTCATA
Organism: Homo sapiens; assembly: GCF_000001405.40. Taxonomy (NCBI): domain Eukaryota; kingdom Metazoa; phylum Chordata; class Mammalia; order Primates; family Hominidae; genus Homo; species Homo sapiens. The sequence goes on from NC_000008.11 coordinate 61,657,844, forward strand.
CACCTAGCCCATTAAAAAGCTAAAAAGTTTTTTAAAATTAGTGTTTTAATCTTTGGTTTACTAATTCAAAGGTGTACAGATGAAAGAAAACGTGTCCTTACTAATCCAGGTTACTCCAGCTATGGTTATCTGTGCTCAGGGTGAGTGCTCAGAAGTGGTACTGTTTCAATTGCAAGGAGTCTAGCAGTATAAATCAATTTATCCCAAGAATAAGGCTCATAGGTATATGAAATTTGAGAAATATTCTGGAAAATCAATACACCAGAAAGGCATGCATACTAGGTAACCACGTTAATCCTCGTTGTCGCTCCTGGCTTGTGTAATCAGTGAATACAGATCTTCCTCAGTATACCAACAGCAGTCTCGGAACTTACCAAAATTCTGAGACTACCAGGTACTCAAAGCTGCCCCATGATATGCAGTAAGAGCCATTCCAGATTCAAAGCATCTTCAAGTAACCCAAGCTGGACAGACAGATTTCAAACAGACATAAATTACAAAAGAATTAAACACTGCCAATAAGGTTCCCAAGAGCCTGGTTTCAGCACCAATGAAGGGACTCAACAAAGACTGGTGAGAGTGGACTCACTTTAACATCATGAAAAATACAGTTCAAGGACATGCAACTCAGCATGGTGTGTAAGTTCAGGCACCTGGGACAAGAGGATGCCTTTGAATTCCATTTGAATTCTATCTCAGTGTTAACCACAGCTACACTTTTTGGTTTCCACAAATGCAAAAAGGGGACAAAACAGGACCCCTAAGAAGGGCTTTAAGAATTAAATGAGATAATTTAAATAAGTATTTTTCCAAAAATTTACCATTTCATTAATTTCTTCTAAAAAAAATCTTTACACCCCCCTCCCTGCCAGTCACAGGTAACTTCCAAGGTAGTTAAAACACTGCAATTACTGAACAATCTTTTGGGTTCTTCAAAAACACACACACACGGTTTTCTTCTTCCTAATATTCTTCAACAGTATATATACACCTGAAATATTTTTAGATAATTTATTTTGTATAGTCACCATTCAATAAACAAACAATGAATGCCTATTAGTGTCAGTTACTAGGATAGGTGCTCGAGATAAATCGTAGTCTGGCAGCAAAGTCCAAGAATGAGGCAAGGTGATGAGTGCGATAACTGGAGTGTGTGGGATGCAGCCACTTGGGAGGGTCAGAGATGTCTGAGTGCAGAGGTGATGACTGGGCTGGGTCCCGTGGGAGAGACAAAGGCAGCCCACCACACAGAGCAGGAGCACATTCAGGAGCACGTTCTAGGCAGAGGGACTAGTGGGCTGTACTGACAATCGTTTCAGTCTCATTACTTTCTCTCTCAGCCCCTTGCTTATTTTGCAGCATTTCACTGGAGGGATTGCAGCCACCTCAATCTCTTGTATCCCCCATGCCTTGCCCAGTCCCGGCATGCTGTAGATACTCAGAAATATTAGTTGAATCAATAAATGGGAACTATAGACACAGCATGTTGGTGTTATATAATTATCAAAAATAACCCAACAGCTTTAAGCATAGATCATCTCCCTCTAATAGGACACAAGAGAAGTGATACATAAGGCAAAGAAGATGGAAATGAGAGGCAGACTTCTATGATGTATGCATACCTGACTTAACATGGAGCAATAAATAGATACACAAAGTGAAATCAAATGAGGCACTAAATGAGAACAAAGAAAAAAGAAATGGATGACTTTCTGCTTTGTAAGGCTTACAGAGCTCTTGCAGAAATTGATTCCTAGGTAAAAACGATAGCCAAGGAATAAACATCCAGCTTATACAATTATATTCTTAGGCAAATGGAGAAGAAAGGATAAGACACCAAAGACTGTTATTGAGGAATCTTTCAGATTAGCCCAAGCTAGGTTTTTCATGAAAATAACCTTATGGGTCTGCTACATATCACCCATCCTTTAGTTTCCTAAACACAAAAACTTTCCTTTTAAACTGAATGGGGCAAAATGGAGAGAGCTTAACAACAAAATAAACTTTATCACCTGACATCTAAATGGCAATATTTATTATCAAGTCAACATTCTCTTATATTCTTTCAATGGTCTAAAACTATTGTTGACCAATAATTGTTTGGAATGAGATCTCTCTCTTCTCCCTAGCTTTTTTTTTTTTAATTTTTAAATATAACTTCAACTTCTATTTAGATTCAAGGAGCACGTGCAAGTTTGCTGCATGGGTATATTGCGTGATATTGAAATTTAGAATATGAATGATTCCATCACTCAGGTAATGAGCATAGTATCCAATAGTTAGTTTTTCAACCCTTGTCTCCCTCCCTCTCTCCCCTCTCTAGAAGTTCTAGTGTCTCCTGTTTCCATCTTTATGCCCATGAGTACCCAATGTTTAGCTCCACAGCTTCTTATTTTGAAATACCTATTTTGGCCCATCCCATTCACCTCTCTGTATTTGGGCAGGGGGAGAAGTAGGAATGGGATGGGTAGAAAAAGGGGAAACAAACTCCATCATCTGCCTGCTTTCAGTGCATCAATTCCTCCTCCTTCTGGTAAAAACACACTAACTTCCTTAGAGGACTCCAATTTTTCTTTACCCAACAGTTTAAAAGTGGGCACTCACATATCCCAGGGTGTCACCAATCACAGCTTTCTTATCTCCCACCCCATAAGGAGTAGGGTTGAAGATGAGCACACGAGACTCTGCCCGAGAAGAAAGCCAACATTCCTGAGGGTCCATAGACAGATGGATGTTGAGAACACTGTTCAAGCACCTAGATCCAGCATAACAAAAGAAAAAAGCCAAAACTACTCCTGGGCTTTACAATTATGTGAGCCAATCCATGATTTTTGTCCATGTAAGGTATCTGAATGGATTTAACACCATGGATGTAACCAAAGAAATTCTGGAGAACATTCAGAAGTAAAACTAAATATATTCCTAATATCCCAAGGCAGAATGATAAATGCATTTTCCATAGAAACATAGTTACAATGAGAGTTGCAGAAATGGATATTAGAATTAAATCAATTTTTGTGGACCAGAGTAAAAAAAAAATCTCTGAAGACCATAAAATCTCATCTATGGAAAAATGTGTTCTGAATACAAAACAAACATAAGTTTTTCACAATTAGGCTGGTTATTAGGCTTCTCGATTGTACCATATACTTAAGGCTATAGTTTATTTCATAACTTTTTTTCTAGCCTTCATATCTTGTGTTTTCAGGTTGTCACAATATTCTTTTAAAAATTAAGCATTCTTACGGCTTCACTCATGTGCAACATTTATAATTATTTGCATTTGCCCCCTCAATGATCTCAATAGAATAAATCAGGCTCCACTATACTCATTTCACAAAGACACATTCATTACAAAGGATAAAGGACTGAAATATTTGTTTTGCAATCTGTTGACCTAAGTAGGAATAGGAAGCACAGTTTCAGTGCTTCCAAGTTTTTAACCCCTGACTGAGACGTTTTGGTTGAGTATTACTATTCTTATTCTACCAATGATAAAGGGAAACTGAATGCCCAACCATGTGCTGGCTGTTTACACATATGCAACATTGACTGGTTCTCACAACCACCTTGAGGAATAGGCATTGTCTTCAATTTACAAATGAGGAAAACAACCATTTCCAAGGTGCATTTTACAATGGAATATTCTGAGCAATCGATTTTGAGAATTATTACCAGTGGGCATTAACAGGAGAAGAAATAATTGAGGACACAGGAGAAAGAAATCAATGTCAGGAGATAGAGCCTAAGTCACCAGATCCATTTCATGGACAGTAACATGACAGTTAACTTAAAACATTTCAAATTACAAATGACACTTGTTTACTTCTTTTCTTTTTCAATGGAAGTGTCTATGGGGAATCTTTATTATCCAAGTATCATTATGAGGACCTCTGAAGTTACAAACTTGCATAGCTAAGCAGGTCATAATACAAAATATTCTCAATAAAGCAACCACCTACAGAATTAACTTAAGTAGTCCTCTGGATTAATTCAAGTGTTCATGCTGATTGATTTATGTCAATTTCATCAGTCTCTCATTGTGAAATTTTGAGACGATCATCTATATACAATGCAAATTACCTATAAAATAAAATTGAAAGACTTGTTTAAAAAAAAAATTCAAAAGAGTGGCTACCAATGACGTTAGGAATAACTAAAATTCATTCACATACGAAGCCATTAGAAAATGAAACAGAAATTAGATGACACAACAAATGACCAAAAATTTGATGATGATGTAAGTGCTTCAAAAGGAAGTATCTAAATATTAAAGGATAGAAGATCATCCTGGAAAAATTGATTAGCACTCAAATATTTTCACAAAATTGACTATCTCTTAACAATGATTTTGCTACTAAAATGTGAAATGTTATCTTTTTCTTACAAAGTTTAAGAAAAATATGCCAATAATGTCATTTAAAAGATTTGTAATCAAGTCACAATATAATTTAAATAAAATGTTGTTAGGGGTATGGCAAAATAAACTTACATTTTTAGTACTTAATTTTCCCTTTTCAGGTCTTCCCGAAAACAGCTTCTGACTCCCAACTACCTAGTATTGTGAATTTTTTGTCCCGTTGTAGCTGGCTTATTTAAAAAGGTAACCTTTCTGGTTTTAATTATACTTAGAAAACAATATGAAGCAAACAATACAGAAATAACAACCTACTGAATAAAAAGTGTAAAACTGAGAGTGCAATGCATGATTTTAACCCTCTAATCATGACTGAAAGCTTGTTTTTAGTTGAAGCTTAAATATTACGCAGTTGGATAAAGTGTGACTTCAACTTCAATAAAAGTTAGTTGAAACATTTACAAAAAGAAAGAAAAGAGAAGGGGAAAAGAAGAGAGATGGGAAAAAATAAATCAAGTTCTAGTCTACAAGTGCTTTTAAAGGATCTTTAAATGTTTTAGTTGAGGTGTTTCAATTCTTGAGCTAACAGTCAAAGGAAAAATCAATGAGATAGCCAAAACATTTCAAAGTACTTTACTAAATAGCAATAGACAATTCTTATGTGCTTTTGATGATTAGGTTATTCCAAAATATTTTCACTCATTTGTTTAGAATTTAGTATTTATGTATTTTCTGCCACATAGCCATTGAACTTAAAAACTAAGGTAAAAATTACCAGAATGCTCTCAACAAATTCACTTATAATTGTTTGCCCTTCTTCAAGAGAGAACAAAAAATCTTTAGTGAAGACAGCACTTAAAATTTTGTACATAAGTTTTAAAAAAACATTCCATTTATCTCAGGAGAAAAGATCTAACACGGGGATATGGTTTGAGAATCGTGTAACTTTCATATGCCTGGGGGACATGTTCTGCTTCTTCTTCTGTCCAGTTTTCAAAGCCTCACTTTCTTGTCCCAGAAGCCCTACATTTGATGAAGTTTGAGTGGGACCCACTCAACTCCCATTCCAAAGCTTTGTGCACAGGTGTGCGCCTGGGAAGAATCACCATCCTCAACTACAAAAATGGTCCCAGATGTTCACCAGGCCTAACCAGGCCAACTGGAATTATCTCTCCCAGAGCCATCTGCATTGGGATTGGTAAACTAGAGACTGGTCTGGAGCCTGCTGAGGGCCATCTTGGTTATCAAGTGGTAGCATCTCCAAATAGAATAACTCAGGCAGAAACCAGCACAGTTAAGACTTAGGAAGTGAGCTAAGAGGAAAAAGAACTCTGATTCCAGGTCTAGACTTGGGATCTAGTCATCTGAAGTTAGTGCCCTGTATCTGCCAAACAAAGCAGCTGTAGAATTCCCTTTTTGGTTTACAATGTTCTTGTAATGTGTAAAAATGGCAAAATCCTGACTAATCAAAACATAAAACTCGAAGTTATCAGGTTACAATATCTTCAGGCCTTAATTTTTAAGCAATAAAATAACAGGATTATATTGGAGATATTAGATATTCTCTAGGATTTCTTCTCTGTTGTATAATTCTATTGAGTTGAAGTTTCTGTCAACTAAATGTCGTAAAGTATTTGACTTTAAATAGTAAAAGGCGTTAACCTAAGAAAAAGGTGTACAATACATTTAGAAATATTTACACTTAAACATACTCATTTCTGAGTTGAAATATCTTTAATTAGATCAAAAATCTCGTTTTTAAGATCTTCATAAAAAAGTAAATAAATATGTTTTAAAAAATAAAATCTTAGTGGTAGCATTTTTGATTCTGTTGTTAATAAGGTTAACATTAAGAGAATCAAAAATGCTACCACAGAGATTTTATCATTATCAACTAACTGCATTTCACAGTAGTCACAATTAGATATTTAATATTTGAGGCACAGAATAGTACAAACCATTTGTAGAATTAATTTCTCACTAAAACTTCACTTTTATATTAAATGTTTTCTAAGGTGCTAAATTCTGATCTCTAGTGAAGAGATTACATTTGCAATTCCTTAGAAATGGTAAATAATAATGACACAATCAAATATGAAAAATGTATGCCATTCAACCAAAATAATGGAAAAAAAGTGTGATATAAAATGAAAGTACATTCTAATCTGAAATAATTAAAACCTTTCTATAGTTATTCTAAGACTATAAAGGTATCATAAATAAAAGTGTTCTGAAACTGTTCTTCTAAATACAATTCTCCCCTTTATTCATGGCTATGGCCACAGTTCTCGGAGCAGTGTATGTGGCACATGGTAAGCACTAAGTATGTACTGGATGATGGGAGAAGGGTGAGGTTGTTGTAGGGAGGTCAGGAGTGAGAAGCATGCAGGAGTGAGGGGCAGCGGTGAGGTGAGGAGTGAAGGAAAGGAGAGAGTAAAAGACTTGGGGAGGGAGACTAGAAAAGGGGAGATAAGAGGGAAAAGGGGAAGGAGAACCCATGAAAAGCCTGAGGAACGGCCCCCTGAAAGGCTGCGGGAGGGCTGGGAGGGCTGGAGAGGAGGGAAGGTGGTGGCACATGAGCCTGGGGAGGTGTCCACGAAAGAGAAAAACAGGGAAGCAGGAAGGGGAAGGAGGGAAGAAAACAACGAGCAAATCCATCTCCCTGAGTATTTAGCATACTTGAAAAAGTTACAAGGCATTATGCACAGAAATAACATTTAAAATCTTAATATTCTTATTTAACGTCAATGAAAGTATTCAATATATTAATCCATAAAAATTCATGATACATATACATTTATCTGAATACATGATCAATAAATAGAAGTTATTACATCATATTCTATGACATTTTTAAAATGTTTTTACATTTAGAAGTATGAGACGGTATATTTAAATTTCAGGTAATTTACTTGCTAAGCACCAATGATACATTCAATGGCTAATTTACACACCCTCACCAATCAGAGCAATATTACATTTTCCATGCTTTTTTGTAACAAACTGCAATCTGGAACATGACCATGTTCTGGGATGATGATGCCAGAGCTTTAGCCGTTTCTTTTCTGGGTATTTCCCTTTGTTAAGTGTGCATATCTGGTAGAACTTCTACTTTCCTTTCTGTCATCTTTGTCTCGGGATGCCATTTTACTAGAAACATCCTTCATATTTGTTGATTTTTTCCTATTTTCCTTGGTTTTAGCACTTTTTTCTAGGTCCACTTTCTCTTTTTCTCTGTCCTTTTTACCCTTAGGAGACTCCTTCCTGGATAGGTCTGCATCAGCAATTTTCTTATCCTTTCGGACATCCTCTTTCTTCCCCTTTTTTCTCTCTTCATTCTTACTTTCCTTCCTTGACTCAGGTTTCTCTTTCTCCTTCTTGAGCTCTTCTTTAGTGAGTTCTTTAACTTTCAGATTTTCCAATTAAAGGAAAAAATGTTTATTGACAGGATCTCTTAATCACAGAACAGGAAGTTAGTGAAAAGGTATTCTCTTTTTATCTCTCCACACACAGGAAATGCACATTCAGAAAGTTACTTTAATTCACTAGTCTTTATGGTGGCTAAAAATAGGTGCAAATCTCTATCAAATATCAACTATTAAAAAATGCTAGAAGCTTGTCATATTTTCCATCTTGAAATATAGTATGACTTGTCTTAAAACATTAACATGCAATATTATAAAATTGAGGGCACCACGAAGGCAGTGCTTTGCACAAAGTATTAACTCACACTTTGTAACTATAATTAAAGGAACACTGGCAACGTAAGAACAAATTTTTCATAATTTGTAAGAATATATACAAAGATAATTTAAAATGTTTAGCTCAAAAACATATGTCCTTAAAATACACGTGCTTCTTTGAAGACAAATATATGTAAATAAAATTAAATATAATTTCATTTTATTAGTTAACTAGGAAAAAATTGTCATGTGTATGACATTTTTAAATCATTATCTGTAGTATTTAAAAGGAAAAATTAGAATTCTCTTTCTGCTTATATTCATCATGAAATCAGTATTCCTTTAAGTATGTTTCCCTGTTAATTCATGTAGAGCAACTCAAGCTAACACACGTCTTCTAGTTCATTGGGTTGAGAGAGCAATTAAATGAAACACACAGCTAATTCCAAATCTCATGGAAGGTATTGCTTTCAACTTGCTTTACATGGTAATAAAGCAGTTAGCAAAAGCTCTGAATTTCATCTGTTTGTACTCTCATAAGGAAATCATAAGGTAAGGTGTTTGCAATGCCACATTTAAGCAGAAGCAATGCCACATTTAAGCAGAAACAAAGAAAATGAAATATTTCTTTAATATAATAAAATGTGAAAGATGTTTTTGCCCATCAAAATCACATAAAACTTACATAGCACAAATGGTATTCAAAATGAGCATTAGATTTGCAGTGCTCACTAAAAGCACTATGTCTTTCTAGGCTGTCTAATAAAATCTTGATTAACAAACAAAAACACCACATAGGGTTTCTCCATTAACTGAATTTCCTGGTGATCAACCAGGAGATTCTTCAGTTCTTCCTAAAAAACCTTATTACAGTCTTTTAAGAATACAGAATAGTATTCATTCAGGATCATGCTGAGTCTTCATTCTACTTCAATGCGTTTGGACAGTAACATAGATACTGGCATTGCAAAAGTGTAAAATGGATGTGCAATGCTATCATGTCTTATTCTGAAAACTGCTTTTAAAAAATTCAGTCTTTAATGTTTAATTTGCTTCTCTAGATCAAGAAGTAAAATATTTTATTGTCCATTTGTTTCATCATTATTTATATAAAAATAAGATGGTGAAAATTGTTTTCATCCCCAGAAATTATTCAGAAGAGATAGGAGGTTAAACCATTAAAAGTTCCTGATCTTAAAATATAAATCACAAAACCCTGTGAATCACATAGTAAGTCTCATCTGTTCATATTTCACCAAAAAAACAAACTACAAACAATATGCCAAGCCCGTGAAATGACCACAAGAATATCACAGGCTTATAAAGAAAAACAGGCTTATATAGAGGCATGCACATCCCCCATGCCTCTACCCACAAAGAATATGACTACTAACATATGAACAAGAATAACCACTGGCATATAAAGTCAGGCTGTAATACTGAGCTGTTAGTCTACAAATGGCTGACAGGTATAATAACTTATTTATTATTATTATTATTATTTTGAGAGTCTCACTCTGTTGCCCAGGCTGGAGTGCAATGGCACAATCTCAGCTCACTGCAACCTCTGCCTCCCGGGTTCAAGCGATTCTTCTGCCTCAGCCTCCTGAGTAGGTGGGATTACAGGTGCCTGCCACCAAGTCCAGCCAATTTTTGTATTTTCAGTTGAGACAGGGTTTCACCATATTGCTCAGGCTAGTCTCGAATTCCTGACCTCGTGATCCACCCGCCTCAGCTTCCCAAAGGGCTGGGATTACAGGCGTGAGCCACCGTGCCCGGACAATAATTTTTAATGAATTAAAATATCAAACACAGTAAATTCTATGTCAATGTAATGTAGGGTTATACATTTACATCCAAGTTTTCATTTTACTGAAAACTACACATTTGAATCACACTAGCTTTCACTGTGCTCTAAGACAGAGTGTCATGAGAGCTTTTGGAGAAATAAAAACAATTACTGAAGACTTCATCTTTTTTTCCCAAAAGTAATTCAAAAAAATCAAAGTAAGAAAGGTTTTAGGGAACAAGGTAAGATGTGTACATGTAAATTTAATATATACATCATAACAAATATAACATATTTGTATAATATATACATTCTTAATTTAAAGACTATTACAAAGCTTTGATAACATGAAAAGATAATGACTTAAAATTATAGGCTTGAAGCAGAAAATCCTTTGATGAAATCTTGATAAAACTACTTATAACCTAAGTTGCACCCAAGCAAGACCCAAAAGCAATAGTGTTTAGCATTAGTAGCAATATTAACATTCCCAGAAAATGTCATGCATTTTCAAACATTAAACTTGATTCACTCAAGGCTAATTTGAAAAAATGAAAATACCTTTAGCCTTAGTTTTTCTCTTGGCTACCCCACTGGGTCCTTCTGTTGACATTTACAAGATGAAAATAGGTTATAAACAGAAAATTTAAGGGAATTCAAAAATAAGTGTCTATTAAATAGGTAAAATCAATGCCACTATAAAATATGTTAAGTTAGTTAAATTCATCATTAAAAAATACTCCAATATCTCTCTTATTTGTCACTTTAAAGCTTTCCTTTCACTATCTTTAACATATAAATGCATTATAATCAGCCTATGATTTAACCAACTTCACAATTTGGCTTAGATCTTTAAGAATTGTTGGCATTAGAAATACTTAATTGCCACTGGAAATTGCATTTTCTACTCAGTGGTAGACTTCCGCTTGGGTCACAGATGATCAATTAAAAATACTAGAGTGAAGGACCAAGGACCTTACTTCACTACTCAATCACACTTGCCATCCAAAAAAGGATAGCATATTTTGATAGAGTTCATCTTTACTGTTTGAACAATCACTGCTCTTCCACCAGTTCGCACTGTCTTTTAAAAAATTATACAAGCAAGTAAGAATGACAGTATTATGTACATACATTTTACATTTTTCACCCACTCTAAAAACTTTGCAATAGCTTTCTATTTCCTCTCTTGGCAAATGAAAGTTCTGATAATAGATTTATTTTTGAGTCTCTAACAATATACCTCTAACTCTTATTCCAACCAGGCTGTACTTAGCATCCCAATGAACTGATCTTCCCAATTCTCTCTCTCAGTCACATAAAGGCTGGTTTATGCTATGTATTGGCAAACTTTGTAAAGTTCCAATCCATTTCTTAGGCACATTAGGGTTGGAGGTGCAATGTAGTGTTCATCTCCTCAGGAAGGGTGGCCTTTAGCCTGTCACTAAAGAACGAAGGTCTAAGGTGTGGTCACAAGAAAGTCCCCAAAGCCATCTGACATTTTTGCAGCTGTAAATTGTAAAACCCACTTTGTACGTTTCTCAAAACTTCTACTTTCAGTATTAGATGTCTGTTCTATTATATTGTTCAAACCTCCCCTTTCACTATTGATAGCAATTTGTATCTATCAATTGAGGTCATCCATTCGAGAATGGTAATTTATTTTGGTTGAAATATCAATATTCTTCAAAAATGTTATTAGTATCTCTTACCACTGACAACATAAAAATGGAAACGTGACCATGGTTATATTTGTCCACTTATATGAAATACATAGGTAACCATAACCAGTACTTATTCCCATGTGTTTAAAAATTATTTTTCCCAGACAAAACTTGATTCTTTCCTAACCTCTGCCAAAAACAGTGTATAACCCAGCAATAATGAGTGCTATTTCCAATCACTCTCCACTAAAGTTTATTTCAGAATAAAATATCAAAACTATTCTCATAATACCCACTTTTAAATATGAGTAGTATCTAAGGTGTAAAACACATTAGCATAAAACATTAAAATATACTTCTAGTACCGCTATGTTCCCCTCCTGACTCCTACATGTTCTCCCACAGCAGAACCAGATTTTCCTATTAAAACGTAGAGTGAGGAAACCCAGACTGCCCTCTCCCTACCCCCACTGTTATGATCTAGGTAAAAAGAGCTATATGGATGAAAAGACTAGAGTTAACTTTTGTCATGAATAAACCAAAATATTAGATTAGCATCAGATTAGTGAAACATATAAAAATAAACAGTGCTGTGCTTTATTTTAAACTTTTTTGGTTTGGGTATAAATCCTTATAGTGATAGAAATGAACACATGAACAAAGTGCAATGCATGATATAAAACTCCAAAGGATCATCTTATGCTTTTCTGAACTTAAAAACATAGCCAATAATTTTTCAATATTTTTGACATAAAAAGGACCAAGCTAATAATTTAAACAATTATTACATTCAGTTTCTGAAGAAAAGTATATAGACATGAAAAAAGTATACCACCAAAAACAGTTAACAAGAGTCCCTAAGTAACAATGAAACAAAAAGAGAGTAAAGAAAAAAAAATTTTTTTTTGTATCCCAGAACTTAAAATAAAATGAAATTAAATTTTTTAAAAAAGGAAATGTGTTTGTTTGTTTTTTTTTTAAAGTGAAATGATCAGTTTTAGGAAGGAAGACATGAACAAAGGTTTAGGATGAGGGCACTATTTTATTATGTTACTTACTAAATATCCTCTAAGGTTCTTCAGAATACAGTTTTACAAGCAGTAGAGAAGGCAGTCATGCCACAGTGATGAGAAAACATAGGTGGAAGGAAAGGTGACCAAAAATCTAGGGTGCTCACATCAGCCTTCCTCATTTCCTTAGAAGAAAACTGATCATACATGGAATTTCCCTAGATTCTGAGGGGAACAGAAAAGGAAAAAGTTTGAAGAATTTTATCCGGGTTTTGTTTTGAAGGTCGAGGAAACGCAGGCATGTCTGTAAGAAAAAGAAGCTAAGTTCATAACAGGAGAGAGGTGATGAGGTCAGGAGGATGTACAGGCTCAAGGGAAAGGGCTAGCTTTGGAAACCAGAGGATGCAGTGTCTGAAAAAAAAAGGTGAGTGAATGAGACAAGAAACAATAGCTCAAAAAAATCCTGAGATAGTAATGTTGTAAAGGGAAGAGAGAAGAAAATAATGGAATGAAGCCACACTAGATTATCTTAGGAAAGCAGAAAGCAAAATCATCTCTACAGAGGAATAAAATGACCCTGGAAGAAGGAAGGTTGTGGAAAAGTTTAGAATGACTGCTAACAAGGGAAACTGTTGGAGCAGCATGCCCCCGACAGAGGCTCAGTACAGGTAACTTTATAACAGATTTTTTTTTCCCAGCAACAATGGGAAATACAGTAATGGAGAAAGGGGTCAGTGGTAATCCAAGATTAGTGACAGCACGTAGAGGGGAAAAAATATTAGTTTGCGGGCATTAGAGAAGTGGACTTAAGGGAAAACCACAAGGCAGGTACGAAAGGCCCACCTTTCTATTCTTCCTAATTCTTGACAGAATTAAATTCTTATCATTTGCAACTTTGGTTGATGTAGATTCTCCCTACAGTGCCAAAATGCCACAAGCATGCACTACTTTTCTCCTTTTCTATCTTTAGTACCATAGCTAATGTCTAGGGAAAAAAAAGAAAAAAGGGAACATTCCACTAATCAATAAAATTCATGACAACACAAAGGCTCTTCAAAAATAGTTTCCAAGTAGTAGGAAGAAAATTCTATCAATTCGAGCAAAAATGGAAACATCTTGGTATTTCTTAATCCATTCAGACAAAAGTTGTTTTTAATTAATAGAATATATTCCAATTTAAGAAATAATCAAAGCAGCATTAGGATGTGCTTAAAATACATGCTGAAAAACAACTGCCATGCTATTTATTTTCTTTTCGTCCTTTTATACTTATTTTGATGTAAGTATTTAAAGTGATGATAGTTAATAGCTCTGGCAACTATTTGGGAATTCTTATACAGAAATTAGAAAAAAGATCTTACATTCTTCCCTTAGAACGTAAGAGAGTTGCCTAAAGGAAATTTATGCTATTTTGGCAACTGCCTCAGGCCATTATTCTACATTTTCAAAATCAAATGTTCTCTATGAAATTAAAATGTTTGAACCATTAAGCCAATGGATAGATCTGTGGTTACACCACATGCAATAGACATGATTTTAGAAGACTGGCTGCATTACAGATACACAAGTAGCTACTTCAGACTTTCAGACAGCTCTAGAATTGGTCTGGATATCACTTCATACTCAGGTCACTTCAGCCACTCTCACCATTTCTAGTGAGACCTGTGAGTCACTGTAAGCCTTCTCATCTTCCTCCGTCCCATACTGGAACATCGTAATCATTTCAACATTGACTACAAATAGCAAAAAGAGGCCCTAAATGTCTGAGTAACCATCCTGTTAGCGAGACAGACTGTTCCTCTAGAATGGATGTCTACTCTTAGTAAAATGCATGTCAGGACACTACACCAATTGCTTTTTTATTTTTAAATAGATGTAATAATATAGTACAGATTAAAAAAAGAAGAAGAAAAAGCTACAAACCCACCAACCCTCTACAGTAAGTGGGGAACGGAGGATCAGAACATAAGAAAACTGAAAGACTAAATAAGCAGAAAGGGATTACATCCAGAGACAGAGAAAAAAAGGTAAAATGCAGATTCAAATACAAATTGGAGATTGGAAAGGTCACCTGAAGACTTTTGTTAGCATAGGTTTGTTATAGAAACTCAAAATGTCATTTCTATTGCAAAAAATATGTCCAATAATTTTACCACTTATTTAAACCAGTTTTTTTTAAAAAAAAAAAACTCAGTATTTTATTATGCAAGGAGTAACTCCTCATCCTTCAGGACCCACACCAGCATATGACATTATTCATATGATATTAATGAATATCACATGCAAGGCTTAGCATTGAAGGAGAATTCAAATAAAACCGAAGATCTGGTTCCTAGTTTCAAGGAGTCCACAAACTACTTAATATCTAACTCCTAAGTATTACAGGGTCATCTCAACAAATAACAAAGGCAGTGAATTCTGAATACTGGTTCCATCATTTAACTTATGAAAATAAAGTCTGGGTCACTGAGTTTCTTTAAGCATTCCAAATATGCATTGTGATCAAAGATTCCACAGCCAAATCACAGAAAATTTCTTGTATGTTTTATAGACTTAAGGAGCTAGCCCAGCGGATTATTTAGAAAGGGTCATGGAGCATCAATTCCCAAAAAGTTAACTGTCAAGTGACCAAATTAAGAATAACTGGCTGTGCTAGATCTAATTTTTTGATAATTATCCAAAGTCACAAACATCAAGGTAGACAATCTGTTCTATCTAACTAAATAAAAATAATTCAAACAGAAAATAGTCCCTCTTTCATGTCTGGATACAGCTCTATAAGACAGGGAGGTAATTTCTAGAATAAAGAAAGAATCAAGGACAAGATGAAAATGCAGGACAGCCCACTATTCCATATGTCCTCAGCACCGAGGCGTCTGCAGGATCCCCAGGGCAGCAGGCTGACAGCCAGGCCTCAGGACTGGGTAAAATTGGCACCCAGAAGACACTTCCCCTACTGACTTATACCCACCACTCATGTCCCAAAGCAAGGCAGGCTGAAGGAAGCTAAAGGGCTGAAAAGAATCCCCAGAGTGCTGCTGTCTTGTTTTCGTGCCAAACTCCGGAGAACCCAGCGTCTTTGCAATCGGACAAATGTCAGCACATCCGAATAAGCCAGAACAGTGACTCTGAGGAGACAACACTATATCTCAACACGAAGCCTGTTCCACAGAGTTTCTCAACTCTGAAAAGGTAAAGTAAATACAGTATAACTTAAAATTCCATAACTATATAAACATTCAAATTAATGGGATATGATTTTGCCTTAATTTAGTTCTTAAGTTTAAAAGACATGAGGTAGGAAAAGACTTATATTATGAAACAAAGTCAGAAAATACACGCTTAGAAAATTAAGAATTTTAGCAATACATAATAAATCAAACTAAGGTGAAGTAATTTTGATCAGCTTTGAGATACTTTATAGTGCAGTTTATAGTGCAGAGATAAAATAAAATACCTTTATTTTATCTCTCTCACACACACACACACACAAGCCTTAGGCACAAGTTGACGGAAGTCACAGAAGTCAGGGGTTCGTCAGCTACCTGGGTGTCACCTTCATCAGAGGCTTTCAGAGGAACTAATGAGAGGTGGTACAAAATAAGTAGCAAATTTTTATCCCACATTCTTGTTTTTCACTTACAAAAATAAAGCATAATTAATTTCTGTACATAAAATATGCATTAGTAGGGCAAATAAAGCCTGATGAAAAATTAGTAATTTCAAATATTTTTAACACAAAATTTAATCATTTACTTCTTATCAATTAATCGAATATCTTCTAGTGTTAGTAGTAACAACACGTTAACAAATAAGATTCCTTTAAAAAGTATATCCCGGAAATTAGGCTGGGTGAATTTCATTGAGTGGGGCTGAAGATTCCTTTAGAATTTAAACCTAATAAACTTTGATATTTCATAGTACCCAAGTATGAAAGCAGAAGACACAATAAATACAAAGATTGAATAAATTTTCAGAAGGAACATTACTGAATGATACTCATTTGTTGCAGAACATGCTACTAAGTGACAGCTTAACTGAAGTCCTTGAATATTTGGAAACAGAAGCTTTAACAGACTATCTTCTGCATTAACAGAATAAAACATATTTGCCCATTAGTGCAGGCAAGACAAACAAGAGCTTTAATAGTCACTTTAATAGTCATTTAAACTTTAAGAGATTATTGTCCAGTGTGTATATCCACATCCAAAAGTAGCTACAGAATGTTTGCTTTTTAATAAGATTAGCAAATTGGACAGTATTTGCTGACACAGGTAAATGGTGGGCAGAGGGAATGGATGTCCCATGCTGACTTGAGGCTGCTACTTTCAGGCTGTTATTATGACAGCCTACAAGAGTAATTCATAACAATTTAAATTTGTCATAGTCCCCTCAGAATAAATGGATGAATGATACACTTATTGAAAGTAATTTGATTAGATATAGAAGACAAGAAATATTTGAAAAGTAGAAATTATAGTTAAATAAAACGTGAGGAAGTGCAAGCATTTTCAAATTTTTAGCTCTCTGACAAACTAACACTAAGCAAAATCCTAGAGAAGCTGGAAGAGATTTAAAACCACGGAACATCACTCCTTCAAAAAGTAACATCCCTTTCCTTATCTTCCTTATCCCTAGAAGAGCTTTGCTTGAGGGGAAACTGATGAAATCTCATTTTAAGAAATGCATTTTGTATATAGCTGCTACACCTGTTTTGGTTACTACTGAAGCAAACTCATTTTTAAAGCAATTGATTCAAATATGTTTTTAAGGCTTTCTAATGGGAAAAGTTTACTGCCCTAAATGGAATTACCACTTCAATAAGTTTATAATTCTAAAAATCACATTACATCTAAGCCAAAATCAATATCCAATTAATAAGTTAATGAAGGAAAAAATGGAAAAAGACTTATTTAGGATGAATAATTTTAATATGTACAACATTAAGATACATATTCACATGTTCCCTCTTGTGTAATATGCCTACTTTAAAAAAAATACAAATTACTTTCTCTGGATGTATATTTGGAAATAAAATTTAAAATAAATTTTGCTTTCACAGACAGAAATATGTCATGCTACTATCTGAAAACAGTAAGTTAACTTACTCTAAGGCAAAAACATGGAGTTATTTTTAAATTATTTTAAAAGCACCATTAACACAGAATTTTACATAGAAATTTGTATGAACCTATCTGACAAACCTAAACAAATTACAATAAAAAATATCAGCTTAGTAAAGAACCATCATTTTATACATCAGTCATGTTAAAGAACAGAGAAGCATTTAACTTAAAAATCATGCCAGAAATATTTTTATAATGAAATCCATTAGAATCATCATAATTAATAGTGTGTTAGAAAGACAAGCATCAAGGGTTAACCACAACACAATTTGCTGTTAAGTGTCCAAATTTAGTTCAGTGAATACATGAGTTGAAACAAAACGATACAGAAACCAATTATACCACCAAGAACATCATTTTCAGTGTACTTTGTAGCTGACTACAAGAATGAGGAGTACCATTTTCTTCAATAGAAGTTGGGGGAGCTGAGCGAGCAAGGGACTAGCTAGTAGCTGTACTGGGCAAGATCACATGGTTGACTTGCACGGTAAGATCACAACCACCCCACTGCACATTAAGCCCTGCATAAGCCAAGGAAAGAAAAGAAAAAGGAGGCTGCTTCAGGTGTTCATTAGCCAATGACTTCAGTCCCTGAATCAAGGTTACTGGTTATGTAAATCCAATATGACACAAGTCTTTCCCTGAACCCCTTCATTCTGTGACGTACCATCAACACCATCTGCGGTTTCGCTTTCTTCTTCTTCTTCTTCTAGCATTTCAAAAGGAGTCATTATATCATAGAGAAATGAGAGGAAACCATAAAACCAATCTGAACTTTCCTCTGCTAAAATATTAAGGACTTCCTCAAGAGAATCAATATTTTCATTACTGCCATCTTTGGTCAGGCCTACATAAGAATAAAGGAAGAGAGAGAGAAAATAAGGAGAGCAGTTAGGTGGAAAAAAGAAGTGGAGGAAGGGTGATCTCAAAAGCGAGGTGCATCAAGGTCAGAGAGGTTTACAGAAACGGTATTTGGAAAATAAAGAAGTCCATTAAAATGCACACCTTACAATCAACTCTCAATCAAATGTCAAAAGAAAGCCACAATTTGACCAAGCCTCACCACTCCTACCAGCCCCTACCCAGGTTTACCTTTCTCTCATTAGAGTGTTGAGTTGAAAGACAAAATTTTATCATCAAAAATCAATGGACAGTAATGGAAAAATCAGTTGACAGTAAAAGGAAGAGTGAGTAAAAGCAGTATCAGGGAAAAAAAGATATATACTCTGACAACCTCCAGATTTGCTCATTTACCAACCAGATTTTATCGAGAGTTGATTATACACACATTCGTTCATTTGTTCATTCAAACTAGAAAGGTTTATTTCCTCAAACTTCTCCCCTCCCCCCACCACCACCCCACTTAAGACCTGGAGCTGACTTAGGAAATTCTGGAGTTAATATAATTAGCAGTATTACCATTTATAGCATCCATAGGTGGGCAAAAATACACTCAAATTATGTAACTCAGATAATTTTAACACTTAAATTTTAACACTATTAAATGTGGTAGCTCTATAAAACTCTGGCAACTGACTCATGGTCCTGTAATTCTGGCCAATGACAAGAGTCAGCTATTAATAATAATTCACTTTGCCTACCGATATGAAATGTGATCAAGGCCTTAGCTGGTCACTTGCAATAGGAACATTCCAAATTCCTCTCCCCATGGGCCTGTGAAATTAGCTTCTATTGCTAAGACCCCTTACAACTAAGTATTGGACCCCAAACAGGCCTTAGGATAGAAATAAATCAAAGTATATATTGTTTTCATCATTTGTTTTTTTCCTGTGAAGAACTGGCTCTGGGTAGCAAAGGTTTCTTAGCTCTAGTAGGTATCAGAATCTACCAAGCTGTATACCAAGCCCTTAATTTTGAGGAGGAATAACAGGGTGGGGTGTTCTGACTGTAAGAAATGTGAACATCCATGACCACTGAGCTTTTCTGGTTGGAACCACGTAATTCAGTCATTTAAGGCTTTGGCAACACACAATGTCTCCATGTAGTATAACTACCAGCAATCAAGATAGGCAGATAAAGGATAAGACGACAACTAATTTAAAAGTTTTAAAGATTATAGTGAATTTTCTCTGCTTTACTCAAAAGAACTATATTATGTCATTGTTCATGTTTTTGGTAGGAAAAACGCAAATTGCAGTTGGTATTTAAATTACTTTTTGACAAGCCTAGAATGTTTTCACTGAATTTAGCAGCAGACAAATGCTGTGAACAAAGATCTATAATCCCAACTAAGTCCCTATGGGAATAACAGTTTCTTCTTCCTGCCTTAAAACACTATAGCTGCATATTTAGTATAAACATCTTTACTTTTCTCCATTTGCCAATATATTATAAGTACTTCCAAGTATTACATATAAAACTTTTCCATCCTTCAGTATGACAGATGACCATATGCAACGAATATGCAAAAGCATTTGAACAAAACTGTTTACCCAGCCAAGCAACCTTCCTGTGGTTCTCAAGACAAAAGTACTAGTCCAGAGAGAAAAATATATACTCTCGGCATGTGATTCCTTCTGAACCTCTAAGAACAGGGCTCAACCAAAGGGAATGCCTTTGGCTTGGCAAGATCTGGTCTTCTCCTCCCATCAGCTCACTCATGCATCTATCAGTCTACAAATGATTTTCCAGGATGTAGCAAGTGCTGACTGGCTTCCCTTTTGCTTTCCACCCATACCTGATACGATGCCAGCTAGGTGCTAGCCATAGGACAAAAGGACAACCACATGATCCTTAGGTGGTGTCACTCTAAGGATTTAGTCCTCGCATCATTTAGTTCTTGGGTCATTTTCCTGTTGATTTTATTTGGAAAATAAGTTTTTAAAGAATGTATTTTCAAACAAGGTAGTTTTCAATAATCTGAACTACAACAAAAGATACCTATATTTTAGTTAATTTGGCCACAAAAATAAGAAGGTATGTAAATGAAGAAAAATGGGCTTAGCACGCTTTCAAAGAATCAGAAGGGCCTTGGCCAGAAATAACCAAATAATAAAATTAATGATGGTTAGGGGTCTTGATTTACTCACATATATTTAATTCTATTTCACAAGAAAAGCCAAACTCTAAAATTGAGTGAAATGTACCATGTAAATGTGTACATTTCCCCAAATTTATAAGATTTAGATATATGCAGATTTAAGAATCTAGAAAAAAAAACTGATGAAATAAATGCAAAATCCTATGAAAGTTTAACATATCTTAATTATTACTATACCTGCGATGACAACAGCTCCTCTTATCTCTGATTTCCTACCCTCCTCCTTCCCCTTGGATCTCCTGGGCCTTAATCTAAAACCTAAACCCTTAAAGTTTAAACTTTACCATTAAGCTCCCTCTCCAGTGAGAACGTACCTTGGAAGTCTGGCTTCATTTTGGGTATATGCTCACTGTAGTGCTCCCCCCATAACCTCTACCTGACCTCAAAGAACCCATTAAAGCCTCTGTACTCCCAACAATTTCACCAGGCTGTCTTTGCAGTAACCTTCCAGTAACAGAGGCACCACTAAACTACAATAATCTCACAAACCAGAAAAGAACTTCAGTCATAAAACTCAATTCAAGTTAAGGTTGCATTTCATGCAGAGAACTCAAATGCTATGAAATAAGATTAGAGGTGATAAGTAAGCCTAACATTTCACCTTTGGTTTGTTTCATCTGTACTGAAGCCACAAGCCAACTGCAAACTAGTACAGGAAGAGTAAAAAAGTATTTATGTAGCTTTATCTGATCTGTCTTTATGCATTTATTAGTAAAGTTACCAAAATAAACCTTGATATTCACCAAATTTAGTTCCACCTCCAAGTGTATAATTCTTATAAATGGCACAATTTATGAGTTCCTCACACTATACCTGCAAACAGCAATATTCAAAGTTACAATTAATTAGCTTCTTAATGGTAGGTTAAAAAACTTAAAGGGGATGACCTTTTGAAATCTCAAATACACTAAAAATCAAGTTAAGGTAATAGTTTGCTATAGAAATCAGTGTGTTTTATCAAAGAAATACCACATTTTAATTTCTAATGGCATTTCCTGACAGACCACATAGCTGGTTTTAAGCAAAAACAAACAAACAAATAAAAATCAATAAAATGCAGTAGATGAGAGTAATATTATTTCTAAAAATGAGGGAACTTGGCCCACATTTTATTTTATCTTTAAAATAAAAAGCTTTGCTATTCAGAATGTGTCATTTAAAGTAATATAATGAAGTAATAAACCATTTATAGGCAAGCAAATTAACATCATTCTGATAAGTTCTACATAATTTTGTTTCTTTTACATGCCTAAGATTATAGTCATCTGAGGATTTAATATATTTAGAGAAACTCAAATATAGATACACAATGACAGGACTACATTGAAAATTTCATTAAAGTTAAGACAAGAAAAGAAATTTCATAATAAGTTTCAATGCACAAACACTAATTCCCAATGGGCAATAATAAAAAAAAAAAAAAAACAAAAAACACCAACACAGGTCAACATTAGGAAGGTTTATTACCTTTAATCACAACTAAAACTCTATTTTCATATTTGGAACTTTATTTCATAAGGAGGTGGAATTAATCTACTAAAAGCAGTTTCACTAGTTACAGATGTGGCATCCTACCATGTTTTCATATCTAATAAATATACACAAAACAATGTTAACTAAGAAGAATTTGTTTGGGTCATTATTTTATAAGCTTAGTGTATAATATCATGCCATATCCATTATTTTTCTAAAGACTCTTATATAAAAAGTTTTAACATATATTATGCTACATACAAAAGCAAAGGAAGTCTCACCAGGCCAGATTATATAAAATTTGCATATTGAAATTAACACCATTCTTTCCAGCAAGACAGCACTTTAAAACAAATAAGGGAATACCACATTGTTATTTATTACAAGAAACATCTCTGATAAAGACAAGTAATTCTGATAATGAAAGAGAAGGGTCCAAGACTTCCAAAATAAAGACACTGGGTCAAAAGACCAGGAGTTCATATTTTAATGCTACCGTTAAAATATGCATGGGACATTTTAAGATGTTTATTATCACTTTTATTTCATCATTAATTTATGTAAGCCTGTAGAAATTTACATTTTGAAATGGAAGTGAATGTGTAATGTTAATGAAAAATGGCTATAATTACCATATCTAAAAACAGACTAGGATATTATCTATTCAAATTCTAAGTTCAGAATAAGAAGTACTTTAAATCTGGAAACACACATGAAATTATTATACTTATCAAAAGATATATGTGTAAGAGATATACACTTATTCATTGATAAAAGTAAATTGACATGAAAGAGTGTGGAAAAATAAGCCATTTAAAATTTTAACAGTAATGAAATATATGATTTAAGGGAGAAAAGTCTCCTGTAAGATATATACTATTGAGATAGATATTATTAAAGCAAAAATAATTGTTTCCAGCATTTTATCACCACTAACAAAAAACATAAAATGTGTACTTGCCTAATAAAACTTTGGCATCATCCACATCAAAATCTCCATCACCATCAGCATCATAGATTCCTAGTTTTCCTATAATAGGGCAGAAATGATGGATATGGGAATAAAAAAGAAAAGAAATTTAATAAGGTATTATAACTTAGTGAAGTCATGCAACTCAGTCATAAATGTTACCAATTAATACAATTCTTTGCTCTTTTAATCCTGCAAAGCAGTGTCAAATGAATATCTTACCTAAAAATAGCGAGCAATTCAGTTAAGAGAGTCAGGAAATGTTCAGCTAATAAATGCTATGAAATAAAACTGACACAGCATTATCTTTAAAGATTGAACAACATCCTGATCTAATTAGTTCAGAATAATTTTTATTATACTGCTAAAAATATTCTTGGTAAAGTTTTTAGCATATATGAAATAATATTGATGCATTCCTAAGTCACTTGAAATTTAATGTTTCTAAAGCATGAAATTTCATCACACTATCAATATCTGAACCAAAAGAAACAACCAAGCCTCAAATAAAGACCAAATGTAAATAGATTAACATAGAATCTAAGTACTAAAAACTAAAAAATCATTAATTTTATATTTTACAATGATGACTTATAACAGAAATATCATGAATTAACCTTTAAAAATAAAAGATCATTCTGGAAATAAAGTATATAAAACTGGAGGCTTCGGAAATTATAAAGGAAAACTTATGATTATTCTACTTAACTTAATCAGCACAGGCAATCTATACTAAGAAAAAAAGGGCTTAAAACAGATATGCTGAGAAGACAATACTACCAAAACCTTTCCTCCTGATGAACAGAAAACGTTTTTAGGCTTTAGTGCTTTATCATAAGGAACACTGTTATTTTGTTTAGCATTTCAAAAAGTCAAATATATTCAACTCCCTAAAAAAGCATCCTAAAATCTACATGATTCTAATTCATTATTGGACAATGACTGTGGAGAAACATAATAATGTTAATGTACAGCAATTTTTTAAACAGCTTTCTCAAATACAGCATTAGTACTAAAAAAAAATTTTGGCAATTGTTATCATTTCTTTAACACAAAGTACATTAAAAAATTACAGAAGAACAGGCAGAAATTTTGGCTCAGATTAGTTCTGATCAATCTTTATCTCCCCAGAGCCCTTGCTCTACCTAGGAAAATGGTTAACTTGCTATATAGAAGTCTGACTTAGCAAACACATACACATTTAAAATGATTATGATGAAAGAAGAGATAAGGATGTTATTTCAACTGCTAAGAAAACAAAAAGTACTAATCAAGGCTATGCAGAGTACAGAATTCAAGAAACAGTAAAAGATAGAAAATACTACCCTTTCTGACAAACCCATAATGGGAAATTGGTCCTATCACTTATATTCTGATGTAGATAATAATTAAATTAGTAGAAAAAGGATGAGCCATTAGAGAGTAACACACGTAGACTTGAAATGCAACTCCAATAGCCTACCTTGAAGCACCTCTGATAAGTTATAACGGAAGTCCTTTGCTTTGGCTGCATGCATGTAAAAACATGAAAACTGTTATTTGTGCTTAAAGGTACAAATACTTAAAGTGTCCTCTTTTAAGATACATTCCCTAACAACATATCACTGTAAGTCAGTCAAAGCATAGATCTACTCAGAAATTTGTCTCCAGACTAAAATTCTCCCTCAGTTGGTCTGTCAATCTATCCAGAGACACTTTCTTTAAAGTAATGAAAATGAAAAACTTCAATGAAAGACAGATTACAAATAAGCATATTTTGTTATTCCTACAGCCAAAAATTTGTTTGCCCTTTCTCCCCAAAAATATGTCTATAATTTGACAAGTAAAGCAGAAGCACAGGAAGTCCAATGCAAGGGGATATCACCCATGCAACATTGTACATAGACACAAGTGTGCATTTTTTCCAGTGACAGGTCCACATCTTTCACTGGATTACTAAAGAGGAGGACCATTATTCACAACAGCCAAAAAGTGGAAACAACCCAAATGTCCATCACTGATAAACAGATAACCAAAATGTGGTGTGCCCATATGATGGAATATTATGCAGCCATAAAATGAAGTACTGAACTTTAAAAACATTATGCTAAGTGCAAAAAGGCAGATACAAAAGATCATATAATGTATGGTTCCATTACATGAAATGCCCAGAATAAACAAAAGCACAGACACAGAAAGTAGATTAGTGTTTCCCAGGAGAGGGAAAGAGGAAGAGTTTGGGTATTTAGGGGAAGGGGGTAACAAAAATAATCTGGAACTAGATAATGCTGATGGGTATATAAAATGATGAATATAGTAAAAAAAAACTGAATTGTACACATTCAAATATATATAATATTGAATTTTATTTCAGTTTAAAAAAAGATTTTTGGGGAAGTGAAGGAGAATGTGACTCCAAAAATAACAAAGAATCATTAATGTAAAAAATCATGAAAAACTTCAGTGATTACAGAAAAGGAAAAAGGTGGAGAAAGGACACTATCAGAAGGACCACAGCAACTTCCTCAGAACAGCACACAGATCACACCTACACACACACAATAATATCTACAAACGCCTATCTCAGCACACCCATCCAGTACCTATATGTGTGCACACGTACTCATCCCATCCCAACAGAGACACAGAAGGGTGTACTTTGAAAACCCTCTCTAAGGAAGAGTTTTGCATATTGTGTGGTTATGATCCATTAGCAAGTCCTTAAATAAATGTAATGGCTCATGATCAAGTATTTTTAAAATTTATAATATAACAAAATTGAATAGAAATCAAAAAGTACTGCATATAGTGAGAATGAGTACTGTTTGATAAAACTTCTCCCTGTGTGACAGACATACAATATAAAGCCTTTTTTCAAAAACCTACAGGTCACATTTAAAGAGTTCAAAAGACAATACTCCAAGGTAACCTTCTTCATATCCCCTTTCAGCCTCACTCTATTGAGAACCACTGAAAGGCTATAGAAATTACCAGTACCAGAAAGATGATAACAAATATTCAAGACTCCTAAGAGATGTCACTTACTCTCTTACAAATTCACATAAGGATATCAAAATTCTTACCTAGAACTTCCTCATAGTCAACAAGATCAAACCAAACGACAGCTACAGATGTCCAGACGCCCAGCAATGCAATCACCATAAACCACGTGAAGAATGAAGTTCCTGAGAGTCCGCCTTTCCTCCCATTCTTGTGTCCTCCATGCTTTGTCTCTGTTTAGAAATAAATGTAAGATATCATAAGAAGAAAACATTTTACTGAACACTTATTCTCACAATTATTTCTCCAATAATTTGGGATTATGTACAATGATAGATCATTTCAAAAACAGTTTCCAGTTAAATTCTCAAAACACGTCACACAAAATATTTCTGAAAACAGAAAAGATTGTTTAGATGCAACACTAACTTTGAAGTAGTGCAGGAAATAAACTCCTGAATTTTTTTAAAGATTTAGTATAATATGTATATTCCATCCAAGTTACTCATCAAAATGACCTGAATATTACCTCTTTCCAAAGGCAGAGCACATAAACAACTTAATGAAATCACATAAAAATGTAGCCAAATCCTTTTCTCCGTCCCATTTCATTTCTGCAGAATCTTAAAAACTCTGTTAACACACAGAAGAAAATATCTCCCCCTAAACCATTCCATATTCTTAGCCAGAGAGAAAAGGACAGAAAAGTGAAACAGCACAATCCATTCCTACTCCTTTACAAGATCCGTTGAGGCCTAAGGAAACAGGAAAAGGCTCATTCACAATTGGTCTCACTGCAGGAAACAGCTTTGTAAACTGCTGTCCACCTAAAGTGTCATTTATCGCATTTGATATGCTTAATATACCTTATATTCTTTTGTAAATATTCTTCTTACAGCCAAAAATAAACAAAAATGATTTGATATTAACAGAAAATAGTCAACACTGCCCTTAAAAAGATATACAATATTCAAATTTCCCATAAAAAGGAATATAATACATATATCAATATTAATAAATAAAAAGAATAAATAATATCCCAAAATGCCTTCTGAGAAGAGGAAAAGTTTATCAAACAGATGATGGAAGGCCAGGGCGGTGTCTCCCATTTGTGTGGCAGGTAGAGTCGCCATCAAAGTGCTTTCATGTGCTTTGCTGCCGGTGATCCTCACGGTGTCCTGCCACTATTTCTACAGAGGGCATTTCTGGATGTTTATGCAGGACAATGTTTCATCCTGTGCACCTGTTCCTCACATTGCAAGATTTCTGGCATCCCTGGTTTCCCCTGGACTCAAAGGCAAGGAGCTGTCAAGGCTTATGACAAAAAAAACATCCCCAGACATTTCCACATGTTCCCTTCAGGGGCAGTTCCTGGGTGAGAACCAACAGGAAGAAGGACAGGAATAATTATCTGTTTTATAAGTGAAACATGAAATGATTCTCCCAAAGTCACCAGTACAAGTTGGGTAGAACTAAGAACATACTCTCATCTCTACAGCTCTGAGTTCCTTAATCTCTAATCAGTGGGCCAAATTACACGATTTCAAAAAACCCCACTAGCTCTAATCTAGAACTTGCCCTTTGACTTCTAAGTCCAGTTCTAATTACAGAATACTATTAGTAATTTCCAGCGGCTCAAGTCAAGAATATATTGCCAATATATTCTTCTGGAAGAAAAAATGAAATTCTTTGTGTTAAAAGGATATATGCATTTTTTAAAAATACACCACTAGATCAGTTTTTCAAAAGGGGCCATAAAAACTAAATCCATCTGAGTATATATATGTACACTCAAACATATACATATATTTATCTACATGCCTACATGTAGATAAATTTTTTTTTTTTTTTGAGACATGGTCTCCCTCTGTCACCCAGGCTGTAGTGCACTAGCATGATCTCGGCTCGGTTCAAGGGATTCTCCTGCTTCAGCCTCCTGAGTAACTGGGATTACAGGCACCTGCCACCACGCCTGGCTAATTTTTGTATTTTTAGTAGAGACAGGGTTTCACCATATTGGCCAGGCTGGTCTTGAACTCCTGACCTCAAGTGATCTGCCCACCTCAGCCTCTCAAAGTGCTGGGTAATTCTTAAAACGTCAAGTAATTCCTTTTTCTGACATTCTTTAAATATTAATGGATCCCTCAGAACCAGAGTTGTAAATAATATGGTAAATTCATAAAGTATGCTTACCAAATGACAAATGGCCATCAACTTTGTTTCTAATGTGATCTATATAAAAGCTGGCTATATAAAAACGTAATTTATGTATTAAATAAAAATACTTGCTGGGCATAGATCCTATTGTTGCAGATTAAATCAACTTCAAATAGGTATCATTACCTGAAACACAGCCATAGCAGGAGAAGATTGGGTGAGAATGTCTGCAATGTTGGTAGAGGGAAATGGTGGTTTCCAAAATTTTTATGTGTTGTAAGCATATAAAAAGAAAAATACAAATTAAACCACTACTAAAATTTGAAGAAAAAAAGATTTACGAAAGTGAGTAAGCTTCTGTGAGGTCAGGAAGCACCACAGATTCAGAAACAGTTTTGTATGTCTAATTCACTACATTTTTATAAACAGAAAGACTTATTTTCTAACACTGTATCCAAAAAAGAACGCTTATTTCTATATAACATACAGACATATGCGTACAAATCCATTTGCGTACAACACTAAGTTTAACAAAAATACTACCTTCCAAAATATCCACATACTCTAAATATGGAATTATAGTAGCTAATGACTAAGAATTTCCTGCCTTTGCTACTTATTGCCTCTAAGAATCAAATTGAATTTTTTTTTGGCAAAAGGAATGCTAAAACTTCAGTAAAACTGGGTTCTTGTCTTATGTCCTCTTGAACATTCTGTAGCTGATACCAGTCTCTTGTATTTTTCCTCATTAACTGGAAAACAGCAAGGCTAAACAAATATAGTTCATCTTTTCATTCATCCAACATTTTTATTCAGTACATGAATATCAGATAATTTTACCCAATAATTAAGTTTTTATAATGAGTATGTGGCCAAACAGATACCCAAGATGATATTATTTAAAATAAGCCTATACTGCAGTGAGCTATGATTGCACCATTATACTCCAGCCTGGGCAACAAAGCAAGACCCTTTCTTAAAAAAAAAATTAAAAAGTCTATAATGAAATAGCTAATAAAACAAAGTAATAGTTTGAATTCAAATTTTAATCATTTCTCCATTTCTATCTCTCTTAAAGGGAAATGGAGGAGAAAAATTTCTGAGATTCTGAAAAGGAAATTATCATTTATCCAAGTTAACTCAGTGATACTCATTTAAGTTATTGACTGTAACACTAAATATAAGGGAAAAGTAGACAAAATATTTTTTCTAAAAAATGAATGCATGCACCAAAACAGCAAGGGATTCAGATGGGAAGGAGACAGCCAAACACAGTAAAAAATACACCTTTACCTAGAATTTGTTTACATTTTTATTTTAGATGTGATTCTAACAACTTCAATTAAGTTTTCTAGCTCTATGCACAAAACTCTACATTTCAGACACAATCTAACCCAATGAGTCAAAGCAACAGAGTGGTGACAGAGGAAAAGCCTATCGAGTGCACAGATCTCTCAGCAAGAGCAGGCCCAGGAAGTCAGAAAAGCTGAGTGGTGGGAAGTCATTTATGATGAAACTTTCAGGCAGAATCCCTGACAGTCCTTCAAATAATCTTCAGTACAAGACAGTAACTGGTTTCACATTGATTCTGCCATTAAAACATAGAAGAAATGTATAATAAATCTTAGGAAGATTTTCATTCAAAGTAGTTTGTAGTAAAGAGATTTATCACTTTAAAAGCTAAATGTTTCTTAACTAGAATATATTATCAGCAATATTTTATATATCCCTTTTTAATATCAAATAAATGAGCTGTTACTCTAGTATTATTAACCTTATTACTGTTGATATTTACTAGTTCCACAAAGGAACAAAATACTAAGTTATGGAAGGGATTCTTTTTTAAGACACCTTTTTTAGGGGCAGTTTTTATCGACAGCAAACAATATACTCTTGATATGTCATTTGGTAAATATGCTGTGCCTAGTCCCAAAGGGCAGATCAGTTTCTGTCCAATGAAACTGATGAACGCATGGTAAGACAAACCCTTAAGAGGGTTTACAACTCCCTAAGCAAATCTGAAACCAGTATCTTGTTCCAAAGGTATTTGGGAAGAACATCTAGTAGATGTCCCTATTTTCTAAGATCAGAATAAATCTAAGTCTTCATTTCATTTTCTGGCTTCATGTTCAACCTGTAGTTCTGGGATCAGTCAAAGCGGATTTTTACTGGGGTTTAAGAATACTGCAAGAACGATGCGATTCATTTTTTCCCATGTTATTCCATCAAAAGTACATGACCTCCAAATCAGAAAATGTTCCCACATACCACCAAACACAGAAATTACTATGGCAAGCAACAGTCCAAAATGAAGACTCTCCAAAACAAAAGCCGGGGGAAGGGCAATGTGTAGTTTTATTTATTTGGTTGAGGAAAGGGAGACAAGAAGATGAACCCCAGCACTTGAACAGTCACCAGCTACTTCACTGGCCTACTACTAACTGAATTATAGATCATTTATAAGTTTTAGTTAGCATTATGTTGGGAATTTCATATTTACACATAAACTCTACACATTTAAAGTTTTTTGAAAAACACAAAAACTGTCAAGCAACTCATCAAACTGATTATTTTTCCATGCTATAAAATGTCACCCTTTGGGAATCAAAAACTGTTAAAAGTGCATCAGATGCAACAGCTGATTTTTCCTAACTACATGGATTACCTAATCCACAAGAGGAGAGAAATGTCTTCCAAAAGAACTAAAAGTCAGATACATATCTCATATTCTTCTTCATGGCTACATGAAGCACTTTATCAGACGAGTCAAGTGACCCATTCTCACCAATTATTCAAATAATATTCACATAGTACATGCTTATATTCTCTATCCTAATCAAAGAATCCTTTCAGTTGCTGATTAGACAGCTGAGAGTTAGAAGCAGTTTTCATACATCTATTCTTTTCTTTTATAAATCTTCAACATAATGAGTGAATGCAGTCTTTCAATTAATGGAAAGACTATCTTAATTTACAAAGTAAAGCAAAAGCAAATATATACAAAACATTAAATTCAATACATAGTTAAAGAATACTTCAAAGTTAAAGAGTCAATTTAAAATCAAAATAAAACCCTTGTGTTTTTTCTTTGCATTTATTGTCTGCTTCACATAAAAGTAGGTCACTTTCCATAAATGGTAAGTCCTTGCTTGAACCAGGTAAGTCTGTTCATTAATATGAGACTGAATTTATATCTCCTATAATTTTATATAAAATCTAAATATAGATAATTCTTTAAATTCATTGTAATTAACTTATAAGAATAAGAAGAGAGCTTGTACATTTTTTGAAATTTGTAAAATGCAGCCTCCAGTAGTACAACATACTAAAAGGTCATCTAAATTAAGACACTAAAACATATTCGGATTAAAGACAGATTATTCAATGAAATATTCAGCTACTATGAAAAGTCAGTATCTCCAGGAGTTCAAAATAGAAAATGTAGACAGTACAGTCAAAGCACTTAGCCAAAAATATTTTAACAGAGCACCACTGAAAATAAAGTGAAAAGCTGTCAGCTAGATCTAAAGCCACTTTTAGCCTAAATAACAAAAATATACCTTTATCTTCAGCCATTTTGATTTCTTCAATCCATGAATAATAAATGCTAAAGTAAAACAAAACAAAAAAAAAAACTCAAAAGTACTGCTGGCAGGTTTTAGGCACACTGCATGCACTTGCCTACCAGAGCTTGAGACTGGCCAATCCCTGCACTGTAAGGGCCTCTAGAACTGAAATTGGACCTGACTACAAACTCTGCTCACCAGTTATTTTTAGAGGCTAAATGCTGCTAATCACCACTTAGGCTGAAGTGCACTCCCTAACAACACCACAGCCTTTCTCCCACTTACGGGATTCTTTTCCCAGTTGGTCCTAGCTAACTCCAACCCCTAAAAAATCAAGCATGCTGAAAAAAAATGAAATGGAACAAACTGTGCTGCCAGTTTTGTTTTCTTGGAAGCAGGCTTTAACGGCTTTAGCTTAAGCACCAATTCATTGAAAACTCAAACAAGTCTTGCTATAAAATATGGCCCCAAGCCCAGAAACAGTTTGATTTGGCCCTTCAGAATCTAATAAAATGGCTACAAGGAAAGACCATTAGATTGCTTGAATGAAACAAAACCATACATAGTAAGAAATTAATCAATGCTCTAGAATTCTTACTCACAGACACCATCCCAGGAATAATTCCTCCAACAGCAAAAATAAAGCACCAACATAAAATGTTTCACTAGAAAAGGAGGGACAGAGGACTGGTGGGAAGGAAAGAAATAGAAGGAAGGCTGGGAGGTGAGGAGAGGGAAAGAAAAATCTTCAGGAGTAAGAATAATGACCTGGGAAAGATCATCTTGAAAGGGAACTAGGAAAAGATTACACAACCACATTCTGATTTTTTTTTTCAACTTCTCCCCAACCTCATCTCCAAACATTCTCTTCTGGGAAATAAAATCAGCCATTTATTCACTGATCTAACATTAGCAGTTCACAGAATTCATTAGAGTTCTGATTAGTATACTAAATTAATTTAGCACAAATAGTATCTAGAGCAGGCAGCAACCTTTCTAAGTTGTTTATAAGACTAAATTTTTCACTCAAATTTAAAGCTTCACAAGCAAATTAAAAATTTAAAAGCTTTGAATACTACTAGTAATTTCCAGTGGCTTACGGCAAGAATATATTGCCAATATTTCTTCTGGAAGAAAAAATGAAATTCTTGTTAAAAGGATATGCACATTTTTAAAAAATACACCACTAGATCAATTTTTCAAAAAGGGCCATAAAAATTAAATCCGTCTGAGAGTGTGTGTGTGTGTGTACACTGAAACACATATATTCAAAGCTAAATGTTAACTACAATATTAAATTATTAGCAATATTTTATCTATCCTTTTATAATATCAAATAAATGAGGTGTTACTCTAGTATTATTAACCTTACTACTATTGATATTTACTAGTTCCAAAAAGGAACAAAACACTAAATTATAGAAGGGATTCTTTCCTCAGATGCCTGTTTTAGGGGCAGTTTTTATCAAAAGCAAACAATATACTCTTGATATGTCACTTTGTAAATATGGTGTGCCTAGTCTCAAAGGGAAGATCAGTTTCTGTCCAGTGAAACTATTGAATGCATGGTAAGATAAAGCCTTAAGAGGTTGGTACCATAGTCTGCAACCTATGGTACCAACATTTGATGGTCCAGGTTTAGGACAGAGTGAAGTAGGTAGACATCATGGCCAACTAAACAAAATGGTCTCAGGTGCCCTCTGGCCAAGCGTCCTTTCCCCCATTATTTTCTTCAAAGATCTGTCCCACTAAACTTAGTGCTTGCTAAATTGTTAAATGATAATGAATCACTTGTTGACAGGGGTTAAGGTGACCCACCATTTCGTCACCATACAAATTTATTAAGACAAATATTCTGGAAGCTTCCTTTCATTGTGTTGTTTTTGGAGGGAGAATGACAGCAACACGATACCCCCATGGGTGAGACCACTAGAAACCAAACCCCTACACTGATCCAGCAGGCAGCTTGGTATGCTTTCATACTTAGACACCTGGATTTGCTTCACGGCTTCTCCATTAAATTTGATTTGGGGGAAGTCATCAAACTTCTAGGCCTGAATTTCCTTGCTTATAAAATGGGTCTCCGCACAAACTAGGCATGCAAATATTTGTTGGAGTCATCAGTGAAACAAACTTCTATTGATTCAATCGTGACTAGTGCATAAATAACCTTACCCCCAATTTAGAGCTCGTTTCATAATCCCATCTGCCCCTGCAACTGCTGGAGCTGGTAGGGTTTCTTCTCCTCTCTTTACTGGCCTGTGCAAGGTCAGCTCCACTCCAAATTACAGAATGTCTACAGCTAAACGTCAAACTGTAGGAATCACAGCTATTAAAATGTGATTATACCTTACCCCAAGACTTCTTCAACACAGCTCCAATTATTTCTCCTTGACAAATCTTTATCAAGCACTTTCACAAGTCCTCTAGTTAATCTTTTGTCTTTTGCAATAATTGAATAGTTATTTTGATAAAAATGTCTTTCCTCCTCAGTTCACAATGACAATGACATACCTGATATTTTAGATATGGAGATCAGGAGAAAACCCTCTGAAATATCATTTAATCTATCATAACACTTTTTAAAGAACAATAAATTCTGAATTCTGAACAACTGCCTCTTATAATGACAATTCATTTTTATGATGGAGAATGTTTATGAAAAGTTTAAAAATAAACTTAATTTGCATATAGTAAATCATGTTTTTAAAACTTTAGCAAACGCAACTAAAATGACACTAAGTTAACTATTCCTTGTAACAGCTACTGGTACTAATAGCAACTCCAAGTCTAAGCAAAGACCAAACTTCCAACGTGTGTTCTGAGACCATTAGTATCAGCCTAATGCCACTCGCAACCAGGGGAGCCAGGACATATGCCCACTGAGTCGAGGGTTCTACCTCCCTCCAAAAACCTTCCAGGTGAAAATCCATCAGCCTTCTCATGAGTCAGCACTGAATACTTCCTTCCCCTCACCCCGGATCAGCTATCATTACAGCAATGGTTCTCAAACTCTGAGCACGTCAGAGTCAAACAGGGCTTGTTAAGACATGATGCCGACCTTAACCCCAGAGTTTCTGATTTTGTAGGTCTGGAGTGGGACCCTGGAATTGGCATTGCTAAGTCCCAGATGATCTGATGTTGCTGGTCTAGGGACCACATACAAAGAATACTATACCAGCGGTCCCTAATTCTCAGGGTCTCAAGGAAGGGAAGTAGTTCTTGCTTTTACCAATTTCCAGACCATCATTTCCTTACCCACCAGAAGGAAAAAAAAAAAAGAAAAAAAGAAAACGATGACATCAACAACAAAACCCTGCTCCCTGCTCCTCTGTGGTCTATGACATCTAATTATCCAACCCTCCACTGTGCCTCATTGCTGTCATCCACCACCTCCAGTGACTTTCCCACTCCCACCCCATGCTCAGGGAAGTCTTCTACACCCCAAGTCCAGCCGTAACCATGTGATTTCAATGTCTATCCCTGTGGCCAGCTAGACAGGTGCTTTTTGCTTCATTTCTTCATCCCCAGAGACCTTGTTCGCCTCCATTTTATATCCAACACTCATTCTTACATTCTTACCATGGACCTCATCATAAACGCAACCTAATTCATGTTCCTCTTCACACCTTGTTTCTTGTTGGATGACACAAGCGGCCATCCTAACAGATTCCGTAACCCTGCTAAGAAGGCTCTGCTTTTTTGGCTCCATCATAATGACTGTAAAGTGTCACAAGATAGTGAAAATATGATTCTTTAAAACAAAAACAAATTTTTTTTCATCTACACATCGTACCCAAAGTTAACAGGAGAGAATTATAACATTTTCAAACTAACACTAAACAACCAGTATTACCAAATAACAAAATGCAACTCTGCAGACACAAGTCAAACCTGCTTAGACAGACTCCCACGGCCACCACCACTGGGGAAGGCCACCTCCACATGCAAGGGTTTAGGTTCTCTCACCACACGACGCACAGAATGGGAACATTCACTCTTTGATCACAACTTCCTACATCTCCACTTTGTTTCCTCAACATTTTCTTCTTGGATCCTGTAGTTCTCTTATTTCTGCTTCCTGCATATCCCCTCTTCACCTCCTGCCTTCATATCCATCAGTGGCCATCTTAGACTCCACAGTTGACCATTTACATCACTCCAGCGACTCATGAGCCTTTGTTGCTCCTCTATCAGTTCACTGCGTGGACTGCCGTGACTGCCTCCCTGGGTGAACACAAGTATCCCCCGCCACAGAGGCAAGGGCAGCTGGGCTCACGGAATCAAGATCAGGAACTGAACACAGCAGAGCCAGCCTCAGCTGGGCCTCGGTGCTGCCTGCCACCCTCCCATATTCTCTACAAACTCACCTTGCCATTCTTTATGATGACTATGTCAAACTTCTCTGCCCCCAATGTATCCTACCTCCTCATACTCAAACTGCCATAGCCTCATACTTCACAGAGAAAACAGAACCCTCAGCAGGAAGCTATCCTGAGTGCCCAATGCCCAGCACACAAACCTGCCCTAGCCTGCATCCATTCCGAGTTTCTCCTCAGCTACCTCGCACTCTGCACTGTCTCTTCTCGCCCCTTCTCCCCCAGCCTCACTGCCTTTGCCAGGTTTCCCTCCATCCCGCTGCTAGCCCCCATGTCATCTTGCTCTTCCCATCACAGATGAAATTCTCCACAGAGCCGCTGTTTCTCTGTTTTCATTTTCTAACCTCCCACTCACTCCTTACAACCTGTAGGCTTCCATCTGGTTTCTGCACACGGCTCCAGCATAGTGGCTCTAATGTCACATCAATGATTTCCATGTCATTAAACCCAACGCAAAACTTTCAGTCCTCATCTGACTTGACCCTCTCAGCAGAACTCTCCCTCCTTCTTCCACACTCTCTTCCCTCGACTCTCATGACTTCAGAATCTTGTGGCACTCCTAACACCTCTTTAAACTTCGTAGTTTTCAGTCTCCTTTGCTAGCTCACTCTCATCTAGTTGATTTTTAAGTGTGAAAATTCTGTAATACTTGTTCCTATGCCACCTCTCTAGTTCACTTCAGCTATCATCTACATGACTTACCTTTTTCTCTCCTTTGAGCTCCACAACCATGTGTCTACTCAATATCCCATTTGAATGACTTACAAAAACCTCAAATTCCGCATATACACAATAAACCATGGTCTTTCCCCTTTCCTGTTCAGTGTCCTAAATCTCAGAAGCACTTCTGTGAAGCCAGTTGCTTAGACAAAAACACCAGGATTCATCCTTGACTTTTGTCCCAAAAACTCACCTCTCAAAATTGAGTTTATCATCTGGCTGTTGCAAACGGGTGATTACAACGAGGCCAAGATATGGATTCTCCTCAGCACCTGGGTCACCCTTGTCCATTTACCACAGCATAGTTTTTAAAAGCATTTGCGTGTGCCATGACATTAAAAAGTGAGAAACTCTGTCTCAAGTTCCAACGTTCTTTCAACTGTGATCATCAAAATCCAAGTTATCATCATCTCCTAGGTGATTTCAATAACTTAGCATACACTTTTCTACTCCATACAGCAGACAAAATATTTTTTAAATCTGATTATAGCACTGACCTGTTAAAAATCCTTTAATGTCTTAATACTGCTTTCGAGATAAAATACAACATCTTCCATGTGGCCTACAAGGAAGGCTCCATGTGATGGGGCCCCAGCCCGTGGCTCCAGTCTTAGTGTTGTGTCACCCCCCTAGCTGCCTAGACACCTGCCCAAAATACCTGACCATGGTCTTTCCTGTCTCGGGCTCTCAGCCCAGACTTTTCCCTTTTCCCATGTCAAAGCTGCACCATCACATACAACCCCCACACCCCAGCTATTGCCAGCTCACTCTGCTTACAAACCACCTCCTCAAGGAAGCCTTCCTCACTTCCCTTACTCTCACAGCAGTGTGCACCTCTTTACCACGTTATTACACTGCTACTTAGACAACTATACAACAACTGATTTCTTAATCTCTTTCCACCTCCAGAATGTAAGTTTCATGCAACAAGGAACTGAATCTGCCACGTTCATTACTGTACACTTCCCTTGGATCTATCTACTAGGAACTCAATAAAATAATCACTTGTGAAATAAGTGGATACATTCCTTCCCAAATCCTTGATATGGTATGAGTAATCAAACTTCTTCTGCTAACACTTTAGAAATAAGGGAGCAACTTATTGCTTAGTTGTTTGGGCTGTCAAGTCACTTCAGGTTTCCCCATCTCCATGAATTTAATGATCCTAAAATTAATTCACTAGAGGAAAAGACCTACAAATAGCTAAGAGAGAGAAATTCAGAAAGCAGCCCAGTGGTTTCTAGACTCTGATTTCAGACTCAGATTCGTCCCTTCACCAAGTTTTCACAGTTCTATCTCAGGTGAATTCCTCCCTGATTGATCTTGGATGACTGTCACATGGGCTGTACATGAGTGGGGCCAGGTAGGACAGGCTCTGTAGCCTCCTCCACCTGTCCTGGCAAACACCAGATGCTGCTCTCTTGACTGTCCCTGTGTAGAAAGGCACCATGGCTGGAAGAATGACAAGGGGCGCCATGAGTTTTAGAACTTAGGAAAACAAAATTGAGAAAGCTGCTTGCATTTTCATCAGTATTAGTAAACGAAAGTGAAATATCAGCAATACCCATTTATATCAGCCTCCAGGTATTTTTGGAACCTTTACTATCCTTTAGAATACCCAGCTAAGGAGCTACTGCCCTAGCCCACACCTCTGTGCTAATACCGATTTACTGCAGCAGAGAATGTGAATCAAAATATGGGTCCACCCATGCCTGTCATACGAATTTGTGATGGACCCAAACACCACTGATAAGAAGATAAAAACACAATATAAATAGTAGTTAACCTCACAGGCTAGTTCCTCAAGCCAGGCCTAATGAGTCGGCTCTGCAAACGTAATTATTTCTCCCTACAGAGCACTCAATAGAGAAGACGGTCTCATAGAAAAAAAAAAGCATTCCTCTGAGCTATTCAATTGTCCACATGGGTGGGTGATAATTATTAGCATGGTGTTCAAAATAAGACAGTCTCTCACTGGCCTGAGAGAAGCAAAAGGTGTAAAGGAAGATGAGCTATGTCCACTGAGAAACTCTGAGGTGGTGAAAGAAAAGTTATTACAATGAATAAAAAAGGTTATTTTTTCAAAACTAAGAAACAAAAAAGCTTAATCCTGCTTTAACTCTAAATTTCAAGGCAATGAGACAAGGACACACTGCCAATATGGACAACTAACACTGGTTTACAGCTGTGTCCATGAAGACTCTTTGACTTTAACCTATTTTGACAGCAAAAGATCCATGGCCCTCCTCCCCACCAGTTCCCACTTTCTGGAGCAAAAGAATCCAGCATTTAAAATAAAGTGCCCTACAGATGCAAATGGGGAGGAAAGTGAGGGATTACAAAAATTCATTAGCACAGCATACACAGAAGAATCCTGTAAATTATAAAACACACGTCTTACAGTTGAGTTAGTAGAAAACCATAGGTCAAAAAACAGTTGATACAATTATGAATTATAATACATCTTGGGGATATTATAAGGATATTGGGAAAACTCTATATTTTCTCCTTCTGTACTCTCACCCCACAGTCAACACAGAATATTCCTGCAGCCCCTGGTCACTAAAACATGTGGGGATTTCTCCTCACCAGCAAGTAAGCAATCAATTCTGCAGCCAATCAATTCTGCAGTAGACACCAGCTGGCTGTCCTCTAATTCAATTCAGTTCTGACACTATCTACTTGCAGATAGTGTCAGATCCCACAGGTTGAGGGCTCAGTCTCACAAGACTGTCTCTACTTCTGAGGCCAGTCACAAGTAGTAGGTTGTCACCTATACTTCAGACCAACTGGCTATAAATCGGAGTTCCCAACACCCCCTCCTCCAGTTTGATTAA
Source organism: Homo sapiens (assembly GCF_000001405.40). Taxonomy (NCBI): domain Eukaryota; kingdom Metazoa; phylum Chordata; class Mammalia; order Primates; family Hominidae; genus Homo; species Homo sapiens. The sequence goes on from NC_000008.11 coordinate 61,697,615, forward strand.
TGCGCTAAAGGGGTTCACAGAACTCAGAGAAACACATTTACTAGTTGATTATAAAGGATATTACACAGGATGCAGATGAACAGCCAGATGGAAGAGATGCATAGGGCAAGGTATGTGGGAAGAAGTGCCAAGTTTCCATGTGTTTAAAGAAAAACTTTGGCCAAATTAAAATTATTTTATTTGATTTTAATTTAGACAGAGTCTCACTGTGTTTCCCGGGCTGGAGTGCAGTAGTGCAATCAGAGTTCACTGTAGCCTTGAACTCCTAGCCTTGAATGCAATCCTCCCACCTCAGCCTCCTGAGTAGCTGGGACCACAGGCATGCACCGCCATATGCAGCTAATTAGAAAAAAAAAAAATGTCTTGTAAAGACAGAGTCTTGCTTTGTTGCCCACGCTGGTCTTGAACTCCTCCTGGCTTCAAGCAGTCCTCCCACCTCCACTTCCCAAAGTGCTAGGATTACAGGTGTGAGCCACCACACCTGGCTGACAAATTAAATTTACAGAGTTTAATTTAGCAAAGAACAATTGTTGAATTGGGCAGGACCCAGAAGCAGTTCAGAGACTCCAGGGCTGCCACAAGGTCAGGTAATACTTATGGACAGAAAAAGGCACAGAAACAGCTGGATTGGCTACAGCTTAGTGTTTGCCATATTTGAATATAGTTTGAACAGTTGTACCCCTGTGACTGACTAAAATTCTGTGACTGATACAAGGGTAGGTTACAGTCTGTTTATTCATTTAGTTACGTTACGATTTACTACATATGGAAAAGCCTTTAGGCTGAACTTGAAATAGGCAAGGAGGCAGCTTTAGGCTAAACTTAAACACATGTCATGCCCTCTTTGGGCACACTGTCTCCTCTATTAATCTTTGTCAGCTATCTGGAAGCTCCAGGAACCATCTTTTTAGTTTTTTATGGACACTTCATTACTTAGGAATGACTGATTACATCAATGGTCACTAGTGATCAAGTTAACTTTTAGCCCCTCTCTCCTCCCAGAGGTTGGGGGTGGGGCTGAAAGTTCCAATCTTCTAACGATGCCTTTGTCTTTCCTGTGACCGGCACCCATCCTGAAGCTATCTAGGGGCTGTTAGCCGCCAGTCAATTATTAGCGAAAGACACTCTTAAGACTCTGGGAGACCACAAGGGTTTTAGGAGATGTATGTCAGGAAACAAGAAGAAGACCAAATATATATTTCACAATATCACAGATGGCCAACAAGCTCTTACTAAATAAATTAATAATAAAAGTGAGTAACAGTAATAAACACCAACAATGGCTGCAACTAAAAATTGCATAAACAATTAACTTTACCCAAAGAGAAGTCTGGTCTTTGCCCTTGGTTACTTCAGTGGGGTCTCCAGATCCCAGGAATGTTCTGCCTGATAACAGTGTCTTTGCCTGGGGGCTTTGGCCACTGGACAGCCTAACCAAGTGGGCGCTGGGACATGCCATATCAGTTGTGATCTCCAGAGGACCCTGGGGACCCCAAAATTATAGCTGGTGCCTGAAGTGAGGGCAGTCTTGTGAGAACTATTCCTTCAGACTGTATGGTTTGCCTAACTTCTTGCAGAAAACATGATCAACTGAATAAACAGGTGATGCCCTAACAGCGGCCTTCACCCTAACAGCATGAAGTCTGACTTTTCCTACATACAGATCAGTAAAAATTTCACAACTTTGCCAAAAGCTAAATAACCACACTTCTGTAGAATAGTGAATCTCATATTTCAATCTACTTGGTAAGGTACAAATATTTGTTTATAAATTCCAAAAATCCCTCGCCATAAGACAAATGAGAGAGGGGTACTGCAGGTACTGCAAGGTAAGTTTCTTGTTTCATGGGCCTCAGTAAAATGAAAAATAATGAATAAATGAAGTATATTATCTCATGTCTCTTCTAATTCTAAAAATTCATTATTCTAATTCACAAAATCTCGACTCTTTAAATTAAATCACCAGACAGTTGCAATGAGAAAAAAAAAATCAAAAAGTTTCTCTTAACTGTGAGTTTCACTCTATCAACCCTAGAAAATCCTAAGAAAAATTTTTAAAAAGCAGTATTATAGAGGAAGGCACATAGTTTACTTGCAAGACTGTGAAAAAAAATTCCATTTTATAATAAAAACTTAAAAAATTTCTAAGAGAGATATCAAGAGTTCTCTGCAGGAGAATGCCTGTCAGAGACCAAGGGTGCCTGCAGGGAGATTGACTTCTCATTCCCCAGTGGATGTCCACTCAAGCAACGGACTCCATGGCCCACCCTATGCCTAGTTGAACAGCAGAGGGAACTGGGGAATGACGGCTACAGAGAAAGGTGACGGCTACAAGGGAGCTCAAGCTCCAGGCAAAATGTCAGCTTCCCACAAATCCAAGAGGGCAGCAGGGAAGTACCAGCGTTTGTACCATTTTGCCAGCACCTCACTCAAAAGGGCTGACTGACACACAATGGGCTCCCAAGAGCAAGGGGGGATGAAGTATTCTGCCAGGAGTGGAGGCCCAGGGGATTGAGGGTGGACCAAGTCATGTGTCACAGGGAGGGTCCATACCAGGCCTTTCAAAGAACTCACATGGGCAGTGTTTGAGCACCTGTCACTTGTGAATAACCATGCCAGTCAATCTTATCAACTTAGAGAGGAGACTGAGAGGGGCCTCACCCCCTTTTCCTCCCCAGCACAGCCCCAAAGGCAAACCACAGGAAAGCACACTCACTCCTTCCCCTCCTGCCCTGCTGCAAAGGGGAGACAGGAACATAAGCACCGAAAATGAGATCAGCTCTAATCCAGACAGACTTTTAAAAAGAGTGACTGAGATGTTAAGTTCTGTCCCAAAGATGGTCAAGATCCTCTGCTACCAAGAGCAAACAGATTAATCTATCCCAACTGTGCACAACGAATGGAGAAAAATGAAGCTATTTCCTGTTAGCATCCAGGCAGATAAAGATGCCTCAATAAAATGGCTACAAAATGTGCTTCCATATGTCGGGCTCAACCACAGGAAATTGTCAGTTTCTGACCCACAAAAATGGCTATTTCACAGGAAACAAACAACGTAAGAATTTCCCCAATGTTTTACTATGAAAATTTGCAAAACACAACAAAGCTGAAAGGATTCATAACACTTAGATTCCGCTACAATATTAACATGGTATTATATTGTTTGTAGCATACCTATTCATCCCTTTACATCATCACCTTGTTTGTATAATGCATTGCAAAGTAAACTGTAGACATCAGCACACATCTCCTAAATAATTCGGCATGAGTATCATAAACTATAGTTACACATTTCTTTATAGTTATTTAAAGTGAAATTTACACAAAATGAAATGCATAAATTTTAAGTATACATTCCCTGAGATTTAACAAGTGTATACAACATGTAACCCAGATCCCTATCAAGATCTAGAACATCAATATTTCTGCTTAAATTCCCTCATGGCCATTTCCATTGCACCCCATCCCCAGCCTCAGAGGTGGCCCCACTGTTCTGCTTTTTTTCTCACTGTAGTTTGCCGTCTGCCACAACTGAAAGATAAATAGTAAGATATTGGCTGAAGTTGGTGAAGATGTGAAATAGCTGGCATTGAAAATACGAATAAGCATAAGCTAAAAGCACACTAAGACCACAAGGCACTGGTGAAGGACCAGCTGAGCAGGAAGGTGTTGAACATACATAGTTTATTTCAAGTTTACTCCAAATCAGTAAAAGTACTTAAGCTAGTGAACTGTGCTCTTACTCAATGTTACTCTATCCTACCCAGTCATCTTAAATGTCTCACTGATAACAAGGTAATTCTAAAAATTAGCTTGGGTACTTATTAACACAAATAGTGTACTACTTCTAGAAAAAAACTATAAAATAAATACAAGGGGCTTAAGAGTTTTCCACCTTCATATAAGTTAATTTCATTTTAATAATGTTACAAAGCAAATATGTGATTGAAACATTGGGCTATGTTTGGATCCATGCCAGGCTCCCTAGGTCTCCAGGTATATTTACTGGTTACAACTAAACAGATGGACCAGCTAGAAACCACCAAATAATCAAATAAATCTTAAGATTCAAGAAAATAAGCATTATATTTTAGTCATGAAGAAAGTTCAATTTTTAACAAACCAATGTACCTATTGCTAGTTATTACCATTTAAGGAGGAAAATGAGCAGCATATCAAGTCAATTAAACCAAATTACCAGTATTAAATGGCTTACCTTCTCACAGATGTTAGAATATCCCATGTATTTTATAAAGAATTTTTACTTTAATAAACTTAGCAAAACATTCTTAGTAGCTGAAATAGTTACAATTTAAAGAAACTTAGTATTTAGTCATTTTAAATGGAATTTTATTACAAGGTAATACTAGACATACAATAGCTATATTCTGTTTACAAGAAGCACTAAAACCATACACAACTTTTTGCCAGTAAGTTTGAAACTTCAAAGACAGAAAACGTTTTAGAAAATATAACTTACTCAAATGTACCTACCAAGAGAAAATATAACATAGCAAACCTAACTCAAGAAGACACAGAAATTTTAAGTAGTCCTGTAAACATTTAAAAAGCAAAGGCAGTTTCCCCTCATGTCTACCCACACCTCACCCAGTGTTGGGGTAAAATGACAAAAAGGTTCCAATGAGTTTTACCAAATAGCTACTTCTTTTTTTTTTTTTTTTTTTTTTTTGACAGAGTCTCGCTCTGTCGCCCAGCCTGGAGTGCAGTGGTGCAATCTTGGCTCACTGCAAGCTCCGCCTCCCGGGTTCACGCCATTCTCCTGCCTCAACCTCCTGAGTAGCTGGTACTACAGGTGCCCGCCACCACACCCGGCTAATTTTTTTTGTATTTTTAGTAGAGACGGGGTTTCACCGTGTTAGCCAGGATGGTCTGGATCTCCTGACCTTGTGATCCACCGGCCTTGGCCTCCCAAAGTGCTGGGATTACAGGCATGACCCACCGCGCCCAGCCCCCCAATAACTACTTCTATACAAACTATGCCAAAGAACAGAAAAAGAAGAAATCTTCCTAAATTCATTTATGCAGCTAGAATATGACCTTGATAACAAAACCAGGAAAGAAAATGTCGGGTCAGTTTTACTCATGGATCTATTAACTAATCCAATAATACTGAAAATATATAAAACCACCACGCTGGATTCTTCCCAGAAATGTAAGGATGGTTTTAAATTAGAGCATCTATTGTTATCATTTACCATCTAAAGTATGGAAGGAGAAAAACCAAATATATAATATCAATAGGTGCAGAGAAAATATTCCGTACTAATCACAATTCTTAAGGAAGTAAGAGGAGAAGGAGAAGCAGGGGGAGAGGATAGGAGAGGAGGAGAGGAAAAAAGGAAGGAAATTACAGACCCACATCTAACATAAACACAGACGCAAAATTGCTGACAAAATATTAGCAAATAAAGCAATATATAAAAAGGACAATTCAAATCAACCAAGTGGGACTTTGAGTGAGAAAAAGTATTTGACAAAATTCTCAACCTAGAAATACAAATTTCCCCAATCCAATGAAAAGCATCTACAAAACACCCTGAGTTAATATTTTACTTACTTAATGGTAAAATACTAAATACTTTGCCACTAAAATCAGAAACAAAGCCAGGATGTCTACTCTCATCACTGGTATTCAACATGATACTGGAAATCCTAATTAGTGCAGTAAGGCAAGAAAAGACTGGAAAAGAAGTAAGACTGTTTCTATTAATGGGCTTCATGATATTTACATAGAAAATCCCAAAGAATCTATTTTCTTAAAAAAAACTACTAGAAGAAATGAATTTAGCAAAGCTACATGATATAAGGTGCATGTAACAGTTCTATGTCTACATCCTAGCAGCAAATAATGGGAAAATGAAATTTTAAAAATACGATTTCTAATAGCATCAAAAAATACAAAATATTTAGAAAAATGTTTAACAGAAAAATGCGTAAAAAGAGCTCCATAGCAAAATCTACAAAAAAAAAGGCAGAAAGAAACTAAAAACCTAACAAATGAAGAAATATACCACTATCATAAATTAGAATGTGCAATATCACTGTGATTAATGCTCCCAAAGTTGGTCTACGGAGTCAATGCAATCCTAATCATAAACCCTAGCATGCTTTATTCTGTGGAAGTTGACAAGGTGATTCTAAAATGTATATGGATACACAAAGTATCTACACTATTTAGAGCTATTTTAAAAGGAACAACAAAGTAGGAGGATTTACACTACCTAGTTTTAACACTTACTGTATAGCTAGAGTAATCAAGATTCTGTGATAAAGTAAAGGCATAAGGACAAACAGATAACAAAAAAACAGAGGGACTTTGGGAGGCCGAGGCGGGCGGATCACGAGGTCAGGAGATCGAGACCATCCCGGCTAAAACGGTGAAACCCCGTCTCTACTAAAAATACAAAAAATTAGCCGGGCGTAGTGGCGGGCGCCTGTAGTCCCAGCTACTTGGGAGGCTGAGGCAGGAGAATGGCGTGAACCCGGGAGGCGGAGCTTGCAGTGAGCCGAGATCCCGCCACTGCACTCCAGCCTGGGCGACAGAGCGAGACTCCGTCTCAAAAAAAAAAAAAAAAAAAAAAAAAAAAAAAAAAAAAAACAGAGGGGCTCAGAAACAGATTTATACTTACACTGTCATTTGCTTTTTGACAAAGGCACCAAAAGCAATCCAATAATGAAAGCAAAGTCTTTTCAACACATGGTGCTAGAACTGAAATTCCATATAGAAAAATATAAATCTAATTCAAAATTAATGTGAAAATGCTCATAGACAAACATAAAAACTGAAACTATAAAACTTCTAGAAGAAAATAAAAGAGGATAGCTTTGAGACGTGAGAATGTGCAGTTTCTTAGAACACAGAAAGCAAAAACAGAAAAGAAAAAATAAATATCAGCATTAAAAATAAAAAAATAAAAAGGTAAGTTATAGACTGGGAGAAATATGTGCTATATATATCTGAAAAGAACTTCTATCCAGAATACATAAAGAATTACCGCTCAGCAACAAAAAACAATAAAATTAGAAATGGGCAAAAAAGAAACTTCACTAAAGATAATGGGTGTAGCCAATAAGCACAAGAAAAAGTGCTTGACATCATTATTCATCAGGGAATTGCAAATGTAAACTACAGTAAGAAGCCACGGCATACCCACCAGAATGGCTAAAATTAAAAAGACTGACACCACCAAATGTTGGTACATATGTAGAACAACCAATTCCACACATGGTTAGTGGGAGTATAAAATATATTGTACAACTACTCTGCAAAAGAGTTGAACAGTTTCTTAATAAAACTAAACATACACCTACCCTATAGCCCAGTAATCCCTCTCTTGCTCAAGAGAAATAAAAACATATGTCAAAAAAGGCTTCTATAATATTCATAGAATTTTATTCATAATAACCCAAAACTAGCCCAAGTGTCCACCAATAAAAGATGGGGTTAAAAAACTGTGCTATACAACACGAATGGAGCTGGAGGCCACTATCCTAAGCAAACTGACACAGGAACAGAGAACCATGTTCTTATTAATATTTATAAGTGGGAGCAAAACATTGACTACCTACGGACACAAAGAAGGGAACAACAGACACTGGGGCCTACTTGAGGGTGGAGGGTGGGAGGAAGGTGCAGATCAAAAAAGCTACTCAGCAGGTATTAAGCTTATTACCTGTGTGACAAAATTATCTGTACACCAAACCCCTGTGACATGCAATTTACCCATATAACAAACCTGTATATGTACCCCTGAACCTAAAATAAAAGCTTAAAAAAAATTGTGCTATAGTCAGACACTGGAATACTATTTGACAATAAAAAGGAACAAGTGACCGTGTACACAACATAAACGAACTAAAAAATATTATGCTGAGTGAAAGGAGACTTTACAAAAAAAAGTACTTGCAAAAGAAGTTCTAGAATAGAAAACACTAATCTATGATCAAAAAATGTAGTACAATGGCTGCCTCTGGTGGCAGAGGTGGACGCAAGAAAGGGGCTTGAGAGAACTTTACAGGGTGATGAAAATATTCTCTATCCTAATAGGTTATTGTTTTACAAAGGTAGAAATGGATATAAAAACTCCTCAGATCAGACACTAAAATTTGTGCAATTCACTACGTGAAAATTTTACCTCAGAGGGAAAAAAAAACAAATGCTAAGCTCTAGTTAGCTACAGGCACATGTAAATGTTTATGAAAGTGAAATATACTAATACCTGCAACTTACTTCGAAAGGCATGAAAGAATAAGATTGACTAATAGACATGACAAAGCAAATCTATCAAAATGTTAACCGCTGTAGCATCTACATGGTGGAGTCATTACAGAACTCTTTCAATTTGGATACATATTTTTTAAGTTTCATTAAAAAATGTTAATTTAAAAATACTATTGAAAATGTTTTTTAAAATACAAAGTACCCAGACTTAATCTAATAAAAGATGTATATGACTTTCAAATAAGATTATAAAAATTGTCAGACTTAAATACATAAGAAATTATAGGCCAGGTGCAGGGCTCACACCTGTAATCCCAGCACTTTGGGAAGTCGAGATGAGCAGACCACTTGAGCCCAGGAGTTTGAGAGCAGACAGGCCAACACGGCAAAACCCCATCTGTACAAGAAATAAGAAAATTAGCCAGGCATGGTGGTGCATGCCTGTAGTCCCAGCTACCAGGGAGGCTGAGGTCGGAGGATCACCGGAGCCTGGGAAGTCAAGGCTGCCACAGCACTGCAGCCTGGGTGAAAGAGCGAGGTCATGACTCAAAAAAAAAAAAAAAAAAAAAAAAAGAAGAAGAAGAAGAAGAAGAAGAAGAAGGAGGAAGAGGAAGAAGAAGAAGAAAGAAGAAAGAAGAAAAAAGAAAGAAGAAAGAAGAGAAAGCAGGCCAGCCGGCCAGGTGCATGTATAAGAAGATTCAGTATTATAAACATCTGTATTTGTCCCAAATTGTTCTATAGATTCAATACAATGCCAGTAAAAATTCTCAAATATTTTTCATGAACATATTTGATAAGCAGATTCTAAAATCTAGAGAAATGGATGAGGAAAGGTCCCAAAGCAGCAAACACAATAGTGAAAAAGGCAGGGTAGAAGGACATGCCCTATCAGATATGTGGACTCATTACAAAGCTATAGTGAGCAATTCAGTTTGGTGTTGCTTCTACATGCCTGGAACAAAATAGAGCCCGACGTATTCATACACAAGAGGTGATGCTGCAGACTACGGTAAAAAGATGACAAATCAACTAACAGTACAGGACATTCTCATTGGCCCTTTTTAAAAAACAATACTGAATTAGATCCCTAATAACAAAATATACAATAAAATGCTACACCAGGTGGTTCAGAGATCTAAATGTAAAAAAGCAACGTTTCAGATCTTTTAGAGGAAAATACAAGAATAATTCATAACATCTGTGTTATGTGTCTTACAAAAAGTATAAAGGTGTGAACCACAAAGTACAAAATGGAAAAATTCTATTAATATATTAAAATCTTAAAATTCTGTTCAACAACGTATACCATAAAAAATGAAAATGTGAGTAAACACAGACTAGGAGAAGTCCTTTATCAAAAATAATCAAAAGGTTCAGGATATTAAAAAAAAAAAATCTACCTATCAATACTACAAATACAAAACAAAAACAGAAGAATAGGCAAGATATACGAACAGGCAATTCAAAGGAGGAAACACAAGGCTACTCTTACCAGTAACTTCACTAGTAATTAGAAAAATGCAAGTTTAAACCCTCAAGTACTACTTCACAGCCACTCAACTGGCAAATATTAAACTTCACCAAATGTTGACAATGTGATGATGGCACAGAACAAGCTCTTATTCATTAGGGGCAGAACTGTAAGTTGATACAACCACTTGGGGGTTAAAAAATGGCAATATCCAGTAAAGTCTAATGTGTGTACTTTCTATGACCCACAATTCCAATTCCAGATTATGCCCTAGAAAAACACTCAGACATGTATGCATGGGGAGAGATAGGCACATACATGTACAGGGCAGCATTATTTGAAAGAAAAAAAGTGGCCTGCGATAGGATGGCTAAATGAAAAGCAAGGCATATTCATATGGTGTAGAACTACATATGTGAAAATAAAGAACTGGAGTTTGGAGGAATTTCAAACAAATGCTGTCAAAATAGTATGCCAAGTAGAAGCCTGTTCACAAAACTTTTAATACGTGCTATACAGTATATATACATATATGTGTGTGTGTGTATAGGTATATTTCTACACATAGGGATATAGATATACTTCCTGGGCAGTTTTCAAATACATTGATTTAATAATAGATACAGTTTACATGTGTGGATACATAATGTGTATGTGCTACATGTTATATATTATTTTGTGCATATATACCTGTATTTATGATAATGACTACCATAAAATGTTTAACAATGGTTAGGAAGGAATACCACAGGAGAGGAAAATCTAGGAATCTGATAATGTTTCATTTCTTCGCCTATATGGTCAGTACATGGGCATCCACTGCATTACTCTCTACAATTATTTATAGGCTTAAATATGTACTATTTCAAATACATACAATTTTAAAGAGCAATACACAGAAATATTTTTATTATAAAGGTTAGAGAACTAGCTCTCTGCCAAAAAGCAAATCCATGAAACAACTTACAAAAACTCAGTGACAAGCATCTTATACAAATTGACTTGATTCAAAGAATGGAAAAGTAGTTAAATGCTAGATATTCTTTCAACAAATATTTACAACACAGATTTTGAGGTTTATGTAAGTCAAAAAATTAAGTGTCCTAAATAAAATTTACAAGTGAAACTAAGACCAAAAGAGTCTTTCCAGTATACCAAGAAAATTGAAATTGAAAGCAGCCTGTGAAAGATAGGGACAAAAACTGTATATTAGAAGAATAATAAATAAGAAAAAGAAGTTACAGACAGGATAGAACAACAAAATAATAGTGACTCTGCACTATGGAATGGTAGAAATGGCTGTCAAACCTATGTAAAATATGAGAAAAGGCAGTTACAACAATGCTGGTTGTGAAATAAAATTATCAAAGGATATTCTCCTACTTTAAATTTAAGACTGATCCTTGGGGTCTTAAGTACAGGATGAGTCACTGGGTTCAACGTGTGGGCACACATGTAGGAGAGAAGTGCTGGCATTTCTCCAAGTACAGAGATAGTGGCTGCCCTTGGAAACCTGACTATAACTGGACAGCAACCACTCCCACCCCCCAGCCCCCCACCCCTCAACCAAGTCAATTCACCAATGCTCTCCGCTCTGGAGCACACATAGTATCTACGGCAGATGATGACAGTCACATGACTAGGCAAGTGACCTGAATCTCACAGGGGGCCGAATAGCCCAGATCCTTCAAAAGATGATTTTCTTTTTAAAAAGAGTTATTCACCAAGGGAGCTCAACATTTCCTTTGAGTCTAATAGGTTATCTAAACCAAATTTGTCCTCAGCTGTGGCCAATTTGATAGGAACTGAATTACATTCAGTGATTTGCCGTTAAAAGATAACCACATCAGCCAAAGGTAACCAAGACACATCCCTGAAAAACAAAGATCAAATGCAGGACAAAAGCCTGAAGCATCCCTCACATCAGGGGAATAAAATACTAAAATTTTAAAAATAATGACTAACAAGAAAATACCATCTTGGCTCCCAGCAGTACCAGAAGAAAGTATAATTAAAAAAAAGTTAAAGCACTGGCCTCCAGACTATACTCCCACAGTGGTACACAGGGAAGAAAAGAACATCCTGAATCCTTAGTCCTCTAATAAAAATGGCCAGAGCTGCAGGACCGAACCAGAGAAACTCATCACACCCACATGTGCAGTGCAGAGCAGACACTGGCAGCAGATAATGAAGCAAGCAGCCCTTGCACCTCCACATTTCCCGATAGATGGCTGAGGCTTTTCCCCGGAGGTTTAGGTGGGGTGTACATAGGTTATATGTACATACAGGGTTTATTAAAGAGAAGTTCATTTGAAAAACATTTTTGTACCTTGGTACAGAATGAAGTCAAGCCATTTAGAGGTGATATGGAAGTATCCAAGCCACAAACTAAGCTGCATATTTTCATGATATTAAAACAGTGGCTGGAGTTACCTCAAAAGACTAAATATATCTGAGCCTGGGTAAGATAAAATAATGTTACAGATTTCTGAGCCATTAAGGGCAAATCACCAACTTGAAAGTTGATGTGCAAATGGATACTTACACCTCCAGAAGCTGAGAGAAATGTATCGAGCAGTCCTCAAAGCATAGTATAAACTCTATCTCAAGAATATACATTTTACTTAACACAAAGATGCTATGGAACATGAAAATAAATAAATAAATAAGAATAAATCATCAAAAAAGTCAAAGCATGCAATGGCCTGATGACATCTACACTTTTATAGTCTCCAAAGTTTTGCACTCACCCCTACTATTAGACGTACTTTAACGGAAACAACTGAGAAACACAAAGCCATATGAAATCAGCATTAGTGATATCAAAACTCTGAAAAGAAAGTAGATAATAATTCTTTACATTTAAGGAGGCTGGGAACAGAGATTTTTAGCGATTCTTGGTTCTGATTCTTACACAGATATGATCCAGGTCATCATATTCCTTCTCCCAAACTGCACTAGCTTTCTGGAGAAAAGGGTTTTTCTATTGGAACCAGAGAGCTCAGGGGCTAAGTATCTGATATTAACTAACAACAAGATGGATAGACCCTATGAGCCTTTATCCAAGTTCCTCTGTTGATAACTGGCTGAAAATGAAAATGTCATACATTCATTTTCTAATAATCTCTATGAGACAGATTATTTTAAAGCAAGACTAAAATATAGTCCAAAATATAGAACTTTCACTTCCACAGACCACCAGAGGTTAACTGGTCTCTGGAAAATGTGTTCATAAACTCCCTCAGAACATTATTTAGTGCTTGGTTTCATATGATTTGGTCAGGATGGACAAAATGCTGTTGAACTGAACACAAAATAGCTGACGGTTCTTGCAGTGGAAGAATTATGGTCCTCCTATGTTTTCATCTTAGAATGAGTAATGGAGGATTAAGCAATTGGCTCTGATGGTCTTTGGCTAAAGAAAGAAAATTTTGCTAGGGCCTCTTCATTCAAGGGCTCCACAATGCAATCAGCAGTGTATTGAATCCCTCAGTTACTTAGTAATCTAAGAGACACTCAAAGTAGAAAGAAAAAGGAAGCTAAACTAAACTCAGAAGTGTGTTTCTAAATGACAAATACTCATCAAATGAAGCTGTTAATGTTTTACAGGCAGTACAGGAATATATTTCATTCTAATTAAGCCTAAACAAAAAGGCTGCTCAATCTACTGAGACACCTTGAGAGAGTTAAAAAGTAGCTAAGAGTTTTTAAGTGCTTATCTATCAATAGTTTTGAGTATATACAGACGGATTAAATAATAATTAAAACCTGCTGTTACATAACCCCAAGCTTCAAACTAAAAGGGGGATATATTCTACAGTGACACCTAGTGGCAAAAGTTAATGTAGTAGCAGGACACCCAGACAAAATAAACAGGGAGATGGAAAGCTGCTAGGAGATACAGGGAGTTAAGGGGTGATACTCAAAAGGGAAAAACTAAACAAACAAACAGAAAACATTACACATACGAGTGTCTACAAAATAAGCCCAAAAGGACATCATGATCCTTCTTTGTCAAACTATTTTCAAATCAATAAATTTGAAAAAGGCTTCCCCTGGGCCCAACTGGCCATGCAAGTCCAGTTCTATATGCAAAATAAAGGTAGGAAGTCTAATTTATTCATGTTTCTTTTATATTATAAAGAGTAAAACTGAAAAAAAAGTAAAATTGAACTCTGTAGAAAACCATTTTATCATTTTTCAGCTTAAGCTGAAGAAAATAAAAAGCAGACACTTGCTTTAAAAATCTGTGATATAAATTCCCCAAATTCCAGCTTCCAAACATCACTTTTCAGCAAAAAAACCACCAAGATAAAGTTTGGCCAGGAAAAAAAAAAGAAATCACCTTTTCCCTAAAATGCATGTTTCAAATGACTGGGTTCTTTTTTCCCCATACGTTTACACAACAACTTAAGAAATAATAATGTTTAATGTGACCAATGCCGTCATTTTCTGACTCTCAATGTAAGACATATCAAAAAACGTACTATTTGAACACATATACTTCTTCTCAAACTAAAATTTCAAATAGTGTTTCAAATAGAATTTTTGTCAAGGGAAATGTAATTGGTGATAGGACAAAAGCATAGTTTTCTCCAATAATTAAATGTAGTACTCATGGAGACAGCCAGAAGAAAACTTGATAATCTAGTTCAACTCCAATTACATACTAGAGAACCTAAAATTCAAGCATGGCAAAATGAATAACAAAACCTGGGTTCTTAGTCTCGGTTCTTCCAGTAATTAGTTGAGTTTCCATGAACTAAACAACCTTCAATGAACTCGGCAACTTCTCTGGGCATTAATTTCCTCATCTGTATGATTTGAGCAGGAAACTAAATGGGTCTCACAGTATGACACTGCTAAAAAGTCTTTGATTTTCCCAGTAGAAGGAAATGGTTCGCACAACGTCCGTACTTTAATGACCAGGTAAACAGCATTAAAAGAAAAGCCGGCTTTATCTTTCGAGTACAGCCTACTATACACGACACTGTACTTTAACTGTTTAGGGTGATGGAAGGAAATGGTTTCCATACCCAGTGCCTTCTATCTGGCACACAGTAAGAACTCAGTATCTACTGGAGAAAAAAAAGAAAAGGTTGCGGATATGCGGATAAAGAATACTCATTACGTCACATGCAGGGTTCCAATATCAACTTTTGTTTTCGTATCACGGGCATTCCTCCCTTTTACATATTCTTTTACATACTATGTCTGTTTCATGACTATTAGAGAATCAACGTGTAAAATGCTTAAAAGGCTGTAGATCCTCAAATATGGGCAGAGTTTGTTCTAAAATGCCTGACTATGAAAGTCAGGAGAAGTTAATTTAAGTTACTGCATTTTCTAAACCTATCTCTTGCCTGTTAAAATGCTTCAAATAGTTATGGGGTAGGTCTAGAAACGTGAGACACATTTCCCAGTATTAGTTCTCACCAATAAGAGGCCATATAAAGTGACTTCCCTCAGATGCAATCAGCCCTCTCCTCATAAACACAAAAATGAAATGGAACGAAGACATGCTTCTCTGGCAAATAGCTACAGAAACCTTTTGAAAACAACTAACATTAAAGTTGTTCATCAGCTTTCTCTGCTTAGTGCCCTTAGAGGCACAATGAGAAGAACCCATTCTCATTTAGGGATGTTAAAAAAGAGTAGCCTCAGTCGGCTGAGGCAATTAATCTATCCCTCTGCAGGTTTAAGTAAGTGACATTTAAGAACAAGTGAAAAAGGAACACAAACTTTCACTTATGTCAAAGGTGAATTAATATGCTTGCATTGAACTTCAAACTGTGTCTACATCTTTACTTTTAGAATACAAATATTAGTCCTTAGAATGTAAATTTGTGCAATGGATTTAATGCACTACTTTCCCCATTTAAATCCATTCATTCATTCACTACTCAAATATTTATTGAGCACCTATTATGGGAAAGGAACATTCTAGGAGCTGGGGATACAGAGAGAATGAGCCAAAGACAACACACATGAAAGTAATAAGACAAGTTCAGATAGTGACAAGTGCTATAAAGAAAATACTTCTTTGACTATAGCTGATTCATTTTCTTGGTATATTATGAATGCATGATCTGAAGATCTCAGAAAACAAAGAGTCTAAATCACTTCAAGTGAAGTTTACAGCTCACATTCCATACACATGTGTATTGCAGTTTCAATATCCCAAATATGAGTCAAAGGAAGTATAAAAGAAACCAAGAATCACTGAAATATGAGACGAAACAGATTTAAAAATCTGTTCTCTCTGCTGGATATGCACACGGACGAGGAGAAAGGTGAATATCCAATCGATTTTTATTTTAAGTAAAAGTGGTAAAAATACAGACGCTCGTTCAGTATTTCATGACATTCTATTTTAAAGGCAACTGCAACGCATATTAAGAAAGCTACATACAAGCAAAAATATTTAAAATAATTTCTGAGAGCATTCAAATCACTCCCAACTTCTTCCCTCCCCCTGCCCCCCGGCGCCCCCATTTTCACCTCCTTTGAGTTGCTCTGAAACGCTGCTGGTTAGGCAGGAACTCACTTTCCCTGACTTTGGCTCATTTTCAACTCCCCAAAACACGCAAGGCAAACGATAAATTGTTCTCTTACTCCCATGTTCAATTCCACGGAAAGCCAAGAAACAGTCGTTCAGCAACCTCTGTCTCGGCTGCGCCCTGCAGGTGAAGGAACCGCTGGGAAGGGGCTCCCCGAGACTAGCATCCCGAGGGCTCGGACCCCGGTCCGCCTGGCCCCTCGCCCGCCCGCCAGGCCCGCCGAATGCGGCCTCCGCCCCGCGCGCCTAAAGGAGGAGCGTCGCGGGGGATGGAGGCGGCGCGCGGTGGGACCTGGGGAGATGCACCCGCAGCGTCCGCCGCGCCAGCCGGCTCCCTACCCCGAGGCGAGGCCCCAGATCCCCGCCCCGCAGGGCCTCTGACCTCTCCGGGCCCCGGGGCTGCTGCTGCCCGCACTCGTGCTACCGCTGCCGGAGCCGCTGCTGCTGCTGTTGCCGCTGCTCTTGGCATTCTTACGCTGGGCCATTGCACGGTCCGCGGGGGCTGGTGAGGGCTGGCGGACCTCCTTCAGTGCGCGGGGGTACACACGCGACGCGGGAACCGCTGGCGGCGGCGGGCCGCTGGAGCGGGTTCGGGCCGCTGCTCCTGCAGCAGACCCTGTGCCTCAGCACCGCCTGCAGCACCTGGGAAGACTTCACCCGCCTGCCGGCTGCGCGCGCCCGGCCTCGCGTGTACGAACCTGTGACTCCCTCCCGGGGCGAGAGCGCGCGGCTCGCCGCCCGACGGCCACGCCCCTTCCCGGCCTCGCCCCGCCCCCGGAAGGCTGAGTGACGGCGCCTGGGACCCAATCGCAAGGGCCCTTACGAGGCGGCGGTACCCTGCCGCGCTCCCCGCCCCTGCTCACTTAGGGCTGTTCGGGCGCTACGCAGCTGCCTGTGAGCGCGAGCCTCTTTCGGCTTTCCAGTTTGTCTCGGTCCTTTGGAACGTGGCAAACGTGGAAGCCGAGAGGGCTCTCGCGAGCGTTGGCAGACCCCGCTCCATAGGGATGGGACAGGGCGCGGTGCGGAATAGGTGGACACGTGGGCCGCCCGTGGGCGGAGTGCGCCGCTTCTAGGCCTTTCACTGTGGATTTTGTCCCCTTTCCGTATACAAGGAAAGGAAGGAGTGCAGTCTCGCTTCTTGCGAAAGAGATCCCTATTTCTTGTCCTGATTAATACTAAGACATTTCTGGAATGGTGATATTAGGACTAGTTCAATGCTTAAACCGTAGTAGTTCATCCATTTGGTGCTGAAGCAGGAATTTAGTTCGTTTGTGCCATCAGTATTTTCAGATACTCTTAGTTAAGGAATGAAAATGCAAATGTGACACAAAAAGTTCATTTTCTTACCCTGGATGGCACCCTCTGTCTGAAATCCCTGGCTGCTTTGCTAACGCCTGGGCCTGTGCTGCCTGAGAATTCCCAACAGAGTATTAAAATGTCTTGGCACGTGGTTGAACCAGACAAGGACTTGAGATCAGCGACGTCTTTATCATCTTTGTGTCACCATTGCTAACACCATGCCCAATGTGTAACAGGCAAGCAAGAAATGCTTAGTGATTTGATACATTTCTGTCAATTGCTGAACCCACAGCTCTTGATCATGTTTCGTAGCAACCCCTGGGAGTGTCTCAGGAGGGCTCAGGGACCAGAGAGAGCAGTTGCATTGTGGCATCTGGTTTCATTCCTCTTTTCCAGCCCCACAAACCCACCCACCCGCGCCTTCAGAAGCACTCCCGCCTCCCCCCGGCCCCATGCCTTTTCACCTGTGGATGGTTGGATGCTGCTTGACCCTGCCCTGATGATGCACAGAAACCCCCCAAAGGTCATGTTGCAGAATAAAGAGAATGCCTTTCTTTACCTTTTGTCAAATAGTGTTAGGCTATTATCAAGAGACGGTGGGAGGGGAGAGTTCACAGAGTTTTTATTGAAGTAGCTCTCTCAGCTTTTATCTTGTGGCATCTCCTTCTGCATCCATATATCCTTTCTCCCATTCAGGGCCCCCTTACAACCCTCTATTATATTATCTCAATGAAGGAGGTGGAGAACTGGATTAAGAAATAAATCTGAGTGATGGTGCTTCATATAAAATAAAAATGAGAGCTAAATTTCAAAACACAATGCTCTAGCCACCCCCCACCCCCCACACCAAAGATATTTTTACCCTTAAATTCTCACAAAACCCTGTAGTCATATCAATTTTTTAAAGAAATTAGATACTGGAAGCTCAGAGAGATAAAACAAAGTAGGGTCACTGTATTAGTCCGTTTTCACACTGCAGATAAAGACATATCCCAGACTGGAAAGAAAAAGGGGTTTAATTGGAGTTACAGTTCCACATGGCTGGGGAGGCCTCAGAATCATGGCAGGAGGTGAAAGGCACTTCTTACATGGAGGTGGCAAGAGAAAATGAGGAAGAAGTAAAAGCAGAAACCCCCAATAAACCCATTAGGTTTCATGAGAATTAATTCACTATCACGAGAATAGCACAGGAAAGACCGGCCCCCATGATTCAATTACCTCCCTCTGGGTTCTTCCCAAAACACATGGGAATTCTGAGAGATACAATTTGATGTTGAGATTTGAATGGGATCACAGCCAAACTATATCATTCTGCCCCAGTCCCTCCAAATTTCATGCCCTCACATTTCAGAACCAATCATGTTTTCCCAACAGTCCCCCAAAGCCTTAACTCATTTCAGCATTAACCCAAAAGTCCACAGTCCAAAGTCTCATCTGAGACAAGGCAAGTCCCTTCTACCTAAGAGCCTGTAAAATCAAAAGTAAGCTAGTTACTTCTTAGATACAATGAGGGTACAGGTATTGGGTAAATACAGCCATTTCAAATGGGAGAAATTGGCCAAAACAGCGGGGTTACAGGGCCCATGCAAGTCTGAATTCGAGTGGGGCAGTCAAATTTTAAAGCTCCAGAATTATCTCCTTTGACTCCAGGTCTCATATCCAGGTCACTCTGATGCAAGAGGTGGGTTCCCATGGTTTTGGGCAGCTGCATCCCTGTGGCTTTGCAGGGTACAGCCTCCCTCCCAGCTGCTTTCACGGGCTGATATTGAGTGTCTGCGGCTTTTCCAGGTGCACAGTGCAAGCTGTCAGTGGATCTACCATTCTGGGGTCTAGAGGATGGTAGCAGTCTTCTCACAGCTCCACTAGGCAGTGACCCAGTATGGACTCTGTGTGGGGGCTCTGACCCCACATTTCCCTTCTGCACTGCCCTAGCAGAGGTTCTCCATGAGGGCCCTGTCCCTGCAGCAAACTTTTGCCTGGGCATCCAGGCGTTTCCATACATCTTCTGAAATCTAGGCGGAGGTTCCCAAACCTCAATTCTTGACTTCTGTGCACCTATAGGCTCAACACCACGTGGAAGTTGCCAAGGCTTGGAGCTTCCACCTTCTGAAGCCACAGTCTGAGCTGTACGTTGGAGCCTTTCAGCCACAGCTGGAGTGGCTGGGACAGTCACAAAGCTAGTAAGTGATAGAGGAGGGATGTGAACTTGGTTGGACTGGCTCCAGAGTCTATACTCCAAATTATTCCTCCTGGATAAGACATAGTTTTGAGTGGAGAAAGTCTCACCTGGCTCCCTTTTCGGTTAATGGATGTCTCCAGGAAGCCTCCTTGGTCCTACCTTCAAAGATAGGTCTGAAACCCAGTGGTAAGTGCTTATCAAAGCCTATCTTTTTAAGGAAATCAAATTTGTTTTATAGCTAACTCCAAAATGCCATTAAGTGATGCTTTGCTCCTGCATTTCCAGAAACTAAATCTGGTACCCCTGACAAGGTACATTGCTGTGTATCTTGGGCAATATCAGGCCAAAATAGAGGTTTTAGTAAATATGAATCACAGAAAGAAAGAGGCTACCTAGCGCTTTCTTGTATCCTGAGGAAACAACTATGATAACATTTATGTGCTCAGTATTATCGAATAAAACTTAAATCAGATGCCATCAGTTCTAGACACAGTTTCATTTCAGGGACTGAATTCCCTCAAGCTAAGTAACAGAACTATACATTTTATATCTGTCTGTACTTCCCATATTATGGGCATCAAAAAACGCAAAGCTTACTTAGGATTCATATATTTCTTTACAAAGGACATTTTCTCAGCATGGTTGTGAAAAAGACAAAGTATCTTAGTATCTTTTAAATTAAAGGAGAAGTCAAATGTCCCTTGTTAGCTTTTCCTCTTTTCTGTAATTTTCAAGCAAACTATGGGTGAAATAATGTTAAAAGGACCATAAAGACAAGACTTATCTAGGACAATTTATTAAAATACTAATTTAATAGAGCTTTTGAACTAGGTCAAATGTGTCTTTCAGGTATTTCCATAAACCTTCCACTGCCTTCAGTGGGATTTGCAAGTGAGAACTGGAGGACACGATTTGCCCTACTTCTTTTTTTTCCATTCTGATGACCCTTTACAACCTCCAGTCAAATTCCTTCCAAATTAATATTTCTGGACTTACTTATACCTACTATAGCATCGTTTTAAAAATTCCACTTTAACCTGCTTCCTAGAAAATGCCTCTCATTTTTATGCAATCTTCCTACTGTGAAGTTTTATTATTGCAAACTGGAACTGAGTATTTCCTCATCTTTATTTGCCATAGTAAGACCATAGTGGAAAACAATAAATTTCAACTGGTCATGATTCATTTATATGTTTTTCATATTATATTAGTGAAATTTGTTGCAACGAAAGGATATTGGTAAGTATAGGAGGATTTTGAAGGCATTCCCTACTCAGTGTTTTCAAAGCAATTATCCTCATATGAGTCATATCTCAACACGTAAATGAACTGTCATTTTCACCAAACAGCTTGACTTCAGATTATCTAGAAAAAATAAGCCTGACTAATATCTACATCATAAATAAATAGAATAAATTTATATGAGCAGAAGTGATTTTAAATCCAGTCTAAAATGGATTTGAGTTAGTACTATTGTGTTACGATATGGTAAAATGATCTGAAGTCACATTAGTTAAGAAACCTATCATTTCCTTTTTCCTTTCAATTCTTTAAATTTCCTATCAAGATTGGTACTTCTTAGAGCCAAAGTTCCTTTCTATCAAATAACATCTAAGTAAGTGCTATTGCCAGTTCTTGAGTTTTCTAGCACAGGGAAATGATGGAATTAACTGACTCTTCTTAAGTCTCAAACTTAATGCCAGAAAGAAACTTAAACATGGAGAAAAAGCCAAACATTAGAGAATAACAAGAAATTACAGTCATGGCAATTCCATAGTATATAAAGGACATATTAATGTGATTTAGGAGTAGTTAGAAAGTAAGAGGAAAAAAGGAAAAAATGTGGAGAAATCTCAATAATTCAATTGTTTGCAAGATAATAATTTTACTTAAACTGTATTTGCTTCAAGGATCGTGTGAGAGAGAGAGAGTGTGTGTGTGTGTGTGTGTGTATGTGTGTGTGTCTAAGTAAAGTAATTATTTCTTTGTCTTTCATGAAAATAACCAGCCTCTTCCATTGGATACAAGTCCCTTATCTAAAGAAAAGTATCCTGAAACTAGCTTCTAGAATCCTCCAATGTCATCAAATCTAAATATATAAATCAGAAGGATTTGCCTTAAAATAAATAGTGTTATTACAATATGCAAAACTGGATCAATTAGTCAACCTAAATTCTTGACAGTTGACGGGAAATCACACATACACTACATAAAATTAGTACTGACACAGTCCTTTTTGCACTGTCATCATTCTGACTTGACTCTATTCTGCAATTTCATAACCACATGACAAATATTACCAGCTCATGCCAAAAAAAAAAAATCCTGAGAGACTTTGCCAAAGAGCTTGCAAGCATAAAAAATAGAGAGGATCTCCGTGTATCATTGCAACAATATTTTATTAACCTAAAGACCACTACTAATATATTTGAAATTCTACAGTATTTCTTTACTTTAAGAAGTACAATATCCATTACTTTAAAAAATTATTTCACGACATATTGTGGCAAATAAACAAGTGGTCCAGAATATTTTGTCATTCTTGGTGAAACTGCTATAATACTGACTTCATCAAATAACAAAGTCATTTCTCTTTTGGCAAATCCGTTTGAGTTAGAGACATGCACCAATATCCTAGATGTTTACTAAAGCTACTTCTCCTAGCCCCAGAAAGCATATTGATCAAGTAAAATTTAGTGGAAGTTGTTTCTAAGCAGCTGTCTCACAAATTATACAAAATTCTGTTTTTTCTACTTTTTAAGCTACACGTATTGCACTTCGTTTTTCTGACTGCAATACAAAAGAAGAATTGAGTAATGCAGCTACCAAAAGGTATGCATATAAAAGCAATTGTCTAAAAACCTAAGTATAGAAGGTTTGGCTGATTAGACGTATCCCAAGAGATTGATTTTTTAATATTCTCTTTTCCAAATTTGAGAAAATAGAAATAAAATATGAACACCTCAATATAGCACTTGGGCTTATGTGAAAATAAACTAAGTTACAAATAATATTAAGGAAACTATGTTCAGGCTACAGACCATAAGAACTGTTGACATTCTCAATTCCATATCCCTGGTGAGCAGGACAGTGTCTAGAGTGGAGTAATTATGTAAACATTTTCACCTCGGACTCTTTGAGTTTGTTATTCCTCAGCCCAGGGTGTGCTTTCTCGCAGAGGGCCACCAGACTCTTTACTCGTCACCCTCTTAGTTTAGCCCTTCAGCCCTGCAGTGCCTCTCCAGCTGCAGAAGTTTTGGTGAGAACTGTATGTGTTGGTATGAAATGGTTAGCCATTAAAACACTGGGCAGCTGCAGGTGAGAGCTTATGTTTGACAGTAACAAGGAAGAAGACATATAAAGTCAATGTCTTGTTAACAGAAGGGTAACAAGTAGTACTTTTTTACAAGTAGTACTCGACCGAAAAGGATTATTTTCTTAAAAATAGGTAGAGATAGCCCATTTATCATTTATCCCATCATACAAATGCAGGCAGCCGTGAATAGCTGAAGTAAGAAATCAAAAAGCAAGCATAGGAAGAAAATGAACATTGTATGGATCTGTGCAGTAATCACTTAGGGAATATGGTAGCTTGACGTAGATAAAGAACTACATTTAAGGAATACCTACTTAAAATGTGAAACCTAACCAATGTTAAACAGATAGGCTGCCAACTCTCTGCAATTATGATAGCTTCACAAAATCGATGTGACTTCAAATCAGAACAGCATAAGACAGAGAAGATCATCTATGAATGACATAAAACTAGGAGGGGAGACAGCAGAAAAAAAAAGATGTGTTCCATTAGCTAAGTTTGACTGGGTCTTTTTGTTGTTTTCTATTTCCAAGTTAGGAGAGGTTGGATCTAATGCCAGAATTATGGTCAATCTTATTTGTAGTTGGTTGGACATGTGTGCATGAACAATAAGAACTTGGTAAATTTCACATAAGTTGTTGTACACTGTCAGTTTATATTTCATCTAATCCTTAAAAAAAGGAAGTTAAGTCTTGAGTTAAAAGGATCATTTCAAGTATTAAAGATCTCCAAGTGGACTCATTAGGCTCAAATTCAGGTCTGCTCAAATTCAAGGTTAGACTCAAATTAGACTCAAATTCAAGGTTCTGCTTACTGAGAAAGAGCAGACATTAAAAACAGCAAATCTCACTGAATGATGCTTATTCAAGTCTAATTCCTGCTTGCGCATGCAGGCTGACTCATAACACAGGCGGTCATAGGGGAGGAGCGGTCATCACTAAGCACTACTATGTGCTCCTCATGCCTCATCAACCTTTGCCGCCAAGCACCAAGGAAAGGTGTGTGGGATGCCTCTGCCCCCTGCCCCTTCTGCTCTTTTCTAATGGCTTTTCTCCTTCAAACTGCCTTTGATGGAAACCTCATTTGACACATGTTGGGCACAAAGAAAAGGAGAGAATTCAGAGTCACCTGTAGGTCTCTTACCCTCTGGCCATTTTTCTCTGACCTGTCATCAATGAAGGCCTGGGAGATACTGTGGACTCAGAATTAAAACATTTTCCTTGGTTGAGGCTAAAAGGTGGGTTAAAAGTCCTGTAATTCTTGAGAAGAATCCCCACCAATCAACAGAAAATCCTCCTTCCTCCTGTCCCCACTCTCAGGACTCCCAGGGAAAATGCAAGTTGTTGGGGTAGAAAGATGGCATGTTCAGCATGACTGGCAAAAATTTGGCCTGCCTCTGGCTCTGATCCTGCAGAATAACAATTCTGTAATAAGTAAGGCACCAAGCCAGAGATATTGGCCAAAGGAATTTACAACTGGGAGTAGGGGGTGGGGTGACATTACCAATAGGCAACAGTCCAAGGCCTGCAAAGGACGCTGTACTGACAGAATTCCATCTCTCTCTGACCCACTGTTTTCTGCAAGGCAAGCACAGCAACCATTTCAGAAGCCCTCACTCCAGACTGGGCATACCTCTTTTCAGTTATTCTAGCAGGAGTGGAGAAGAGGTTCTTGCAGTTGCTACCATCTGCAGGTAGTAATCAGAATTTAAGATAGTTAAGGAGAGAATTGCTATATGGCAGTTGTACCTGACAGCAATAACATAACTTAAGCATACCTTGAGAATAACCCTATGATCTAAAAAGAATGTGTGTTCAGAGTTCCAAACTAAGGAATCTGGGAGTGGCCAACCTGAAAATTCATTTCTTATCTATGAGCAAAATCTAAACCTCTAGCCCATTCTGTGGAAGGCAGGCTGTAGAGGGGATGGAGGCCCTTTGTTTTGGGTTAAATGAAGGTTGCCAAGTAGAGGTTGCTAGGGGGAGGGTACTAAGTGAAAATGCTATATAAACTACTTGCTTTTTTATAAGCAGTTGTTGTTCTCCTGCCCAGGGCACTGCCAGTGGACCCCTTGTATTAAGTCCTCTTAATAAACCCTATGTCTTGTTTGCCGGCTCCAGTTCCCTTCTTCGGCCTTTGAACCTGGTGCCTTCCCTACTGAAGTTAATAGGGGGCCAGCATGACAACCTCATGTTACTCCTTCTGTTCCCCTCCCAGCCTTACAGGGCCTACCACATTGTCAGCTGGTCCTTGGGCCAGTGGTGGGTAATGTAACGATCCTTTGTGATACCTTCTCTGCAATATTCCCTGCACCGAAAAGATTACCAGTCTCCAAAGCCGTGATTCTGTGGTTGCTCTGAACACTCTCCAACTGTTTTCTGAATGGCCAAAAGCTGGAACAATAACCAAAAGATGGAAGTGCCATTTCCCCAACTTATGAGGTAATAGTCTCATGGCAGTGACTGATAGCTGGCTTCCCCGCACTGTCCCTGACTCTTCCTAGGCTTTCTTCCACATATTCTTACTTCCTTATTGCCAACTCATCCCCCTCAGAAGTCCAAATGTAATTAGAACTGTCAAGAAGGATTCCAGAGTTCCTCGCTTTATCCTGTGCATCTTCGGGGCCACTGCCACTGTCAATACGTTCCTTCTAAAGGGACAGGGGGCAGAGCTACAGGGACATGGCACTTTCACTCCAACTCAACCTCTGTCACCCCGATGAGCTCTCCCCATGCTCGGGAATCTTGGGGTCCAAGGCCTCTCTCTTCTCCATCTCCTTGTTCCAGTTTATAAATTAGATTTGCTCCCAATTTCTTAATTCATGAAGTTTCCTCTGCCTAACCATTTTCAAGGAAACTGAATATTTGTGTTTATCTGTAATCGTGTAGCATTACCAGCTCTATTCAAATTTTAGTGCACAACAAATTTTCTGCTTGTAAAAATGACTCATTTTCTCTATATTTTACTTCTGAGATGGTATAATTAAAGCAGTGCTAATTGATCCAATTAAATGCTGTGTCCCCAGTATAAACTAGGCAGGCATGTGCAAGACTCTTTCATATTCTATGTTACACATTGTTATAACTATTCCCTGATTGGGGTTAGAAAGTCTTGGCTTCTGAATATCAGAAAGAGAGAGAGAGAGAGAGAAATAGCATTTAACTAACAGTGCCAGAAATCTGATTCTGCCTCTAACTAGCTGTACTGTGGAACCCCAAGAAACTCACTTGGCTTCTACTGTATCACTTGTCTCATATGCTAATAGTGGCTTGTCATCACGGATTCCTATGTCTTTAATAATCTAATGAAAGCTATGGACCATCATGAGAAATATTATCATAGCCATAAAGTTTCCTAGACAATTTTAGAGAATCATGTGCCCAAGGTTAAGAATATCCACACTAGAAGATAAGGTTTATTCTCCCCCCTCACGTTCCATGATATTAAGCCTTGGTAACTGCTATTGGAAATGGTCTTTTGCATTTTCTTAGTCTATTCATAAGGCTAGTGGCTGAGGGTGGCAAATGAGTTGTCTTGTATCCAAGGACACTTTGAATGCTATCAACTACAGTGTGAAGAGAATGCTCAAGATCTCTACATAAAATATAAATGTGGTTATAACAATGATTCTATTACTGATGCGGTGGATTTACTCAGTCTGACTGCCTTTCACACAATATGAAACTTTCCTGGAGACTGCACTGTGATAATTAATAAGAAAAGTTCCTTGGAAACTATAACGTGCTTTACAAAATGTAACCAATTGTTTACTTCTTAATTTTATGACCTAAATTAATACTATAAAGACATTAAATTTTTCTATAGCAATATCACTACATACTTAATTTTAACCAAGTTCAATAACTATCCTGCTAGATCTAGGGGAAAACAATCAGCTAGAGTCACGAGAAGTTTTTGAAGAAACATAAAAATTTAACAGTATGCCTTCTCTGATATTTCCTTCTCCTTTACTGTAAACTTCCCTTCTTTCCTTAAACATTTCTTGACCCTTGACATATCAGACAGTACCCTGTGAACTATAGCAGCATTCCCCAACCTTTTTGGCACCAGGGACCAGTTTTGTGGAATGGGGTGGGTGTGCGAGGGGATTGTTTCAGGATGAAACTGTTCCACCTCAGATCATCAGGCATTAAATTCTCATAAGGAACACGCAACCTAGATCCCTCTCATGTGCAGTTAACAATAGGGTTTGTGCTCCTGTGAGAATCTAATGCCTGTGCTGATCTGACAGGAGATGGCGCTCAGGCGGTAATGCTAGTTCGCTCACAGCTTACCTCCTGCTGTGCAGCCAGTCCCTAACAGATCACAGACCAGTACCTGTCTGCAGCCCCAGGAGTTGGGGACCCCAGAGCTATAGTACAGGGCAGGTACCATGTAATTCCATGGTACATGAGTTAGGCTATATAATTGCTGTCAAAAAGATCTAACACTGAAAATTTCATCTAGTTCAACCTGTGAATGTACTGTATAGTCCCTTCTACAAACATTGCTTGAGTGTTAGCTTCCTGCCAGGTACTATAACAAATGCATGTGAACTTTGTTTTCAAGTGTTTGTGTTGTTTTGAAAGGAGACTAGCATGCAAACTAATGATCTCAATACACAGTGCTACCTTCTGCCTCTGCCTGCAAAGGTGGCATAGACGAGGGAGCAAGGACTACAGGAGGAGTAAGCCACAGTGGCTCCATGAATACCATATAAAAGTCCTAGGATTCCAGTGTTGTAAATGAGTCTTCAAGACCATGTTGTTAAACATTTTCATTTTACAAATGAAAAAATTGAATCCCAAAGAGCGACAGTGACTTACAAAAGGTTGCAAAGTCAGTTAACACAGAACTAGAACTCAAGTCACCTTACAGTGTGCATTTTCTGCAACGGAGATATTACCCCATTAAGGTAAAAATTGGTTCTCGTGGGAAAAATATTAAAGTTTACAATGGCCACCACCTATCTCAGTCTGTTTATTCTGCTATAACAAAATGCCACAAACTGGGTAATTTATAAATAATAGTGATTTATTGCTCACAGTTCCTGAAGCTGGGAATTCCAAGATCAAGGAGCCAGCAGGTTAGGTGTCTAGTGAGGGCTGCTCTCTGCTTCCAAGATGGTGCCTTGTTGCTGCATCCTCCAGAGGGGAAGAACCAAAGACAGTGAACCAATTCTCTCAAGCCCTTTTGTGAGGACCTGAATCCCATCCATGAGGGCTCCACCCATGTAACTCAATTCGTTCTTAAAGGTCCCAATTTTTTTTTTTTTTTTTTTTTTTTTTTTTTTGAGATGGAGTCTCGCTCTGACACCCAGGCTGGAGCGCAGTGGCGTGATCTCAGCTCACTGCAACCTCTGGCTCCTAGTTCAACTGATTCTCCTGCCTCAGCCTCCTAAGTAGCTGGGATTACAGGCGCACTCCACCACACCCAGTTAATTTTTGTATTTTTAGTAGAGACAGGGTTTCACCGTGTTGGCCAGGATGGTATCGATCTCTTGACCTCATGATCCGCCCACCTCGGCCTCCCAAAGTGCTGGGATTACAGGAGTGAGCCACTGTGCCCGGCCACCAAGTCTTAATACTATCATGTTGACAATTCTGTTTCAACATGATTTTTGGAGAGGACAAAAATATTCAAACCATAGCACCTCCAAAGAACCATAGCACATAAACAGATACGTAGTATATCTATAGTATTACATTTTCATGGGATGAAGGACAATTATGAAAAAATAAACATCTAAAAGGCTTCTTGTGGGGATGAGTAGGGCACTAATTTTAGAAAAGCTTGAGAAACTCATAGCCAGGCCACTGTTCCTTCTATAGTGACACTTCCTCTTTACTCCATGGTCCTGAATATTATTTTATTTATTGTTTAGCTTTCTCTTCTCTCCTCTTCATATTTTCTCCTTTTCTTTTTCTATAATCAGTTCTTCCTTCCATTCAACCATTATAGTTTTATGAGGGCTAATTTGTTTTTTTGATTTTTGATTTGTGTAAATGTCAGGGGTACAAGTACAGTCTTGTTATATGGATACATTACGTATTGTTTAAGTCTGAGCCTTTAGAGTATCCATCACTTGAATAATGTACATTGAACCCATTAGGTAATTTCTCAACCCGAAGAACCCTTCCACCTTCCCAAGTTTCCAGTGTCTGTCATTCCACACTGTATGTCCATGTGTATACATTATTTAGCTCCCACTTATAAGTGAGAACATGTGGGATTTGACTTTCTGTTTCTGAGTTGTTCCACTTAAAACAGTGGCCTCCAGTTCCATTCATGTCATTGCAAAAGACATGATTTCATTCTTTTTGATGGCCGAATAGTATTCCATTGTGTATATATGCCACATTTTCTTTATCCAGTCATCCATTGATGAACACTTAGGTTGACTGAATATCTTTGCTATTGTGAGTAGTGCTGTGATAAACATAAGAGTGCAGGTGTCTTTTTGAAATAATGATTTCTCTTCCTTTGTTTAGATACCCCCTGAGTGAGATTGCTGAATTGCATAATAGTTCTATGTTTAGTTCTTTGAGAAATCTCTATACTATTTTCCATAAGGGTTGTAATAATTTACATTTTCACCAACTGTGAGAGTAATAATTTACATCCTCACCAACATCTGTTATTTTCTGACTTTTTAATAATAGCCATTCTGACTGGTATGAGATGATATTACAAGGGCTAATTTGTTTTTAGTGGATTACTTATGTTCAGGCACTATACTTTCTAATATGGGTGACTGTGAAACAGGAAATATAATCTCCCAAGTTTATTTTTTTGTCTAAAAAACGAAATTCTTATTTAAAAATCAAATGCATAAAGGCAGTTTTACTTATATATTTGTTTGTTTGCTTTTTAGACAGAGTCTTGCTCTGTTGCCCAGGCTGGAGTGCAGCAGCGTGATCTCAGCTCACAGCAACCTCCACCCCCTGGGTTCAAGTGATTCTCCTGCCTCAGCCTCCTGAGTAGCTGGGACTACAGGCACATGCTACCACACTCAACTAATTTTTGTATTTTTAGCAGAGATGGAGTTTCTCCATGTTGGCCAGGCTGGTCTCGAGCTCCTGATCTCTGGTGATCTTCCTGCCTCAGCCTCCCAAAGTGCTGGGATTACAGGAGTAAGCCACCATGCCCAGCCTTGCATTTTTTACTTATTACTGAAAAAAACCTTTTTATGATTAGTTATCCATCTATTTATGTACATATGTACAGTTGGAATTCATTCCAAGGGCTTGCAGTTGAGCTCTCGTTCTATTTTATTATCTACATATGTATATAAATAGATGGAAATAGATATTAATGACACCGGGCATGGTGGCTCACACCTGTAATACCAGCACTCTGGGAGGCCAACATGGGAGGATCACTTGAGCCCAGATGTTTGAGACCAGCCTGGGCAACACAGTGAGACGCTGTCTCTACAAAAAATAAACAAAAATTAGCCAAGTGTCATGGTGTGCGCCTGTAGTCTTAGCTACTTAGAAGGCTTAGGTGGAAGAATCACTTGAGCCTAGGAGGTAGAGGCTGCAGTGAACTGAGATTGCACCACTGCACTCCATCTTCAGCAACAGAGCAAGAACCTGTCTCAAATAAATAAATAAATAATAGACATTAATGAGCAATGAGCATTTATTATGTGTCTGGCGCTAGTGCTTGCTTTACATGAGTTTATTGTCACAATCCTCACCTCACCCCTATGAAATAGATGTGATTGTTATCTAAATTTGATGAACAAGTAAACTGAGGCACCAAAAATGTTCAAAGTCACACATCTAATAGTCAAGGCCACGCATCTGATAAATGGCAGCTTCAGGATCTGCACCCTGGCAGTCTGGTGCTAGTGCACAAGCTTTCCCCTTCACATGATCCTGATGATTCTTACCCAAACTTGGAGACTTTGCAGGGGCTTGCACACTTGAGCTCTTGTTTTCCTGAGAGCTAACATAGGGGACTTAGGACCCAGTTCCTGAGGTCAGCTGTAAATGTATTTCCAAGAGCTTGCAAAATTCAGGGAGCTGAAATGGCTGTGGGGAGGGATGATGATGGACCCTGCACAAAGGTGGGATTAAGAATTCTGAAAAGCACAGGAAAATCCATACTGGAAAGATGATGGGATGTAGTCCAGAGGTCAAAGGTCAAGAGCTCTTATGGGAACAGCAATGGGCAAACATGCTTAATGTTGAACTGGCTACTTACAAGTGACACCTTGCAGGGAGGACATGTGCTCTATGTCCTGATGAGAAGAAATGCTAGAATGCTGAAGAACCCTACCTCCAGAGACCAGACCCTGCCCAAGGTCCTACTGGTCTTCATTAAAGGCAGCATGTCAGTTAGGATCCGAGAGAGGCAGATGACAAGACAGAATCAGACATGTAAGAGGTATATTAAGAGAAACACCTGAGAAGGCTGAAAGGGCAGGGAGCAGGAGTAGGGGAGGGAATATTTGGCCTGTGATGCAGCCTGATTCTTGTAAATGGAGAAAGAAAAGGAAAGAGGACTGGATAGGAGGAGCCATAGATGGTTCAGAGGAGCTCACAGAAAACCTCAACTAGGCCAATGGGAAACTCTGGCAAAGTGTGATCGTTAGAGCTCTGTCCTATACTGGGCAGAAATGGCTGAGGTCTGTTACTGCCACCATACTTAGGGTGGGAGCAGTGGCCTTTGGTGTAAATGCCAGGACAAATCTGAAGGCGTGGCAGCCAGGGTCATTGGCCAACTGAGCTTCTCGAGGCAAGCACCCTTCAAAGGCAGTCTGAGGGGTGCACTCCCATGACCACCATAGGCACTTACTCTGGGCTATTTTCAAACACCTCACTAGGTGTCACTAGCCCCACTGAAAGATGGAGAAACATGCTCAGAGAGGGTGAGCAACGTTTCAGAAGTCACACAGATTGTAAATGGAAGATGGGATCTGAACCAAAGTCTGTCTGTTTCTGTTTGAACACATGGCCTCTCTAAGATATTTGTAACCATATTGAGGTGCTTAATAAATCCATGAATTAGGTAAGGGAAGCTTTGAATTACCATAGGGCAGAGAAGAGGCATTTCAGACAGCATAATTTCATCAATAAGCTCAAGCATGGAAAACGAACTAGCAAAAACTTCATATGATCAATTCAGATAGTAGGTCATTGACATTCATGATTTAAAATTAATGGTTTCAACCATTTGTGAGACTCCCTGGTTTGTAACTCAAAATAAATTCAAATTTTATTAATAAATACAGTTGAATATTCCAGGAATAAGCAAGCTGATATTCCTGAAAGGCCTACATAGCCAGAGAGAGAACCTCATAGCTAACTTACGAACCTTGCCTCGACTTAGCTTCCTTATCCTGAGTCATTGTCTCACATTCAGAAATGTTCATAAGGTGAACCAAGCTCTATTTCTTCTTGAAAAGTGGCCAAAAAAGAAGCTGCTAATGCTAATGATGGAAGTGAAATACCTAAAGGAGTCCTTAGCTAAAAATGAAAAGGTTTAGATGAGTTAGAGTATAATGCCAAATTTATCTGTGGACAGAGTCATACCCCAAAGGGGTTTACCATGTGGTCCTTTAAGAAAAAGATATTTGAGACCCCATTTCCAGACAGTGCTCTGACTACCACCAAAATTGCTCACTGAGCAAGGGAGAGATCTTTAAGGGACTAAAAAGGAAGAGGCCAGTTGGCTGCATTTTATGTCAAATCTTGTAGGCTATGGGGATATGTGTGAATTTGAAAGATTCCTAAAGGTCCTATATTTATCTCAAAAAAAACCATTAAAGTCAAGGATCCACTGCATTGTGGTTTCTTGATTTCTCTCCATAGACCTTCTCCCTGCTTAATGTTTTCATTTTAGAAATGGTCCCACCTTTCACGCAAATGCTCAGGCTCAGAAACTCATCCTCTCCTTTGATGCTGTTTTCCTTATAGCACACATTAAATTCTGCAGCAATTTTTTTCAGCTCTAAATGGAAAATTTATCCTACATTACAGTCACCTCTTTTCTTTTCACCTCTATCACAATTACTCTTTCCTAAACTGCCACCATCTCCTAAAAGAGCGTCCTGGATGATCTTCCAGTTTCTGTAATTCCTCTGAGAGACCGTCCTCCCCACAGCATCCACGGTGATTGGCGGGAAGCCTAAGTCAGAATTAGCAAACAGCAAAAAGCCTTCAATCATTTTCTACTTGATTTAGAAGAAGTCCAAAGTCCAATATAATTTCCAGTTAATTGTAAAAACCTATGGAGAAAACAAAATCAAATATTCTTATAAAGCATGAGTAGGAGAGGCTAATATAAAATGGTAGACAAGAAGGTATATCTAAGAAAGTGGTGTTTAAAAGAAAACATCCTGTTCATGGCCTATAAAACCATATGTGACCTAGTCTTTGGATTCCTTTCTGACTTTATGTCCTCCCATGCTCGCTCACTCTGGTGTAGCCACACTGGCTTTTGGGCTTTCTCGAACGTGACAGATATGCTTCTACCACAGGGCTTTTGCATTTGCCTGGGACCCTATTTTTCTACACATCCATAAGGCCTCTCTCCTCTGTTCTTAGAGTCTGGAGGTCATGGACACACAGAGGCCTTTCCTGACACACCTATGACCTTGTCATTCTGTCAATCTCTACTTTCTCAACCTGATTTACTTTTCTCTCTGGTGTTTATCACCATGGCATTATAGTGTATATTTGTATATCTTTCTACTTCAGTATTTATTTATTATCTGTATCTCAGCATGGAAACATATACTCCATTAGAACAGAGAATTTGTTTTGGTCATTGTCATTTCCCCAGCACCTAAAACATACATAGTGCATAGAAGGTAGGTACTCAATAAATATTCATGGAATAAATAAATAATGACTGTCTGGACAAGGTGTGTCCTGTCTAATTAGTTGTTTAGGAGAAGCAGGCACTGGAAAGTGGGTGAAGGGTTTGTGGATTGTTTAGAGGTACCAGTTCCATTTCTTCTCCTGTGGCTACCAGAGGCTTCCCTAGCCCGTGGGGGTACAGGATGTGGCCTGTCACCATTGGATACCCAGAGCACATTGATATACTTCCTGATGGAGTGGTTTATGTAGACAGCTGGGAAG
Organism: Homo sapiens; assembly: GCF_000001405.40. Lineage (NCBI taxonomy): Eukaryota > Metazoa > Chordata > Mammalia > Primates > Hominidae > Homo > Homo sapiens. The sequence goes on from NC_000008.11 coordinate 61,731,774, forward strand.
AGGAAGCTATGGGTAGAATTAAGCCATGAAACAAAGCCGGCTTCACAGATAATCACATTCTCTTAAAAAAAACTGAAGATTCAGGATTGCTGAGACTGATGGGTGGCATTTGCATACTTCTATGAATAACTTTTGCTTTGTATTATACAAGCAGACAAATTCTATTATTCCTGAAGATTTCTCTTTTTATTAAAGTTTCAATCACTTTTAAGATGAATGTACCACATTTATATGGCTATTGCTTATTTTGAATAATAAAACATTTTACTCTCAGTTGTACAAAATATTAGCAGTAGCTGAAAACAGCACAGACTTAAATTATGCAAGAGGTAGCAAAGTCACCTTTTCCTGAGATAAAGTTATAATGAACAGTAACATGTTAGAGCCCAGTGAACATACTCTATCTTCATATTTTAAATGTCTATTGCCTACGTGGAATTTGGCAAACAGAGACTACTGACAATTAAAGAAAAATATTAATTCATGTTTTAGAAGGTAATCATTAAGCAAAAATATTTACATCAAATTCAAAGTGAGTTTAAAACAGGGTGACACTTTTTTCATTCATTCAGTAAGAACACATCATTTGTTCTATTTATTTTGTTTATTGAAATGTGATCCAATATTGAAATGTGTTGGTTATTTTTCAGCTAATCTTATTCAATTTTATTAGTTTTTTAAGTTGTTAAGTGGGTTATGCTTTCCATACAGGTAGTAAAAATATCAGTGATTGCCAGGAGCTTGAGAGAAAGGAAAGAACACGTGAAGCACAGGAGAGTTTTAGAATGGTGAAACTATTCTGTATGACAATACAATGGCAGGCCACATGACATGATGCATTTGTCAAAGCCCATGGAATGTACAACACAGGGAGCTCTAAAGTTAATAATGGACTTTAGTTAATAATAATGTATAAATACCAGTTTATAAACTGTAACAAGTGCTTCATGCTAATGCAACATGCTAATAATAGGACATTGTGGGGAGATAGAGAAGTTAGGAAAGGGAGGGTGTACGGAATTCTTTACTTCTGCTTAATTTTTCCTGTAAATCTAAACCTGCTCTCAAAATATAGCCTGTTAATTGTTTTAACTTTTAAAACATGACCCAATTACATAGGGTCTATAAGAAGTTCAGTTCAAATATAACAATATAAGTAGACTCAAAAGAATGGAAAATGGTATTCCATGTAAACATTAGAAATCACAAGAAGTAGATATTAAAAAGAAGTAAAGAAAATTACCTGGGACAGAAAGGGACATAATGATTAAAAGGTTCAGTCCAGTCCTGATTATAGGCATCAGGTAGCTCATGCCGATAATCCCAGTGCTTTGGGAGGCTGGTAGGAACATTGCTTGAGCCCAGGAGTTTGAGATTACAGTGGGCTGGATCACTGCACTTCAGACTGGGAGACAAATGGAGACACCATCTCTCTCTCTCTCTAAATAAAATAAAATAAAATAAAAAATCCATCTATGACCGGGAGGATATAGCAATTGTACTCCTGGGCATTTATCCCAGGGAGATGAAAAAATGATGTAATAATTCTGTATCTCAATTTCAGTGATAGTTACATGATATACATATGATAAAAGTGACACAGACCTACACACACATGCACATATCTTCTAATGTCAACGTCCTGGTTTTGATGTTGTACTGTGTTCACACAAGATGCAACCACTTGGGGAAACTGGATGGAAGGGACATGGGAACTTTTTGTATTACTATCTTTGCAATTTTCTATAAATCTACAATTATTTCAAAAGCAAAAAAAAAATGATGCTGGTTGATAAAGTGATTTTTCACGGCATGGTTAAATGTCATCTGGGTTGATTTTGTCTTTAGCAGCTTCCTGATCCCTGGAGAACTTCCTTAAGGCGGCCTCCTGTAAGCTCTGCCAGCTGTCGCCCTCTGATTTCTGATGAACTGCATTGCAACACTCCTCTGCAGTCTTGCCAGCCGTGGCTCTCTGGCCACCATTAAACATTTTTAAAGCAGCCCTCTACAACTTGTTGCAGGTGCAACTTTCTATCAAAAATATTTCTTTCATTTTGTCTTTTTGAAGTACCTAAGAAATGGGAAATTCTTTTCCTCATTTTCATTTGGCTTGTGTAGTTACACGTCCCAAAGGAGAAACAAAAACGCAAACACTGAGGATAGGCATATAAGGATTCTACTAGTTGGTGATGAGCTGGGAACTGAATAACTGAGTATTCAGGATGGCTGGGACATCAAAGCTGACAGGAATGTTAACAGACGAGAGTGTCTTGATATTCATGGAACAAAGGAGCAGGGCTCCAAACATTCGACTTTGATTTAATTGAGTTGCTTATATAAAAATACTGGCTGCTCACAAGAATCACCCTGGAAGCTTTAAAAAATAGCAATGCTTGTCCTACCACAAACCAGTAAATCAGAATTTCTGATTTAATATATACCAGAGATACATGAATGTATGTATCAGATTTCACACACACCAGTGGTATGGATAGTATGTTAATAAGTGCAAAGGAGGAAAGTTAAGTTTGAAAAGTCAAATAGAAAATTGTATGTGTGTGTTTGGTGGAGAGGCTGCAAATTAAAAATTGAGTGGTTAGAGAAGAACTTCTGTTCCCTGTTTTTTTTCATTTGCTATTTTATGAAATTGTCTCAATACAATACATAATCCTCAGAAAAGGAAGTCTTGTACTATATCAATGTCAGCTTGCATTTAGTAAGTCAACATTATCAGCATAAGGAACTTGTCTTGAGAGTAAATATTTGTAAGTTTGAATAAGTGGGCCTGATTGCAATCTCATAACTAAAATGAGCCGGAAAGAAAGTGACTCACTGGAATTACTGTTTGCATTAGATACTCTATACTGATACATTGCAATATGTTCCGTAGGTCATAATATTACTTCCTCAAAGACTAAGATATTCTGAGAGAGCAAAAGTTGATTTTGTATAAATCATTTTCTTTTGAAATGTAAATTGTGTTGCTTTTTATGATTATGGAAATACTATTTGATAATTATACATTTGGAAAAGGAAAGAGAAAAAATTAAGTGCAATCTCACTGTGAATATTTGGGTTTCTGTTCATGTAGTTCTTTTTATTCATGTATACATATGTGTTTTTTTTTCTTCCTCCTTTTTAAAATGTATTCAAAAACACACTGGGCATGCTAGGCAAATTAATTATAAATATGTACTATATAAACTATCTACATATACACTAGTATATATACATAAATAATTATACTATATATATATAATTATACAGAAAACTTTGTTGAAATTTATGGGGAAATGGAATAGATGTTCTGGTGCTTTTTTCCTAATTTTTCCTATTTTGCTTCAGCCATGCACACCCTTGGCTATACCCAGACTCGGTCATTATTCAGCCCTGTCCACATCTGAAGACTCAAGTTCTAACCGTTACTTTCAGATTGCAACACTCTAGTCTTCCTCTTTTCTCACTCAGCTTCTCCTGCTACATTACTTTTCAACCATACCAATTCCTTCCAGTCACTTGAACTTTCTATTTTCTTCCCAGTAGCCCCCTTCCCTCATCAGTTCCTTCTCTATTTTGCCCAGATCCTGCAATCCACATCTGAGACTTCCTTTATCGACAATTTTTTGGTCATATTCCCCAGTCTCCCAATAATGAACTAACATAACTATAACTGCACACTTTGCCAGGCTGCACAGACCTGCTGTCTTACCACTGCCAGAGAGGGCCACCTAACCTCATAGACAGGTTCTGCCATAGTCTTCCATTGATTCTCCACAATGGTGGAAATTCTGTTTCAGGCTCCTATTATAGCAACTGTCAACTTAAAAAGGTGGAAATTCTGTTTCAGGCTCCTATTATAGCAACTGTCAACTTAAAAATCACAGGATCTTCATAAATTTGAGATGAAGAGGAGACATTATTTCTTGTAAGGGTTACAGCCTACAAGGTCGCCAGGCTGAGAAGTGTGCCTCAGGCAAAGACCAGAGCCAGGGCTTCAAAGGAAGAGGGGTTGTGGTAGGAGCTTTATGATGAAGCATGCATATTCGACAGGTTACAGGAGAAACTATGCATTATTCATGAAGGTAGTCCTGACACATGCATATTGAATAAAAATGCATGTAACATATGACCCATGTTTACTTTGGGGTAGAGATATCCCACTTAAACATTAGTAGAGATGGGGTTTTACTGTGTTGGCGAAGTAATCCCAGGCACATTAATTCTTGTTTTTACAGGCACATTAATTCTTTTTTTTTTTTTTTTTTTTTTTTTTGAGATGGAATCTCACTCTGTCGCCTGGGCTGGAGTGCAGTGGCACGATCTTGGTTCACTGCAACCTCTGCCTCCCAGGTTCAAGCAGTTCTCCTGCCTCAGCCTCCTGAGTAGCTGGGATTACAGGTGCCTGCCACTACGCTCAGCTAATTTTTTGTATTTTTAGTAGAGATGGGGTTTCACCATATTGGCCAGGCTGGTCTCGAACTCCTGACCTTGTGATTTGCCTGCCTCAGCCTCCCAAAGTGCTGGGAATACAAGCATGAGTCACCACGCCCAGCCTTAAACACTAACTCTTATTGATATGGTTAGACTCTATACATTAAAGAGTCTTTTCAGGACACAAAGGCACTCAGGTGTGCAGCCTCATGTAAAGTGGCCAGAACCAGTCCAAGGGCAATGGTCTCTTATCAGGAGAAAGTCACTAAAATCAGTCTGTTGTCCAATCAAAGCTGTAGCTATGACTGTAGAACAGGGGTTTAGTTAGTCCGTGTCCATGAGCTGGATGAGTTGTAATTGTTTTAATATTGCTTATCTTGAGGCTATTGCTTGTTTCACTGCTGGAGAGAGAAAAAAAACCTTATGGCAGTTACAGCATAGTTTATTCTTTAAGTGTAGGGTGCTAACTTAAGGGATTACTTCACTGTTGTATAAATTGATATCTTATTACCACGAAGATCCTATTTTATCTGTTTTATAATCTCTATTTTAACATGAATACTGATCAGTGTTTATGTCTAAATTCCAGAAGAGAATGGGCGTAATGAAGCATGTCTGACCTCTCATTCCATCATGGGCTGGAACTCAGTTTTCATGTTTTTTTTTTTTCTGGGCTCCCTTGGCCAAGATGGGGGCTGTTCAGTCATTGGGATGCTTGGGATTTTATTTTCAGTTTACTCAACCATCCCAACCCTTCTTTGCTCTCCTTACTTTCCTCTCTAAATTCTCCCCTGCCCCTCCGTTGATGGCTTTTCTTCCTACTTTACAGAGAAAACACAAGCTGTCAGATGGGAACTCTTCAGCTTCCTTCCATATCTCAGCCATAAACTTACCTACTTCCAAAGCACCCCTTCCTCCTTTTCTGTTTTCCCATTAGAAATAATGGCTCTCCTGCTAAGTTGTAGTCCTCTGCCCCTGTTTGAGCCATTTTTATGGTGATTATTATTTCTCCCTCTTATATTTTCTGTCTCCCTCTCTCCTGTGTCCTTCCCTTGGACTAGTGGTTCCAAATCTGGCTGTGCAGTGAAATCACCTATGGAGTTTCCAAAAAAGTAGTGATGCCTGGGCCTCACTCTAGACCAATTTAATCAGAATATCCATCAATAGTGTCTGGCCATAGGTATTTTTATTTTTTTATTTTTAAGACGGAGCCCAGGTTGGAGTGCAGTGGCGTGATCTCTGCTCACCGTGACCTCCGCCTCCCGAGTTCAAGTCATTCTCCTTCCTCAGCCTCCTGAGTAGCTGGGATTAGAGGCATGCGTCACCACGCCTGGCTAATTTTTGTATTTTTAGTAGAGATGGGGTTTCACCGTGTTGGCCAGGCTGGTCTTGAACTCCTGACCTCAAGTGATCCACCCGCCTTGGCCTCCCAAAGTGCTGGGATTACAGGCGTGAGCCACCACGCCTGGCCAGTCATAGGTATTTTTTTTAAGTTTCTCAGGTGGTGCTACTTTGTGGCCACAGTTGAGAACCATTGACTTACTTGTCTGAACATGCTCAGTTCTTTAATATACAAAACCCTGCCCATTCCTCTGTCTCCTCTTTACAATCAAATATCCTAAAACAGTTGCCCACACTTGCTGCCTCCTCCACTATCAATTCACCCATAGTTAAATTTTGTTTCTTTTTCCAACACTCTGAACTCCACAACCTCCTTACTCCTAAAATTAAGGACACCTCATTCCTGGTTGCACTTAACCTGACTAGGACATTAGACATGTATTACTCTTTTCTTCATGGAGAACTTGACTTCCCTGGCTTCTGTAATCCTCCTGCTGGAGGTTTTGCTTGCTTCTCTCTCACTGCTCCTCAGTGAGTTCCACCATTGTTCTGGCATCTGCCTCCTCTGCCTCTTACTCCATCAGCCTCTCATGTTTCACTGGCTGCCATGGCTTCCGCTGCCCCTGTAAACTGGTGATGCCCAAGCATCCCCAAAGTGGCAGACCTGTGGTGCCAAATTCCTTCTAAACGCCTGTATTGTTATAAAAGAAAGTTTGCTTCTAAAATAAGGTAGTGCACCTGGTAACTAGAGAAAGTTAAATGTCTCCGAATAATGACAGGCTCTTAAAATTTTACAGGGCAAACACTGTTCCTTTTCAAAAGTATGTTTTCTGCACTCTACTCAAATAGCTCTTTGAAATTTGCTATCTTACAATTAAAGAGTATCATTTCCTTCTCCTGCTGAGAACACTCTGCTGGGAATCACTGGGGCTTCTCTCCCTAACCTCACCTTTTCCTCTTCTGCCTGCACCAGACAGGTCTGGAGGCAGTGTTAGATTGTACTTGGGCATAAAAGAAAGCTTTTAATTTCAATGTGCTAAGGAGCTAGAGTGACCAGTTTCCAGTTCCTACCAGACCTCAGATTTTGTTATATATCACATATGAGATCAACCTGGAAGAATGCTAGAAAACCTAAAGCACTGAAAAATTTGAGAAACCCCAGGGGTGGGGAAGAGCGGGGGTAGTATGTGAGTATGAAGTAGCTTTGGTGAACCATAGAAGGTAGCTGAGATGCAGCTGGAGGATGAAATCGGAAGGAACATTTTGCTTTTCTTGCTACTGCTTTGGGCCAGACAGAGCCCACCTGGACATCTGCAGAAACCTAGAGCCCTAATTTAAGGGCCTTTGAAAGAAAATCAGGGCAGCACAGAAGTTCTGTGCTTAAGAGGAGCAGAGAAAAATAAGTTGGGGCTGATTTTGGACACTGCTTTCTCCGCCCCAGTTCTTCCATACCCCTGCGATGGTGAATTCTACTCTTGAAAGTCGTTGCAGGCTTGCAGTCATCCTGCTTGCAGTGGGTGAAGGGGGCGGGCCAGTAAGGGTAAAGTGTGGGAGCTGAGGAGCTGGTCTGAGGCAGGAGCACTGGTTGATTGATAAGGTTTGGGGGTTGGGGCTCTCCATCCTGGGCCTATTCACTCCTCCTCCTCTGAGCTCAATGGGGCCATGCTCTCTGGAGTTTTGCCGGACACACTAACCTATACATTCAGGGCAAAAAGCAGCTCACCAACCAACATAACAAGACGTTCGAGCTGCACTTCAAAAGAAAAACATGCTGTGTTACAGTTTGCCTAAGTGGAACTCTTAGAACAATAGGCCAAGAATATCAACATAGCCTGATAAGCACATACAAAAAAAAAATGAGATAAAAGAAAGATATTGGCAATAAGAACAAGAAAACAAAAACAAGAACCCAGCAGACATATTTGATATTTCCACAATTATACTTTCAATAAAATATGCACCATTGTGAAGAGTAAGGGAATGGATACAGCTGAGGAAGAAATGTGCAAACTGGAAGAACACATTGGGAAAATTTCCCAGAAAGGAAGACAAGGCAAAGAAATAAAAAACATAAAAGAAAAGTTATGGAATATAGAGGAGAGAAGTAGCACTTCTAAATAATAGCAGTCCTAGAAAAAGAGAAAAACAAAAAAAGTAAGGGGATGAAATATTTTTAAAAATCATTGAAGAAATAACTGAGATAAATTTCACAGAATCAATGTTAAAAAAAGACCTTGGATTGAAGAGACACATAGAGTACTAAAGAGGAGAAATGAGGAAAAATGTCCACACCTTATAGTCAAATCTAGTCACACCAAGAACAAAGAAAAAATTCTAAAATCTACATATTTAGAGAGAAAAATAAAAAAAAACAAAAATTATATCACTACAGAGGATAGAGTAGTGTTTTCTGAAACAAAAGGAAAAAATTTAGGAAGTAGAATTTTATATCCAGGCAAACTGTCATTCAAATATGGGGACATAAAAAATATTCTCATGCATGGAAAGCTTTAGAAAAATAATATTCTCTCGTACAGAAATCTTTGGACACCTACTCATGCAAAACTCCTCATTGAAAAGAGTTTCATTTGAAGTATTTTTAAAAGAGAGACAAATCTAGGAGACTTGCAAGAGATCATGTGAAGAAAAGATGATCGATTATTTTGATAATGTTTGTTGTCTTTACAGATTGCTGTGACAACTGAAGGTTTGTGGGGTATTAATCTGAAAAGTATTTAGGGTAAGGGATAGGCCAAGGGGTGTGAGAGCATGCTGAAGTTCTTGTCTTTTGGGTCATAAAATGAGACATAGAAAAAGTGAGAACAAACTGAAATAATACATAAATATGGTAGAAACAGAAATATATATCAGTTATTACAAACAAGTAAATGCACAAAACATACCAGTTAAAAAACAAATATTGACATATATTTGCTGTTTACAAAAGACTGGATAAACATACTGGATACAAAGGTGGAAAGAAAAGGATATTAATTACATGTTATTAAGAAACTAACCAAAAAGATAGCTGGTATACTTATAGTAATGGGGATTTTAATGCAAATTAAGACCGTAACGGCATAATGATAAAAGGTTCCAGTCATTAAAAACTTACTAATACTTTCAAAATACATGAGGTAAAAATTGATACACCAGTTGGAAGAAGTTGACAAATTCCCTATCACAATGGGAGCATAATAAGCTGGAGCAGACAAAAATAAGCAAATAAACAGAAGAGCTAACAATTAAAACAGTAAGTCTGAATGAGTGAACTTTTAGGAGTTCTGCCTCTAACAGGTTATAGAATACACATATTTCTCCAGCAAACAGAAAAACACTTATAGAAATTTATCATAACTCAGCCATAAAAAAGCCTCAAAAATTTTAATATATACATATTATATGAACTATGATTTTTGTGTACAATGCAAATAAGATAAGTTAATAAAAGATACATCAACAATTCTCAAATATTTGGAAATTAAAAATCACATTGTGTTTAATAACACATGGGTTAAAGAGCAAATCACAATGAAATTCAAAAATACCTAGAACCAAATAATAACGTGTGTGTGTGTGTCTGTGTGTGTATAGTGTTAAGAGCAGCTTTAGGTTTAGAGACATAATGGGAAGACAGTACAGAGAATTCCCACATACCCTACACCATTTTCCTTTATTATTAACATATTAGCAGGGTACACTGGCCACAATTGATGAACCAATATTAATACATTATTATTATTAAACTTTATACTTTATTCAGATTTTCTCAGTTTTTCCCTAATGTTCTTTTTCTGTTCCAGGATCCTATTCAGGACACTACATTACATTTAGTCATCATGTCTCCTGAAGCTACTGTTGGCTATGACAGTTTCTCAGATTTTCCTTAATTTTGACAATTTTGAGGAGTACTTGTCAGATATTTTGTAGATGCCCACTATTGGAATTTTATGACATATCTTCATGATTTGACTGCAGTTGTGGTTTTCTGAGAGAAAGATCACAAATTTAAAGTGCTGTCCTCATCACATTGCATTAATGGTAACAACTGTCAACAGGATGTATCCCTGTTGGTGTTGACCTTGATCATGTGGGCAAAGTAGTGTCAGGTTCTCCTCTGTGAAGTCACACCTCCTCCCTCTTTCTATAATGTACTCTGTCAAAGGAGGTCGCTATGTATAGCTTATGCTTACACAGTGAGGAATTAAAATGCTGTATTTCCACACTGTTATAAAAATGATGGTTTGAGGGAAATTCATACCTTTAAATATTTCTGTTAGAGAAAGAGTTAATCATCAGAATGAATGAGCCAGTTGTCCATCTTAAGAAGTTGAACGATGAACAACAGAATAAACTCAACAGAATAGAAGAGATGATTAAAAATTACAGCAGAAATCAATAAAACGGAAGACAAAGCTGTCAACAACATGATAGTTATCAATAAAACTTAAAATTAGTTCTCTGAAAAAGAAACTAATAAAAACAAATAAATCTCTGGAAACAATGCTTGGGAGAAGAATAGAGAAGTCCCAAAACAGTATTATGAAGGAACTGGAGTATTATGGTCCACATGGTGGGCCCCAGCCATTAGCTCTTGAGTCCTTCCTTGTCTCACACTGCTGTTCTTTGTAGCAAAGCCATGTTTCATATTCTGAGTTGACGAACTTTGTTCAACCATAAATCTCACCATGGTTTGTTCCACTTCCCCTTACCCCAGTAAGTAAGCAGACCTTAGTAGACAAGGATATTGGCTTCCATTATTAGCATCAAAACCAGGAGAGCACCAGGTGTCTGAGATAAGGTCTTGTAGATTGTGGTCTCCCAAAGCAGATTCTGACATGGGAATTGGGGAGCAATATGTTTTCTGGAGATCAGTACCTGTGAAAGGAAGGGTCTGAAGCAGGATGGGAAAAAGGAGACATCCAACTGTGGTAGAGTTCCTGCAAAACCTCAGACAATCTAGCAGGGAGCTCAGGAATGAGTGTCCCCCATCAGAATGTCCTCCACTGGCTGAAGTGGTTGTGCCTTTATACATGCATCTTTCAGTCAGTGGATGCCAGCTGCTTCAGGGAGGGTGTGACCTTGGGTAAGTGGTTCTCTAGAGCTGAAGGGGACCCCAGAGGATTGACAGCTGGCACTCTTACTACCCAATCTTAAAGAAAATGAGCAAGACAAGAAGACTAACACTACCAGATATCAAAATACATTATTAAGTAACAGTAACAAAGACAGTAAGGAATTGGCATAGAGATGGACAAATATACCAATGGAACTATAACGAGTACAAAATAGAACGACCCATGTGTGGGCTTTTGATTGTGCAAAACAGTATTGCAGTACACTGAAAGAAGAAACGATCTGTTTTTTGTTTGTTTGTTTGTTTTGTTTTGTTTCATTTTTTCCTTTTGAGATGGAGTCTCGCTCTGTCTCCCAGGCTGGAGTGCAGTGGCGCCACTCACTGCAAGTTCCACCTCCCAGGTTCACGCCATTCTCCTGCCTCAGCCTCCCGAGTAGCTGGGACTACAGGCACCCGCCACCATGCCCTGCTAATTTTTTCTATTTTTTTTGTAGAGACAGGGTTTCACCGTGTTAGCCAGGATTGTCTCGATCTCCTGACCTCGTGATTCTCCCGCCTCAGCCTCCCAAAGTGCTGGGATTACAGGCATGAGCCACCGCACTGGGCCAAGAAATGATCTTTTAATAAATGAAGCTGGGTCATTGGATAGTGTATCAGTCAAGGTCCAGTGAAGAAAGCAGATATCACACCATTTCCTTCAGCAGAGAGAATTGAATGTAGGAATGTGGTAAACAAGTGTTAAAGAACTGCAATAGCAAAATGGGCACAGTTAGAAAATAGAGATAGTGTGCAGAAAGCAGCTATCCCTGCTGGGATTTAATAGTCCAAAAGGAAGAGTTTGTGATTCTTAGAACCTAAGAGCTTGAAGGAAAGGCCCATCACAGTGGGGACCTAGACCTCACAGGAAGGGGTACCACAGGATTGGTGCTGATTCCTCTGAAGGAGTGCAATGAGGCTAGCATTGGGAGCATGGAAAAAACTAGCAACCAGAACAACTACTATTGTAAACAAGACCATTGCTGTACCTAAGCTCCTTGCTGGAGTGACCCTAACAGAGTGAACAGGAAGGAGCATGTGCCTGGTCCTTCTCAAACTTCTAGTCTCCCTCTAGGGCCTCCTGCTCATGAGACATCATAGAGCACAGTATGACAAAGGAGATGCGGGGTTTGTTGAGTCCCACCCTGACATCACAAAGCAGAGTACAAAAGAGTGGGTTTGTAGTCCCCCAAATAGCTTGATATCCAGCACCAATGTTTAAGCAATATGTGTATATTACTTAAAAATAAATATTGATCCCTACCACATTATACACAAAAATCTATGCCAGACAGATTTTTAAATGTAATTAGGAAAGGCAAAACATAATTTATCTAGAAGAAAACATAGACAATATAGGAGAATAGCTTTGAGAGAGGAGAAGAGAGAGAGAGCGCGCGCACGCACACAACAGCAACAAAAAGTTAACAAATAATGAATCTAGGTGAAGGGCATATTGGTATTTATCATACTATTTTTCAACTTTTGGTAGTTTGAAAAATTTTAAAACATTTGAAGCAAAATAAGCAAAAGAACACTGATCAATGACAATGAAAAAAATACAGTAGTATCCATTCCCATGTTCTAAATTACTTTCCAGCCTGATGGACACCTGGAGACATTGGTAAACATGTTTGTTCAACACCAGTATGACTTTACTTTGCCTCAAAATTAGCATGAAAGTTTTCTTTGCCAGTACGAAATAATTCAAAGTTCAAAAACAATTTGATAGTCTAAATTCTAATGGGAGGCGGTATTCATTCAATTTTTTAGAAATATGTATAAGATGAGCCAGGCACGGTGGCTCACGCTTGTAATCCCAGCACTTTGGGAGGCTGAGGCAGGCAGATTGCCTGAGCTCGGGAGTTCGAAACCAGCCTGGGCAACATGGCGAAACCTCGTCTCTACTAAAAATACAAAAAATTAGCTGGGCGTGGTGGCTGGCGCCTGTAATCCCAGCTACTCGGGAGGCTGAGGCAGGAGAATAGCTTGAACCCGGGAGGCGGAGGTTGCAGTGAGCCGAGATCACACCACTGCACTCCAGCCTAGACGACAGAGCAAGACCCCGTCTCAAAAAAAAAAAAAAAAAAAAAATTTGTATAAGATGATTTAATTTGACTATTTCTAGGGCTGGTCCATTTACTTAGTATTACATTTAAATTAATACCAGCATGGGGGCCAAGAATGATTTTAAAATATATTAAACATTTGTATTGTCTAAGATAAGTCAAAAGAAAACGCAATCAAAAGTAACAAATTCTTTAAAAGGCTCTTTCTCTACTTATCTTTGTCTCTTACACATTTTACAGCTTCAAAAATCTTTCTTTAAATGTGAAACCTCCCTTACTGCTCAGCTCCAACACAGACTCACTTCTCCCCATGTAGTTTCTTATATTTTAAAATCCATTTTTTTCCTTACTTACTATTTGTTTTTATTTTCAATCTAAATCCTACCTCCCAGCTTCTGGCTTGTCCTTATTTTTAAATTCTTTTTACTTTTGTTCAGTTAAGATAAGGTAACTGCTGTAACAAAGGGACCCAAAAATCCAGGGGCTTCAAGAAAAAAGATTTTTTTTTTCTTTCTCATGTTAACAACTCCAAGGCAGATGCTCTAGCTTCATGATTCAGCTCTGCTCCATGTGGTCACTTCACAATCCAGGCATTTTCTGTTTTAGAGCTCCACAATTCCCTAAAGTATTGTCATCATCTGCATGGTTAAGGTTTGATTACTTTGGATTCCAGCAAACATAAAGGAGGAAAGTAGGATATTGAGGAGGCAGCCCACAAGTGACAAATATAACTTCAACTTGTGAGAACTTCGTCACATGGCCACACTTAAAATATAAGGGAGCCTGAGAAATGTGGTCTAGCTATGTATCTGATAACAAGGGATGAATAATGAGTAGCTTTGTTGGATAACCAAAAATTTCCCCAGACTACTCATTATTCTTCAATTTAAAAAAAAAAACTTTGAAGATTAGAAAGGAAGGGCCATGTGTATGTTTTGGGGATGTCTAGTGTTATGGCTGTGAATAGGTTAATACTGCTGTTTTTCTTGTCTGCAGATGCTTTTTATGTACATTAAACTGCTCAGTTCAATAAATACTTCTTGACTATCTGCTATGTGCTAGGCACAATGTTAGTGTATTCATCCATTTTCTTTCTTTTTTAAAAACATTTTTATAGATTCAGGTGGTACACATGCAGGTTTGTTACATGAATATATTACATAATGGTGTGGTTTGGGCTTTATTAGTCCATTTTCTGTTGCTACAACAGAGTAACACAGAGTGAGGAATTTATACAGAAAAGAGATTTATCTATTGCTCATTGTTCTGGAGGTTGGGAATTCCATGATCAGGGGCTGCCTCTGGTGAGGGCCTTCCTGCTGCATTATGACATGGCAGCAGGGCAATTGAGCACACGAGACAGACAGAGGAAATAGGGCCGAACTCATACTTTTTATTAGGACTCCACTCCTGTGATAATGGCTTTAATGCATTCATAAGGGCATAGCATGAAGGCATGAGGGCAGCTCTCATGACCTAATTGCCTCTCAAAGTTCCCACCACTCAACACTGTTACAATGGCAATTAAATTTCAACGACATCAATTTTGGCAGGGACAATCAAACCATAGCAATTAGGCACCATCAATACAAATCTTAATAACATATAATTGGTTCTTTGGGGAATTTGCTGTTCAGTGGAAGAGACAAACACAAAAAGATGATGTCAGTATACTGTGGTACTTCAAAGGGAGCTTTTGATGGAATTGATACATTTCATTTAAAATAATGTCTGTTATTCTCAAACAAAATATGTTCCCACTTACATTTTTTATAGTCAGTAAACAGGTTTTTCGGTTTATAATATAAACAACTCCTTTTTTTCTCCAAAGAATTCCTTCAATGCATATGGTTCTAGTGGCAGCCACCAATCACAGTATGCCACCTCATGTACAATGATTGAACTAGAGGTTGTCACATGACCAAAGTCAGCCCAATCAGAACTCTTACATCGTGTGTCAGTCCATTTGTGTTGCTATAAAGGAATACTGGAGGCTGGATAATTTATTTTTATTTTTAAAGACGTTTATTTGGCTCACAGCTCTGCAGGCTGTACAGGAAGCATGGCACCAGCATCTGCATCTGGGAAGCAACTCAGATTGCTTCCACTCATGACAGAAGTGAATAGGAGCAGGTCTGTGCAGAGATTACATGGCCAGGAAGAGGAAGAGAGAGAGAGAGAGAGAGATGAAGTGCCATCAGTTCTTTTCCACCATCAGTTGTTATGGGAACTAAGAGTGAGAGCTCACTCCCGTGTGAATGGCACTAATCTATTCACGAGGGACACACCTCCAAGATGCAAACATTTTCCATTAGGCCGCACCTCCAATACTGGGGATTAAAATTCAACATGACACTTGCTGGGGCCAAACAAAGCATATCCAAACCACAGCACCTGGGGAGATTTTTTCACAATTGATCTGGGAAAAGAGTGCTCTCTCCTTGCTGGCACAGAGGCATGAGGATGCATGCTGTGAGTAGAGGACAGCCATGTTCCTGTCATCTGAAGAAACCTACCTGCAGCTGCAGAGAAGGAATATCAGAAATAAAAGGTAGCTATAACTATCTGAAAGATTGTGTTAGTCTTTAGTTCTCATCATCCCTAACGACATGTGGTTTAGGCATGTGAACCAATAAAATATCCTTTATTTCATTCAAACACATTTGAGCTGGGTTTCTATCATTTGTAATCAAAAGAGTCCCACATAACTCAGTAATGGGTCATATACATGGCACAATATTTTTTAGGAAAGAATTTGTCTAGGTATAAAATTATTTCTAACTTTTGAAGTAAAGATACAATGAAAATAGGATGTCATTGTAAAGATAGAAAAGAATGAATGGGGATAGGAATGACATAAATAACTGTATGAAGGCAAAATGAACAGCCTCAGAACTCAAAGTCTATTTTAAAATCTGAAAATTCACCAAAAAAACTATATAAGAAAGCAAAGAATGTAAATTATTCTCTCAGATTTTGGAAACGGAACTTAATTTTAAGTCAAATATGGGAACTTACTACTCTTGCTCTGAGTACTGGATTCCATTTTTACAGTGTTAAGAAATAACTCAGTTGCAAATGTTGGTCATTTTTTAATATTATTATTATAATAGCCGAAAAAAGGACATTTTAAAGCTGCAATTCCTCAGCCTAAATTAATTGAATCAGCCATGCGTTAAATATTATACTGTGCTAAAATGAAAGCTGCAGCTGAATTTTGGTGTATATACTTAGCAGACAGCAATTGAAAGGATAAACATCAAATTTTGAAAAAAAAGAGTGACAACTGCTGTATCTTTTAAAATATAATTTGTTTTTCTATCCTCTTCTGCTCTCTGCTCTTATTGTTTCCTTTTTGCACATCCTCATTTAAATGGTCTCCTTGGCTCTTATTTAGAGAATGCCCAGCCACTCTGTAGGCATCCTCCAAGCCTGTCTTCAGAATATTCTCAATTTCTCCCCTAGAGCTCTCCCTCTGAAAGTGAGGCTGGCCAGCTTCCACTAGACTATGAATGTTCATCCATTAGGAACTCCAGGTCAAGGAGAGTTCTAGACCTTGCTTTGGCAAGAATTCTAGACCTTGCTTTTCTGGTGCTGTTTAGAAAAGTTATCAAGTGGAAAGGTCTAATCACTCTATAGTAACTAGCTTTTAAGTAATGTCTGAAATGCATAAAGCAACTTTTAAACTCTTAAAAATCTAGCTCCTGCCTATGTCTTAGACCTCACCTCTTAGCTCCCTTCTCCTTTGTACTTACCTCACCGATTATACTCAGGTTCTTTCAGCTTCGTTGACTCTCTCTTATTAATATCTTAGGGCTCACTACTTCTCTCTTAACTTGGCAACCTTCAGATGTCAGCTTAACCACTGTTTCCTCTTTCACTGCCTAGGCCAGATTTGGTGCCTCTATTTATAGAACTTGCATCTGGCAGATACCACATATGCCTTTGCAGTGCTGCATCCCCAGTGCCCAATATGGGCCTGACATGTATTAATTAATTTTCCTGTAGACCAAGCAATGATGAAAGGGATTCAGTAAATATAGGAAATCAGCACCATAAGTTAATAGAAACTCCTCCCTGGAAGAATTCCCGGCTGACCGTTTCTTATTCTGATGACTTAGTAGCTACATTTCCACATGGCAAGGTAAATTTATAACTTTCATCTAGGTCACTGGGTGATAGGACAAAAATTTAACATAGATGCTATAGTAAGTGTTTACTTTAACAAGGAAAATAAACACCATTCCTCCTATGAGCTATTTTCAGATAACTTGCATGGTACTTAAAATGTTTGCTGAAGTCCTAATAGTAACTGGATATTTAAAGAAAACTTGGATAAATAATACCATAAGTCACATTTTAATAGAAATGTTATCTGTCCACTTGGGGCACTGGCCTTAAACGTTTTGTTAATTTTTAATTTAATTTAATTTTTAATTGACAAATATTCATTGTATATACTTATGAGGTACAATGTGATGTTTTGATATATGTATACATTGTGCAGTAATAAAATCCAGCTAATTTACTTATTTTTTGTAATGAGAATATTTAAAATCTGGCCTTTTAGCAATTTTGAAATATACAATATATTATAATTAACTATAGTCACCATGTTGTGCAATAGATCACTAGAAGTATTTCTTCTGTCTCACTAAAGCTTTGTATCCTTCCACCATGTGCTTTTTCCTCATCACCTCTCCCCAACCAGGCTCTAGTAACCATCATTATACTCTCTGCTTCTATAAGTTCAATGTTTTGAGATGTCATATATAAGCAAGATTATGCAGTATTTGTCTTTCAATGCCTGGCTTATTTCACTTAGCATAATGTCCTCCAGGTTCATGCATGTTGTCTCAAATAACAGAGTTTTCTTCCCTTTTAAAGCTGAATAGTATTCCATTGTATATATATACCACATTTTAATTTTTGTATTCATTCATTTATTGATGGACAGTGGTGTATTTTTTATCTTAAATCCATTTTACATTGTAAGCCTCTAAGTCTGTGTACCGGTCTGTGTGTTTATGTCTAAGTGACTCTATCTATCATCTCCATTTGTATATTAAAATTTTACAAAATAATACTTATTCTTACTATACATGATATACTCTGGTCTATTCTCTTCTTTTCTGTTGTTATATTCTATACTAAGTAATAAACAAAATTTTTTTTAAAAACTGATTAATGAATGGTTCATGACCTCAAGTTCATAAAACACAAATCTAGTGTCTTTTATCTTTTCAAATTCTTGCTAGCCTCTTCTTGCCTTCTGCACTCCTAGCTGTGTAATAAAGAATTTGCCTGGGATTTTTTGTCCCTGGTTTCTGGTGTGGTGCTTTGACAACCTTTGATGTTTCCTGAGTGATAGAAGTGGCTTTGTTATTCATGGGACCCAGGGTCACACCTGACTTTATGCTAATGAGATGACTCAAAGCAGGCCCTTAGAGAGCTTTAGGAGGAGCATTGGCCACCAGAAAGACCAAGCATAGGTTAGCATGTTGGGACTTCTAGCTGCCTGACTTCCAAGAAGAGGAAGACAGCTGGAGATTGAGTTCATTCAAGTGGCCAATGATTTAATCAATTGCACCTACATAATAAGACCCAAATAAAAACTGAACATGGAAGCTTAGTGACAGTAAACATATCACTGGGCAGACAGGCAACATGCCCTGATTCCAAAAGGAGATGGCATGGACACTTTTCATTTGGGACCCTCCCAGAAGGTACTCCATGTTTCCCTTTATTTATGTTTCACAGTTGCATCCTTTATAATCAAGTGGGAATCACAAATATAGTCTATTCCTGAGTTCTGTGAGTCGTTCTAGCAAACTATTGAACCTGAGAGAGATTGTGTGAAACCCCAAATTTTTGTCAGTTGGCCAAAACTGAGGGTGGCTGGAAGACTTGCTGGACTTGTGGCTGGTGTCTGAAATGGGGACTGGCATGTGGAGGACATTACCTTGTGGGGTCTGTGCTAGCTCAGGGGGTTAGAGCCAGGATTGAATCACAGTACACCAGTGAGGGTTAGAACTGGATACCCCTCCTTGTTCTTTTCAAATAATCTTTTACAAAAACATTCTTGAGGTGAATATAGATTCATATAATCCTATTGAAAGACATTTTTAATGGGATAAAAGTGCCATCCTGATGGCTGTAACAATATCACAGTTACTATTTTGTATTTCCTCATTTTTTTTTTCATATTCCTTAGCCATTTGGACTTAATTTTCTGTGAAGTTTATTTCCATAGCTTTTTCTCATATTTCTAATAGGTTGCTGCTATTTCCTTATACATTTTTAAGCATTTATAAATTAATTATAAATATTAAGTCTTAATTTGTTTTTAATATTAAAACTAATTTCTCTGGTTCTACCTGGGACTCTTCAATCTGCAGAATCAGGGTGCAGTATCTCAGTGTCTACCTCAGACTGATCTCCTTATACCAATAAAACTAATACCAGCCCCTGCCTAGCCTTTTTCTATGGATTGTCAGCATTTTAATTTTGTAATTTTTAAAATTTTCTTTTATTTTCAATTGTTCTCTGATTTAGGGTCACCAGATAAAATACAGGGTCCCTGGTTAACTTTAAATCTTGGAATACTGGAGTTCTGTATTTTTATTTGCTAAGTCTGGCAGCCCTATTCTAATTACTCTTCCAGTAATAAAAATGAATAACTGGCTTTTAGAAATTTTCAGGTACGACACATAGCTTCTTCATGTAAAAACATCAATCATGATACTGAATGCAGTGTTTAACTTGAATGCTAGATTTGGCATGACATTTGACACCAAAGATGTGAGTTTTGAAGTAGATTAGGAGACATTCAAGGTTTACTTTTTAAAAATCTAATTGTCTTTAGCATTTTGAATTTTGAAAAAATGAAATCATTTTTTTTAAGTTCCCAAAGAAATTCTGCAAAGAGTATTTGATGAAGGCAGTTTTCATCACCACTACTAGCTACCATATAAAATTTGTCTAAGCTCTCACAATTACCAGTCTATGACTGGACTGAAAATTTCTCCTCCACTTGACCAGTTAAGTAGCTACCTAATATTTAAATAATTAGATTCATTTTAGGGGTACACTTTTTTTTTTTTTATTGTTTTTTTTTTTTTTTCTACTGTGTTATCTTTTTTTTTTTTTTTAATTTATTTTTTTATTGATAATTCTTGGGTGTTTCTCACAGAGGGGGATTTGGCAGGGTCATGGGACAATAGTGGAGGGAAGGTCAGCAGATAAACAAGTGAACAAAGGTCTCTGGTTTTCCTAGGCAGAGGACCCTGCGGCCTTCCGCAGTGTTTGTGTCCCTGATTACTTGAGATTAGGGATTGGTGATGACTCTTAACGAGCATGCTGTCTTCAAGCATCTGTTTAACAAAGCACATCTTGCACCGCCCTTAATCCATTTAACCCTGAGTGGACACAGCACATGTTTCAGAGAGCACAGGGTTGGGGGTAAGGTCACAGATCAACAGGATCCCAAGGCAGAGGAATTTTTCTTAGTGCAGAACAAAATGAAAAGTCTCCCATGTCTACTTCTTTCTACACAGACACGGCAACCATCCGATTTCTCAATCTTTTCCCCACCTTTCCCGCCTTTCTATTCCACAAAGCCGCCATTGTCATCCTGGCCCGTTCTCAATGAGCTGTTGGGCACACCTCCCAGACGGGGTGGTGGCCGGGCACAGGGGCTCCTCACTTCCCAGTAGGGGCGGCCGGGCAGAGGCGCCCCTCACCTCCCGGACGGGGCGGCTGGCCGGGCAGGGGGGCTGACCCCCCCCACCTCCCTCCCGGACGGGGCGGCTGGCCGGGCGGGGGGGCTGACCCCCCCCACCTCCCTCCCGGACGGGGCGGCTGGCCGGGCGGGGGGCTGACACCCCCACCTCCCTCCCAGACGGGGCGGCTGGCCGGGCAGAGGGGTTCCTCACTTCCCAGTAGGGGCGGCCGGGCAGAGGCGCCCCTCACCTCCCGGACGGGGCGGCTGGCCGGGCGGGGGGCTGACCCCCCCACCTCCCTCCCGGACGGGGTGCTGGCCGGGCAGAGGGGCTCCTCACTTCCCAGTAGGGGCGGCCGGGCAGAGGCGCCCCTCACCTCCCAGACGGGGCGGCTGGCCGGGCAGAGGGCTGACCCCCCCACCTCCCTCCCGGACAGGGAGGCTGGCCGGGCAGGGGGCTGACCCCCCCACCTCCCTCCCGGATGGGGCGGCTGGCCGGGTGGGGGGGACCCCCCCATCTCCCTCCCGGACGGGGTGGCTGGCCGGGCTGAGGGGCTCCTCACTTCCCAGTAGGGGCGGCCGGGCAGAGGCACCCCTCACCTCCCGGACGGGGCGGCTGGCCGGGCGGGGGGCTGACCCCCCCACCTCCCTCCCGGACGGCACGGCTGGCCAGGCGGGGGGCTGACCCCCCCACCTCCCTCCCGGATGGCACGGCTGGCCGGGCGGGGGGGCTGACCCCCCCCCACCTCCCTCCCGGATGGGGTGGCTGCCGGGCGGAGACGCTCCTCACTTCCCAGATGGGGTGGCTGCCGGGCGGAGAGGCTCCTCACTTCTCAGACGGGGCAGCTGCCGGGCGGAGGGGCTCCTCACTTCTCAGACGGGGTGGTTGCCAGGCAGAGGGTCTCCTCACTTCTCAGACGGGGCGGCCGGGCAGAGACGCTCCTCACCTCCCAGATGGGGTCTCGCCGGGCAGAGGCGCTCCTCACATCCCAGATGGGGCGGCGGGGCAGAGGCGCTCCCCACATCTCAGACGATGGGCGGCCAGGCAGAGACGCTCCTCACTTCCTAGATGTGATGGCGGCTGGGAAGAGGCGCTCCTCACTTCCTAGATGGGATGGCGGCCGGGTGGAGACGCTCCTCACTTTCCAGACTGGGCAGCCAGGCAGAGGGGCTCCTCACATCCCAGACGATGGGCGGCCAGGCAGAGACACTCCTCACTTCCCAGACGGGGTGGCGGCCGGGCAGAGGCTGCAATCTCGGCACTTTGGGAGGCCAAGGCAGGCGGCTGGGAGGTGTAGGTTGTAGCGAGCCGAGATCACGCCACTGCACTCCAGCCTGGGCACCATTGAGCACTGAGTGAACGAGACTCCGTATGCAATCCCGGCACCTCGGGAGGCCGAGGTTGGCGGATCACTCGCGGTTAGGGGCTGGAGACCGGCCCGGCCAACACAGCGAAACCCGGTCTCCACCAAAACCAGTCAGGAATGGTGGCGCGTGCCTGCAATCGCAGGCACTCGGCAGGCTGAGGCAGGAGAATCAGGCAGGGAGGTTGCAGTGAGCCGAGATGGCAGCAGTACAGTCCAGCTTCGGCTCCGCATGAGAGGGAGACCGTGGGGATAGGGATAGGGATAGGGATAGGGGTAGGGGTAGGGGTAGGGGTAGGGGTAGGGGTAGGGGTAGGGGTAGGGGTAGGGAGCTAGGGGTACACTTATTTCCCCAAAATCTCAACTCATCTTCAGCTAAGCTCCTTTCTGCAAGTTGCGTACCCCTTGCTGAAGACTCTGTGATGATCCTACTTATCAGCTACTTCTTGGAGGCAGGAGCTCCTTCGTTCGTTCGTTCGTTCCTTCCTTCCTTCCTTCCTTCCTCCTTCCCTCCCTCTCACCTTCCTTCTTTCCCCTCCTCCCTCTTTCCTCTCTGCCCCCTTTCTTTTTTTTTATTCTACAATGTACTGTAACATGTTTTGATAGGAACCTTGAAATTTGACAATTTTTATTATATCTTCTAAGGTAAAGAAGCAAAAAAGGGAGCGAGTTGGGGAGAAAGTTTGTTTTGGTTCCCAGAGAAATGGTGAACAGTCAGAAGGAGGTCAGGAGGTGCGGTTGGTATACTTCTTGGCACAGACACAGGTTGCAGAAATTGCTGCTTACGGTCTGTCAGTTTGTATTAAGTTTCAGAAAGAAAAATAAAGGGTACTTTGATTTCTTCTTGATCATGCATGATAATAGGGCTCAAAATGAGTCAGACACATAAACAAGAGAGCCCATGGCCATAGGTCACTTGACATAGCTTAGGACAAAACTACCTGCATTTTGCACATATCTAAGGAATTAAAGATTTTTAGAAAAGCTTTGGTACTGTTCAAAGTTCAAATGTGTATAAAAGTGATAATTCAAAGTTAAAATCATTTGACTTAAAATCATTTATTAGTATTTCACAAAGCCAGCCTGTATAGTTGGCACTTCAAGGTAATTATCTCATCTAATCTTCACAACAGCACTAAGAGGTACATATTACTATCCTCCTTTTATAGATACGGTAACTGAGGTTCAGAAAGGTTAAGTATCTTGCTCATTATCACATAGCTAATAGTGGTAGGTGAGGGTTTCAAATCTACATTTTTAAATATTTTATGCTGCCTATTATGTCTATGTTTTCTGCAATTATAGACTATTTAGCTGTTAAATAGTTGTTGATATTCCTTCTATTTTTAAATTTTTTTTTAAATGTCAAATTGATGTTGATTTTGAGATCTAGTCAAACTTGGTCATTCTAAATATCCCTGCAAGAAAAATTAACCTTAAAACGATACCATTTTCCTAGCAATGCAAGGGGTATAGAAACAAAAGATGAGAAGTTTCAGAGATGGGAAAAGTTTTTGTTCTGCTGAAGGCTATTGACCCAGGATACGCAATTCACAATAAAAGGCAGCGTAACCTACATTCAGTTTGTTTGACTTTGGTAGTGATAGGGGAGTTAGGTTGAGGAAAAGGAAGTGAATGTGAGTGGATAGGGAAATATAGAAGAATTATAACTCACTGTAAAAATTAGAAACAAGAAATTATTATTTGTGCAATACATTATTTATGCAATAAGTAATGCACAAATTAAAACACATGCATGCACACGCACACATGCACACACATTTCAACTTCATACTGTGAGTATGTTTAGTTAAAGACACATAGAGCCAGAAAGGCTGACAGAAGAGGGTGGGCAGGAGTAACTAACCAGAAGCTTCTAAGTCCTAACAGCTCAGACAAGGTCTCCAATTGGCCAACGAAAACAACCACAACAATAACAACATCACTAATATTATCTACTGGCCTCTAAAGACTCCTTGTTTTGTGCCAGGACCTCTATGTGTTAACTTATTTAATATGACAAGTCTAAGTGCTAGAAACTATCATTATCCTTATTTCAGAGAAGGAAATTGAGGCAGAAGAGAGTAATTTATTTGCCCAAGTCTTCACAGTTGGTAAAAACAGGGGTCCCTGTTTGCAAGTCCCAAGTTAGCTTCAGCTAGCATTTTGTCATGCCACACAAAAAGCAGGGTGAAATGGAAGTGGTTTCAGTGTTAAATCTCCTTAGTGTTGGTTCTTGCTTTTTACATAGTTCCAAAATGTTATTCCCAGTGCTTTCAAAACCTAAAATATTAATTTTCTTTCTCAATATACAGAGACTCCCTGTATTCCTTACCTCACTTGGTTTCACAAAACCATGCACTATTACTTTCTGCATTGTACAATGGAGAGTTTCAGTAAGGTTGAATAGTGGATATGTGGGAAAATTGGTCCTCAAGACTAGGCCCTAAGGAGAAATTCTATATGTATGTGTGTATGTGTGTATGTGTGTTTGTGTGTGTATTCACACATGATGTATACATATAGGATACACACACATTTATATTTAAATATATCTATACACAAACAACAATAACTAAGCCCTAATGTTTGTAAGTAAAGTGTTTTGTTTTGTTTTGTTTTGTTTTGTTTTGTTTTGTTTCTGTCCTGACCTCTTGCCTTACTAAGCTTCAGATTGGCCTGAGCCTAATATCTTCCTTGAGCAGTTGCTTCTGGGCTCAGTCCTGCAGCTTTTGGCTGGCTGCCCTGTGTGGACTCACGGCCTTTCTGGCTTGGCTTCCAGGGCCCTGCTGCCAGCCTTTCCCAGCTGCCTCTGCTTCCTTGGCCTTTCCCAGCTGCCCTGCTGCATGGCGCCGCTTGCTGGTGGATGGCATCGCATCTCCTTGCCTCCTATTCTTTATCCTTAGCCTTGTGTCCTAGCACCTCTGAGAGCCATGATTAAGACAAACATTCAGAGGCAGGCAAAGCAGAGATAAACTCATTCTTTTATGAATACAGACCTGACTGGCCACCTAAAGGAGAGATGCTTGGGAGTCGAGATTGTGTCCCCATTTATTTAAACCAGTATATCACTATAGTTAACAGCACAAACTTTAGAGTCAGAATGACCTGGATTTGAATTCTATATTATAAATAAAGCTGCTACAAGTGCTCTTGTACAAATCTTTTGGTGGATATATGTTTTCATTTCTTTAGGGAAGGATTTCTTGAGTGGAATTGTTGGTCAGTAAGTATTTGCCTAGTTTTATGTAATGCTGCCAAACTTTTCCAAAGTGGTTGCATCACTTTATTTTCTGCCATTGGATCCTGGAAAAGTTAATTCCACCTCTTTGGGCATAAGTTTTCTTCTGAGGGCAATGGGGATAGTAATAGCTACCCCACAGGATGTTGAGAGGATTAAAAACAAGATATTATGATGTTAACGGAGAGCATGACACAGTAATTTCTCAATAACAGCAAGCATTCTTTTTTTCTTTGTTGTCATTCCTGAGTTTTTGAACATTGTATTATGAAAAATTTCAAGCCTATCAAAAAACTGAAAGAACCTGGTTGTGGTGGCTCATGCCTGTAATCCTAGCACTTTGGGAGGCCGAGGTGGGAGGATTGCTTCAGTACAGGAGTTTGAGACCAGCCTGGGCAATATGGTGAAACCCAGTCTCTACAAAAAATACAAAAATTAGCTGGGCATAGTGGCATGTGCCTGTGGTCCCAGCTACTCAGGAGGCTGAGGTGGGACAATGGCTTGAGCCAGGGAGTTGGAGGTTGCAGTGAGCAATGATTGTGACACTTCATTCCAGCCTGGGCAATAGAGAAAGACCATCTCAAAAAAAAAAAAAAAAAAATTGAAAGGATAGTGAGCGCCCATACACCAACTTGTAGACTGTATAATTCACATTTTACCTTTAATTCATCACCTCTCTAGCCACACATTAATCCACTCTTAATGCATTTTATGGTAGACATTAGTATATTTCCTACTAAATACTTAATCATCAATATATGTAATCTAGTTAATGTATCATTTATTAGAATTCAATATTTGTTTACAGTTCTTTTTGTTCTCTTTGAGGTAAAATTCAGAGAATAAAATGCACAAATTTTAAATGTACCATTCTATGAGGTTTGACAAACTCAGAAAGCTATGTAACTCAAAACCCCAAGATACAGAAATTTTCTTCACACCAGAGAGTTCTCCCTTATCCTTTCCTAGTTAACCATTGTCCTTACCCACTCTCAACAAGGCAACCATTTGTTTTCATTTTCTCAGGTATATAGATCAGTTTATTTTGTCCTAGAACCTTCATGTAAGTGAAATCCAGTATGCTCTCTTTTTATAAGGCTCCTTTTACTCAGCATGTTTTCATATTTTGCCCATGTTGTATATGAGAGTAACTGTTCCTTCTTATTGCTGAGTATAATTAGTTTATATAAATATGCTAGAGTTTGTTCACCTATTCTCTTACTTTGTATATATCTGGACTGCTTTCTTTTTTTTCTATTATAAATAAAGCTGCAATGAATATTATTTTGTAATATTATTTATTTTTATTTTTTTCGTAGAGACAGGGTCTCACATAAATCCCAGGCTAGTCTTGAACTCCTGGACTCAAGCAATCCACCTGCCTCAGTCTCCCATCAAATGATGTGTTATCAAGGTTGCTGCTGTAGACAGCAAGGTTCCATTATGGCAGGACTTCTGTAAAACATACAGAGTGCCTCCAGGAATTTTTTGGGTTATATGTTTTCGTTTCTTTTGGGGAAGTCTTATTGAGTGGAATTGCTAGGCCAAAAGTGTTTATTGAGTTTTTGTCTGTTTTGTTTCTGTTTATTTACTTTTAATAATTTTTTTAAGAGACTGGGTTTTGCTCTGTCACTCAGGCTGGAATGCAGTGGCACTATAATGGCTCACTGCAGCCTTGACCTCCTGGGCTCAAGCAATCCTCCTGCCTCAGCCTCCTGAGTAGCTGGGACCACAGGCACACACCACTATCCCTGGCTAAGTTTTTTTTCATAGAGACAGGGTCTCACATAAACCCCAGGCTAGTCTTGAACTCCTGGACTCAAGCAATCCACCTGCCTCAGCCTCCCAAAGCGTTGGGATTACACGCATGAGCCACTGTGCCCGGCCTTTATTGATTTTTATGTAAAACTTCTAAACTGTTTTCCAAAGATTATGACCCCATTTATTTAAACCAATATATCATGATACTTAACAGAACAAACTTTGGAGCCAGAAAGACCTGGATTTGAATCCTATATTATAAATAAAGCTGCTAGAAGCATTCTTGTACAAATCTTTTGGCGGATATATATTTTTATTTCTTTAGGGAAGGATTGCTTGAGTGGAATTGCTGGGCCAAAGGTATTTGCTTAGTTTTACATAAAGCTGCCAAACTTTTCCAAAGTGGTTGCATCATTTTATTATATCCAAAGTGGCTGTACCATCTTATATTTCCATCAACAGTTGCTCTATACTCAGATTAGAATTTGATGTCATTACTCTTTTTCATTTTAGCCACTTTAGTGTGTAGTGATTTCTCCTTGTGGTATTAATTTCCACTTCCCTGATGACTAACGATGTTAAGAATTGTTAACACACTTATTGGTAATTTGTTTGTCTTCCTTTGTGAAGTGTCTATTCAAATATTCTGCCCATTTTGTTTTAAGCTGGACTGTTTGTATAGTTAATATCCTTGCTTGCAGGACACGGGGGAATGAGGCAGCCACATAGTCTGATGGAAAGGTAAAGAGAATGAAAGAGAGGGAGACAGGTATCTTTGACAGCAAGTCCCAAAGTCGCTCAGCTATCACTCTCCTCTTGTCCATGGACTGTATTCATGTGGGCAGTTGCTGGTTTGCTGTTTGTCTGGCTGAACGCAGACATAGCGCCTGCTCATGATGTGAAGATTTGGCTCACACAAACACAGTGGTGAATGTCTTAGTTTTGAGTTCTCCCCAAAGCAAACTGAGACCAGAATTCAGTGCAGGGAGTTCATCTGGGAGGTGATCTCAGGAAGCCAGGGTGAGGTAGCAGAAGCATGAGTCACAAAAGGAGGAAAAATCAAATGATGTGTTATCAAGGTCGCTGCTGTAGACAGCAAGGTTCCATTCTGGCAGGACTTCTACAAAATGTACATAGTGCCCCCAGGAATTGTTCATGACAGGACATTCATCCTCTGGCTGCTGTGGCACAGGCTCCCCTCCCCTTCCAGGTCTTTTGCAGGGTGGGCAGCTACTGTGGCGTCTGAGAAGGCCAGGACCAGAAGCGCATGTGAGCTCTCACCGAGCGTGGGCCAGGCAATGTGACTGGAAGCACCAAAAGGGCTTTCTAGAGTGAGAGTGCTTATTGCTAGAGTGAGAGTGCTTACTGAGGATTTCCCACGGGAGATCGTAGAGGGTGTCCCATGACCCCCTGTATGTGAACAACTTCACAATCACTGCAGCTTTCCCGCAAAGTCACCTCCTGGCTTAGTCACTGCTGCTCTTCCGCAAAGTCACCTCCTGAATTAGTCACTGCTGCTCTCCCGCAAAGTCACTTCCTGGCTTAGTCACTGCTGCTCTCCTGTAAAGTCACCTCCTGGCTTTGGCAACCAGGGCTCCTTTTTTAGCCTCCACCCCCAGCTCCTCCCTGGAACCCTCTCTCCCGCCTTTTGGATTCTACACCAAAGTCAAATTCTCCCAACTCCTGGGAAGAGCGGCCTCTTTCCTGGCTTCAAGTCTGGCTTCTAGCGGTCACAGGCCTGAGGCTCAGCTCCTACCCCAAAGTAGGTTTATCCACACAGCTGCCTAAAAAAGGTAGTGACAAATAACATTTCTTCTCATTATTGCACAAGTTTTCCACAAGCCCGTCCTGACCATATCTTGGATGGATTCTTCAGTCCACTTGGGCTTTTATTCTTGCTAGTCACCATCCGGCCTATTCTGTGCTCCACTGAAATACATCTGTTATCCTGTTATGGACAGGAGCTCTTGTGTTTTTCCCAAGACAATAATTAGGTCATTCAATGGTGAAATTCCTGCTAAGAGCGGTGGCCCAATGACAGTCCTGGCGAGTCAATCTGCTCGTATCTGCCCGTGCCATCTCTGTGCCAGCCTCCCCACTCCTTCCCTCCACTTCCCCTGTACTTGCACTTCTTCCTGCACTAGGTCAAAATTTTGAATTTTGTTTTTTTTTCAATGTCTCTTTAAGTCTGCCTTGATCCAGGAATTCTCTTGTGCTTTGTTCATATGGCTAGCAGCAAACCTCCCTATATTTAACTGAATATATGTCATTTAAAAAGCATCACTGAGTATAATTATCATGGTGCCTCTCCCTTTTTCTTTCTGCTGACATCTGTTTCAAATCTTCATCACTCCTAACTATAGATTTCTCTTTAAGATATTGCTTCAATGTGGCTTTCCTATTCTCGGAACAAATAGAATGGAACTCACTGCATTCTTTTCCAGCTCTTTTGGGTGATGTAGGACAAGGCTGCAGGAACTCAGCTTTTCCAGAAGTAGAGCATGGAGCCATATTAGCTGGAGGGTTGCTGAATGGTTCCAGGTTCAAACATCAGCATAGCAAAGTCATTATGAGCACAAACTCCTGTGACTTACTCAGCTGTGTGACTCAGGGCAAGCAACATAATATTGCTGTAGCTTGGTTCATTCTTTTTTACAGTGGTAGATACAATAAAGTAATACGCATCTCACAGGGTCGAGTGGGTGCTAAAAGAGTTAGTAGATATCAGGCACTCCAGAGGTTGCTTTATACAGCAGGCACTCAACCTTTGTTTATTACTATCATGTTGCTCCACCAGAGAGTCACAGATTTCATCTCTGGGGTCACTTGATCCCTTTGCTGTCTGCAACTTTTGTAGCTTGGGAGGAGCTTCCTTGACAAGATAAGGAATTTATTTATTCCTCCAGCCAGTGGGATTTCCGACTGTCCGGGGAGGTGGTTTGGAACTAAGACTTAACATGAAGAGAAAATACTGATATATTCCATGGAGACGATCTATTTTCCATTTCAACTTGGAAGACTAACACTTGACTGTCTCACCAGTGGAGGCAGCAAGAGGGTGCATAATACAAAGTTTCTGTAAGCCTTGTAATCTCTGACCACTTGGTACAATGAGAAGGACTGTAATATATTGGATGCTACCAGTTTTTACTTTATGGGGAAAGTTTTTCTTCTATTTTTACAGAATAGTCATGACTTTTACACTTTGCACCTTCAGAAATCTCTAAGTCAGAAAATAAGCATTCTCTGCATCCTGTTCTTTTCTTGACTTTACACTATTACTGAATTTTCATTTCAATAGTTTAATAGTAGCAGCTAACATTGACCCTTTATCATGTGCCAGGGACTAAGTGTTACACAGTTAAGTTCTCATTTAATGTCCTAGATAGTTTCTTGGAAACTTTGGCTATAAGCAACATGACATATAATGAAACCAATTTTCCCACAGGCTAATTGATATAAACAAGAGTTAAGTTTCTATAACATCACGAAGACCTCACCAATCTTCAAAATAAAGACCCCCTAAACACTTCTAATACTAAAGCTAAAATAAATGTGAGCTATACATACATTTAAGAAACGTTAATAAAAACAAGGAAGATAATTACCCAATTATTGCAGTTCAGGGTCACGGGTGGCCAGAGCCTATTCTGACAGCTCAGAGTGCAAAGAGGGACCTAACCCTGGCCAGGAGGCCATCCTATTGCAGGGCCCAGTCATATAACAAAACCACGTTGAACAAATGGCACTGTTCCAAGACCTGCTGCATATTGAATTTCTCATTCAACCCTCCCAATGAGCCTGAAGGAGGCCATATAGCATAGCAATTCACTGTGACATCTCCAGAGTTTACCAGGGGCCAAGTCATGGCTTGCCCACTTACTTGTCTCCTGATGGGAAATTTATTTAGCCTCTATGTTTCTCTGTTTTTGTTTCCTCATCTAGCAAAAGGGCTTGAGTGTATTTTTTCATTGGGCTATTGTAAAGGATTAAATAAAATATTGCAAACAGTGTTTGAAACTGTCAATACATATGTTATGATGAAAACAGTGTCAGAAATAGGTCAACAAATACATGACATAATTAGGCAGATGAAAGAACTGAGACTAAGTATAGGTGATTCAGTGGCTCCAGGCACACAGCTAGTAAACTAAGGAGCTGGGATTTGAAAACGGCTGTACACCGCCAAAGCCCATACTTGTGACCTCTATATCATTGTATGTTATGAAAACCAAAACTAATGAAGTTTTCATTCATGTGCTAAATAATACTGTGATCAGGCAAAAACAACGTAGCTACTTACTCCTGGAAATAAGGCTCCTGAAAGACAAGACAGTGAACCGATTCAAACTCCTTATTCATCAATAGCCTTTAAGGACCCTCTCCTCACTACAGCTACCCATTCAAAAATATTATGACATACATTTCCCAATCCCAACTAGAGTCTTGCTTTGCAGAAAATCATCCAACTCAGAGTTGCCCTCCAAATGCTATTAATATTCTCCCCTGACTTCTCCCTTCTGATTCACTACTAAAGCTGTCAAAGAAGTCTTTTCCCTTACTGCAGCAAGCCTAACCAACTTAGCTTTGTTTGAGCAGCAGATTTTTCTGGTGATATTTTGGGAAGTCAGTACTCAACAATACTTAAACTACCACTGAGATTCACTAAATTCCCCCTTGCTGCTGAGGCTCAAGACTCCTCACTCAGGAGAGGGTGCTACCTTGGGGCCTCTGAGCCTTCCACTCAGAAATCTCTCCAACCGTAAGATAGGTAGGGCCCTGATTATGTCTGATCTCCTGATTTCTTATTTGCTCTTGCTTGAGTTGATTTTCAAATAAATTCATTTTTTCTCCTAGGAATGAGGAATCATTTTAAGTATCCTTCCTTTAGATAATTAAATTTGAAAATTATTATTCATGGTGAAAACCTGCCTAAATACCAACACTTCCTCCCTGTTTCCTGCTGTCCACACTCCTCCCTTTCTCCTGTGAGTCTGCAGGAGGAAGTCTAGAGAGAGGGACCACACGGGCTCTCGAAGTCCGTCTTTCAGACCACTCCAAGACTGACGAGTTCAGTCTCATGAGACTGATAATTTTTTGACAAACTTTGGCTTGGGATACTGTTCAAAAACTTGTAAGAAATTTCCATTGTCTTGTCTTTGCATCCCTGAGAAATATTTTATTTAGTTTCTTCTGCCCACTGTTGGGGGTTTCCTTGGGCCTCTTATCAGTGATGACTGCTCTGTGGCCATATGCTAGAGATAAGAAGTGGTACAAGACCCATTCTTACTGTCTGCTGTAGTTCTCATGGGCTCTACTCAATGTGTTTGGCCCTCTGGGACAAACACCTGCTCCCTTAAAGCTTTCATTTAAGTGCATGTCTCTGTCATGACTCCACCATGGTCAAACTGAAATTGCAATGATCACTTTGAGAAAATTGTAACATAAACATGATTGTCTATTAGAGATACACATTAGAACAAAAAAGAAAAGAAACCTTCAGGAGGTGATTCTGCCTTGTCTAAGAGAGAGATGACCTTGAAATAGGAGACCCCTTCTTTTCTTCTTGTACTGTGCACATGTGTGACTGTTTTTATGTATGTGAATATGTATGTGCATGTGCATGTGTGTGTAAGAGTGTATGTGTGCAAGTATGTATGAGTGTGAGTACATGTGGATGTGTACATGAGAGAGAAATGGTTTTTCTTGTGTCTAGGCTTTTCCTTTCCTTGCAGAAAGAAGGGTAAGTAGCCTTTTTACAGAGATGATTTTATATTAGAAGCCAGTTCCCTCTCATTTCTTCTTTTCTTTCCTTCCGTTTTTAACTTCTCTCAGAAAACTTTGGAGATTGATAGATTATAAATTATTGATATATCTCATAGAGGTTTACTTCTACTAAGAAAAGAACTATTTTACCAAATATGAGTAATTAAATTTTAGCTTACAAAGGCTCTACATGTTTTTCTCTGATCTTATTACTATGTAAAAAACGTTCACCTAGTATTTAGTTAAGACAAGATTTGAATATAATTTCTCATGATTAAAATTTGAAAATATTCTATGTTAGTTCTATGGCCCCAATAATGTGTTATTATATCTGCAACTTATATAAAGTTAAGAAATATAAAATTGTATTTAGTCCAATAAAATTGTAAATGTGAGTGTCTTTTAGATATTTAATATTGTGAATACTTATTTAACAGATCATAAGGGCTTAATGTGTTGGTAAACTTTGTAATTTCTGGATCTTTGGTTAGCTTTAAGACCTTAGACTAATATAAAATTAAGCTAATTAATAAAAGGTATATGTATACCACAACTATTTCTAAATAAAAATAAAATGTTTAAATATCATTCAAGAAACATTATTTTGGGTTTTACTCATTTCCAATCTTTACAAAATACTACAGACTAATAGGGCATTTGAATGCCTTTGAATTATATATATATCTGAATGTGTTTATCTCAAGTTTATTAAAATGCAGTATAAAATGTGTACTCATGGAAAAAATCTAAGTAGATATTGCTTCTAGTTTCCTTGTGGCCAGGAAAACAAAAGTTGATTAGTTAAAGGTGGTAATTAATATAAATGTTTGAGATGACACTAAGTACTATAATTACAGAGTAAGACAAATGAGTATACAAGATGATAATATATTTTGTCTGTTTTCTTCTTAAAGGAATTATTATAATTTATTAAAATGGAAAATCCCATTAGGCAAATACTATATATTTTAAAATTTAGCATGCTGACAGTTAACTGCATTTTAGAGCTAAACTTAATAATTTTATTATCTGTTTGCTTAGTTATATATTCATGTATGTTTAAATGCATAAATACAAGAATATCTTTATATTACTTTTAAAAGTGAATAAATAATGAATAAGATAATGAAAGACAAAATTGAGGACACTCTGTGAATATAAGAGACCTAAAGAAAATGATGTTACGGGTTTCTAATACCAAAGATGACGTAATAATCTCCTAATGGCCTCCCCTCCTAATGCCCCCACATTGGGGGTTAAGATTTCAGCATATACATTTTTGTCTAATACAAACATTCAGTCTGTAACAACCTCTAAGGCATTTCATCTGTCATTCATAGACGGCTCTGCTGCAGTGTCTTTGGGCATGGAAAGGCCGTTGAAGTTGTTTATTCTCATCTCCCTGGCACTTCATTGTTAGAAAATTAGAACTTGGAAGCTCAGAGAGGTGACGTGATTAGCCTAAGGTCACAAAGCTATTTCATAAGAAGGATAGGGCTAAAACTGTTTAGTCACTTTATACTCTTACCACTGAGTTCCTTTGACATTGGAGGGGAGAAAATTTTACTCATAAAACTCAGTCTTGGTGAACATTGAAAATAATACTTTTAGAGGGAAAGGGCCTTTAAATCAGGCTTATTACACTGTTTGTGGTCAAGTAATATAGGAAGGAAGTAGGTTTTTTTAGATGTCTGAAAATTTAGTGGTGATCAGCTATAATATAGATACATTGAGATTTTACTTTCTAACATTCTACCTTCATGTCTTCAACTTTTATAAACCCAATAAAATAAATGAACAATGGAGGCTACCCATTTAAGCTGGGTTTTTTTCAACCCCATTTGAAATTTAAGCTGGGTTTTCTTCAACCCCATTTGAAAATCTTAGAAGAAATATCAACAGGGTGATTCCATAAATACTCAGTTTTACCTTCAAAATGGAGAATTAATTCAAACAAATTGTGTAAACGTGTTTCTTTTTGAGAGTTTCATATTGATTAATTCATGAAATGGTTATAAACAAACCTTTTTTTTAGCAGTTTGTGCTGCTTTTATGAATGCTATTTCATTTCATAATGCTTAAAATAATAAATTTATGAGGCATTAGCTCTGAAGGCCATGTTAATAATTCCCTGTGTTAAATTCCTGACTTTATTGATGAGGAAAGAGGATCAGAGAAAGTGAAGGACTCACCTATAGTTACCAGTGCATAAATGGAAGAGCTATGTTTGTATCCAGGCTTTACTTCAAATCTGGCCCTCTGTCCATTGCATCAGAACCCATGAACTGACCCAATTCAAACAACTCTCATTTAGTTCCATATGGTGTTACATGTGATCTATTTTTTAAGCAGACTATGATACAATAAAAATGCTGATTCCAAATAATATGTCTTACAAAGTAGCATCCTTTCCAGAAGAGAATGCCTCTCTCTCCACAGTATCAAACAGCTTCTGGTGGAGCTTCCACAGTAAGTGTGACCTCTGGAGACACAACATAGAGTCTGCTGGCTAGAGAAGATATAGGATCCTAAAACTCTTATTATCTGTGACTGTGAGAGACTTGAAACTTCTCCTTCACCTAAGATTCTTTTCCAACCTCGTAAGTACTTGACTAAGATATATTTGTGTGATGACTTTGTCCAGCTGAAGTAATCTAAAAACCTTGATGGGCTGGAAATGGTGAATTTTTCTTCTGTTGGTGACTAATGCAGTGAGCAGGCAGTTTTTCTAGTTCTTTTAAGGCAGCATCAGCCTAAAAGGTCACGGACAGGCATTAGCAATGCGAGAGTACACAGAAGTTAATTTCAAAACAAATAAAGTGGATGGAGCAATTCAACAACTGTGCATTCTGAAATGCAAGTAAATGACTTATATGCTCAAGTGATTTGAAGCATAAGTATTGATGACTTGTGTGGCTTTTAACCATATCTGGGAAACTCTCATGTGAGTATTTAATCCATTCATACACAGCAATTATCTTCTATAATACCCTAATGAGTGACTAGGCAGTGAAGTGTAGTGGAAAGAATGCTTTTCTTGGTTTAAGAGTTAAATATTAATAGTTGAAAAAAGACTTTTCCTGAGAGTCACCTGGTGGGAAGGGCAGATGGATTAGGGTTTGTTTATCTGCTCCCCTTTTTAGTTCTGTTAACTTTGTCAGTAAATACTTCGGAGCCTCAATTTGCTTATCTGTAAAATGGAAATCTCTATTTTCTCACATGATTGTTGGGAAAATAAAATGTACTTAAGTGTACATTGCACATAGCCATATATTTTTAAATATAAAAGGGGTCTTCAAAAAGTTTGTGGAATATGCTATAATGAACATTATGCCCAGAGTTTAAAACTGTTTTGCACCAAAATGAACTTGAACTAACTTGTTATAGCATATCCGAACAGGATATAGTTTGGGACACTAAGAAAGATAAAACATCAGTTTGAAAAGAACCCCTATCAGAGCAAGATGAATTTTGCTAAAATTAAAGCAAGAACAAACATTATGCTTATAAAGATTGGAAAGAAGAATGGTGAAATCATAGTTGCTTTGTGAAAAGTTTATGGGGACAATGTCCCCCCAAAATTAGCAATTTACAAATGGGAAACTCATCTTAATAACGGACAAGATAATGTTGAAAATGAAGTCTGCAGCAGCAGACCATCCACATCAATTTGTGAGGAAAAAATTAATCTTGTTTCTGCTCTAATTGAAGAAGACTGACAATTAACAGCACAAACAATAGACAACACCATAAGCTTCTCAATTGGTTCAGCTTACACAATTCTGACTGAAAAATTAAAGTTGAGCAAACTTTCCACTCAATGGATGCCAGAACCATTGTGCCCAGATCAGCTACAGACAAGAGGAGAGCTTTCAATGGAAATTTTAAACATGTGGAATCAAGATCCTGAAACATTTCATTAAAGAATTGTAACAGAAGATGAAACACGGCTCTACCAGTACTATCCTGAAGACAAAGCACTATCAAAGCAATGGCTACCAAGAGGTCACAGTGGTCCAGTCAAAGAAAAAGTGAATTGGTCAAGAGCAAAGGCCATGGCAACATTTTTGTTTGTTTGTTTGTTTGTTTGTTTGAGATGCTAAAGACATTTTGCTTGTTGACTTTTTAGGGAGCCAGAGAAAAAATATCACCTGCTTATGACCAGAGTGTTTTGAAAATGTTAGTCAAAACCATAGCAGAAAAATTCCCAGGAAAGCTTCACCAGAAAGTCCTTCTCTGCCGCAACAATATTCCTGCTTATTCCTCCTATCACACAAGGGCAATTTTTCAGGATTTTTGTTGGGAAATTATTAGGGATCCACCTTAGAGTCATGATTTGGCTCCTTCTGTCTCCTTTTTTTTCCTGATCTTAAAAAATACTCAGAGGGCATCCATTTTTGTTCAATTAGTAATGTAAAAAAGGCCACATGGACATGGTTAAATTCCCAGGCCCCTCAGTTCTTTAGAGACGGACTAAGTGGCTGGTATCATCACTTACAAAAGTGTCTTGAACTTGATGGAGCTTATGTTAAGAAATAACATTTACATTTTTATTCTTTCAATTCCATTTTTTCATGAACTTTTTGAAATCCTCTTATATAATTTATGTAAAAGCTGCTCAGATTATTGAGGAAAAGTTTCACCAAGTTAGTTTTAATAGGACTCAAATAGGAACATTCTCATCTTCCTAAAATAAACATGATAAAATTGACACTTAACCCACCTTTTGCTCTGCTAAAAAGAATTTTTAGACCTTTTGTGTATTTTCCTAACAGTGATACTCTATTAATAGTGGAGTGAAAAAATAAATGAGAGCTTTGGTAAGATGTTTAAATAATGTGGAGTGGGTGACTTAATAATTTTGCAAATAATTGTTGAGAAGCTATTCTCCAAAGGCTAAGTGGGGCTCCCTGGTGATGTTAGGCCAGGAGGAAAAGCTTCCAGGAAAGTTTCTTCCTACCATTTAGAATGAAGCATAAAGAAAGTAAAAAGCAACCAATAAAAATATACCTTACGTGGGCCTGACACAATGGCTTACCCCTGTAATCCCAGCACTTTGGGAGACCAAGGTGGGGAAATCACCTGAGATCAGGAGTTCAAGGCCAGCTTGGCCAACACAGTAAAACCCCATCTCTACTAAAAACACAAAAAATTAGTCAAGCATGGTGGCACATGCCTGTAATCCCATCTACTCACTCGGGAGGCTGAGGCAGGAGAATCGCTTGAACCCGGGAACTTGGGAACCCAGAAGGTGAAGGTTGCAGTGAGCCAAGATCATGCCACTGCACTCCAGCCTGGGCAATAAGAGCAAGACTCTTCTCAAATATATGTATATATACACACATATATATATATATATATTTATACACCTTATGTGGCCAGGTGCAGTGGCTCACGCCTATAATCCCAATATTTTGGGAGGTCGAGGTGGGTGGATAGTTTGAGCCCAGGAATTCAAGACCAGCCTGGGCAACCAGGCGACACCCCATCCCTTCAAAAAAAAAAAATTAGCCAGGCATGGTGGCACATCAGGCATGTCCCAGCTACTTGGGAGGTTGGGGTGGGAGGATTGCTTGAGCATGGGAGATGGAGGTTATAGTGAGCTGAGATCGCACCACTGCATTCCAGCTTGAGTGACAGAGTAAGACTCTGTCTCAAAAAAAAAAAAAAAAAAAAAAAGAAAAAGAAAAAATACATATCTTATGTACCTGAATATAGCCTGAGGTGGTCTGGTTTTTACAGTAGGCTTGAATGGGGAGATTTAGTAGGCTTGAATGGGGAGATTTCATTCATTTATTTATTCATTCATTCCACTTATATTGACCATTTACTCTGTTTATTTCTACTAACATCTGGAGATACAACAGAAAAGGTATGCAGAACCATCCTCATGAAATTTATATTCTAAGAGAAGGATAGACATTAGCCACTCATCACATGGTAGGACAAATAAGTACTCTTCTTTTGAAGTTTACTATTCCCATTGATGCTATCTTGTCAAAGATCTAGAGATTCTTTATCTGAATGGAACAAAAAGACTCTCTCTTAATCTTTGTCTGTACTATCCAAAGGGCTGATGTGTTAGCCAACTCTCCGAATTGTCAGAGTGGGGTCCACTTTAGTGATCTGAATATCCTCATTGGATATTTGTACCTCTACTTCTATTGAAAAACATGAAATTCATGAAAGCTTTTATAGATTTCTTAGTATAAGTATTTTTTCTGAATATGTATAAGAAGGTAAAGCAGCCACAATTGAATATCAGATCAGCTATCTGAAGGGTTTAAATGCTTAATGTAATACTTATAATTATTTTTCTTATTAAAAATTGACATTTCATTATTTGAGAGTAGGGTTTAAGAGTTTTACATTTTAATAAGGTACTACAGTCCTATACATTTGGCACATTGATGTTTTATGTATTTCCCTCTGTACCACCATATTTACAGGTTTGCATGCTTCTGAGTTAAGAAATTCATTTCTGAGTAGTATTTGTTAAGTGTTGTTAGAGAATGGATTTGAAGGATATGGATTTTTGAGACAGAGAGTATATTCCAGTGGGAGCTTTATTGAGCTATATATAAATAAGCAAATGAAGCCTACACAGTACATACAACACTTTAGTATTGTTACTCTCAGGAGTGGAAATCAGTTAAGGGATACTATTGACTTTACTGAATTTTTTAATTGATGGATTTACAGGTTATTGCTTTTTGTCAGTTGTCTCAGGCCCCAAGGTCACTTGTGGCTTCAATGCTGATCTCTCTACAGATGCGTCCCAAGCCTGTTTCTTTAGGTCTCTCTTTGTCCTTCATCCACTCTCACATTTACACTAGACATTTTCATCCAGATAGCACATGGCCGCCTTGGATGCAATACATCCCTCTGCTCATCAACCCTTCAGTGAGAATTCAGTTTACCTTCCATATTATCATTTTATTTGTTAACAGTGTCACCATTTATATTCACTTTGATTTGAAACATAAGCATCTTCTGGGTTGAATTACCTCTGGATTGCTTTGGCCAGCTAAACAAAAGCCAGGTAACAATAATCCATTTCTGTTCCATTTTTTATAAAACCTGTTCTGCATTTCAGACCCTCATTGCCTTTGCTTGGAGGATGTCCCTGCTGGTCCTGGCAGCCCTCACACTGCGCAGTCTTTCCACACACTACAGCCCAAGGAGTCATCTGCTTGTGGTTTGGTAGCTTCAACCTTGTTCTCTACAACCATCCCCCATGCCGGTTCTCAGCTCAGAAAACTTCAATGACTTCCATTATCCGCTGAAGTTTTAACTTTTACATACAAACCTGAATGGAAACATTCAGGTTTTCCAGGATATGGCCTTTGCTGTCATTTCCTCCTTGTTATCCTTTCTCCCTCCCTCCATATTTTCCACAAATGATTTGGAAATACTGTAAAAACCTCTATATTAAGTGCTGGGGATATATTGATGATCAAGCTGCCTTTGTAAAGTGTGCAGATAAAAGAGAGATCCACAGAGAAGTAATTCAAGTCAAGCAGGATGAGTGATTTGGTAGGGCAGTGTCGGGGCAACAGGAGGATGCACAGGGAACTTCAACAAATTGACCAGGCTGATTTCTCTGAAGAAGGAACACGTCAGTGGAAATGTGTGAAAACTGATCAACAGAAGAAGGGGCTTGATCTACTTTCCGTCTTAGAATGTGTGCTCAGGTTGCGGTGTGTACGGTGTGGATAAATGATTTGGGCCAGTGGCTTTCAAACTTGAGTGTGAGTCAGAATCTTCCAGAGGGCTTTGTAGAACACCACTGCAGGACTCCCTCTCCTAGTAGGTTTGGGGGAGACCCTGAGAATCTCCATTTTTTTTTTTGAGACGGGGTTTCACTCTTGTGGCCCAGGCTGGAGTGCAGTGCTGCCGTCTTGGCTCACCGCAAGCTCCGCTTCCCGGGTTCAAGCGATTCTCCTGCCTCAGCCTCCCACGTAGCTGGGATTACAGGGGCCCGCCACCATGCCTGGCTAATTTTTTGTATTTTTTAGTAGAGACGGGGTTTGGCCATGTTGGGCAGGCTGCTCTCCTGACCTCAGGTGATCCGCCCGCCTCAGCCTCCCAAAGTGCTGGGATTACAGGCGTGAGCCACCGTGCCCGGCCGAGAATCTGCATTTTTAACAAGCTCCCAGGAGAAGCTGAAGCTGCTGATCCTGGGACTGCACTTAGAGAACCACGGTTCTGAGGTAAGCAAGACTAGAGGCTGCGGGGCCTCGCAGCCCAGGTGTGCAACAAGGGTGACCTAGACTGTAGGCAAGGCAGAGGTGGTAGAGAGGAGAGGCCTGAGAAGGATATGGGAATCAGACACGCCTAGATTTGGGCGTGGTATGAGACGGATGGAATGTGGAGGTGACGGGGAGGAAGGAGTCAAGGACGGCAACCAATTTTTGCCATAAGACCTTGGGTGGAAGGAATACTGTTTACTGAGATAAAAAAAAATCCAAGAGTAGAAGCACAACTAAGCAGAAGGCGCGAAGTTCATTTTGGGGTAGAATATGCTGCTTTAGTTAAGAATATAGGCTCTGAAGTTAGATTTCCTGGGTCTGAGCATTAGCTTTGCTTCTTCCCAGCTGAATAACTTCAAGCAATTTTCACAACCTTACTGCACATAGTTGCTTCATTTTAACATTGCGACAAAAATAGTACCCATCTCATAAGGTTGTGGCAAGGATTGAATAAGACACTATATAAAAAATATTTGCAACCCTGTCTGGCATACAGTTTGTACTCAATATTAACCATTATGAATAATTGCCTTCACATACACTGGCTTTTTCCAAACTGATTGCATCACTCCTTGGAGGCTGCTCAGGCCGTGCTTTTCTATTTTTGTTGCTTTGCTTATTGCGGCTCCTTTGTCTAGAATTTGTTTCTACCATTCCTACTTATCTCTGTATGAAGTCATGCTTGTCCTCAGAGTCCAAATAAATGCCGCTTCCTCCAGTTGCCTTCCCAGTTGCCCCCCACCTCGCTCAGTGATCTCTTCGTTCTCAGCTCTTACCACCATCATTATAATTTCATTTTAAATCAAAGTACTTTTAACCTGTGTTTTAATTACTTCTACACGCCTCCCTTCCCAACACTGGCAATGATGGGTTCTATTGTGTTTTGTGGCTTTCATTTACACACTAGTGCACTGTTGAGTGAACTCGGAAGTTAGTTTATAAACATTGTAGTTAGCTGCTGGTCCTAATTTTCACGTTTATTTGGATTTGGAGTTGGGAATATTGTTATGATTTTCTTTGTGCTTAATAAATCACATCTGCATCCACAGAGGAGGGTTTATTTGTGGCTTATTAATTAAATAGTAATTCATCATATGAACAAATGCTCTATTGTATTGTTTTCCTCTCCTTAGGGAAAACCATTTTGCCGCAAATTAGAATATTTGAAATCAATACTGCTTCCTAATATGAAAAGACAATCCACATTCAAAAATTGAGTAGGGATATTTCTCTTTCTTTCTATATATATGCTTTTACTCACACACACACACGCACACACACAGTTGCTTTCAGTAATTCACAGTACTCCGTTCTGTTTTGATCTCTGCTTCGGTGGCATTTTGAAATGTTCTACATGGGGCATATGTTTTAGTTTTACTACCCCTGCTTCACTTCTACCAACTAATATATTCCAGAATTTTTTTTATTACAAAACAAACTGGAATAAATCCAGAGCATTTAGTAAGAAATAGTCCTTGATCATCATTTTCCCTGAGGAGAGTATAAGTGGATTATGCACCAAAAACAGGAAATACTTTGGAAATTGCTGAAAATTAGTGTGGGAAAATCATAACAAAATATTATGCTTTTAAAGTTCTTTCTGAAGATTGTGCTTTAGGGAAGAAAACAAATATAATAATATTTTTATCTTGAATTTAATTATTATATTATTCTTTTAGAATGATAAACTTATCCTAATAAATGCAAACTCTTCCCTTCCTTGTGGTAAAAAGAGAGATCAGACATAAAATGGTACAATTCATGATTAAAGAAAGTTTTTTTCCTATTGAACTTATGCCACATTAGATATTCAAACTACACAGGATCCTGATATAACTTCCATATACACCTATGAGTTCTTCATTCATTTCACATCTTGTGGACTCTAGCCTGCATTTTCCTGGACATGGAATGTTTATTTCACTCACATCTTTCACAGTTTTCCGAGCAAATATTCTCCTGCCCAGATTCATCAGCAAATAAACTCCCTTCTCCCAAAATTAGGCATTGCATGTTAAAATAATTAGTGTAACAAAGCTCCTCAAATTTCGTGAAAAGCTCTGGCCAGTTTCTTGGGGCATGATTATAAGCAGTGTTGTTCAAATGTCTGACATTCCCCTACCACCTTCCTGAGTTCAAACAGATGCCCCTGGCAGCATTGGGGCAGCCTGAAGTCCAAGCAGGATGTGCCAGTTGAGCAACAGCAAAGCTTACCTACTTCAGCCTCAGGTTAGAAATAATATTGTGAAATTGTGCATCTGATGCTAGGTATATATTTAAAATGTATGGAAATATATATACCTAGCCATTACAATGAATGGACATTCCCGGTACCAGCT
Organism: Homo sapiens; assembly: GCF_000001405.40. Classification (NCBI taxonomy): domain Eukaryota; kingdom Metazoa; phylum Chordata; class Mammalia; order Primates; family Hominidae; genus Homo; species Homo sapiens. The sequence goes on from NC_000008.11 coordinate 61,775,171, forward strand.
AAGTCCGATAATGTCCACAGCAATCTGTTTACCATATTTAGGGAAACACTGACCATAGCAGCAGTGAGGCCAGATCCTCCCTGCCTCCTGGGTCTCAACCAGGCTGCATCTTCAGTGGCTCTGGCCATCTGTGCCAAGTTCTTTTCCCTCATTAACTGTGGCAGCCTCAGCCAAGGCTTCTCTCTCTGCAATCGACTCCTTCCACCTGCCCATAACTGACTTGGCTACTGAAATCACACAGGCACAGATTGACATTTTAATTTTAACAATGTTCTCTTCCCTTCCTTTTCCTTCAGGGGGTTCTCTGTGACCCTCATACCATCTCCTTTCCCCAGAAGGCTGCATATCATCTCACTGTCTTTTTCCTGGGACACGTAACATTTGGAACATTTAGAAACTTGGTTCTGTTCTTAACTTTGAGTGGTTTATTGGTGATGCATTTTCCCATTCCCTTACTAAACTCCTTTGCACACATTATTTCAACAGTTTGGGGAACCCCATGGCTTATATGACATCTCAGAGTGATCAGAAAAGACTAGGTGGATTTTTCCTTTTTCATCTCATTTGCGCAAAATGGATTCCCCCATGACGCCTTCAAATAGGCCCCACTTTTCAAAAATACATTTATCAATGTTGTATACACAATGTAAATACTTTGCTGGGTAGTGATGTGTTTTTGTTGCATTATCCAATAATCCATGTCACAAATAGTTATGGAGCACCTGCTGTATGCAAGGCATTGTATTCCTACTGGATGTCATACAAAGACAGACAAGAAATGATTCCTGTTTTCAATGGGGACTGGAGGACAGAGTGGCACCTGCAATGAGACAGAAATCAGATTGGAAACAGCCACCCCCATTTTCTGTTCTACATTGATCTTTGTCAAGACATTTGCTTTTTATTAACAATGAGTAAGAAAACATAGCTTTGCAAAGACAATAATAGGATCTGAAGGAATGTAGCACAATGTAATATTGAAAATGTGAACTAACTCAAGCTAGTCTTTTGCAGGATGTCAAACAGATGTTGAGTAGCTCTGTGTTTCCCCTGAAAATTTAAAACATCATGAATAATCCTTGTGAATCTATTGTGGCACCATGGCATATCCTGAAGCACCTTTTGGGAGCCGTAGCTATTTTAAAGAAAATCAGATTATCATGAATATATGCTTTCACAAGCTTTAAAATATTTATTTATTTTTTGTTGCTATTTAGCAGCTCATACCAACTTGCCATGCAGTTTAAATGCACAAATCTATCGGTGTATATTATACATGCCTTTCTTTATTACAATATTAATTTCTACATGCATGAGCCTTGGGGGAAGCAAATTGCTACTGTCAGATGTTAGGTCAGAAAGCTGGACATTTCTTTTTATTCAGACAACTGTAAACAAGTAAAGCATTTTTCTTGGCTATACCTAGTAAAGATGGTCTAACAGGTTGTCATTTTTTTTTTCTGTGACCAATTATTTTTAGATTTTAATTAGACAAATGATAGAGAATGGGTTAAGAGGAGTAAGGAGTAGAGTTACAGGTGTGTTTGATGTCTCACCTGTGAGTTCATATGCGCACACGAGCACATGCACACACACCTCTCAATCCTCTCCATTTGCAGCCAGCCTCTGTCAGAATGATGGTGACCTTACCCTGCTCTGTTCAGGGTAAGGCCTCTATCTTGCTGAGATGGAAAAACTTCAGCGATTGCTGCAGTAGAGGATTGAGGAGGCACCTTCTTTTCTCCCTGGCTTCCCTAAGCCATCTATTTTACTGGAGTCCCTGTAGGTCAGTCCTGAGGCAGGCATCTTCCTCGGCCACCTATCCCAGCAGAACCCCTGGGCTGTGACATGATTGTGAGCACATGCTTTTTGGCCATGTCTCTTCACTCTTTATTGTATAACTAATGAGGAGCCTGTGAAAAATGGGCATGTGTTCATTTACTTGCATTTATAGACACCTGCTCTGTCTAGTAGATATATAAGTAGTGGTAATATAATTCTTATACTCAGCATTAATGCAATTCACCTGTTTGCAATCATAATTGAGGATAATATAATTTTTATACTTAGTATTAATGCAATTTACCTGTTTGCAACCATAATTGGCAGCATGGTAGCACGTCATTGGGAGCTGTAAGAAGATGAGCTTCAGCGTTCTAAACTACACTAGACAACATTACTGTCTAGGGGCTAATAAATAAGTGCACACTATAAGATAAGATAAAAACAAATACTAATGTGTATATGAAACTCTAATAAGTATGTTAACCTAGATTACAAACAGAAAGAGGCTTTCTAAAAGAAAAGATATTTATTTGGAATACAGCAATGTAATGGGAACACACATGCCATAGTAAACGATGTGCATATTCGGGGAGGCCAAGGAAGACAAAAGTTTTTAAAGGAAAAAATGAGGAGGACTCGATAACTGTTTTGAAATCATTATCTTTGGCTACAAAGACCAAAGCCAAGAGGGATGAGTCTGAGGTTAGACAGGCAGATGCTGGGCAGATGTCCTTGCAGAAGGATCTTTTGTATAAGGTTGTGATGGCATTTGTGCAAAGTTATGGTTGTTGCAGACTCTTTCTCATTATCAAGCATATATGCATAAGAATCCTCTCTTCATGGTCTTCCCTGGCTCTATTTGTCAGAGTTTTTTTTAACATTAATGACTTGTTAATGTTGATGACTTCTTTTTGATGCTGACAACTTTCACAAGGATAAACATTTCCTATGAGCTTTCTGTAATGCACAAGCAGTATTATTGGTAATTATGAATTCTAGAAACAAACAAATGCTAGACTAAGTGAAACTTAACAAGTTTCTCTGTTGCAGGAATTCTCTGAGCCTTTAATATGCTTATATGAATGGTTAAGCTTCCAAAGGGGGCCATAGAGTTCAGTATTTTCTAAACTTTATTTTAGAAACTTTTACTTTCAAAAACAAACTGGGCTGATGTTCACAAATTATAAGGCAGGGTTCTTTTGTAGTCTAGCTATGATGTTAGGAACCAAATGTTAGTACTTTCCCTGCTGTTCTTTCTCATTGTTGAAATGGAGATAATCACCCCTATCTGTCAAAGACTCAGGAAGCCTGTTGGTAAGTTGGGTTTGCATAAGCACATAAAAGCATTCTAAGTGTAAAGTATAACAATAGTTTTGAGCTGTACATCTCACACAGAATCCACTTTATAAAACATACTCATAGCTTTATAATCTGTAAACTTTGCTTGCAGATTGAAGACCAAATTTTCAAAGAGTAGCTTTTCATTTGCATCCTGAAGGACATGCAGTGGCAAACATTGCATGTGCAGCTTGCTGGACTGGCAATTCTTACCAAGGCAGCTGAGAGCCACTGCTTACATCTAATGAAAAAAGACTCCTTAAAATTATCTCCAGTTATATACCTAATGTAAATGACGAGTTAATGGGTGCAGCACAGCAGCATGGCACATGTATACATATGTAACAAACCTTCACATTGTGCACATGTACCCTAGAACTTAAAGTATAATAAAAAAATAAAAAAATTATCTCCAGTTATACAGTCTTAACCTTGAAAAATTTACCTATTAGCCAAATATTTGCATTCCTTTTCATTTGAGATATTTCATCAGAATGTCATTTAAACATTTAATGACTCACAATAGAAAATATCCAGAGTGTTACTGTTGGAATCAGATTTTGAAGCCTGCTCATGTAAAGGTCTAGGAGCTGAAAGAGCCCATTTTACTGATGCATGTCCCACCTACAGGTTGCTGAGTAAACTCTGCTTAAGGATGGAGAAAAGAATGACTTAGGGTTTGAAACGTTTTAAGTGAGTAAGAACAACAGAATACCAGCATGTACGTATTTACAAGAAGGAACTCTGAAAGACACGAATTAAGAAACATTACCATTTAGTTTTTGAAACTGTGGTAAAATATACATAACACAAAATTTATTATTTTAACTATTTTTAAATGTACCGTTTAGTGGCATTAAGTACATTCACAATGTTGAGCAACCATTACCAATATCTAGATGCAGAATTTTTTTTTGTTTGTTTGTTTTTTGAGACGGAATCTTGCCCTGTCGCCCACGCTGGAGTGCAGTGGTGCAATCTCTGCTCACTGGATGCAGAATTTTTTATTACTGCAAATGGAAACTTCTTACCCATTGAGCAATGACTCCCCTTTCCCTACTCCCTCAAGCTTTTGGTAACCTTTAGTCCTTTTTCTGTTTTTTCTGATTTTCTTGTTCTGGGTGTTTCAAATAAATGGAATTATACATTATGTGGCCCTTTGTGATTGGTTTCTTTCACTTAGCGTAATATTTTTTAAGGTTTGTCCATTATGTTAGAAAAAACTCAAACTTTTTCCTCTGCTGTTACACCACAACAATCATCAACACAGAAGCCTAGGTGACCAAATCTGGGGGAGTTTCTCCCCACAAATCAAGCAATCAGTTATCTAGCAGACACCAGTAGGGTGTTCAGGTATCTTCCAATTCAATTCTGACACTATCTACCTGGAGATAGCCTCAGAGTCCACAGGTTGAGGAGGCGTCAGTCCTCCTGCCTCTCCACTTCAAGACATGTTGCAAGTCCAGGCATCTGCAACTTCTGACTGATTGGCTTTAAGTTGGGGTCTCACGGATCCTTCTTTGGGTTCGATTAATTTGCTGGAAAGGCTCACAGAACTCAGGGAAACACCTACTTAATGTTTACCGGCTTGTTACAAAGGATATTTTAAAGGATGCAAGTAAATAGCCAGATGAAGAGCTACATAGGGTGAGGCCTGGAAGGGTCCCAAGCACAGAACTTCTGTCACTGTGGAGCTGGGGAGTGTCACCCTCCCCAGCACATTGATAAGTTCTTGTTCACTTTCTTCTAAACTGCCATATGTTGGGCTCTCTGGAAGCTCTCCAAATCCTGTCCTTTTAGGTTTATATGAATCTTTATTACATGAACACTACTGATTAAATCATTGGTCATTGGTGATCAAGTTACTTTCAGCCTCATTCCCCTCTCTGGAGGTTGGTAGGTGGTCTTAAAATTTCAGCCCTCTGGGCACCGAACTGGCTTCCCTGGCAACCAGCCCCACATCCTGTGGTTTCTAGGGGTTTTTCAAAAATCGCCTTATTAACATAAGCTCAGATGTGTTGAAAGGGCTTGCTGTAAATCACAGAAGACTCTTTCACTTTTATCATTCAGGAGCTACTTTAGTAACTGAAGTCAAAGGGTCAAATACTTTATCAAAAGATATCCTTATTGCTTAAGTCACTTATGAAATGACAAGGCTTCCCAGAGCTGAGAGCCATGGGTTGCTTTCACTTTTTGCTATTGTGAGTAGTGATGCTATGAACATTCTTGTATAAAATTTTGTTTGAACACCGGTTTTCAATCCTTTGGGTATGTACCTAGAAGTCAAATTGTCAGGTCTTGTGGTAATTCTATATGTGACTTGCTGAGAAATCACCGAACTTGTTTTGCACAGAGGCTGCTCTGTTTTACATTCCCATCAGCAAAGCATGAAGGTTTCAATTTTGCCACATTCTTGTCAACACTTGTTATTTTCTATTATTGTTATTACTATTATTACTATTTGGAAATAGCCATCCTAGTAGATGTGAAGTGGCCTCTCATTGTGGTTTTGAATTGCATTCTCTATTGACAATTGTCACTGAGCACCTTTTCATGCACTGCTCATTTGTGTAACTTCTTCAGAGAAATGTGTATTCAAATATTTTGTCCATTTTTAATTGGGTTGTTTGACTTCTGTTGCTGAGTCCATTTTATTTTTAAAAAAGAGAGATTTATTTGCCCATCTATTTTCGGATACTTTGGTAGGTGGAATGATCTCCTGAAGATGTCCAAGTTCAAATCCCCAAACCTGCAAGTATGATGCCTTACATGGAATAAGGGACTTTGCAGATGTGATTAAGTTAAAGATTTTGGGGTGAGAAGATTATCCTGGATTACCCGAGTAGGCCAAATGTAATCCCATGGATGCTTACGAGAGAGGCAGAAGTGTCAGAGTGAGATTATGTGACAATGGAAACAGAGCTTGGAGTGAAGTGCTTTGAAAATACAGGAAGAGGCCACAAACCAGGTAGTCTCTAGAAGCTAGAAAAGGCAAAGAAATGGCTTCTCCCCTAGCACTTCCACTATGAAATGCAGCTCTGCCAACATGTAGATGTTAGCATAGTAAAACTCCTTTCTGACCGCTGACAGTCAGAACTGTAAAATTATAAATTGATATTGTTTTGAGCCATGGAATGTAGAGTAATTTGCTCCAACAGCAATCAGCAACTATCCAGTATTTTTGAAGACAAGACGTATATTTTGAAAGTGTAGTAAATATTTAAAGTTCTTTAGAAAGAGATGGGAGAAAGATTTGCACAGATTATGGTCCAAGGTAAATACACTGTAAGTCTACAAAACACCTCCAGTGGACTCATGGTTATCCTGACCCTACAGATTCCTCTACTAGGCATTCTAATAGAAATGTATTCCTTAGATGCAGGATTTTTAAATAAAAATATACGTTTGTGGAGAAACAATAACTAGGAGGAAGGAAACCTATTAAGATAGGACTTTTAAATTTTCTTGTAAAATTACTTACTGCTCAGTAGAGGTCAGTAATGGAACACGACAGAAAGAGATAAAAAAATGAAAACAATAAATGTGAAAAACCTGGAGACATTAATATTAAAGTTTATATGTATGAGTCTCAAAAAATCGAGTTAGAAATATGCCTTGTCTTAAACTACACATTCTTAAAATGCGTGTGCATTTGGTTTTTAAAAAGCCATCTTTATGGAAGCATAAGTTACTGTCAATAGAGTTACCTCTTTTAAGCAAACAATTCAGTGACTTCTGAGTAACGTACACTTCCATGAAACCGCCCCCACAATCAAGGTATAGGACATTCCTATCACCTCCAAAGTTTCCTTGGGTCTCTTCTCAGGCAATGACTAATTTCTTGCCAGGACTATATGTTTGTTCTTTGGGAGTTTGTATAGATGCACATTAAACCTTTAATTTTATATCTTAAATAATTTTAAATGTGATAGGAGAACCATCCATCAAACTATGACAAAAATCCTAGGTGAAATGTATCGTAATTTTAAAAATATTAATCCTCTGAATTATTACTTTAGGAATTTAAAAATATATATATATATTTGTCTTGCTAAAATAATTCTCTTAACTTAAAGTTGTTTTTCTCTTTTCAGTATTTCCTACTTTAAATTACCTATCTATAAAATAGCAAAAAAGTAAAATAATAGTTTAAAAATTCTATTAAATTTTTTATTTTTGAGACGGAGTCTCGTTCTATCACCCAGGCTGGAGCACAGTGGCACAATCTCGGCTCACTGCAACCTCTGCCTCCCAGGTTCAATCAATTCTCCTGCCTCAGCCTCCTGAGTAGCTGGGGTAACAGGCGTGCACCACCACACCGAGCTAACTTTTGTATTTTTTGTAGAGACAGGGTTTCGCCATGTTGGCCAGGCTGGTCTGGAACTCCTGACCTCAAGTGATCTGTCCACCTCGGCCCCTAAAACTGTTGGGATTACAGGCGTGAGTCACTGCACCCAGCCTAGAAGTTCTATTAATATTTTAATGTGAAAAATTTCCTTGGTTGCTTTAGAATCAAGGTTGGTGCTTATTTTTCAAGCAAGCAGTCGTGGTTGTTTACAGAGCAAATGTGGATTACAGGTAAGCAGAATGGAACATTTTGGAATGATTCCCAGCTAAGGTACATGAAAATGATGTTTAAACAAGCCCTGCTATTTCCCAAGAGATATTGCTTAAAAGTTAAGACAAACAATCTAGTAACAGGCTAGATATGTGTTCTATCTTAGAAAGGCACTACACTGATCAAAAAGTACACTTTTAAAATTTGTACCCGTGTGTATGCACACATTTCCACTCCACATCTTCCAGCTGTAATACATCCTGAATATAGTAAAAGCTAATGCTCCATTTAGCTGTTACTGGTTTCAGCAGTTTGAGGGCTATTACTGTTTAACCCGAGAAAGAGGTTATACAGTAATATGTATCATACATAGGGCTTAATTGTAAATACATTCTAATTTCTTTTCTAACATATGTGTTTTTATTCAAAGTTGTACATCTTTTACCTCTGATTTGTTTGGGTCACCTTAACAAATGAATTACAGAAAAAAATATTAAAAAGTGTGCACTGTTAGACTTCAAACCACTTTACCACTATTTGGCCTTCTGTCATTCAGGATGCAGAAGGCAGGGTCAGCAGCTTTCCTAAGCTGACAACCATGAGTGCCAACAAAGCTCTACAAAGTAATCAGTAAAACACACCCAATTACCAGACCACAGAGAAGGGACTTTCCTATGCTTATCAAATAAACAGTGCTCAATCCTCTTGGACTTCCCTGAGAATCAGAGCTACTTTTCAGCAAACTGACAGTTCTCAAAGGTAATCTGTAAATTCCAGCTTCTGAGAAAATGACCATTTCTGACATCAAACGTTGGAATGCTGAAGTTAAGAAAAGCAGTGAAAATGGAAGCAATGGTTGAAATGGACCACTAAGACCCACGAATGATGGAAGTGTCAAGTAAAAAGTTGGCAATATTGAGTAAAAGCCTGGGCTGAATAATGCAGCATCAACTCAGTGCTACACGAGGGACACTAGAAATCTGCAGTGATGCTTGTGATGAGCTGGGTCTGCGTTCCTTCTGGGTGGTGGTCCTATTGTGTTAAACCACTGGAGCGGCTCTGTGGGGAGACTAGTGTGTGTGTAGATAGTCCATGATGGTCTGGATCTTTCGGCCTGAGAACCAGGAAGGCTGAGGGCAGGAAAATATTAATGTCCCAGCTGAAGCAGTGAGGTAAAGAGAGAATTCAACTTTCTTCCACCTTTCTGTTCTCATAAGGCCCTCTGTAGATTTGACAATGCCCACCTACACTGGGGAGGGCCATCTGTGCTACTCAGCTCACCAATCTAAATGCTTATCTTGTCCAGAAGCACCCTCATAGACACAAGAACTAATGTTTTGGCAGCCATCTGAGTGTCCTTTAACCCAGTCAAGTGGACACATAAGATTAACCATCTCTGTGGATAATCCACATTTTTCCTCTCTTGTAGACTAGATGAAAGGGCCTTCTGTCATCACTAGAAATGGCACCATAGTCTGACCCAATGCAGGGGAAGGGGCAGGCTCTGACTAAACTGCTAGTGGGAAACCATCCAGTCCGCTGGACTCTCAACACTGCAGCACTTCTGCTACTTTAGATGTTTCATTATGAAGTTTGTGGCATTTAATACCCCTCCAAGTACTTCCATGCACATCATTGGAGATGGCGTAGTGAGGAAGTGATTTTCACTTTGTTTTACAGATCCCAGGGTGAGGGAGGGGTTTTCACTTTGTTCTACAGATCCCAGGGTTCTGTGGGGGATTTCTTAGCATCCACACACGACTTAAACCACACCAGCTGGGTTTGTCAATCTATTTATTATGAAGCTGGGTACTCTTTAGATAAAAGGCTTTAACTGCTGAAAAAAAAGTTTAGAAAATATGAATAAAATGCCTTAAAAGCCTGTATTTTACTCCTGGCTTTACACTGTCTAGCCCTGTGGCCTTGGATGTTTAACTCATCTAAACTGTAAATTATCTAACTATAAAAGAAGAGTAGTAACATCTCACAGGGCTCTTAAGAGAACAAAAGTTCATAAACATAAAACTTTTATTGGAATGCCTGACACTTAGTGCTCAAAACACAGTGGTGGTTGTTAATACTATTGTAATGTTATCAGATCTAGAAGTTTAGGAAGAGTCTGGAGTGGTCTTCAGCATTATGAGGTCATAGTTATCCTTGTGTCCAGCTTTAGCATAGAGCAGAGTCTGCTCCTTAATGCATCCCTGGATCATAGCAGACTCTGCCTATAGAGGCCTGGGGTCCCTTTGGCAGCACTTTTCTCAAGAAAGTAGAGTCGTGGACAACCAACTGCACAGGTTGGGAGGTAAGAACTTTTTTTTTTTGTATTGAGAGTAAGCTCTGGGGTAACATAATGGTGTAGTTTGCTTTAGATACTTATCTTTTTAATAAACTAAGCTGGGTGAGCAAGTGTTTTGGAAAAATATCTTAGGATCCTGAGAGAGCTAAAAAAGCCATGGAGAAATCATTACAGGATGCATTTTAGTTTTGTGAATTATATTTAACACAAACTGATTAGTTCATAAAATGATTTACAGATGCAATAATAGCTACCATATTTTATCACTTTACTTGCATTTTTAAATTCCCATTCCCATAACACATTGCAAGGTAACATTGTAAATATGAAAACACTGCCCTATAATCAGAAGCAGAAGGTGAATGAGGACCCAAGTCTTTCTGACTCTAAAACTCATGCAATTTTTGCTTTACCCCACCTATAGTATCCCAGAAAATGTCAACATCCTGGAGGATGGGAGCCCCTTTTTGGGGATAGATGCTCCAGGTGTATCTGCTTAGGTGGGACTTACACTTCACTTTCCCTGGTGCCTTGCCCCAGTGCCTCCTCTTCACAGCAGATTTGATCAAATATGGGCATCAGACAGGTAGAGATCACAGCATCTTCCTCTGTGCCAATCTTGGGACTATGAAAGAGAGAGAAACTCACCTTTCTCATTTTCTCCCACCCATTCCTCCCCTACCTAGTCCTTAATTATAGCACAATCAGACATACTTTTACAGAGAACACCAAAATTTAGAGCCAAGGAAATATGTTTATACTGGCACCATCCCTGTGGCTTATCCCTGCAGGTGTCCTCATAAGGATTGTTATTTATTTAATATTATAATGTCAAAATTTAAACTACAAGGAGATGTGCACTCTCCTAGAAGCACTTAGATTTGGTGAATATTGAGCCACACCCTTTCCTTTGTTGTTGGCACAGAGGCACGATATCTCTGTAGGAAGATAATTGCCAATGAGTGAGTCATTTTTTTTCTAGGAAAACTTACAGCCTCCATCACTCTTCAGGAGAGTGGCAGTCAAGGAGTAAGACTCAAGGAAAGGTCAGTGCTTGGTTGAGAGCCTAAATCTTTACCTTGGGTTGCAAGTGAACATTTGGGAAGAGCCCATGGCCTGGAGAGAGAGCTAGTGGCCAGGAAGAGCAAACAAATGGATTGCCACTGCCACCTGCCACATTGGGCTGCCACTGGCAGAGCTGCTGAGTCTGCAGGTGCAGTGATTATGCTGTGAAAGATTCAAATAGGACAACCCTATGTAGCAGTGGCCAGGGGGCAGGTGAGTGGTGTAACTCTGGAAGGGGTTCTTGTTATTTTCAGCTGGGATTCCAACAAGATAATGACTGTTGGTACTAAAAAGAGCTTGAAACAATTATCTTTCCAGAGTTTTCCTAGAAAACTAATGAGCACACAATGTCACCATAGAAAACTCTAGACCCAGGTCAAAAGGCATTTGGCTTGTAACTATCACTACAGAACCAAGTAAACAGTCAAGAATAATAAATGCCTGGAATAATAAATAGCAGCATAATCAATTGGTAAAAAGCTTCCTGAAAAATCACTGTTGAGCATTTGCAGATATAAAGGTTAAGAATTTAGTACAAATAATAGTAAAGTCCCCAAGGGAACATAGAAAGAGGGGATAGCTTTGTGTTCAAGATCATGTTTCACAATTATTTTTCCACTAGGTGAGTTATCATTATCCACAGCTCATTTTTCTTCTTTCTTCCTTCAAAATATCCCAAGTTAACATATTCATATGAGCCCCCTTCTTGAAGAGCCAGGGTCCTGGGCATTGTGTGTCCCAGGGATCTGGTCAGGTTCAATGGGAAGTTTCAAAGTTTCGATGGGTGTGTATGAAGAGGGCCAGTCCTCCATGGCCTGCACTTTCTGGAGCCCAGGAGGGTGACATAAATGGGAGGTCCATAGGGAGAAATTTCAGATGAAAATCAGGTAGATCATGGAACAGTTGGCTTGAGACAGCCAGACAGAGTGGGAGGATCCAGGTTCAAGGAAAAGGTACAGAATTTTAGGAAAATGGATGAGAGCAAGTGGATTGTGAGCAGTGGCTGGTTGGGAGAGCCTGATGAATGTTCTGAACCTAACACAGTAGCCGCATCCTACTCACAAGGACACTGGGCTTCAGGCATTTGTGGTGGGAGGAGAGGTACTGGCAACCTGGACACGATAGAGTGTTTCAGTGCTCCATTGCTGGGTGTCTGCCCTCTGACAAGGCAACAGTGGTTTACTCTTTCTCATAATTCTGTGGGTTTGCACTCTAAGTGGTTCTTCTGCATATCATGAATGGCTTGACTGGAGCTGGTGGCCAGGCTGGCCTCACTTACATGCCTGACAGTTGGTACCGGCTGTTGACTATGGCACTTTGTTCTCCCCATGAGGCCTCCCATCCTCCACTAGGCTAGAGTCAGCTTCTCCACAATGTACTGGTAGCAGGCTTCCAGGAGAGCAAGAGCAGAATCTGCCAAATCTTTGAAGGACTAGGCTTTGTGATTTATAGGATGCCTTATTTTATGTTCTGTTGGCCAAATAAATTTGGAGTCAGGGCAGATTCAAGGCAGCAGAGCAATAGACTACCTTTTGATGGGAAGAAGAGCAACCACACATTGTGAAAGAGTGTGGACATGGGGAGGTCTGATTCATTGGGGATCCTCATTGTAACACTTTAACACAGGGAATATTTTTCTTAACATGGCTTATCTCTTTTGGGGTATGCATTATGTTACATAGATTATCCTGGTCCTTTATGCTTATTTTTGATGTCACATAGGCCTTTCAAAATTTATTCAGTAAGCATTTATTAGGCACCTGTTATTTTCTTGGCAGTGTGCTAGATTCTGGGGATATTATGGTGACCAAGATTATAGGTAATCTTAAAGGAATTTTCTTTTTATTTCCTATAAAATCAGGTAAACAGTGAGTCTATGGGTGGGGTAGGAAGGGGGAGAAATACAACAGGATATAACAGGATAGAAGGGTGGCAGTAGAAAGCTAGCAACATGGTAAAGTTGGTTGGAAGAAGCAGGATTATATTCTCTGATGTTTTCAAAAGCTACCAATAAGGGATGATTTCATTGTTCTAGACATAAAATTAATTTTTCTTTTTTTTTCAGGAATAATCTGAGTTTAAAGAAAGGAGGAGTCAGTGCTGGGATTTCTTGGTTCTAGTGGAAAGTAGTTTTTTAAAATTTAATTGACAAAAGTTATATATATTCAGGTACACGATGTGATGATTTGATATACATGTACCTGTATAATGATAGCCACAACCATTAATTAATGTAACCATCACCACCTATAGTTACCCTTTTCTATGCGTGTGTGTGTGTGTATACGTGCATGCAGTGAGGACACTTAAAATCTACTCTTACAAATTTCAAGTAAACAAGGCAGTATTATTTACTGTAGTTCCCAGATTGTACATTAGATTTCCAGAACTTATTCATCTTTTTTTTTTTTTTTTTTTTTTTTTGAGACAGAGTCTCACTCTGTCATCTAGGCTGGAGTGCAGTGGTGCAAGCTCGGCTCACTGCAACCTCCATCTCTGGGGTTCAAGCAATTCTCCTGCACAGGCACGTGCCACCACGCCCGGCTAATTTTTTTGTATTTTTAGTAGAGACTGGGTTTCACCATGTTAGCCAGGATGGTCTCCATCTTCTGACCTCGTGATCTGCCCGCCTTGGCCTCCCAAAGTGCTGGGATTACAGGCGTGAGCCACCGCGCCCAGCCAGAACTTATTCATCTTATAACAAACTTTGTACCCTTTGACCAACATCTCTCCATTTCCCCTATCCCTGAGCCCCTGACAACCACCATTCTACTCTCTGCTTCTCTGAGTTCAACTTTTTTAGATTCCACACATAAGTGATATCATATAGTATTTCCACATATAAATGAGACCATATAGCATTTTTTTCTGTGACTTTTTTATCCCAATTACCATAAATGTCCCCAAGTTTCATCCACGTTGTTGCAAATGACAGGATTTTCTTCCTTTTTATGGTCCAGTAATATTCTACAGTTTCTTCATCCATTTATAAATTCATGAACATTTAGTTTGATTCCATACCTTGGCTCTTGTAAATAGTGCAGCATTATTTACAATAGCCAAGGTATGGAATCAAACCAGATATTAATTCAACATACTAATTTCGTTTTCTGTGGATACATACCCAGAAGTGGGATTGCTGGATCATATGATCTGTGTAGGTTTGTGTTGCTGTCTATGCATTTCAAGTACCAAATACCTCTTTCAGTCTGTATAGATGGTTCTGTAGATAAAGGCCCTCTTCTATTAGGTCCCCAGGCTGACTCTGAGATTTCCTCTGGGATCACAGTTGAGCAGGGTTAGAGCTAGGTCATGTGGCTTCTACTGAGTGCATAGTGAGGTATAAGGTAGGTGAGCCTATTACCCGGGCTCAAGCAAACATGGATCCTGTCTGGGCTCTGGGTGGACTGGGCTGCCCCCAGAAGCATGGCCAGTAGGGCTGGTGCTGAATGAGGGTCTACTTCTGAGTCTGTAGATGGCAGTCCTATAACCTGGTATGTGGATAGGTGTGGCTTCCTCCAGGTTTCTGGATTGGTTTGCTCTGGGTCACTGGGTGGGTCCCTGGGCAGGCAGTGCTGGCCCTCAGCCATGGCTGAGAGGGGCTCGACCTGAGTCACAGGGCTGCTACAGGGTCCACAAATGAGACCGAGGTCTGCAGGGCACAGACCCTTGGGGGACACAGATGAGTGTGTCTCTCTCTGGGGTCCTGGAAAAGCAGGCTGCTTTCAGACTGCAGCTGAGAGGAACTAGAGCTGAGGCTCAGGGCTATTTCCAGGATCTGCTGATAGTGGAAAGTAGTTTTAATGCCCTGGGCTATCTCCTAGAGAAAGGAAATGTCCAGTGATGACTCAGAACTACAGTAAGCCAATTGTGGGTTATCCACGACATTTCCCAAACTCAGAGTCAAGGCCAAACCTGTTCATCCAAATAATTGTGCCCTAAAGCCTGCACTCCTGGAGCGATCCCATATGGACATGGAGCCATGGCCTGTTTCCTGGGTATGGCGGTGAGAGGAGAACCTCCTGCACTGGCAAATCTGATTGGTGCAAATGTGCCATCTGTCACTTGTCTGGCCCACAACTACCCCTTCAAGCATGCCGGTGTGGGATGAAACATAGAAAACAGAGCCCGGGTCTGCTCAGTCCTTTGTTACACTGATATGGCTGCCAGGTTGCCTCACACTCAACTATGAACCACCAGGGCTTAAAACAAGCAGAATCTCATAGTTTCTCAAATCTTATGCCTTGTGTTGTGTAAAAAAGTCAGAAAATACACTGTCAGCTGGCACAATGAAAATCTAATGGATTTACTAATTTTTAAATAAGATTAAAACCCATTGATAATTTAAATAATCTATTTTCATAACACTTCATTGCAAAAAAACTCAATGTTTTCTGGACTTTCTTTGTGAATTTTTTTTTTTTTTATTTTGAGATGGAGTTTCACTCTTGTCGCCCAGGCTGGAGTACAATGGCCTAATCTCGGCTCCCTGCAACTTCCACCTCCTGAGTTCAAGTGATTCTCCTGCCTCAGCCTCCTGAGTAGCTGGGATTACAGGCGCCGGCCATCACTCCTGGCTAATTTTTATATTTTTAGTAGAGACAGGGTTTTACCACGTTGGCCAGGCTGGTCTCCAACTCTTGACCTCAGGTGATCCACCCACCTCAGCCTCCCAAAATGCTGGGATTACCTGCGTGAGCCACGACACCCGGCTTTCTTTGTGAATTCTTTCAATATTTTTCTGAGGCAGATGGAGAACAAATACCTCTATTGCAGGTGCTCAGAAAATCTACTGTGGGGAATTATATTAAGAAGAACCCAGCACATGTCTTGCTCCACACAAGCACTCAGGTTCCCTGCACTAATGTTAGAATGGTCCTAGGTGGGCGTTTGCTTTCTGTGAAGCCCCAGCTGCCTTTCTCACAGTCTTTCAGAACATCTGCCAGTGCTACCCAAACAAATCCTGGTGTAGTTAGGCAGTCCTAATGTAAATGCTTAATAGAGGCATGGCATTCTTGTTTGATTACTTTACTGCTGCAAAGAAATAGGGCCCAATTTAACATTAAGCCTGTCATTGGTGAACAGTGCTCTTTTGCTAGTGTAAACAAAACCCCTTGCATTTTGACAATAACATATTCAGAATTTAAATTAAACTAAGCTAGAAAATTATAACTGTAGGGTAGCAACTAAGTCATTCTCACACAGAATGTTTGTAAAATGTAAGTTGATGGCTGGACATGGTGGCTCACACCTGTAATCCTGGTGCTTTAAGAGGCTGAGATGGGAGGATTGCTTGATCTCGGGAGTTTGAGACCAGACTGGGCAACATAGCGAGACCCCTGTCTCTATAAAAAATAAAAAAAAATTAGCCAGGCATGGTGGCGTGCACCTGTAGTTCCTGCTACTTCAAAGGCTGAAATGGGAGGATCACCTGAGAGGAGAGCAGGATTGTGTCACTGCACTCCGGCCTAGGTGACAGAGTGAGACCTTGTCTCAAAAATAAAAAAATAAAATAAAATAAAAAGTAAGTTGACATCGCAGCTTAGTAGAATTGACTTTATGGGAAGGAGGTGCGGGCACTGGCTGTAAAATCTTTTTGTCCTTTACATTGGGGGATCTCTCATGTCTTCTGGTTATTTATTTATTTATATTTGTTTGTTGATTCAAATGCACTTGTGGGGAATGTGAGTGGATACTAGACAGGCTATGTATTTTATTTAAGAGAGGAATGGTGTAAATAATACAAATAGGCCTTGATGTTCATCTTCCTGTGGGCTTCTCTGTATAAACCCAAAAGTCCTCCATCTTTTATTTTCCAAGTAGGGGAAGTGGAGTTGGTCAGTGTCTCAATGTTTGTGGACATTTATTCCTAAGTGTTGCCGTAAGGGCTCTTGTCGATAAGAAGGGCAGCTCTCTTCTTCTATGTCTCAGGCTGTAGACTGAGGTCTCAGCAGAGGCTGTCATTTTGTTTAGCAGTTACTGATAATGACAGATCTAGTATATCACCACAGGAGGGAGCAGATGGCATGCAGTGGGTGAACAAGGCCGTTGTAAAGAGGAGACCAAGAAACCAAGGGATCGGAGTGTTGTAAGGATCATCTCTGTTGTAGACTAAAACTTCTAAGAGTGAAGTCAGGAGAGAGTCTCAATTCTAGGAAGAATGATGGGAGCTCCTAGGGGGTCTATAGGTGACAGGAAAAATAAGGAGTTACAGTGGTGTTATTTTATGACATAATCTTCAAAGCTGGAGTGTTTCAGGGAAAAAGGAGGGAGAGTGGTTTAAAACTGGGAAGGAGGAACAAGAAGAATATCCTCCCACCTCTGAGTAGAACTGTATAAGGCTGGTGGGAGAAAAACAGGTAATTCTTAGAAGGATTACAGGAGAAGTAATATTTTCAGGGAAAGCCAGTTTTTTGTTCTACACTGAAGGTGAAATGAAGATTTAGAGATGAGGTTACAAATATGGGGGATTTAAGTGAATTAACACAGGAACAGAAAACTAAGTCCTGCATGTTCTCACTCGGAAGTGGGAGCTATACATTGAGCAGACATGAACATTAATATGGGAACAAGAGACACTGCAGACTACTGGGGTGGGAGGGAAGGAGAGGCAAGGGTTTAAGCTACCTATCCAGTACTATGCTCACTACCTGAGTGCAATATACCCATGCAACAAACCTGCACATGTATCCCCTGCATCTAAAATAAAAGTTGAAATTAAAAAAAAAAAAGAATATAGGGATTTTGCAGATAATGGATGGGGAGTTCTAAAAGGCACAGTAGAAGGATTTCTGGAATTTGAGATGGAGAAAGGTGAGAAGAGAAGAAATAAAAGGATCAGCGAAGGGCTGGTGGATGATTGAGGGATGACTGGGAGTCCAGCCTTGGGTGACAAAGAGAAAAAAGGCATGAGTTTAATTCCAATGCATAATCAAGGCAGAGACTACGATATTGGAGGATAAAAAAGTGTGCATTTCAGCAGCTTCCTGTTCGTCTCGATGAGGTGTAGAAGGTCTAAAGGAGGAGACTCCTGTTTGACTTCTAATACCTATTGGTAGAGCAGGAAGTGTATATTTTCCATCTTCATCCCTTTGGATGGAAGGGAATCTTCTGGGGAAAGCCTGATGTACCCCCTCAGTAAGGCCTTTTCACCCCTGATGATAGGGACAGAAGAGTCATGTGGGGATGGTCTCCTCCCAGTGCGCTGGTTCATTTAAGACCCTGGGATAACATGATGTACTGCCTGAATTGTCAAGGATTTGAGGTATTCTCCAAATTCACAGGGACGTAGAATATTGAAGGTAAAAGAAACCTAAGAAAATTTCAGGCTCAAACCTTCAGTTTCACAAGAGAGAAAACTGAGTCTGAGAGGGCCAACTACCTTGGCTGAGGTTTCCCCTATTAATAGAATTATAACAGAGATATTCTGATTTTAGGCAATGACTCCCACATTTCAACAGCCCTGTGTTGGTCCTGAGATGTTCATAGTTTTAATTAAAAAAATCTTTCCCAGTCAGCAAATTCATAGGCTTTTTACTATATAAACTGTAGTAAAAACTTTACTATAAAACTCTTCTTTTTAAAGCTTATGTTTTAATAATAAGGATAAAGAGTTTGCTTATATTTCAAGCATTTTCCACACTATATGAAATACCATTCCATAGACAATTTGGCGTATGTTCAAGAGGATGGTCTTCCAGGGCACAAAGGCTGTGCCTGTGAAGTTGAGGAAACTGTTACATGGAGACTGTACCTAAGAAGGGTTTCTAAGGCCGGGCGCGGTGGCTCACGCCTGTAATCCCAGCACTTTGGGAGGCTGAGGTGGGTGGATCACGAGGTCAGGAGATCGAGACCATCCTGGCTAACACGGTGAAACGCCGTCTCTACTAAAAATACAAAAAATTAGCCAGGTGTGGTGGCGGGCGCCTGTAGTCCCAGCTACTCGAGAGGATGAGGCAGGAGAACGGCATGAATCCAGGAGGCGGAGCTTGCATTGAGCCGAGATGATGCCACTGCATTCCAGCCTGAGGGACAGAGCAAGACTCTGTCTCAAAAAAAAAAAAAAAAAAAAAAAAAAAAAAGGAGGGTTTCTAAACTTCTGAGGGTAAAGTAAAGCCTCTCCTTAAATATCTGTGGAAATATGAAACACATTGGGTCATCAAGATTCCTCAATTTTGTAGCTATGACTTTTTAATCAATAGTTTTTGAACTCTTTTTTTGAGGAGGTCTTTCCTGGGTAACTTGGAACTCTACTTCTTCTCTTTAGAACAAAAGTGGATAGTCCTCCACAGATATAATATATATGAGGACATTTTATATCAATGTAATTATACAATAGGTGGCCTTTTGTGACTGGTTTCTTTCACTTGGCATAGTCTTTTCAAGGTATATCCATGTTGCTGCATGTATCAGTATTGCATTCCTTTTGATGGTTGAATAATATTCCATTGCATGGATACATCCCATTTTGTTTATCCATTTATTGGTCGATGGAAATTTATATTGTTTCCACATTTTGGCTATTGTATTACTCCTATGAACATTCTTGTTCAAGTTTTTGTTTGACACTTGTTTTCATTTTTTTGTGTGCGTGCATATACCTAGTATTAGAATTTCTGGGTTATATAGTAAATTCCATAAATAACTTGTTGAACGTTTGCCAAACTGTCTTCCAAAATATCTACATCATTTTACATTTACACCGGCAATGTATGATGGTTGTAATTTCTCTGACTTCTTTCTAACACTTGTTCTTGTCTTTCTTTTTGATTTTAGCCATTCTAGTGTGTGTGAAGGGCTATCTCCTTGTGGTTTCGATTTGCATTTCCCTAATGACCAATGCTGTTGATCATCTTTTTGTGTGTTTATTATCTATATGTATATCTTTTTTTGGAAAAATGACTATGCAAATCCTTTGCCCATTTTTTAATTGGATATTTGTCTTTTTATTGCAAGTTGAGAGGATTCTTTGTATTTTCTGGAAACTACACTTTTATTGGAATTATGATTTGCAAATATTTTCTACCATTCTATATGTTGCATTTTACTTTGTTAATATGTCTATAAGTGCTATATCTTCTTGATGGACATTGACACTTTATAATTATAAAAAGTCCTTCTTTGTCTCTAGTGCAATTTTTTTAAATTAAATTTTGTTTTAAGTTTTGGGATATATGTACAAGATGTGCAGTTTTGTTACACAGGTAAATGTATGCAGTGGTGGTTTGCTGCACCTATCTACCCATCACCTAGGTATTAAGCCCAGCATGCATTAGCTGTTTATCTTGATGGTCTCCCTCTCCCCGGCCTCCCCAACAGGTCCCAGTGTGTGTTGTTCCCCTCCCTGTGTTCACGTGTTCTCATTGTTCAGCTCCCACTTATAAGTGAGAACATATGGTGTTTTGTTTTCTGTTCCTGTGTTAGTTTGCTGAGGATGATGGCTTACAGCTCCATCCACGCCCTTGCAAAGAATACGATCTCGTTCCTTTTTATAGCTCCATAGTATCTTGTGTTTCTTTTTGTATGATATTATTATAGCCACTCCAGCCTTCATTTGGTTAGATTAGATGATACATTTTTTTTTCAGAAATTTTGCTTTCAAACTATTTGTGTTTTTGGATCTAAAGTGTACCTCTTTTAGACAGTATGTAGTTGTATCATTTAAAAAAATTCAATCTTCCAATCTCTGCCTTTTAATTGGAGTGTTAATTCATTTACATTTGATATAATTACTGATATATTAGGATTTATGACAGCCATTTTGCTGTCTTTCCTATATCTTTTTCTTGCCCTTATATTTTTCTATTACTGTCTGTTTTGTGTTAAATAGATGCATTATTCTATTGCACTATTTTAATTTTCTTATTTTGCTAAATTTTTTGAGTTATTTCTTAGTGCCTAGTATTACAATTAGCGGATTAGCTTAAAAAATCTAATGCATAATAAAATCAGCTAAATTTCAATAATATACAAAAACTTTACTCCAGTCTAACTCTATTTCTTCCCTCCTCCTTTTTGCTATTTTCTCATGTAAATTATATCTTTATACATTGTAAGCCGACAAGCACACTTGTGTAATTATTGCTTTATGCAGTTGTCTTTTACATCAGATAGGGGAACAAAGGACTTAAAAACAAAAGATGCATTTACATTGTCTTTTATTTTTACCTATGTAGGTACTTACTGGAGCTATTGATTTCTTCATGTTGCTTCAGCTTACTGTATCATGTTCTTTCATTTTAGCCTGAAGAAATCCCTATGGCCTTTTTTTTTTTTTTTTCTAGGCCAGGTTTGCTAGCAACAAAATTCTTTTGGTTTTTGTTTATCTGGAAATGTCTTACATTTTCCTTTATTTTTGAAGGATAGTTTTGTTGAATATAGGATTCTTGGTTGAGGGTCTTTTTCTTTCAGCACTTTGAATATGTCATGTGACTGCCTTTTGGCTTCCAGTTGTTTTTGATTATAAGTCAAATGTTAACTTATTGGGGAATTTTTTTGTAGGTAATAAGTTGTTTTTTTCTCACTGCTTTCAAGATTTTTTTTCCTTTCCAGGTTTTGACAGTTTGACTATAGTGTGTGTACATGTGGATTTCTTTGAGATTATCCTCCTTGAAGTTTGTTGAGCTTCTTAGATTCATAGATAAAACTTTCATCAAATTTGTAAAGGGTGCCATTATTTCTTCAATTATTCTTTATGCTCCTTTCTTTCTCTCCTCTACTTTTGAGACTCACATTATACATGTGTTGGCATATTGAAAATATCCCATGTGTATCTGGGTACTCTTAATTTTTGTAAATTTCTCCAGACTTTATCTATCTTCAAGTTTACTTAATTCTTTCTTCTGCTAGCTTACATCGGCTTCTGAGACCCTCCTATGAATTTCACACATCACTTATTGTACTTTTCAAGTCTAGAATTTCTATTTGGCCCGTTTTTTAAAAAAATTCTATATCTTTATTGATAGTCTCAATTTGGTTATTCATATACTCCCTTTTATTTCTTTAGACACAGTTTCTTCTAGTTTTTGACTGTATTTGTAACAGCTGGTTTTAAGCATTTGTCTAGTAAGTCCAATATCTGGGCTTCCTTGCACAATATTTCTATTGAATACATTTTTCCCCATTGTGCATGGGCCATGCTGTGTTTTCGTATGCCTCATAATTCTTTGTTTAAAGCTGGACATTTAAAATAACATTATGTGGCAATTCTGAAAATCAGACTCCCCCCTTACTTACCATAATTTTTCATTGTTGCTTTTGTTTTGGTTTTCATTATTTACTGTTTAGTGACTTTTCTGGCCTAATTCAATAAAGTCTGTAAGCTTTATCATGTGCAACCACTGAAATCTCTCCTTGGTTAACTTAGTGGTCAGCCAATAATTGGGCAGAAGGTTGGTTAAGTGCTTTGAACTAATAAGTGTCCTATCCTTTCCAAAGGGTTTCTCAGTGAGTGTGTGTGTGTGCATGCATGTATGTGTGTATGTTAGAGTATGCCTCAAATGGAAGTTGACAGCTTTAACTTAGCCTTCACTCCTGTTTTCAAAGACCCTAAGGGTCAGTGAAAAGTGATATATTAAGTCAGTCTTAGGTCTTTCCTGAAAATACACATAGCCTCACACATGCATGTGACTTTCTAGATCTCCCTGAATATGTCAGAGCTTTTCCAAGAACTTTGTGGACATCTTGCCCCCAAGACCTCATTTATGTTTTTGTTTTTGTTGTTGTTGGCCCACCTTTTAAAAATCTTACTTTTTTTGTTTTAATTTTTAAATAACTTTTATGCAATAAAAACTGAAAAATATTCTTTTGTTGAGTGTTTTTCCTAGACAGAAGATACTCAGATAATGTGCTGATATTTTCATAGACACATTTACTCACATTTTGTATGTATAGATGATTAAAAAACTTATAAATATTTAGCCTTTTACTTGTCCTTCTCTACTGACAGGTCTTTGGAGACAGGAATTATATCTTGTTTACCATTCTGTGTACAATAAACTAGCACGTTGGTTGACACATGTTATTCAGTCAATAAATACATAGAGGCAAATTTTAGCAGAAGAATTTATTGAAGCAAATATTATGATTGATTTTCTTTTAAAGAAATGCCTAAACATCTTAATACTTTCATACTTGGTGATAACTGCAATGTGAGATAAAATGCTTTTGTCATTTGTGTAAAAAACCCATCTGAGTGGCTGTGTGCAGTGGCTCATGCCTATAATCCCAGCACTTTGGGAGGCCGAGGTGGTGGATCATTTGAGGTCAGGAGTTCAAAACCAGTCTAGCCAACATGGTGAAACCAGATCTCTACGAAACATACAAAAATTCCAGCTACTCAGGAAGCTGAGGCAGGAGAATTGCCTGAACCTGGGAGGCGGAGGTTTCAGTGAGCCGAGATTCCATCACTGCACTCCAGCCTGGGTGATGGAGTGAGACTCCGTCTCAAAACAAAACAAACAAACAAACAAACAAACAAACAAAAAGCCATCTGAGCTAAAATATTCAATAGTGTGTGTGATATTTCAAACAACTTCTGACACGTTCCATAGAAGTTCTCATGTTTCAGCATGCATTGTTTTCATGAGATATTTCTGTGTACCATGGAAGAAACTCCTCCCTAGCCAGCATCAAGCAGCTCAGTTGCTAACTGAAAATCTTTAATTGTCAGAGGAGGAAGATGTTTACAAGACTAACCTGTCACTAATCTGGTATACAAAAATTCACCGGTTGCTTCTGTCAAGCATTCTATTGATGCCTTCAATAGAAATGTTTTGAAATTTGCATGTTATGTTTTGTCATTTTCAGATAGAAAATCCATGTGTGGAAAATAATACTTAACATTATTACTGTATTTTGTATATGTCTAATGATGCTTTTCAAATGAAATCAATAGGTATTTAAAATCATCTTTTATTTTTTAACCTCCAAATTTACTTTCAATTGAATTCAAAATTTGCATCTGTGTTATTTTAATTATGTATATAAAAGAATTAACAAATTAGCTTGCGCACCAGCCTAAGAAAAATGTAATGTAAAGTTCTATACTTTTCTTTTTATTAAGTGACTGCTTTAACTTTACAGGAATTAAAAATTTGCAAGGGAGGCATTTGTTTTTATGGAAAACTGTAGGAAGATATACTTTCTTTGTTGCTGATATGATTGAATGATATTTTTGAGTCCAATTTCTGATTGATAGAAAATGAATACACCAATATATACAATGTCAAGAAGCGAAACATCTCATTTAGATACATTACAGAAGTAATTGGTCCTATTTTAATGAATATATCATGAAGAAATCTGAATTATCTAAATGTTCTCCACTCCCTCAAAATCTTCCTGGCTTAAAAAATTCAAGTCATAGAACTTCTATAATATGACTAACATTCAGAGTAATTTTATATTAATCATATAAGATATAAACCAGAATGTCCTCCAAGCATATATAGTTTGTGGTGCTTGGAGCCAGAGATATTGTAAAATAAGAGAAGAAATTCAGTCGTAGGACTGACCCTTTGCTCCATCAAATATAAACCATAATTTCAGCAGTCTGATATTAGCATTCTTTTCTGGATGAGACTTTATGCCATTATCAATATAGAGTACCTTGATAACAACTTAGTAGCACTTAAAGTAGATGAATATTTAAGTAGAAAAAAATAATAAGTTGTTTAATCTTATTAGAAATACCAGTTTGCTGGGTCTGTTAGCTAATGCCTGTAATCCCAGCACTTTGAGAGGCTGAGGTGGGAGGATTGCTTGAGCACAGAAGTTTGACAACAGCCTGGGCAACAAAGGGAGACACCGGCTCTAAAAAAAAAAAAAAAAAAATTAGCCAGGTGTGGTGGTTCATGCTTGTGGTCCCAGCTACTCAGGAAGCTGAGGTAGGAGGATAGCTTGAGTCCACGAAGTCAAGGCTGCAGTAAGCCATGATCATGCCATTGCATTCCAGCCTGAGCAACAGTGAGACCCTGTCAAAAAAAAAAAATAAAGAAAAAAGAAAAAAGAAAATTGATTGGAGGCTTATTATTTATTTAATTTTTAATTGATTGTTATATCATTACATAATCCCAGCATGATTAGCAAAAGCAACTGAGAAAATATCCTGTGAAAGAAAAAGAAGTTAATTCTCAGTGTTTTAACTTAATAAATGATATGATCAATTCATTAGAAAATATGTGGAACAGAGCATTGATTTACTTATTTTTTGCCAGCTCTCTCATTTAATGGCTTCTGTGGTGAAAGTTAAGCTTCTCAACAGCAAAGAGACTACAGACATAGATGTTGGGCACATACACCTGAGAATCCTAGTACTTGGGTTTAAAACCCAGCTTGTCTACTGACTAGCTGTGTAACCTTGGGCAAGATGACTCAACTTAACTTTTTTATTCTCAGTTTCTTTTTCTGTAAACTGGGGATAATATTCACTACCTCAGATTGTCGGTATGAAGGTTAAATGAAAAGAATATGTCAATCATTTTGAACAGTGCCTGGCATATTATAAGTACTATATGCGTTTGTCAATATTACTATTATTATATTATTTTACAGGACAGAACACATTAGAAATTTTAAGAATAATCTATTAGTTGTCATAGCTAAATAATATATTTATATATTGCTTTTACTTTAATTATCTATTCACCATTAATTTAAAAATAGATACCATTTTTACTTCTTCTGAGCTTTTTGTAGAATGGAGGCATCTGGGACATTTTCACCAAATCATTCATCAGAAGGTCCATTACCGTTAGTTGAACTAATGGCTACTTGCACCATTAGCTTAAATCAACTAACAGGCAGCAGCAATTTCCTCAGTATTTTTTTATAAGTGACTTTTTAGTCTGCTTGGACACTTATTTGGGTTTAAATGTAAAAAAATCATTAAGGATTTATTTCTCTACTTATATATTATAAGAAATCTTGACAAATACTAATATTCTAGCTCATTTCCTGCTCCAAATTCAGTGCGTATCTTTTAAAAGCTTTTACTTAAAGAACAGAGGGAGGAAAACTAAATTATTGGAGGTCAGGGCAGATGGAGAGTACATATGGACTGTTTTTCTAACTGTAGTGAAGTTCTAGATTTTTAAAAATTTTTTAAATTTCTAAAAATTTCCACCCTGTTGCTGACCAATACTTTTATTAAATACAATAGAATTGAACTTCTAACAAAGGTGATCATGCGAGTAGATGACATAGTAATGTCAAATTGCCATAAAAATTTCTAAGCTTCTACTTTTAAATTCCATATCTTGAAATGCACTGGTAACAAATAATTTGTGCAATGGTACCTTGGATAGCACTAATATAGAGCACATTAAGATGGAACTATTTCCATGGATTACTTTAGGACACTGGTTTCTTAGGTAAGTGGTAACAAATTTCCACCATCCTCCACAGAAGTGGCTTTATATAATTACTTATTACTCATTCAGTATTTAAATTCTAATTTGAAACTTTAGTATAGTAACAGAAAACAATTCAGGATTTGCCTGCATACTAGGATGGGGGGATATTGACTAGAAAGAGTCATAAGAAACTTTCTGGGGTACTGAAAATGTTCCATACCTTCTTTGTGTTGGTGGATTCACTGATATATACATTTTTAAAACTTTTTGAATTATATGCTTAAAATGAAGGCCCTTTATTGAATGTAAATTGTATCTCACTAAAGTTGGTTTAACAATACAGGTTTTAGAAAGTATGTTGTTTACTTTGTGAGGAATGAAGAAATTGAGGAATAGACCTAGTTCTTTCCTTACTTCCAAGATAAAGTATTGTGGACATACCTCTTTCTCATTTTGCTTCTTACCATAACCCTGTTGTCACTCACCATGCATCAGGTGGCACTGTCTGGTGACAAGAACCCCATGGGGTTGGAAACTTCTGCATGTGATAAAAGTGGCTGTTGTGCTCGTTGCGTCATCTTTCTTGGCCTGAAGAAAGGTACCTTTCCATTTTCACAGAAGCTATATCTTTAAAATAAAAAGATCCTAAGTTTTTTCACAAGAAAATTTGAACTCCTTTTAGAACATATTTTATTGTTGTTTGAAGGTTAAGTAAATTTGGGTTCTTCTCAAAGAGTATTTTTAAATTAAAATTTTAAAACACCCAAATAAAATTTTAACAAATTACACAAAATATAAATATTTTTGGGGGAGGAGTAACCATGCATCAAAATATGGAAACTTGAGATTGATCTACTAAGAAAATCACAGAATAAACATACAAAGTTTCTCCATAGTTTTTATATTACAGACACATTCATGATTTTGTTACTGGCAAAAAGCTATTATATATCCAAGTTGACAATACTGATTGGTTACTCAGCATAGGCGAAGAAAAAATTTTTCTCTACCATAATCACAGAGCATTTTAAGCAAGTTTCTTCTATCATAATAGCATACTATACTACGCATTGAATGAGCAGTAAAAGTCTTTTAACAAACAAATATATTGCGGGCTACCTAAAACCTCAGACTATATGGCGAGGTGATTTTTCTTCTAAATAGCATATAAGAGTGCTCATTTTAAGTTGCCCAAATTTCCTATCTTTCTGTCTCTGTCTATCTAACTATCTATACATCTATCTTTCTATCTTCCTGTCACCTATATAGGCATAGGAGAATTATTTTCTTTATTTTGCCCTAGTTTCAATAATTGAGTTTTGAATTTAAAATAATATTTGCTTTTTTCCTGTTTATTACATAGAAAAGTATGAGAAAAATTAATATTACTCTTAATTCATAATACAGAGATAATCAGTATTAATATTATACTATATATCCTTTATTTTTTCCCCCCAATGACCACATATGTAAATAGCAAACTTGAGGTCTGACTTTCTTTAGCCAGAAAACCAAATTTATTATTTGATATGGCTTGGCTGCATTCCCACCCAAATCTCACCTTGAATTGTAATAATCCCCACATGTCAAGGGCAGGGCCAGATGGAGATAATTTAATCATAGGAGACATTTCCCCAGTACTGTTCTCATGGTAGTGAATAAGTCTCACGAGATCTGATGGTTTTATAAATGGGAGTTCCCCTGCACAAGCTCTCTTGCCTGCCACCATGTAAGGCATCCCTTTTCTTCTCCTTTGCCTTCTGCCATGATTGTGAGGCTTCCCCAGCTATGTGGAACTGTGAGTCCATTAAACCTCTTTTATTTATAAATTACCCAGTTTGGGGTATATCTTTATTAGCAGTGTGAGAACAGACTAATACATTATTATATATCAGGGTTTCAGATAATGGAGAAGCCTTGAATAGAGGACAAGAACCCAGGGAGCTCTGGAGGACTAAACAACATGCTCTTCAGCCTTGTTCACATAGCAGATGTCAGCTTATGAATCAGACTCCCAACTGTTTCCTCCTCCTTCAGTCACTTTAATTGCAGCCAAAGAATACAATTTTCTGTAAGCCAGAGAGAGAGATGGAATCAGCAATTCTGGCTTCCACAATGGGAGGCTACTACTTCTTTCCCTGGACTGTCATGGTGGAGAATTCCCCAGAGGAGTTTGTGATGCTGGAGGAAGTGGGTGGTTGAGTGATAGATAGCTAGAAACTTACCAGTGACCACTGTGGGCCTCACATTTGCCCATCCAACATCCATACACACCATCTTAATATATTCATACGTTAAAACTTATCTCCACCTAGCAGAGTGAGACATCTCTCACACAACTAACAGGAAATGATCCAAAGTCGAGTTGGTTCCTACAGGCAGATCTGAATAATCCCAGGATAATTATATGCAAAACTGCAAAGTTAACTACCCACAAGTTATGTATATTGAAAGACTGAAAAAAGAAGAGAGAAATGATTAATATCAATATAGTCATGACATAAAAAGGAGGGAATATAAGAGGAGGGTGTAGTCTCTGCTTCTACAATTTATCACAAGGCTTTTGCTGCTAGTTTTTATGTCCTTTCTTTACTATTCATTCACTGTTCCTCTTGCCTTCAGTCTTCACCTCCGCTAGTCTATATGGGTTTTTTCACAATGGAGTGACCCAAACATTCATTCCTGAGGTATCTGCATTCATGTGGATTACACTCACGTAGGACTGCCCATGCCTCCTACTCAATTATGTGTTTAAACCTGGCAGTACAATGAGGCATCCCAGGATTCCCCTGGTTTCTCTTCTCCCTGTGCTCAATGTGCAATAATCACTGTACCTTTTCCCCCTTTATACTCAGAATTTTACTCAATTGCTGACCCCTCCCATACTTGTTTTTTCAGTGGCATAAGGATCTTAACACGGTCAAGTGTCAATGGCAGCTCCATCTTCTTGTTTGGTGGAACTATGCGGTGTCCCTGGTAGAAGTCTCTCTCCATTGGATATTTTGACAGAGTGGGTTTTCAAAAGTGGTCACATAAATATATCCCCTCCCCCATGCTCATTTTATTTTGTAACTTTGATAGTCCTCTATCAATATGTGGGGGTCTATGTTCCCTTCCCTTGAATCTTAATGGGCCATGACTCCCAGGGAAGTAACACTGTGTGACTTCTCAGTCTTGGATATGAAAGGCAATACAGCTTCCATCTGGCTTTCTCTCTTTCTCAAGACATGCTTGGAAGAGGCACATGTCATGCTTGGCTTGATAAAAGAGGCCCAGCTATTCTGAAGCCACCATGCAGGAGTGATCTTGTAGAGAGAGCGCAGAGCTAGAAATGCTCAAGGAGTTCCAGCTACTCCAGTTCTCAGCTATTTGGGTCTTCCCAGTTGAGAGTTCAGATGTGTGAGTGAGCGGGCTTTCAGATGATTTCAGCGCTTAGCCTTTGGGCCTCTTCAGCTGTTGCTATTCCTGAGAAGCCCAGTCTAAACAGCACATTCATGAGAAAAGTAAATGTTCTTGATTTGTAAAGCCAATATATACTGGGGAAGGATTTATATGGAGAAATAGATAACCCAAGTAGATATTATAATCGCTAAACCAGCAGAGCCCAGAGTTTCTGGGATGGAAGGCAAACATTTTGTGAAAGCGTGATTAGATGCAATTGTTAGTGGTACAACCTCCACTTCCACTCCTTGGCTCCTGAACCTGGATATTCTAGATATGGGAGAAAGCATTATATTACCATATTATGTTCACTGGTTCAGATAATTTTCTATACCCTGTGAGAGAGAACCAAACATTTAAAACTAGAGCTAGCATTGTGACTAAGAACTTGATAGATCATTACAGGGTTGTACAAAGCCAGCTACTTCTGGAGAATGAAGGTGCATATGAATTCCACATGTGTTAGTTCATGCCATATTTCTATCATTGTAAAGTGAAGTTCTTAGAAGCAATGCTGTGGCCAGTACTGTACTTCTGTATCAGATACTTGTTATTCTGCAGATGCTGGTGTTGGCTCTGTTGTGAGAGGTGTGGAGAACAAATCTAAACCCAGAATAAGTGTTTATTCCATTTATTGCCAGTGACTCCCTATTTCATGGTGGAAAGAGTCCAATGTAAACAATTGCCAAGCAGCTGCTTAGTTACCTTGAAGCACAAGATCTTATCAAGAGTTCAAGGTTAGTCACTACTTCTGGTAAGCTGTATATTTGGCAGAGGCTCTGGTCAGATAAGCAAGATATGGATCCATTTATGTCCTCTGTTCTTCTGCCCATGGCCACTGCTTTCATGAGTCTGTTGAATAAACAGGTGAGGTGGGGAGGAATATTGAAGAAGAAATTAATAGAAATAATAGTTTTGTCCACTTGATTCATGAAAGCCTTCTATATAGTAGTGGTCTTTTGGCAGGCATTCATATGAGACACAAATATTCTCACACTCTCACACCTTGGGCCCATTCTGAGAGGTCTAATCACGTGCTCCTTC
Source organism: Homo sapiens (assembly GCF_000001405.40). NCBI lineage: Eukaryota > Metazoa > Chordata > Mammalia > Primates > Hominidae > Homo > Homo sapiens. The sequence continues at coordinate 61,806,054 of NC_000008.11, forward strand.
CCCAAGCCACTTTGTCATCATTCCTCTCTTCTTGCTTTTTCCAAGCCCTTGACCCTCTGGTCAAATGTTTTCCATTTCTCATAATTTAATGTAGACATTAACAATTCATCTCTTCTAGAAAAAGTGGACATTGAGGTATGCTGTTCAAAGTTCTGCTCAGTGAAAGTGTTTCACTTCATCATTGTCCTCTAAGCCCACCCTGAGAGGCCCGTAACACTGCACAGGTCTCCTCTGGCCTGTATCAGTATAGGAGGCAGACCTAACTGTAAATTAAATTTAAGTTTCTTCAGGTGAAAGCAAAATGTTTAGAAATGTTTATATTTAGTGCAAAAGAGAAGCTAATATTTTCAGGATAAATAGCTATATGCCAAGCACTAGAGTTTGTGTAGATTACTTTAATGAGATAAAATCTGAAATAGCAGCTTTCATTTGTGTCATCATCTGATTAAGTTTAGGACAATTCACTGTCGTTCTCAAAAACCCATTTATCTTTGGTGTACTGCACTGGAAAATTAAATGGAAATGAGATAAATTACCACCCTGGTATTATTGAAGTTTTATTGATGTCCCTATCCCTGTGATTTTTCTGGGAATGTGAGAGTTTTTGATGTGCTTTTAGTGGGAATGAGAATTCCAAGGGCTTCCACTTGACCTTTTCTACCACAATACCTATTGATGAAGGAGTCAATGTGGGAATTCTGACAACTTTTACAGATATCCTTTCAAAATATATTACACAATGGGGTTTAACTGCAGAGTTCTTCCCAAAGAGTACCCAGTCTCCTCTTTATTCAAGGGCCTCTTTGTTTAAGAATTAATTAAACCCTAAGGATTGAATGAGGACTACAATTCTCTATTGTGGTTGCTGTAGACTGAATTCTGCTCACCAGATCTGTTTTTTTTTTTTCTATACAAATAAAGCAGGACCTTATTGGGCTGCTTATCTCTGTTGGGTCCAGAAAATCCCTGTTTTGTGATGGATATTACTGTGCTCAGACCATGTGATTACCATGTGGCTACCTGGTTCTTATCAGGATAACCATGCCCACTTTGCTTTTACTTAAATGCTGCTACTTGACTTTTGATAGCCTAAAGTCCTTGAATTTATTTATTTATTGTTTTTTATTTTTGAGACAGTGTCTCACTTTGTTGCCCAGGCTGGAATGCAGTGGCATGATCATGGCTCACTGTAGCCTCGACCCCCCGGGCTCAAGCAGTCTTCCCCCCTCAGCTTCCTGAGCAGCTGGGACTACAGATGTGCACCACCATGCCTGGCTATTTAATTTATTTATTTATTAGAGATAGGGTTGTGCTACGTTGCCCAGCTGGTCTCAAACTCTTGGGCTCAAGCGATCCTCTCATCTCAGTCTCCCAAAGTGCTAGGATTACAGATGTGAACCACTGCACCCGGCTTTCTATACTCTTCATGTCAGCAGGAATGCAGCCACCTAAAGCCTTACCCTAAAAAGAACTTGATTTGGGGGGACCATAGGTGACAATTTAATTAGTTTTGTAGCTACTTTGTAAAGTCCTGCATTCCCACCTGGGGTTATTATTGAGAATTTCATTGCTTTCTGCTTTACCTTAGACAGGTGACTAGATTCAAATTCTCCATATTCCCTTTGGAGCCTGTTACCTACACCTCACTTTTTGGAAATAATTTCTGTATCAGGTAGGATTTTTGGATGCAATTAGCAAAAATAATCTCTTAGCAAAAAGAGGGATATATTAAAATGTTATTGGAACTTGCAAAATTGATGGGGGCTAGACCATAGGCTTAAAGGGCATGCTGGGATCAGGAAGTTCAGAGGGCTGGGCAGGAGAGGTGACAATATTTTAAGACAGGGGCAGGGCGGCCAGACCACTGTGGTTCACAGTGTGAGAAGTAGGTCTACTCTTAGAAGTGATTATTCTTAGCTTGTATTTACTTCTTTTGATCCTGGCAGACTTCTAAACACAAACAGACTTCTCAGCAAACAAACTTAAATGTACACATATCCTTCAAAATATTTGAAGAGTTTAGTTTAATTAAAAGTCGTTTCCACTACCTCTAAAAACAGTTTTTATATTCAAAATATCCATCCTACTAGACAAACACACAAGAGAGGAAAGACATTAAAAATTTTCCCATTTCCAAGCATGAATGTCTTTGGGCCATTTATCAAAGTTCCCAAAGAAAGAATTGCATGTAATTGAGACAATAAATACATAGACATATGATAAAACAATCAACCTGAACATTCATGGTTCAACGTATCCTAGAATACCCAAGGGACAACATCTTGGTTCAGAATTAGATAAATTAATTAGGACAAATGTTCTTATTAATTCAGAAACAAAATGGTTTATTTGAAGATTTAAAATCAGACAAACACTTTTGGAAAAACATCTATGAGCTGACTGAACTCGGCATCCAATGAAGAGAATAAATATTTGAATTAAGAGTATTTTAAGAATTCAGATTGTGATGGCCCGGTGTGGTGGCTTATGCCTGTAATTGCCGCACTTTGGGAGGCTGAGGCGGGTGGATCACCTGAAGTCAGGAGTTCGAAACCAGCCTGGCCAACATGGTGGAACCCCATCTTTATTAAAAATACAAAAAATTAGCCGGGCATGGTGGTGCTTGCCTGTAATCCCAACTACTCAGGAGGCTGAGACAAGAGAATCGCTTGAACTTGGGAGGCAGAGGTTGCAGTGAGTGCAGATATCACCATTGCACTCCAGCCTGGGCAGCAAGAGCAAAACTCCATCTTAAAAATAAATAAATGGGAATTCAGATTGTGGCAATTAAATGGAGGATGGTATGAAGTACAAAGAAGCAAAGAGACTGAAAATCATAGATGCTACTTATCTTATGGGAAAAAAATAAACAAAAACCCTAAACAAACAAACATGCAAGAACAATAGGCTTCATTTTCTTTCTCTATTTTTGAAACCATGGAAAAAATATAGCCTAGTGGTTGATAATTTCACGTGGTGTGATGTTCCATGTAAACCCTCAGAGGGCTTCCAATTGCAAAAAGAGATTATCCACAAGCAGAGAAAATGGTGAAGAAAACTTAATTGGCTGAATTGTAAAGATCCCTCTCTCAAAAAGGAAAGCCTTAGGCCAGGTGCAGTGGCTCGCATCTGTAATCCTAGCATTTGGGAGGCAGAGGGAGGAGGATGGCTTGAAGCTAGGAGTTTGAGATCAGCCCGGGCAACATAGAGACTGTGTCTCTAAAAAAAAATAATAATAATAATAATAATAAGCCGGATGTGGTGACAGGTGCATGCAGTCCCAGCTACATGGAAGGCTGATGCAGGGGGATAGCTCAAGCCCAGGGATTTGAAGCTGCAGTGAGTTATGTTAACACCACTGTGATCATAGTTGTTGCCCAGGGTAGAGGTTTAAGCTGTCTTAAACCTCAGCTTCCTCTAACCTGGGCTACAGAATGAGACACTGTCTTAAAAAAAAAAAAAAAAAAAAAGACAGCCTTGTAAACTGTAGTTAGGGCAGACAATTACTGAGTGATTGCTTCAGTTCACCATAAGGGAAGCAAAAATGTGTGATTTTGATTGGTCTAAGAAAGAAAGAATTCTGTGCCTGTCTCTGTCTCTTTCACTTTGCTTAGGTAACATTTATTTGTCCTCACAGCCTCATGGAGGGGAGACCACCTGTTTCTTGCTCCCAGCGGGTGGTCATGTCGACAAGGCTGTTGGTCCTGGTGATGGCGGTGATGCTGCCCAGAGTGGTGGTCGGGTAGTGCTGGAAGGATTTGAAAACCCAAAGATTATCTTCACATGCTTGTAGAACAGATTTGAGGCCAGTGTAGCCAGAGAGAAAGAAGTGGTTCCCACAAAACAATTCAGATTGTGCTCCATAGCCCTGAAAAGTCTTCCTCAGATTTACCCTCTATCAAAAGCAGAAGCTGAATTTGAAAATATCTGTTTCATTCTTTATGTATGTTTCTGTGCTAACTATATAATTTACTGGAGGTGAATTATTTTATTTTGGAACGCATTTTTTCTTTCTTTCTTGTTTTGAATGAAACAAAATGTCATTTCTCAAACTGCCATGTTTTTCCTTTGGGATTTTTAGATTCCACGCTTACTTGCTGTGGACACTAGGGGTCAGCAAAGAATAGATGTGTTTTCCATTAGCGCTCAAACTTAAGCTGCTGCTGTCTTACGCTGCGTAAAGATTCAAAAAAGGCCGGCGCGGTGGCTCACGCCTGTAATCCCAGCACTTTGAGAGGCCGAAGAGGGCGTCATCATCTGAGGTCCGGAGTTTGAGACCAATTTGGCCAACATGGTGAAACCCCATCTCTACACACAAAAATTAGCTGGGCGTGGTGGCGTGCGCCTGTAATCTCAGCTACTCCGGAGGCTGAGGCAGGAGAATAGCTTGAACCTGGGAGGCAGAGGTTGCAGTGAGCCGAGGTCGCGCCATTGCTCCCCAGCCTGGGTGACAAAAGTGAAACTCCCTGTCAAAAAAAAAGAAAAGTTCAAAAACAAGCCTTGGTATTATGCACCATAGATATTTAGATATCTGTTTTTGATGGAGTCTTTTGAATGATCATTATTATTGCTTTAACCTACATTCACTATTTGTTGACAATGAAACATCTTTCCTAAAAGCTTAAAAATTAAGGTTTTAAACAGCATACTTTTAATACTTATTCCAAAGATTTTCCTGATAATATCACACAATACAAATAATCATTTGAGGAAAGTTTAAATATAACATTCACAATCAAATGAATGATAATTAGTAATCTGCATTCTTTTAGCCTAAATAGGCAATGCACCTTTTCTTATGCTTACTGTCCCAGTTCCTTTCTCTTCCCTTCCTCTTTTTTCATATTACTTAATAATAAAAATTATAAGTACAAGAATAGCAATGATGACTTCCTACAGTCTCAGAAAACTCTTGAAAATCAAATAAAAATAAATTATAACAAGGTAGAATTAACAAAATTCTTGCTGGATTTTAGTATCCAGGTTGTGACACACTTATAAGGATGTATTTTATGAATTGCACTTTAATAAGTTCGGCTTCCTTACTTATTCCAGTGTGCCATATGTACAACCACACACACACATACAGGAATAAATAAACACTGTGTTAAATTTTTCATTGTTCCATTGCTAGCCAAGGTGAGTTAATCCACTGCCAGTTAAATTAACTACTTGGAAATAGCAGCAGGAAGAATATTAAAAGGAAGTAAAAGCACAAAGAAGAACAACTTTTAAACAATGAAACTAAAGTTGAAACTATTCCAAAGAACATATGGGGAGGTTTCATATTCCTGTGACCCCCTATAACCAATGAGGTTAACATGGGTCAAGTTCAGATGAAAAGAGTTTCTCTGCAGATAAAATGTACTTCTTACCTTATATGAAAATAACTTCCAGACTGAATAAAAAAATAAAAGCATCTTTTTCCCTTTAAAAAGTATGTATATTTTTTCTTCATTCAATTTTATTAGTTCATACATTTCTAGAGAGCAATCACTAAGTTGTTTTCTGTTTTGTCTAACATGACACTCCAAGCATATGGATCCTTAAGAAGACTGCACTCCTCTAAAAGAGAGGATTAATAAAGGAAATATTCTTGAATTTCCAATTATATCTGTTGCCCAGTGTAGTCAATCATTTTCAAATTCCAGGGTCTTTACCTGAAGAATCATTTGATAAAGAAGTGTCAAGTCACAGTGTGGAGGGAAGATGTCCTAATGAGGTTCCTGGCGTTGAGACACTCTGAGCCCAGGAGAGTTCTCCCTGTCAGTCATCTCCAGCTTGCTCTGACCCGGCATTTTGTGGACTGCAGCCCAGCTCACCCTTTGTGGAGAGTCTGTAAGCTCTCCCTGCCAGACAGCTCAGATCAATTGACCTTTAATAGTTTTTATTGTTTACGCTGCCCTTTAAAGTATCCATCATCTTTTTTTTAAACCTCTAGTCTAAAGATCTTTCCAGACCTAGACAAATAGAATGCTTCTTTGTCTAGGAAAATGAAGATTCTTCTCAGGGTTTAGAGGTGGGGATAAAAGTCCTGGGGTGGAGAAGATCCTGGGGCTACGAACAGGGCACACATTTGTTCCTCTTTCTTTTTTCTTTCTTTCCCTTTTTTTTTTTTTGAGACAGGGTTTCACTTTGTCACCCAGGCTGGAGTGCAGCGGTGTGATTTTGGCTCACTCCAACCTCTACCTCCCTAGCTCAAGCAATCCTCCCACTTCAGCCTCCCGAATTAGCAGGCCACCATGCCTGGCTAATTTTGTTTATTTTGTTGTAGAGATAAAGTCTCACTATATTACCCAGGCTGGTTTTGAACTCCTGGGCTCAAGCAATCCTCCCACCTCGGCCTCCCACGTTTTGAAATTACAGGTGTGAGCCACTGCACCCAGCCTTCCACCCTCTTTCTGATGCTGCTGATAGGGAAGAAAAAACTCTCCATATTTTTGCTTTGGGACACACCTCTGTCTTTATTTTTTATCCTAATGGCAAGCTCATAATTCTAAACTGAAGGAAAAAGATGTGTGTGTGTGTGTGTGTGTGCATGTGTGTGTGTGTGTACATGCCTGCCAAGAACACATTTTTTAGCACATTCTCCAACCATACTCATCATCCCCCCTCAATATGATAACAAGTGAGGAGCTTTTCTTTTACTCTAGTCCCTCAGCAGTTCCTTTACCATGACCTCTGAGTCTTGAGGGTCATGCTCTTCTCTCTAAATCCCTGGGGGCCTATGGCCACTGAGCTGCAGTAAAGAAGAACTCCAGCTTACAGGGAGGCAGAAATCAGAACAAAGTGCTACTTAGAATTTTTCTTCATTGCACCTTCCATAGTTAATCTTTAGGAACCTAAAACACATCAAGTGGTAATGTTCACCTCAGTGCTTTCTTTATTTTATTTTAGTTTTTAAATTTTTGAGACAGATCTCACTCTGTCCCCCAGGCTGGGGTGCAGTGTCACAATCTCGGCTCACTGCAACCTCAAAGTGCTGGGATTACAGGCGTGAGCCATTGTGCCCTGCCAGTGCTGTCTTTAATATAAGTAAATATATGACAAGGGGGAATAGCAAGTATCATAAATTCTGGTCTCATTTCTGGTCTTAAACCTGAGCTTCCCTCAGAGAAGAATGAACTGGCCGGGCACAGTGGCTCAAGCCTGTAATTCCAGCACTTTGGGAGGCCGAGGCAGGTGGCTCACCTGAGGTCAGGAGTTCGAGACCAGCCTGCCCAACATGGCGAAACCCAGTCTCTACTAAACATACAAAAAATTAGCTGGGTGTGGCAGTGGGCGCCTGTAATCCCAGCTACTCCGGAGGCTGAGGCAGGAGAATTGCTTGAATCTGGGAGGAGGAGGTTGCAGTGAGCTGAGATGTGCCACTGCACTCCAGCCTGGGCGACAAGAGTGAAACTCCGTCTCAAAAAAAAGAATGAACTAACCCTTCCTTCCTCCCTCCTTCCCTTCTTCCCTCCTTCCCTCCTTTCCTTCCTCTTTCCCTCCTTCCTTCCCTCCCTCCCTCCTTTCCTTCCTTCCTTCCTTCCTTCCTTCCTTCCTTCCTTCTTTTTCTTTCTTTCTTTCTCTCTCTCTTTCTTTCTTTCTTTCTTTCTTTTTCTTTCTTCCTTTCTTCCTTCCTTTCTTTCTTTCTCTTCCTTCCTTCCTTCCTTCCTTCCTTCCTTCCTTCCTTCCTTCCTTTCTTTCTTTCTTTCTTTCTTTCTTTCTTTCTTTCTTTCTTTCTTTCTTTCTTTCTTTCTCTTTCTTTCTTCTTCTTGATGTCTTTGCAAAGTACACCTAATAGCACTCAGTGCATAGGTCTGAGTGTCCCAGTGTATGAATGTCTAACACATTATATCTTCTACTCATTTCATTCTGAGGGCATCCTTCATTGAAAATCTCTTTCCTCCTGTCCACTCTCCCAAATTCCCTTCTCCACTGAGCACATTTTTCATTCTGCCCCTTAGCTTAATCCTCCCTCCCCCAATTACTCCCTTTGTAAGTTCTTAGAGACCCCGAAGTTATCTTTGATGCTTGTTTCACTGGCCCGTCAAGTGTGGGGGCTGCACATAATAAACACTCCCCAGTCAGTTAGGCACCTTCAATTAAAACCTCATCTTTTATGCTAGCCAGTCCCACTTCAATAGCATCTCTTAAACAACAATCACATATCACACGTTCCAGGGCTTTCTAAAACAGGTAACAGATGCTGCTAAGATCTGGCAGGCTCCCAGAGTGTAGCTGTCAGTGGCCAAAACTTAGTTGCAAAGGTCCCGATACTCTTGGGTTCAACAATAATTTCCCTCCCGATGCTTAGATTTTAGAAAACAAATCCCCTCTGTTCTAAAGCTTTAGGTTTCTTTCCTCTCTACTATGAGGTAAAAATATGGTGGAGGTAAGCAGGCTTGGCTATTGTAGTGGGTTGAGTGGTGGTCTCTAGGAAGATATATCTAAGCCCTAACCTGCTGTGTCTATGAATGTGATCTTATTTGGAAATAGGATCTTTGAAGATGTAATTAGGTTAAGAATCTCAAGATGAGATTATCTTGGATTCAGGGTGGACCGTAAATCCAATGGCATGTATCATTATAAGAAGAGGAGCAGAAAGAAAGACACACAGGAGAGGCCATGTGAAGTCAGGGGCAGAGATTGGAGTGAGGAGTCTATAAGTCACGCTATTCAAAGGCTCACCAACAACTACCAGAAGAAGCTAGGAGAGTATGGAGGAGATCCTCCCTTAGAGCTTCCAGAATGAACCAAACCTGCTGACATCTGATTTTTGAGTTTTGGCCTGCAGAACTATGAGAGAGTCAATTTCTGTCATTTTAAGCCACTTAGTTTGTGATAATTTGTTGTGGCAGCCCTAGAAAACTAATAAAGCTATTGTAATTTGATTAATGAAGAGATTTTCCTTCTTTTGTACCAGCTATGACCCTGACAATGGATATAGTTGTTTCTGCAGCCCAGAGTACTAAGATTGCCATGCATTACCAATGTCCTTTCCATGTCCAGTCTGGATGGGAAGGATTGCTATTCTCTGGGACCACTCTTCCTGAGACAGTGGTGTGACTCTTAGTGGCACACATGTAACCAAATTCATCAGTTAAATTTGGACATGGCAAATTTTACAAGCTGATCCGTACTGTTATTTGTGTGCACATTTTATTGGTGTAAATTGATTTTAGCTCTTTGAACAACAATATTATATATTTTGTCCTCTCCTGCCCTGCTCATAGGCCCTGATGTGGTATCTTTCAGAGAGCCAGTGCTCAGTGGGGTGTGAGATGCCAAATGACCAGACTCTCCAGGGTTCAGCAGCGTGACTATAAAGAGAAGAATGCTTTCAAAGAATTCAAAAAGGCAGGGATAGAAAAGTGAGCAAAGAGGTTAAATTTACATCACATGTTAAATCCCCTAGTGATCCTTTTGGGAAGCTGGAATCGAAGATGAAGGTGAGTTGTAAAGATGAGCATTGTCACTTCTGCTTTGTTGCCCCTCCCTCTGCTTCCTCAGTTTCTCTGACTTGTCTTCAGTTATGATCTCGGGCCTGGCTCCATTTCTTAGCTAATCCTGAGACCCATCTCTTTTATCCCATTTTCCTGTCCTTGTACCTCACTCCTTCCTCCTTCAAAATCCTTACCTCCAAATTAAGTTGAGATCTAAAGCCTGATTGAGGAGTAGTATTTTCCAGAACATGGGCTTGTTCTCTCTGCAACAGTCACATAAGTGGGTGCATCAGCGTTCACTTATGTAGGCCCAATCTCAGCCCCTACCCCATTCTCCCAATGATCCTCATTTAGAGAAGTGGCACTGCACAGGCCCCTGGCTGGTTTTGTTTAGAGGCTCATCCTGAGCTCTCGTGTACTCATTTACCACCTCAGTTCCTTGTTCAGCCCTTCAGTGGCCCTCACTTCATCCTGTTTCTATGCTCCAACCAGACTTGGATACCTAGAATCTAGAGCAATAACACCTGTTCACCTGGGTCCCTGTCTACTGGTAGCTACTTGGTTGGAAGTCCTAAAGCTGACAAACTCTAGAAATGGAACTGGGAATCCTGGGGCCCTTCGGACACCTAGGGACTTGAACTTGTCTGCACCAGGGCCAGCTTTTAAGGCCAAATTAGCTCTCTTCAGATCATCTCCAACTCCATAAATGGAAGATCTGTGGAAGCCTGGGTTCCTCTTCTCTATGACAACACTGTATTTTTGGGCACCTTTCTTATATGTTGTCACAGCATTCCCAAGTTATAATAAGCATTTAAATATTGAAAAGGGTAAAACAGAATGATAAGACAAAGATAAAAAGTTGTTCAGGTACTGATTTATTGGGCTGTGGAACTAAGCAGGTTGTGCTTAATGTGAACATTTTGAATAATAAATAGGAAAGGTTAATCATTAGTTAATACCCCACTGAAAATAAAAAGAAGTAAGGCTTAATAGCTGTGGTCAAATACCACTATTCAATAAGAAATGCTAAAGATGATATGGAAGTGTGGTTTTAGGACATAAAAGGGAAGTGTACATTATTCTTGGCTCACTCACCCTGTGTGTGGGTGATGTTAAAAGAAAACAATGCCAAATGAAATCTAAAGGGAATTGGAGTAATAAAGCATCACCAGGTGCACTCTACTTATCCTCACAGAAACTCTAACCAACAGGTGTATGAAGAAAGCAAATTTGTAATGGCTTTGCAAAATAAGAAATCAGTATTAAAGTCCTCAGAGAAAGGATGCTATGAAAAGATTTATATTAATAAATCCAAGAAGATCAGTAAAAAAGTATAGAGAAGGAAAAACCTTCTTCAGCTCCACCATTCTAAGTTTAGGAACCAAACACAGCTATTTGAGAGGGTCTTTGGGCTAAGGGAGGGAGTAATTTTATTGGGAAGTGAGAAGCCTTTATAATGGAAATGTCTTAACAGGGCTTGGTACTTCTTAGCATATTTACAAGACTCAAAATTGTCTGGTTTACCTTTACCAACATTATCTTCGGATATTTATGAACCTGTTGTTAAAATCATGGCTCAGTAATGGGAATCGCTTGACGAACTGAATCCCAATGGAAGGTTGTCTTACTTAAGACAGAAGATTAGCATGGAAGGTAGAGGCTTCGATATCAAGAAGTTAAACAGATGTAAGAGAAATTACTCTGAAGAAAATAAATAGAAAATAGAATGAGTCAGACTGTCTTGCAAAATGCTGGAGGGAAGGGAAATTGGTAGAAAATTTTCCAGTCAGTTATTTTGTAAAATACATAGAATCTAAAAAAAAAATTTCACCTATTAATTCTATTTTCCCAATTCTATTTTCTCTACTCTAGTTTTCTTAGTATAATATAATTCAAACAATTATTTAACTGAAAATAATACAGATAAGTATCATCTTTCACTGTACTGTTTTAATAAAAATCACCAAAAATAAGAGGTACTAGAGGGCATAATGCTTGCACAAATAAACATTCATGGTGTTAAAATAATTATTTAGGAAACAAAACTTTGGAAATGTTTAGATATTGGTTGTTGTCCCTAAGTGGTGTGCCCTTATGTGAGGATTTGAAATATTTAGACTTGGTTCATTTTAATACTGAACAAAATTAAATCAACCAGCTAGTAAAGTACGGCCAGATCTTGTACACTTTTCAGCTCGCAATATTTCCATTCACAGTGTGAATGGTGCCTGTATCAATTAGTGTTCAACCAGAGAAAAAGAACCAGTGGGAGATATATAAACAGATTTATTGCAAATGACTGGCTTACACAATTGTGGGGTTGGTTGGACAAGTCTGAAGTCTGCAGGGCAAGCCCTAATGAAGGGCAGGCTGGACCTCTTGGGCATGAATTGAATGGCTGCCCACTGGCAGAATCTCTTCTCCTTCTGGAAAGCCTCAACTCTGCCCTGAAGGCCTTTCAAACACATTTAATCAGTCCCACCCAGGTTTTCTACACTTGATCTTAGCCAAAAGGCCGAGAAGCAATCTATCCAGGTTTTCTAAGTCAAGTTTCCTTGCGTAAAGTCAACTGACTACGGACTTTTACTACATCTACAAAATTCTTCAATGACAGCAACACTCTAGATTAAGTTTGATTGAATAACTAGGGATTAACACAAAAACTGTTCATCACAGTTCACTATGGGTCAATTTGGCATTTAAACACATGTCCTTAGTTTATACACAATCTCCAAATACAGACAATAACATGAACATACTTCTGCTGTCTGTGGCAAAACTATCCCATATGCAACCAAAAACATGCTCACCCTTTCCCCAGAAGACAATGCAAAGTCCTCGGGTGATGTTCACTCTTCTGTAATATAAAGTTAGTTATCATTCTTATGTCTTATATTAGATAACAAGTGAATAAGAGGAAAGCAAATATATTTAGTTCACAACAACTAAACAAATATTTAGTTCAAAACAAACATTCACAAAAAATAAGGAAAATACTCATAACTATTATAGTCTTCATTTCTGCAACTGATCATATGGTCCTAGCTGATATTGATAACTACACTATAATACTATATTTTCCCACACCCATTCAATATTCCCTTTGCCCTCAACAAGCATCTTAGCTGGTCATGGTTTTGTGCCAGAGGGGGTGATTCTACCTTCATTCCTAAAGGGTTTGGGTCATTAGAAATCTTACCTAAATTGACTTCTGTTACTTTTCCATAGACATTAACTACAAGACATGCTAGTACTATGAGTTTCCCCAAGGACTCTTTTGTGTTCTAGAGATATTCTTCATTACCTCCATTGTGTACTAGAAGCCCATTTTTTCCTTGGTTATCATGGCCAAACTGTAATAAATATAGTAACCTCATTCTTTTATTGTTCTTTCAGAGGCATGAGTAATCCAAACTGTTTGTGTGGCAGTCTCAATTTCTAGTTCAGTGGGATCATGTTTTGTCTTCTGGTAGAACCATTTATTCCTTAAAAACTAGAATCTCTAGACTAGAAAAACTGAAGGTCTTAGAGATGTTTTTAAAAATTGCTGGTAAAACACTAGGGCTAATAGTAAGTGGAACCACTCCCATTTTCCTGCCTTCAATTTTGGTTATTTGAATTATGACTATGGTAGTAATAGCAGCATATATTGAACATTAATTTAGAGTACATACAGCATCCTGGAGGATGTCCTAGTCCCTGCCCCAGTTTTTCAATTTATTTCCACCCAACTATTATTATAACTGAGTCTTCACCATGTTATTTCATCATTCTATCAAGCTAGCTGCTTCAGAATGGCAGGGAATATGATCATTCTGTAAGCTCATAGTTTTGGCAGAAACATTGCATTCAGGAAAGGCAAATCCATATCCAGACTAAGTGTCTATTTCTTTAAGAAAAAACCACCACCTGTATCATGGTGGAAGTGGTCCAATGCAATTAAGTTGCCACTAGGTTACCTGGATGATTACCTTAACGAATGAGTCCATATAAAGCACTCAGTGTTGGTCTCTTCTGCTGGTAGACTGGGCACTCAACAGTGGCCATAGCAAGGTTGGCCTTAGTGAGTAGACATAGTGCTGAGCCCATGCATGGGTAAGCCCATGCGTAACTGTCACCATTGAGTAATGACAAGAATGGCTGGGAAATGAAGCTGACTGGTATTGACGGGATGGATCATTCTATTCACTTGATTAATAAAACCCTCCTCTAGTGAAGCAACCCGTGGTGAGCCTTTACATAAGACATAGATATCTTCAGATTTGGTGCCCACTTAGAGGGTCTCCATCCACATACCTCAGCAATTTTCCAACAATGTTTTTTCCAAGCTCCTGATCTTTCAGCCAACCCATTGGCTATAGCCTATGAATTAATATAGTCTTAAACCTCTGGCCATTTCTCCTTCTGAGTAAATAAACAACTGGGTACACTACTCAAATTTCCACCCACTGGGATGGTTTTCCTTCTCCACTGTCTTCAGGAATGTCCACAATGGGCTATAGTGCTTCAACCATCCACTTTTGGGTAGTGTCTGCATATTGTGCAGAACCATCACTAAACCAAGCTCAAGTTTTGTCTTCCTCAGTCAACTAGTTGTAGGGAACTGGTTATAAGGCCATATCTGCAGACTAGGAGACAGAGTAAGTAGTGCAGCAAGAATTGGGGTCATGAATATTTGGCTCACTTCCTGATTAAACTTGTGCCTCCAGGGCCTACTTAAGCCTAATTTTATATATAGGACTTCCACATACAATAATGCAATATTTTTGTGCATTCCCAACTTTATGGCTTGTAGAACAGACAACATCCAATATGTGAGAGAAAGCTCTGGTCATATGGTTACTTGGTTGCCCATAGCTAAGTGTTCAGTTTAAGGCTTGGTAGCAAGCTAAAAACTGTTTCTCAAAAGGGGAGCAGTAACGCACAGAGGATTTCAGGGCTTTGCTCCAAAATATAAGGCATCCACTGTATTTCCCCATAAGTGTGCAAAAGTCTTCAAACAATATCTCTTTCTGCTGCTGACACATCAAACACCATTGCATCTTCTGAATCATATGATCCAAGTGGCAGAGCAGTTTGCACGGCAAACTGGACCTGTTTCAGAGCCTTTTCTTTTTATACACCTCAGTTAAAACTAGCAGTTTTTTCAAGTCACCCAGTAAATGCTGGAGTACCATACCCAAATAAAGAATATGTTGTCTCCAAAATTTAAAGAGGCCTTATAAGTGTTGTGCTTCTTTTGCAGTTGTAGGAGAAGCCAGATGAAACAACTTATCCTTCATCTTAGAAGGGATATCTTGCCCTACTGTACACCACTGGACCCCCAGAAATTTCACTGAAGTAGAAGGCCGTGGCATTTTTCTAGATTCATTTTTCATCCTTGGACATGCAATTGTCTTACAACTACGTCTACAGCAGTTGCTATTTCCTGCTTCGCAGGTCCAATCGCCATAATACTCGTCTGTAATAGGCCCGTGTGATATCTTGTAGAAGGGAAAGGCAATCAAAGTCCCTGTGGACTAAATTTTAGCTGAATTAATTTATATGGACTAAATATAAGTTTAGAGAGTTGATATACCCTAGAGGCAGGATAGTGCCTCCCGAGTTCAAGCGAGTTCAAGTGCAGGTTTATCGGTGGCCTTGCCAGCTAGACAAACTGCTTCTGCTTGTCTATGTTATCAGATATCAAGAAAAAAGCATTTGACAAATCGATGGCTGCACACCAGGTACCAAGGGATGTGTTAATTTGCTCAAGCAATTAAATCACATCTGAAACAGCAACTGCAATTTAAGTTCACTTGATTCTGTTCCTGGATAATCTGTTGTTATTCTCCAAGATCCATCTCTTTTCCACACAGGCAAATAGGCAAGTTGAGTGAGGGTGCGGTGGGAATTGTTACCTCTGCATCCTGATGTTGGCATTAATGTTTGCAATCCATCCAGAAATAAGATATGGGTTTTAATTTGCTATTTTTCAAAGTAGAGGCAGTTCTATTGGCTTCCTTTTGGTATTTTCTTACTATAATAGCTCTCGCTTTAGAGGTCAGTAAACCAATATGGGAATTCTGCCAGTTGCTGACTATTTCTATCCAATTATTTATTCTGGAACTGGAGAAGTAACTGCAGGATGGGTTTGGCGACCCACTGGGTCACTATAAGATGGATCTAAGCTAAAACTCCATTGATCTTCTGACCTCCATAAGCTCTGACACTGACTGGTGGACAAACTCATGTTTTGTCTCCAGAAATTAGTATCAATTCACAGCTGGTGTTCAGTCAGTAACTCTCCAAAAGTTTCATCATTTTCTTTTCCTCATTGCACAGTCACCTTGATAACAGGCCATGAGTTCCTTTGTGGAAGGCTGAGAGAGAAAGATTAACAATATAAAGTTTTAACCGTGTACCAGGCATTCTCCTCAAAAGGACCCAGCCTCCCTTTCATTCAAGGAGTTCTGGGTCTATAAATTAGCTCAAGTTGGGAAACGGGTTAAGGAGCTCAGTCTGTCTGTTTTGGTGATTCCTGCTAGACTTCTGTTCACTAGATACAGCTCTCTTCTGCTAATATAGATCAAGTACTAATTTAGTAGACTGCCCATCTATTCCTTTTCTTTTCTTTTTTTTTTTTTGTGAGATGAAGTCTCACTCTGTGGTGCAGGCTGTAGTGCAGTGGTGCTATCTTGGCTCACTGCAACTGTCACCTTCTGGATTCAAGCTATTCTCCTGCCTCAGCCACCTAAGTAGCTGGGATTACAGGTGCCCACCACTATGCCTGGTTAATTTTTGTATTTTTAGTAGAGATGGGGTTTCGCCATGTTGGCCAGACTGGTCTCGAACTCATGACCTCACGTGATCCACTCACCTCGGCCTCCCAAAGTGCTTGGATTACAGTGTGAGCCACTTGCCTAGCCCTATTCCTTTTCTAGGGACATCAGGATAAACTGGAAAACCCCATGGGTTTTGGTGAATCAGATTTTTTTACTACTACCTTGGCTCTGCTGTCCTTTACAGTAGCCACACCCACCTTGTCTGAGGCAATGAAGAGCCACCACTTGGCCCCTGCCACCCTGAGATATTGTTATACCCATTGCACTTAGAGATCCTTTTTTTTTTTTTTTTTTTTTTTTTTTTTTTGCGGCATGGGGATGGAGTCTTGCTCTGTTGCCCAGGCTGGAGTGAAGTGGTGCGATCTCGGCTCACTGCAACCTCCGCCTCCCGAGTTCAAGCGATTCTCCTTCATCAGCCTCCCGAGGAGCGGGGATTATAGGCACCTGCCACCATGCCCGGCTAATTTTTGGATTTTTAGTAGAGACGGGGTTTCACCATGTTGGCCAGGCTGGTCTCAAACTCCTGACCTCAAGTGATCCACCCACCTGGCCTCCCAAAGTGCTGATATTACATGTGTGAACCACTGTGCCAGCCTGAGATCCCATTTTGATGATGTCAGTTCCCACTGTACTTTCTGACCTGAAGAGAGATGAGAGAGCTCTTCAAGGAGGCTGGGACATCCTTCAAAAATCTATTTCTCAAAGTTGTGGTGAAAACTGTGTCTTACGGACCCTATCAGGTCAGTTGAGGAGATCTTTCTTACATGATCTTTCGAACATTCCACTTTTCTTAAGCCTTTGGATACCTTATGATACAGTGTTACAAGTCAGTTCTAACATTCAGCATTATTTGGCACAGGCCACCTTCAGGTTCATGTTTCTGTGAACCCACCAACCAAACCAAGCCTTTTCTAACCACTCAAGCTAACCCAAATATTTGATTAGTGGTTCATATCAAGAAATTTGGCTAGATTCAACTTTATATTTCTTCCACTACAATCTTACATTCTTACAATGCATTCCCACATGAATTCCCCGGGTTTCTGTCTGTATAAACTGGAAACATCGTGCAGTTCTTTTCTCATATGGCACACCTTCTCACAGCTTACATTTTCTACCTCACCCTTGGGGGCCTGCTGTGGTTGAGTCTAATTATAGGTCTAGAAGCAAAGAGGAGTACTGGCCTTGGGCCCTAAGGAGAATCAGCAGTATCTTTCACGGCAGTTACCTCAGGGAAAGCCATTACAGTTTCTTCAGGCTAATCTCCTCAGGCAGGGTGTAGAAAGGCTGCTTCTTGACAAAGAAGACTAAGCTTCATTGTGATCTACCCATATGTCCCCCTTCAAACTTTCAGGATCCCCTCCCTTCCCAGTCAAAGCTCTCTGCTTAACAAAAGACACCCTGCAATGTTGAGAATCTAATTTGCATTTTAATTTAGCCACTCACAGGGTTAGACTCTGAATTTGGTTTTCAGAAATTCTTGCCCCTGGGCTACAGATGATAAAGGTTTCTTTCAGGGCAGACAAAGAAGCTTTCAGATTATTTATGTAGAGATTGAACTGAGAATTTGAAACTCTGAGCTTATCCTATTCTTTCTCCACTTTCTTTAGTACAATCAGGAATAACCAGCCAAACACATTGTACTCTTTGGTTTTACTAAAATGTTCTAAGGTAGAAAATACGCCATAACCCAAATCTCACCTTTCATAGGTATTTGATTAAGAGTATCCAGTGTCTATATTTTGTATATCTCTATTGTTACACTGTGACATGAACTACCAATGCCCTTTTTACCACTGGAATAGATCAATAGGTGTCTTTAAATCTAACCATATTAGGGAACCAATTTCAGAAACCCCAGAACCAATACAGAAAACTCACTCATTTGGCTCTAGAACCCCTTCCGGTATCAAAATCTGTATCAGTTAGGGTTCTCTAGAGAAATATACATGGTGGGAGATATATATTAACATATTTATTACGAGTAATTGGCTTATATGATTGTGGGGGCTGGCTGGGCAAGCCAACTGTATTAGTCCATTCTCACTCTGCTATAAGGACATACCCAAGATTGGGTAATTTATCAATGAAAGTGATTTAATTTACTCACAGTTCCCCAGGACTGGGGAGGCCTCAGGAAACTTACAATCATGGCAGAAGGGGAAGCAAACACATCTTCTTCACAAGGTGGCAGGAGAGAGAAGAATGAGAGCCAAGCAAAGGGGGAGGCCCCTTATAAAACCATAAGCTCTTGTGAGAACTCACTATCACGAGAACAGGATGGGGAAAAGCTCCCCCATAATTCAATTACCTTCACCTGGTCACTCCCATGACATGTGGGTATTATTGGAACTACAATTCAAGATGAGATTTGGGTGGGGACACAGCCGAGCCATATTACCAATGTCCTCTAAAATCTGTAGGGAAAGCTACCAGGAAAGGCAGACTGGAACTGCTGGGCATGAGTTGAGCCTGTTGTCCACAGGCAGAATTTCTTCTGTCTGAAACCCTCAGCACTGCTCTTAAGGCCTTTTAACACAATGAATTAGGCTACCCAGGTTTTCTAAGTCAAGCTCACTTACAGAAAGGCAACTTATTATGAACTTTCATCATGTCTATTAATTGCCTTTACAGAACATCCAGATGGGGATCCAGGTTGAATAACTGAGGTTTTAGCCTAATCAAGCTGACAAGTAAAACTTACCATAATAGTGCTCATTAGAAATGGTGCTGCCTGAACTCATGAAAGATGTCTGACCATCATTCTGTCATACCCTGATAATACTGATAAGAAAATTGGGAATCTAAGAGAACGTAAGGAGAGTGATGGTGACATATTGAACCTAAGGTGATACTACATGATCCCTGTTTCTGGCATTACACTCTTATTTTCCCCTCCTCTTCAATGTGGGTAGGACCTGTGACTTGTATCTAACCAATAGAATATGACAAAGGTAATAGGTTGTTATGCGATGTCATAGAAGACTCCATAGTACCAGCTGACTCAGTCTAGAATCTTGGTGTGCTTGCAGGCTTTGAAGAACAAGCTGCCATGAATCCTGCAGCTACAAGGAAATGAACTCTATTAACTTGAGTGAGCTTAAAACTAGATCCTTCCCCAGTCAAGCCTCCAGGTGAGAATTCAATCCTGGCTGGCACCTGGATTGCAGCTTACAGAAGACCCAGCTAAGGCCATGTCTGGACTTTAAATCCACAGGAACTGCAAGGTAACCAATGTGTGCTATTTTAAGCTATTAAGTTGTGGTGATTTGTTACACAGCAGTAGAAAGCTAATGAATCCTGTCCTGCCTGGCCCCATGCCTTGTCCTTTCTCTGCTAAGCTATATGTTTCCAAGTAGAGTCCAACTACACTGTACTGCTTTAGATGAAGGCACTCAGGGTCAGATGCAGGCTGCCAAGGACACAGTGTTTGTTATCAGCAGAGTGCTGAATTGGAAATTCTCTTCCACTGAAAATTTAAGGAAACTAACTGAGGGGTTTGTGACAAACTTGAAAGCAGGAGTTAAAGTGGTTCTGCAGAAGCTGTTGCCGTTAATGGTGTTAAAAATGACCAGAAGGCAGAGAAAGATCAAGATAAATGATATTGTTTCACAACATAGAGACCTTTGGAAAATGAGAAAAGGATGGTTTCTGTGGTCTAAAGGGAGATAAATTAGATTATGTCAGGGAGAAAATGATGAGGTGCTCAGTATAATGTTTATAAGAATGCAGACATTTGAAATCTTAGGAAACTGTTATTGGAGACTTAATATGGCTTTTTACTTGTAAATCATACCTTTTTATAAAACAGTATATTAGAAAATATGATAGCAATTATGGCTACATAAATTCTTTTCATTTAACCTAAGCCTATGGGGATATCACACAATTTTGAAAAAAAAAGCAACCTGTTCTTCATAAGAAATCCCCAATAGACCAGAGCAAAAGTTACTCTTCCTCACATGTAAATTTCCAGAATTAGATGGGAAATATAAGCAGCAGAGATATGGGGTTAGAGATCTGGGAACACCTGTCAGATGAGCACTAGGTCCCACAGGGGTTCTTGTCATTTAGTACAGACACACTATCATTATTTCAGCAGAGTGGGAAGACCTGTTCTAACATGGAGCATCTGGGAGTGGGGTATGGAAACCACCACTCTTAGGACCAGAAAAACCAGTGTGAGACTCCAAGTGAACCACTGCTACAAACTCAGAAAGATTGTAGCCATTTTTAAAAACTTGTTATTTTGATGTCAATGGCAAAACAGTGAGGGTATTTACTTTTTAAACCTTCTTCAAATAGGTAACTTTCATGTTCTTCTTGACACGGGCTAAAACTTACCCAGTGGGCATTTTATTAAAAACTAACAGCCTAGACTGGGCGTGGTGGCTCATGCCTGTAATCTCAGCACTTTGGGAGGCTGAGGCGGGTGGATAGTCTGAGGTCAGGAGCTCAAGACCAGCCTGGCCAACATAGTGAGACCCCGTTTCTACCAAAAAATATAAAAATTTAGCTGGGCATGGTGGTGGGCACCTGTAATCCCAGGTACTAGGGAAGCTGAGGCAGGAAAATTGCTTGAACCCAGGAGGCCGAGGTTGCAGTGAGCCGAGATCGTGCCATTGCACTCCAGCCTGGGCAACAACAGTAAAACCCCATCTCAAAAACAAACAAACAAACAAACAAACAAACAAAAAACTAATGGCCTAATCCTAATGTTTTCAAAATGGGCAGAGTTGTCTCATCAATAGAAATGGTTTATAGGATTTAAAAGTAAATGGAAAAGTATTATGTGTCAATGTGTCCAAGAATAAGAAAGGAAGGTTAATTGCACATTCAGGGGGAATCTAGTAGAAGAGAACCTAGAAAGCAAAATTGAAACAGCTTTTTTTTTTTAAAGAAATGATAACTTTATTTATATACATTCTTAGATAGCCAAAGTGATGGTAAACATTTAGATTTTTCTTTTATTTTAGTTTCAGGGGTACTTGTGCAGGTTTGCTATATTGAAGCAACTTTTATCCTCTAGTAACCTATGGCTATGAGTCTATTTTTGTGAATTGTTTTAAGTGCTACATCACTGATACTGTTAATGGCACAGTATGTGGAAAAGCAGACACTGATAACTTTGTGTTGAAATAGGATTCTGAATAGTTGGGTAGGAAATACAAAGAAGTCTTTGAAAT
The DNA here is from genome assembly GCF_000001405.40 of Homo sapiens. Lineage (NCBI taxonomy): Eukaryota > Metazoa > Chordata > Mammalia > Primates > Hominidae > Homo > Homo sapiens. The sequence goes on from NC_000008.11 coordinate 61,827,492, forward strand.
ACTTTAACCAACTTATTTCACTTATGTTTTTCTTTTAATGTATGCATAAAAGTACTATATGATAAAAATCTGTGTCTAAACTTAAATAATACATTTCAATAAATATAATTAAAGTTTCAAAATAATAAGGAAATGTTATTGTTGAATTCATAGCTATTTTTCTTCCTAGTAGTACGGAAAATAATGTTACCCCTGTAAATAGATTACATCTTCAATTTGATGATCAAATAAGTTCAGTACTTACGATTTTTCTTAGCATTAAATAACAGGAATCTTTTTGTAGAAAGCAAACTAAGGTCCAAGAGATTTGCTTGTGTCTTCTTACAGAGAACTGTTTGATACACGCAACCAGGACTGTATGAGAGGCTGGAAACGTATCTATCAGTACTACTTATCTGTAGTAAAGACTTTTTTAAGCTCATTTATGATTGCACAACCTAAATAACCATACATGGCTGGGCCTGGGAAAGGCAGAAAGGCAGATGGGTGAGTATTTGCCTGAACTGAGTGATATAGGGCACAGTGCACTTGTAGGAGGAGGAGGGGGATTGAATGAAAACCAGAGGGCAGTTATTAAGGCAAGTGGAACTCTGGGGTTTAATCAGCAACATTTATTATAAGGTCATGAACAAATTTTATCCAACTCATGGGTCAATATCCTACTATTATAACAGGGATTCTATTGACACTTAGGGTGGTGACATCTTCATGGAATTGCTGATGTCTCTAATTTTTCAACTGGATCACTTGGCACTCATTTGCAGTTCCTTCCAAATGTAGACTCTAGTTCCTACCTGGTTCAGAATGCACAGGACAATGACTAGGGCTCAGATAAAATGTCTTGCTGTCAATCCCATATAGACCTTGGTGCAACTTTATTGTTTTTGCCTGGTATTCCATTTCTTGCTTCTTAAATCTCAAGTAGATCCCTTAACTGGGTTCCTAAGACCAAAAGACAGTGCTTTTCACCTACTACATACATGCTGCAAATATTTTCTCCCAGTTTGCCATCACATATTTCTGAAATGCAAAATATATATTTGAATATCATTTATTTTTTAACACAATTATACATAACATAGAATACATATAAGCTATAAAAACCACATATTTATGTAATTAAATATATTGTTATTATCTTTTATCACATCCAGATTTGATAAATGAATAGAACCTTTCCTTATCCATGGTGGGTTATGGAAGAACCCTTCCATGTGTTCTAGTACTTGCATGGTTTCATTTTTAACAATTATTTCTCAAGTCAGTTGGAATTTCTTATTTTGTATGGTGCAAGTTAAGGATCCAATTTCATCTTTTTTTCAAATGTCTTTGTTTTTGCTTGTTTTAGAGTCAGGCTCTCTCTCTGTCACCCAGGCTGGTGTGCAGTAACATAATCATAGCTCCCTGCAGCCTTGAACTCTGGGGGCTCAACCGATCCTCCTACCTCAGCCTCCTGAACTGTTAGGACTACAGTTGTATACCACCATGCCCAACTAATTTGTTTGTTTGTTTGTTTTTTGTAGAGATGGGGAAGGCTGTTGGCGGGGAAAGGTCTTGTTACATTGCCCAGGCTGGTCTTGAACTCCTGGGCTCAAGGGTTCCTCCTGCTTAAGGCTCCCAAAGTGCTGAAATTATAGATGTGAACTACTGCCCCTGTCCTCAAATGGCTTATTTTGAATTTTTTGCCCCAGTAATGTAAGACACCATCATCATCATACATTACATTCCCATTTTTTCTTGGATCAATTCCTGGACTCTGTATTTGATTCCACTGGCCCGTCAGTCTATTCAGGTGCCAGAACCACATTGCTTTAGTTATAGAGGCTTCAAAGTCTATTTTCGTATCTGGTAGGATTTCACTTCCTTATGGTTTTTATTTTTCAATGTTGTCATAACTATTCTAACATTTTATTTTTTCCTATTGATTTTAGTATTGACTGGTCTAGCTCCATTAAAATGCCTGTCATTTATTTATTTTTAATCATGTTAAGTTTCTAAATCAACTGAGGAAGAACTCATATACTAATGATGGGTTGAATCATCCTATCCCAAAGAGCAAAGGATGTCTTTGTGTTTATTGAAATCTTCTTCAGGAGTATTTTAAAGTTTTCCTTATAGAGGTTTTGCAAATTTCTTGTTAAGCTCATTCTTAAGTATTTTATATTTTATTTTCTTGCTGGAAATGGGGCTCTCTCATACATTATATCTTCTGATTATTTTTTGTATTGAAGGCTACTGTTTCTTGTATGTTAATTTGACAGTCTGCTTTATTACTTAACTTTTGTTTAGTCTACTTTAACTTTGTTTGCAAATGTACTATCTTTCTATAATATTTTGAGTTAAATGAACTTTTGGAAGATAGTCTGACCTCAAAAACACCATTGTTCTTCAGGAAAAATACATTGTGACTTTTAGAACACAACCCACACATAAAAATAATTGCTTGAATATTTTATCTATGAATATAAAGAAATGTAAAAACACCATATGTTATTTATTTATTTATTTACTGGAGACAGGGTCTCACTCTGTTGCCCAAGATGAAGTGCAATGGCACTGTCATAACTCACTGCAGCCTCCATCTCCTGGGCTCAAGTGATCCTCCCACCTCAGCCTCCTGAGTAACTGGGACCACAGGCGTGCACCACCATGCCTGGCTAATATTTTTGGATTTAAAAAATAGAGACAAGGTCTTGCTATGTTGCCCAGGCTGGTCTCAAACTCCTGACCTCATGTGATCTACCTGCCCCAGCCTCCCAAAGTGCTGGAATTATAGGTGCGAGCCACTGTGCCCAGGCTAAAAACACTATATGTCGTTTTAAAAAACTGTATGGCATGATATGTGCCACTTAATTTATATATTAATATTCTTTTATAGTTTGGATTTAGTGCTATTCCTTTGAATTTTTTTAAACTATAGTCTTGTTGTTAAACAAGAATGTGATTAGAGAAATTTGATATTTCCTTTAAGGAAAGACTTTCTTCGTTTTTTTCACATTAAATGATATATTAAATATTCTGTATATTTAAAGGTTTTTCCAAGTTTGTTGCAGTTTTGCAGTCTGGGTAATTCCTTTTGCTAAGGCAGCACACTTATTTAGTGAACAATAAATGCTTATCTAAAATATTTTAGGTTTGCTTTCTTCACCAGCTGCTGAGATATAATCTTTTTCAACTCAGCATATTGATTTTATGGCCCCTATCATAGCATCCCAGGTTTGGGAAACACCTCAAGAAGCAACTAGTCAGGATCCCTGGCTCCATAGGGAACCAAAGAATTTCACATGAAGATATCCTGCAATTTTTTTCAGAAGCACATTTTAGTGTTTAATAACCCATAATATGCTCAGATTTTTTTCCCGTTATCTATATTAAATAACCAAGGGTGCACAGATTTTGAATTTTAGTTCTAAATGACTGGAATAAATGATCTTTTCTAGGAAAACAGACCTCCACATAGGATCTGAAGAAGTGTTGTAAAATAAATGGAAAATATGACCTCTCTTGCTGGAATAAGAGATTTTCAGTTAAGTGCCCATTTCCACAAAGTGTTTGTGCTGTAGTAAGTTGGGCGATTATCATCCATTGTCTTGGACTCAACCTTCTTGGACTCTCATGAGTAACATTAGCACCGGGATCCAAACTGACAGCACAAGATGAACTATGACACGGAGTCCAAAGATTGTAGTTGTGCTGTCAGGGTGATGGGCTATGCACATGAACAGGCACTCCAGGTATGTGTCAGTAAGCACACTGGGTCGAAGCGGACAAGGACAGGCTGACTTACGGTGTCCGTTGTGCTTGTGCTGTCTGAGCAGAAACTCCCTCCATCCCTCAGCACCACTGTGAGTCTCATCCAGGGCAGGGTCCCCTGTTCTTTTGCTTATCCTCTAAATGCTGGTTTGTCTGATGGTTGACCTTGACATGTCTGATGCTATCTGATTGTGGACAGTCATGTGTTCGCAGGAATAGGCAGAAATTCTAGTGACTGGATAGCATGGTGGTTAAGGGAGCAGTGCCATTCACCACCTGATTCCAACCCAACAGGAAGAATCATGGGCAATGTGTGTGGACAGTGTCTGGGAGAACCTCCCGAACACGCAGGAGACTTCCTTTTTCTTTTTAAAAATAAATGTTATTGTGTATATTTGAGGTTTACAACATGAGGTTATGGGATTCCTGTAGATAGTACAATGGTTACTATAGTGAAGCCATTGAACATAGCTATCACGTCATATGGTTACTTGGCATGTGTGTGTGCAATAAACAAAGGCTTGTTGTCCTAAGCTGCTGGGATTTTTTTGGTTGTTTCTTTTTTTTTTTTTTTTTTTTAATTTTAAGTTCAGGGGTACAAGTGCAGGTTTGCTAGATAGGTAAACTTGTGTCATGGGGATTTGTTGTACAGACTATTTTATCACTCAGGTATTAAACCTAGTACCCATTAGCTGTTTTTGCTGATCCTCTCCCTCCTCCCACCATACACCTGCAAAGGCCCCAGTGTGTGTTGTATCCGTTTATGTAACCATATTGTTTCTTACTGTGGTGTGACTTTGACTCTCCTGACCAATGCAATTTTGAATCACAATTGGAAGGTGCTTCATCTTCCGCTTTTTAAATTTAACATTATGTCAAAAGCATATGGCAATATTTTAAACTAATCGCCCTTTTAAAATGAGGTAAGAGTCCCTTAAGTTGATGCATCATCACTGACTCAACTAATTCCTTACGGTCAATTATTTAGATTTCCTCTCCTCTCCTAATTCATGGAACTTCTTCAGATTAATTTTCAAGAATGAGTTATTGATTTTAATTAAATTATAAATTAACATATTTCTTCCTAGTCTCAAAACACGTAAAAGTTTGAACATCTGTAGTGGGTCACGCCAAGTGGAGCCAATGCACTGTAACTAACAGATGAACTTCACAAGCGTTGTAAATGTGCCATTGAATACAGGAGATAGGCCTATGCCAAGCACCGTGCTGGAGTCTGTAGGTTCACCATCCGGGGCTGGGGCGCTAGTCTCGCTTTTTGGCCAGAGAGTCGTGCGCCGTCACTGGTTTCTCATGGCAGCCACTCCAACCTGCGTGCGCCTTCCCTGATGCGCCCTGCTAGTCGCTCTGCAGGACTCCTGCCTTGTGCGGAAGCTTCCTTAGGGCTGCAAAGACTGGAGGCTCTGAAGGATCTGATTGGCACTGGAGGAAGGGAGGCGTTACCGCCCCCTGTGAGAGCTCGACCAATGAGAGCTGGAAGCGGTGGGTACCCTCCGTAGATAACTCTTGCATCATGCCTCAGATAGACGGTTTGAAGATACAGTCAACTTGTCACCAAAATGTGTCCCGTCCTCCAGTCATGCACTCTCTGTGTTCACCCTCCCTCCTTCCCGGCCTTTCTGCATTTCCCCTTCACTCCTGCTTCACTGGGATTGAGCTCCTCTCAAACATCTTGGCTTATGAAGATTTGCTCAGGCTTTGTTTTCTAGGGAAGCTGGCCATACAAATTACTATTATTTGAAAAGACACTGGAAAAATGAGGGGAAAAAGAGCTAAGTTACTCTTTTTTTGTATTAGCACTTTGACACTACACTCACTTTTTATTTATTTTTTTTTTTTGAGACGAAGTCTGGCTCTGTCACCTGAGCTGTAGTGCAGTAGCACAATCTTGGCTCACTGCAACCTCTGCCTCCCGAGTTCAAGCGATTCTCCTGCCTCAGCCTCCTGAGTAGCTGGGATTATGGCTGCCCGCCACCACACCCGGCTAATTTTTTGTATTTTTAGTAGAGACGGAGTTTCACCATGTTGGCCAGGGTGGTCTGGAACTCCTGACCTCAAGTGATCTGCCCGCCTCGGCCTCCCAAAATGCTGGGATTACAGGCGTGAGCCACCGTGTCCGGCCTACAATCACTATTGTAACATGGCTAAATATATTGCAAAGGAGGCCAAAGATCCTCATTCAAACTCATATTAACTTTATATCAACAAAAAGCTTTGGGGTTTGCACAGCTCAGCTCACAGAGGCTTTTTAAATATTCATAAGCACTAGAGATATACTTTGTGCATGTAACTGGGATACCTTGAGCAGCGGCAAAGAGAGAGAAAATTATAACCTTTCAGGAGACGAAAAAAAAGGTAGATATGTTGGATGATGATTAGGTGCTAGGGGAGACTACTTGTATCTACTACATTTTTTTTAACTGTTGCTCTAACAAGATATGTAATTATAAGTAGAAGTGGAAGTAGTATATTTTATATAAACTAATAAAGAAAATATATTAAATATAAAAAACACAAATGTAATGCATTTTGCCAATGGTTTTAGGTTCCTCGAACAAGTAGTTTGTTTATTTAAAGTTTATGGCTGAAAAGTATATCTAGGAAGAAATTAAAATCCTCTATAATGTTTGTCCTGAAAGCTTAAGTCTTTTAAATCATGTGTACAGTTACAGCAGGCAAAACTATTTTTGTGTTATGCCCTTGAATAGTTCTTGCTCACCAATCATTTAAATTGTGTAGCTTTCACTTCAGTCCTTGTCATGACACATTAGGGTGAGGATGTGTGATGTACCTACCCAAGCGAGGCACTGTAGAACATGTCTCACTGTTTTGCCGCTGAGCAGATGAGAAGCTGGGTATTCATCCACCACTGTCCGTCTGTCATTGACTGAGTGCTGTTTCCAGAATCACTCACTCTCTTGCTTTGCGTGTGGGCACAGTGTGCCCACATCAATATCAAGCTGGGCAATGGATTCCTATATTTCTCAAACCCTATCATCCTATCATTCTGGTGGGTGTGTTCTGTATTTCTGAAAAAGCCCTTTCTTTCCAAGGGCTTTTGTGGGATCCTCTGGGAGCTCAGCTTCTTAGGCTAGAAGTGCCAGGGAATTACTTCACCAAATTCCCCCTTCTACTGGGGCTGCTGGTAAGTACCCTACCTCCTCCTGTAAGATACTGTAAAATTTGCAGGCATTTGTTTACCCTAATGCTACTCAAAATATGCTTTGTTTTCTAGTGCAAACACTTTATAGTCTTGTTAAATTAAGTTTAGCCTAAAGCTGTGTCCTCATGGATTTCAAGTTCAGCCTTTACATTACTCTGTATATAGTGAACTGTAACTTAACTAGATATGGAAACAGTCTGTAAAGTACTCTTGTACCAATAAGCTAGTTTCAGCCAATGAAAGGTGGCCAACTGTTCCAACCAGGTTCAAATAAGGCAAACACTGAGCTGTAACCAATCCAGTTGTTTTTGTACCTCACTTCTGCTTTCTGTACATCACTTTCCTTTTCCTAGTCATAAATCCCCTCCAAGCATGTGGCAGCACAGAGTCTCTCTGAACCTATTCTGATTCTGGTGGCTGCTCAATTTGCAAATCATTCCCCAACAGATGGTATCAGAAGTGGGACCTGCAGTGGGGCATCTAGCAACCCCCAGGAGCATTGAGTGACCAGGCTTGGGACCCACCGGGCGCAGGGTGTCCATTGTTCTCTCGAAGCAACTGAGAATTGTGGGTAAGTTTTCTCTTAGATTCTGAAGCTCCATGGAGTTCTGTTTTGAGTTCTTCCTTTATAGGCATCCTTGGGCATAGACATGGCTATTTGGTATCCAGGATGACTGGGGAAGACAGGAAGGGTACCTGTAGTCATAGTTTCAAAATTATTTTCAGTAATTCATAATCTTAAAGTCATCTTATGTTAAATTAAGTAATAGATAATCATAAAATGGCTGAGTCATTTCTAAATAAGTTAAAATACTGAAACATTAATTATTAAACATAAATACAGGTTAACATATGTTGTTATCTTATTTTCACATGATATAGAACAGCTACATATGTTTAGATCTGTTAAACAAAAAAGTGAGAAGCATAGCTTTCAAAAAATTATAAAGTGGTTTTCATCTTCAAATAGTTTTATAAAATAATTCAAAATTACTTCCTAGGGTTTTCACAAGCAATTAGGGTTACTAAGAGTTAAAATTGTAGTTAATATATGTAATTAAAACTACTAGATATAAAAGAAACAATTCTGTATACAGAGTGTATAAAAATAGCAAGATATATTTTTGGTAAGAAAAGTTATAAAAGCATAAAAAATGTGCATTTGTCAAGAACATATAATTTTGTCCAGTTTAGAAGTTACTTAAAAGTCATTTCAAATTAAAAGAATAAAAAATATGTAGGTAAACTAAATAAATATAAAAAGTTGGAAATTATCTCAACTATGATCATTTTAAAATAGTTTCCACAGTTAATTCCTTAACTTTGATGCATTTCTAGTCTATTGTTGAAGGACTCAAATGTATTTTGTATTTCCTTCAATGAATTTTCTAGCTGTAGAATTTCTATTTGGTTCCTTTAAAAAATCTATCTTCTTGGTAAATTTCCTATTAATATCTTGAATTATTATTCTGATTTCTTTGTGTTGTTTTTCAGAATTCTCTTGAACCTCATTGGGCTTCTTTAAACTCAATATTTTGAATTCTTTAGCTAGGATTCTGAAAATTTCTTTTTTATTAAGGTTTATTGCTAGAAAATTATTGTGTTTCTTTGGAGGTGTCATACTTCCTTGTTTCCTGTTTCATGTGTCCTTATGTTGACATTTGCACATCTGATAAGACTCTTTCCTGGAGATGTATCTCGGTGTTAGTTGGGTGGCATACTTCCCTTTGATTCTGGGTACATGCAGTAGTGTAGTCTCTGATTTCTTTGGCTGTAAACAGTGTTAGTGGTACCTGTGATTTCCTCAGTGGGCTGGGTGGCAGTTTTAGTGAAGGCTGTGGTAAAGCTGTGCTGGGTACTGTGATGCCAGTGGGCCAGTCTGCAGGCCAGTGGTGGCAGTGGTGGGCTGGGTGTGCCTATCTTTGTGTCCCAGGGCAGTGTATTCTGGCACCTGTGTTGATAGCTATCAGCAGGCTAATTCTTGGGCTTCAAGGTGGCTTGCTTGGATTCTGGCAGTGGCAGCAGTAGACTGAGCAGGGGGGCACGTTCTTAGGCCCTCAGAAGTCAGTGTGGCATGGGCAATGTCTGCAGCAGTGGTGAGATGATTCTCTGGATCTGCAGCAGTGTGCACTGATGTTGGTGGTGACTGAGATGGGCTGAGTGGCCCAGTCTGCAAGTTCGCAGGTGGTACTGGCGGGTAGGTGCCAGCTGTGTTGGTAGCGACTGGGAGTTTAGGAGCAACAACCTCAGGCCCCTGGGAAGAGTGATCAGGTGCCCAAGTTGGCGGCTTGAGCAATCCCCAGGACCCTGGGCTGTGTGCTCTGTCTAGGGAGGGTGGGGGGCAAGGCTGGGCTGGGCTGGGCAGGCTTGTGCTGAGGCCCTCAATGATGAGAGTCGGCACTGGTCATGGGGGCTGGGGATGGTGCAGTCCTCAGCCAGACAGAGTACTTGTGTGAGGGGTTGTGGCAGCTGCACTTAAGCCCTGCCACTGGAGAAGGTGGAGCTGTCCTCAGTGAGCACAGCCCAGTCCAGCAGGTGGAAAATGCACATCCCGCTCACACTCCGGTCTAGGCAGGGTTTGCTCTCCAGCTCCAGCAGCGGTATCCTGCGCCTAGCTCACACTCCCACTCCAGCTACAGGAGCCCTCACCCAACTGGCGACCAAGCCCTCAATTTTGCTGTAGGAGGTTATTTCTTGTCATTAAGAGTTTTAAAGCCAAACATAGTTTAAAAACGGGAAGCAGAGGCTGCTGTGTCATTCATTTGTTCTGTAAAAAGAACCCAGTGGGAGCCCAGCTACTATGGCATCTAAAAGTAAAAGCTCTTGGCATCCTGAGCTGTGGCCAAATTCTGCCATCCCTTTGGCTTTTAAGCCATGGAAATTGATTTTAGATCCTCAGGGTTAGAATTACTCACCCCATTCACAATATTATAATTCTTTAAAGAATGTTTTGTGTGGTTGCACTAGAGTTTGCAATGTACATTTATAACAAAGTACACTTAATACTAAAATGCTTCATAGGTAGTGCTGATATCTATCAGAGTTTTCCCAATTCATCTCTTCCTTATAAAATTGCTGTCATTAATTACACATATTCATATAATATAATCATGCAATATGTTGTTTTTGTCAGCTTAAAAGAAAGAAGCCTAAGCATAAAATGTAATTTGAAGAGTATACTTGAACCAAAGTGAGGACAGCTGCCTGGGACCACTTCCAAGTGGCCTTGGGGAGTGCTCTGTCACCTTTGTTACAAGCAGGCTTTTAAATGCAAAAGGGAACAAGTAATGGGCTGATACAAAGTTGTTTGACAGGAAGTCTCATAAGAGAATTTACTTTTACCTCTACATATTATTTATCTTTTCTTGATGGTTTCTTTACATAGACTGAGTTTCTGAATATATCATTTTATGTTTCCCTGAACAAATTTTTATAGAGATATTTTTTAAAAGCAGATTTAGGTTCAGAGCAAAATCAGACAGCAAGGACAGAGAATTCCCATATACCCTTCACTGCCACACATACATAGCCTCCCCACTACCAATATCCTGGTCCAAAGTGGTATATTTGTTACTGTCAATAAACTTTTGTTGACTTTCACTGGTCAATATCACCAAAAGTTCACAGTTGACATTAAAGATCATTCTGGGGTTGTACATTTTATGGGTTCTGACAAATCTGTAATGACATGTATCCATTATTATAGTGTCATGCAGAATAGTTTCACTCCTCTAAATATCCTGTCTTCTGCCTATTATCTCTCCCTTTCCCCTAGTACCTTGCAATCACTTATATTTTTACTGTTGCCACAGTTTTGCCTTTTCCAGAATGTCATACAGTTGAGACCATACAGTATGTAGCATTTTAAGATTGATTTCTTTCACTTAGTAATATGCATTTCCATTTCTTCTATGTCTGTTCATGGTTTGATGCTCATTTCTTTTTAGCACTAAATAATATTTCATTGTCTCAATGTACCAGAGTTAACTCATTCATTCCCCTGCTAAAAGACATTGTAGGAGCCAAAGAAAACTTCCCCTCCACTCTCTGAAGGTTCACTGAAAAGTCAACTCACAAAAGGAGATTATTAGGAAAAATGGAATCAAATTTATTAATATGCACATAAAGGAGAACCATAGAGTGATTACCTCAAGCCCCAGTGCGGTTCAGAAACTTATATACCATCTTGAGGTTACTGAAAGAATGGGGGCTTGGATTATCGTGAAACAGATTATGGTGGCAAAATAGGTTATGGGAGGGGGAGAAGAGAAGGCCTGGCTAGCAAAGGTGGACTCGTTATGTAAATACACTCTCACAGATGGCAGTCCTCAGAAAGAATAAATGGTAAATGTTTCTTTCAGTTGCTTAAAGGTGTCAGACTCTCAGTTTATCATTCCTAGATCCAGACAAGGAAAGGCCTCAGAAAAAGCCAGGCTGCATCAATGCAGATCTCTACAAAGCAAATCTCCCCTACAAAAGACAACTTTTCATTTCTTCTTGCACCTTCAGCCTTTCTTAATATCTATCTTCAAGGAAATATATTTTAGGGTGAAATATTTGAATTTTCTTCAACATCTGGGTTGCTTCCCAGTTTTGGCAATTAATAAAACTGCTGTAAACATCTATGTGCAGGTTTGGAGTTGGACATACATTTTCAGCCCCTTTGGGATCAATATCCAAAAGCATGATTGCTTTATCTAGTACTAAGAGTAAGTTTAATTTTGTAAGAAACTGTTGAACTGCTGTTACAGTATGTTCCTAGCCAACAGGCAGAATGGACTCCCTGTGGCTAACTGAGGTGATCAAAGTTAAAACAGAATGAGGTGGCCATGTCTGGGTGAGGAAGCTGTTATGTATTCTGTGCTCGCAGAAAAATGTTGTAAACATGTCACAGGACCTCCCTTTCTACAATTAAGCCAAATCAGTTCTTGTTGGCAGTGCTGAGATAGACTACAGCTGGAAATTCCCCAACTTACTTCAAACAAACCACCTGGTCCCAACTGACTGACCATCTGGAATCAGCCAATTAAGAGAGACTGGTGATTTGGGACTTAAAGGTCCCCCAATCAAGATTCTGTTCTCATTCCCCTGACTCCTCTCTCCTGCCCTGCAAGTTTTGCCTTTATCATCACTCATTCTCTAACCTCACCCCCTCAGGGAAGGCTTTCATTTTACAGTGGGGGCTGTATCTCCCCAGTCCACAGATTTTTTTTTTTTTTTTTTTAAGAAAATAAAACTCTCCTTTTCTCCTCTGCAGATACCATGGTCTTTTGTTAACACTGTCTTTCAAAGTGGCTGCACCATTTTGCATTCCCACCAGCAATGAATGAGAATCCTCATTGCTCCAAATCCTTGCCAGCATGTGGTATTCTCAGTGTCCTGGATTTTTGCCATTCTAATGGATATGTAGTACTACTTCACTGTTGCATTACCTCTCTACTTACATTACCCATTTGTCCTTGCATTTTGTCTACTTCTTCCATTAGAGTCCTTAGCATATTAATTATAATTACAGTTATCTTACATTCCCTGTTTGATAAATCCAAAATCTGGGTCTTGTCTGAGTCTAGTTCTGATGCTTGCTTTGTCTCTTCAGACTGTTTTTTTTTAATGCCCTTGATATGTCTTGCAACTTTTTTCTTGAAAGCCAGACATGACGTATGAGGTAATGGGAACTGAGGCGAATAGGCCTTTCCTGTGAGGTTTTATGTTAATCTGTTAGGGGGATGGGTTGCATTTAATATTTGCTGCTGCTGCAGGTGTCAGAGATTTCAATTTCCTATAGTATCCTTGTTTTCTGCCTCCTTTGTATTCTTGGGTTTTCCCTAAAATCTCTTTCTAAATAGCATATTGATGGAAATCAAAATATTTAACCTCAAGATATACTTCTTTGACATATTTTGAGTTGACTGTTCATATGGCCTGCAAACAGAAGTAGCCCTGAAAAGCTGTCTTTTATGGGGGAGATTTGCATCTGTAGAGAATCAGCATTGATGCAGCCAGGCTTTCTCTGAGGCCCTTGTTTGTCTGGCTCTAGGAAAGATTAACTGAGAGTCTGACACCTTTAAAGTTATGAAAGAAACATTTCCCATCTATTCTCTCTGAGGGCTGCTGCCTATGAGATTTCATCAATATAAAAAAACTGCCTTTGCTAGCCAGGCCTGCTCTTTCCACTCCATAACCTGTGTGGCCACTATATCCTAACTTACCATCATCACCTGTTTATGGCCATGCGCTGAACCCCCATTTCTTCTGCAATTTCAAGATGGTAAACAAGCTTCTGTATCCCAGTGGGGCATTGGGATAATCACTCTGTGGTTCTCCCCATGCATGTTAATAAATTTGTATGCCGTTTCTCCTATAAATCTGCCTTTTGTAAGTTGATTTTTCAGTGATCCTTCAGAGGGCTAAGGGAATCCCTTAGCCCCTACAGTGTGCATCTTGTAGCTTTTAAAGCTGAGATCCCCTGATATTATACTGAGGCCTCATTGATGTGGTGGTAAGGTGCAAGGGGAGGGTAAGTGTTTTATAATTCTGTGAGTAAATTCAGCCTTTCAGTGTGCCTATGTCCCTGGGCTGTGTACCTTGAGAAATAAAAGCATAATTCTAAGCCCCCAATCAACTGAATGTGCCATCTCTTGGCTAAGGGAACCTGAGAGTAATCTTGAAAACAGTTCTTGGCCATGACAGGATGGGAGGGGTCAGACACACCTTGTTACACTTCCTCCCTAGCTCAACATGATTAGGATCAGGCTTCTTCCCTAAAGACCTAACAGAAACCAGCCCTTTCCAGAGACTCCACGTCTGATATCAACCAACCACCTGATGATGCCCCTTCCTTTTTGCCTGATAAGAAACGATTGACCACAGAGTCATTCTGGCCATACTACAGAGATTGCACAATGAGGATTTTCATGTCCTCTGCTTTACCTTTTGATGTTGGATGCCTGAAAACACCCTTGAATCATGCTAATGCCACTACGTTTTCACAGGACCCATGAAGGAGCATCAAGCTCAGCCTCAGGTGTGTATGTTTCCCCTTTTATAAGTCTTCATGACTCCTATAGCTTATCAAATATGTATATTTGGAAACCCTACTCAGCAAAAATTCTGTTCCCTTTGCCCCTCCCGAGAAGTATAGAGGCTATGCTTCCCAACCTGTCAGAATGACCAACCTGCCAGAATGGCCAACCTGCAGGCTGCAGCCCTTTATGAGAAATACAGTTCTCCTTTCCAAGTTTATGAACCTTGTCTTTCTTCAGTTGATAACTTCTCAAGTCTTAGTTTCTCTCCTCCTTAAGTGAGATAGAAAGGCTGGAATGTACGGGAATTGGGTTATTTCCCTTCTCTCCTCTCAGATGAGGCTTTCGTAAAGTTTTTCTGTATGGATTGGACTTTGCTATGGAGAAGGCTCTAGAAATATTCCAAAATGGTTATTTCCTTATCCTCTTCCTGCCAGAAACATGAAGGGTTTTTCTTGGCTCTTCAGCATGAGAACATGGTGGGGTTCCTAGAGGTAAAAGCCTTGAAAAAGGGGTCCCCTAAGGCTCTAGATACCAGGAATCTCTCCCTCTCATACTAGTGTACATTTTACTTCTAGCACTTCCTCAAGGTTATTGTTTAAGTGTTCCTACCAGCTTGTGGCTCTACTGGCATTTGAACCAGATAAGCTGATCTTGACTGCACTTCCCTATATGCAGTTGTCTCTTCAGATTTTGGGCTGGCAATTTTCCCTGTGAACTGAAGGCAAAAAGGAACTTCTATTTGAGGAACGCAAGTCCTTTTAAAGATCTGGCCCAGGGAGAGATTAAAATGAGACAGCAAATCATACCTTACTCCCCCACTTGAGTTATGTATTCATCTCTTGAAACTGGTTGATTGCCCCAAGTAGCTATAAATTAACCTAATAGGCTGGGCTCCGTGGCTCACGCCTGTAATCCCAGCACTTTAGAGGCCAAGGCGGGCAGATCACCTGAGGTGAGGAGTTTGAGACCAGCCTGGCCAACATGGTGAAACCACGTCTTTACTAAAAATACAAAAATTAGCCAGGTGTAGTGGTGTGCGCCTGTAATCCCAGCTACTTGGGAGGCTGAGGCAGGGGAATCGCTTGAACCTGGGAGGTAGTGATTGCAGTGAGCCAAGATTGCACCACTATACTCCAGCCCGTGTGACAGAGAGAGACTCTATCTCAAAAAAATAAAATAAAAAAAAAATTAACCTAATAATGCCATACAGGACACTATAAACCACACCCTATAGCTTAAGAATGTATAGCCAATCACTAATCAATATTATTTCTATAAACCAACAAGAATTCCTGGCAAACAATCTTGTATCAGCCCACTCATTCTCTCCCTCTTTTTTTTTTTTGGCTTTTAAAAATCCACTTGTAACTGCTGCTAATAGGAGTGTGTATTCAGGGAAACTTGAATGTATGTTCTTTGGTTGCAATTGGCAAGATTTGCACAAATAAATTTCTTCTTACTTATATTAATTTTGCCTCAGCCTCTTCTTTTGTAAACCAAAAATGAAATTAAAAGCCCCTAACCAACGGAATGGATCCTTTCTTTTGGCCAAAGACATTCCAGAGTAAAACTGGAAAACTAGTTCAGGCCACAATGGCATGGACAGGTTGGACATGCGTCATTACACTCTCCTCCCTTTGGAATTCAGGCACAATTAACCAGCATTAACAGTAAAACAGAGATCTTAAGAGTGACAAAACAGACTCTTTGTAGCACAAAATATCAAATTCCAACCTGGCTCTAATATAGCATCATATGATAGGTAGCAGGCTCTGAAAGAAATTGAAGTATTTCACTCTAAAATATATTCCTTTGACATATTTTGAAATAGCACTGCAAAGCTGTCTCTTGTGGGGAACGTCTACATCCTATTGAGAATCTCCCTTTGTTTTCAGATCGTTTCTTGATGCAAGACAGATTTAACTGAGTCTGACACATTTTTAGGTCTGATAAAAGACATTTTTCATCTATTCTCTCTGAAGCCTGCTAACTGGAGGCTTCATTGACATAATAAAAACCATGGTCTCCACAACCCCTTATCTCAACCCAGACACTCCTTTCTGTTGATTCTAGGTCTTTGGATAATATCTTAACTCTTTCAATCAATTGCCAGTTAGAAAAATCTTTGAATCCACTTATGACCTGGAGGCATGCCCCTACCCTGCTTCAGGTTTTCCTGCCTTTCCTTACCAAACCAATGTACATCTTACATGAATAGATTGATATCTGCCTGTAACTTCTGCCCCCTGAAATGTATAAAATCAAGCTGTAACCCAACCACCTTGGGCACATGTTCTCAGGACCTCTTGAGACTGTGCCTTAGGCTTTGGCCACTCATAGTTGGGTCAGAATAAATCCCTCCAAATATTTTACAGAGTTTTACTCTTTTTTAATAGGGAGGGAGGTTTAATAGGTGGAAGAGAAGAGAAAGAGAAACAGCTCTCTGTCTATATAGAGAGGGGTCTCCTAGTGGAATGGACTGGCTGGTGGCAAATTTGCTGGATTTTATAGTCCCCCTTTTTTATCAATACCTTTTAGGTTGACATATCTGGCATAAGTCAGCAGGATTCAGAGTGACCACCCCAACCATCTGAATGTGGCATTTGGTACCAGCATGACCATTTGTCTTCAGAAGTCCCACCAGTTGTCGCTGGTCAGTTCTCCTGAATTTTGACCTCTCACATTTTGGTCTTATTTGGGCTTACTTGGTCCCATTTGGACCTCTTATTTGGGCTGTTTCTCTTTCTCTTCTCTTCTCTTCTGCCTATTAAACCTCCTCCTTGGTAATTTTACCAAGGCTTTAACTGGAATGGCATATTTTCAAATATGACCAGACTGCTTTGGGGAATGCAGGTTGAGTTTACAGAGCCAATAAACAGCCTGTACCTTGTTTACGTGATTCCTTTACAAAGTTTCTATTCTTGCAGTAGGTAAAGAGTGTTATCTTCTGACCGGCCCAGGATCCTCAAGTTATTTTGGCACCTTGAGAAGATAGGAATTCACTCAATTTGTACAAGTATTACAGACAGTCTAATGAAAAGTCTTTCACTTGGTTAGCCTCAAGGGTTTTAAAAGTCTCATCTGAAATTTCCTATGAAATAAGTCCCAGCAAAGCCAACTTTAAAATAACCTATATGGCCATTCTGTATTCTTGTTGCACTTTATGCAAATAAGGAGGCCAAGTATAATAAGACTAAAACTTGTTTTGCAAATAAATTGGTCCTGCTAAGATCATCTTTGATAAAAATGGAGAAGTGGTAAAAGAAAAAAAGTATGTTTCAGAAGGAAGTTATAGTACATCTATTGTTAGCTTATAGCTTTGTTTGTTATTCTTGAGTTTTATTATTTGTCTACAATTTGGAGTAGATGCTGAATCACTTCTTGGCAACAACAAATCTCTATAAAAGATCCCAGTTTAATTTTCTTTATAAAAGAACCCAGTTTTAGTTGATGCCCTGATGAAATAGATTTTGTTGTTGTTGTTGTGGCACACAAATCCTCTTTTGATTGTGCACTGTCTCTACTATTTAATTTTTTATTTTTTTATTTTTTATTATTATTATACTTTAAGTTTTAGGGTACATGTGCACAATGTGCAGGTTAGTGACATATGTATACATGTGCCATGCTGGTGCGCTGCACCCACTAACTCATCATCTAGCATTAGGTATATCTCCCAATGCTATCCCTCCCCCTCCCCCCACCCCACAACAGTCCCCAGAGTGTGATGTTCCTCTTCCTGTGTCCATGTGATCTCATTGTTCAATTCCCACCTATAAGTGAGAATATGCAGTGTTTGGTTTTTTGTCCTTGCAATAGTTTACTGAGAATGATGATTTCCAATTTCATCCATGTCCCTACAAAGGACATGAACTCATCATTTTTTATGGCTGCATAGTATTTCATGGTGTATATGTGCCACATTTTCTTAATCCAATCTATCATTGTTGGACATTTGGGTTGGTTCCAAGTCTTTGCTATTGTGAATAATGCCGCAATAAACATACGTGTGCATGTGTCTTTACAGCAGCATGATTTATAGTTCTTTGGGTATATACCCAGTAATGGGATGGCCGGGTCAAATGGTATTTCTGGTTCTAGATCCCTGAGGAATTGCCATGCTGACTTCCACAATGGTTGAATTAGTTTACAGTCCCACCAACAGTGTAAAAGTGTTCCTATTTCTCCACATCCTCTCCAGCACCTGTTGTTTCCTGACTTTTTAATGATTTCCATTCTAACTGGTGTGAGATGGTATCTCATTGTGGTTTTGATTTGCATTTCTCTGATGGCCAGTGATGGTGAGCATTTTTTCATGTGTTTTTTGGCTGCATAAATGTCTTCTTTTGAGAAGTGTCTGTTCATGTCCTTTGCCTACTTTTTGATGGGGTTGTTTGTTTTTTTCTTGTAAATTTGTTTGAGTTCATTGTAGATTCTGGATATTAGCCCTTTGTCAGATGAGTAGGTTGCGAAAATTTTCTCCCATTTTGTAGGTTGCCTGTTCACTCTGATGGTAGTTTCTTCTGCTGTGCAGAAGCTCTTTAGTTTAATTAGATCCCATTTGTCAATTTTGTCTTTTGTTGCCATTGCTTTTGGTGTTTTAGACATGAAATCCTTGCCCATGCCTATGTCCTGAATGGTAATGCCTAGGTTTTCTTCTAGGTTTTTTATGGTTTTAGGTCTAACATTTAAGTCTTTAATCCATCTTGAATTGATTTTTGTGTAAGGCGTAAGGAAGGGATCCAGTTTCAGCTTTCTACATATGGCTAGCCAGTTTTCCCAGCACCATTTATTAAATAGGGAATCCTTTCCCCATTGCTTGTTTTTCTCAGGTTTGTCAAAGATCAGATAGTTGTAGATATGCAGCATTATTTCTGAGGGCTCTGTTCTGTTCCATTCATCTATATCTCTGTTTTGTTACAAGTACCATGCTGTTTTGATTACTGTAGCCTTGTAGTATAGTTTGAAGTCAGGTAGTGTGATGCCTCCAGCTTTGTTCTTTTGGCTTAGGATTGACTTGGTGATGCGGGCTCTTTTTTGGTTCTGTATGAACTTTAAAGTAGTTTTTTCCAATTCTGTGAAGAAAGACATTGGTAGCTTGATGGGGATGGCATTGAATCTATAAATTACCTTGGGCAGTATGGCCATTTTCACGATATTGATTCTTCCTACCCATGAGCAGGGAATGTTCTTCCATTTGTTTGTATCCTCTTTTATTTCCTTGAGCAGTGGTTTGTAGTTCTCCTTGAAGAGGTCCTTCACATCCCTTGTAAGTTGGATTCCTAGGTATTTTATTCTCTTTGAAGCAATTGTGAATGGGAGTTCACTCATGATTTGGCTCTCTGTTTGTCTGTTATTGGTGTATAAGAATGCTTGTGATTTTTGTACATTGATTTTGTATCCTGAGACTTTGTTGAAGTTGCTTATCAGCTTAAGGAGATTTTGGGCTGAGATAATGGGGTTTTCTAGATATGCAATCATGTCATCTGCAAACAGGAACAATTTGACTTCCTCTTTTCCTAATTGAATACCCTTTATTTCCTTCTCCTGCCTAATTGCCCTGGCCAGAACTTCCAACACTATGTCGAATAGGAGTGGTGAGAGAGGGCATTCCTGTCTTGTGCCCGTTTTCAAAGGGAATGCTTCCAGTTTTTGCCCATTCAGTATGATATTGGCTGTGGGTTTGTCATAGATAGCTCTTATTATTTTGAGATACGTCCCATCAATACCTAATTTATTGAGAGTTTGTAGCATGAAGGGTTGTTGAATTTTGTCAAAGGCCTTTTCTGCATCTATTGAGATAATCATGTGGTTTTTGTCTTTGGTTCTGTTTACATGCTGGATTACATTTATTGATTTGTGTATATTGAACCAGCCTTGCATCCCAGGGATGAAGTCCACTTGATCATGGTGGATAAGCTTTTTGATGTGCTGCTGGATTCGGTTTGCCAGTATTTTATTGAGGATTTTTGCATCAATGTTCATCAAGGATATTGGTCTAAAATTCTCTTTTTTGGTTGTGTCTCTGCCTGGCTTTGGTATCAGGATGATGCTGGCCTCATAAAATGAGTTAGGGAGGATTCCCTCTTTTTCTATTGATTGGAATAGTTTCAGAAGGAATAGTACCAGTTCCTCCTTGTACCTTTGGTAGAATTCGGCTGTGAATCCATCTGGTCCTGGACTCTTTTTGGTTGGTAAGCTATTGATTATTGCCACAATTTCAGATCCTGTTATTGGTTTATTCAGAGATTCAACTTCTTCCTGGTTTAGTCTTGGGAGAGTGTATGTGTTGAGGAATTTATCCATTTCTTCTAGATTTTCTAGTTTATTTGTGTAGAGGTATTTGTAGTATTCTCTGATGGTAGTTTGTATTTCTGTGGGATCGGTTGTGATATCCCCTTTATCATTTTTTATTGTGTCTATTTGATTCTTCTCTCTTTTGTTCTTTATTAGTCTTGCTAGCAGTCTATCAATTTTGTTGATCTTTTCAAAAAACCAGCACCTGGATTCATTGATTTTTTGAAGGGTTTTTTGTGTCTCTATTTCCTTCAGTTCTGCTCTGATTTTAGTTATTTTTTGCCTTCTGCTAGCTTTTGAATGTGTTTGCTCTTGCTTTTCTAGTTCTTTTAATTGTGATGTTAAGGTGTCAATTTTAGATCTTTCCTGCTTTCTCTTGTGGGCATTTAGTGCTATAAATTTCCCTCTACACACCGCTTTGAATGTGTCCCCGAGATTCTGGTATGCTGTGTCTTTGTTCTCGTTGGTTTCAAAGAAGATCTTTATTTCTGCCTTCATTTCGTTATGTACCCAGTAGTCATTCAGGAGCAGGTTGTTCAGTTTCCATGTAGTTGAGCAGTTTTGAGTGAG
Source organism: Homo sapiens (assembly GCF_000001405.40). Lineage (NCBI taxonomy): Eukaryota > Metazoa > Chordata > Mammalia > Primates > Hominidae > Homo > Homo sapiens. The sequence goes on from NC_000008.11 coordinate 61,848,318, forward strand.
TTTCTTAATCCTGAGTTCTAGTTTGATTGCACTGTGGTCTGAGAGATAGTTTGTTATAATTTCTGTTCTTTTACATTTGCTGAGGAGAGCTTTACTTCCAACTATGTGGTCAATTTTGGAATAGGTGTGGTGTGGTGCTGAAAAAAATGTATATTCTGTTGATTTGGTGTGGAGAGTTCTGTAGATGTCTATTAGGTCCGCTTGGTGCAGAGCTGAGTTCAATTCCTGGGTATCCTTGTTGACTTTCTATCTCGTTGATCTGTCTAATGTTGACAGTGGGGTGTTAAAGTCTCCCATTATTAATGTGTGGGAGTCTAAGTCTCTTTGTAGGTCACCCAGGACTTGCCTTATGAATCTGGGTGCTCCTGTATTGGGTGCATATATATTTAGGATAGTTAGCTCTTCTTGTTGAATTGATCCCTTTACCATTATGTAATGGCCTTCTTTGTCTCTTTTGATCTTTGTTGGTTTAAAGTCTGTTTTATCAGAGACTAGGATTGCAACCCCTGCCTTTCTTTTGTTTTCCATTTGCTTGGTAGATCTTCCTCCATCCCTTTATTTTGAGCCTATGTGTGTCTCTGCACGTGAGATGGGTTTCCCGAATGCAGCACACTGATGGGTCTTGACTCTTTATCCAATTTGCCAGTCTGTGTCTTTTAATTGGAGCATTTAGTCCATTTACATTTAAAGTTAATATTGTTATGTGTGAATTTGATCCTGTCATTATGATGTTAGCTGGTTATTTTGCTCATTAGTTGATGCAGTTTCTTTCTTGTCTCGATGGTCTTTACATTTTGGCATGATTTTGCAGGGGCTGGTACCAGTTGTTCCTTTCCATGTTTAGTGCTTCCTTCAGGAGCTCTTTTAGGGCAGGCCTGGTGGTGACAAAATCTCTCAACATTTGCTTGTCTGTAAATTATTTTATTTCTCCTTCACTTATGAAGCTTAGTTTGGCTGGATATGAAATTCTGGGTTGAAAATTCTTTTCTTTAAGAATGTTGAATATTGGCCCCCACTCTCTTCTGGCTTGTAGAGTTTCTGCCAAGAGATCCGATGTTAGTCTGATGGGCTTCCCTTTGAGGGTAACCTGACCTTTCTCTCTGGCTGCCTTTAACATTTTTTCCTTCATTTCCACTTTGGTGAATCTGACAATTATGTGTCTTGGAGTTGCTCTTCTCGAGGAGTATCTTTGTGGCGTTCTCTGTATTTCCTGAATCTGAATGTTGGCCTGCCTTGCTAGATTGGGGAAGTTCTCCTGGATAATATCCTGCAGAGTGTTTTCCAACTTGGTTCCATTCTCCCCGTCACTTTCAGGTACACCAATCAGACGTAGATTTGGTCTTTTCACATAGTCCCATGTTTCTTGGAGGCTTTGTTCTTTCATTTTTATTCTTTTTCTCTAAACTTCCCTTCTCGCTTCATTTCGTTCATTTCATCTTCCATCACTGATACCCTTTCTTCCAGTTGATCGCATCGGCTCTTGAGTCTTCTGCATTCTTCGCGTAGTTCTCCAGCCTTGGCTTTCAGCTCCATCAGCTCCGTTAAGCACTTCTCTGTATTGGTTATTCTAGTTATACATTCTTCTAAATTTTTTTCAAAGTTTTCAACTTCTTTGACTTTGGTTTGAATTTCCTCCTGTAGCTCGGAGTAGTTTGATCGTCTGAAGGCTTCTTCTCTCAGCTCATCAAACTCATTCTCCATCCAGCTTTGTTCCGTTGCTGGTGAGGAATTGCGTTCCTTTGGAGGAGGAGAGGTGCTCTGCTTTTTAGAGTTTCCAGTTTTTCTGCTCTGTTTTTTCCCCATCTTTGTGGTTTTATCTACTTTTGGTCTTTGATGATGGTGATGTACAGATGGGTTTTTGGTGTAGATGTCCTTTCTGTTTCTTATTTTTCCTTCTAACAGAGAGGACCCTCAGCTGCAGGTCTGTTGGAGTTTGCTAGAGGTCCACTCCAGACCCTGTTTGCCTGGGTATCAGCAGCGGTGGCTGCAGAACAGTGGTTTTTTGTGAACCGTGAATGCTGCTGTCTGATCGTTCCTCTGGAAATTTTGTCTCAGAGGAGTACCCAGCCGTGTGAGGTGTCAGTCTGCCCCTGCTGGGGGGTGCCTCCCAGTTAGGCTGCTCAGGGGTGAGGGGTCAGGGACCCACTTGAGGAGGCAGTCTGCCCGTTCTCAGATCTCCAGCTGAGTGCTGGGAGAACCACTGCTCTCTTCAAAGCTGTCAGACAGGGGCATTTAAGTTTGCAGAGGTTACTGCTGTCTTTTTGTTTGTCTGTGCCCTGCCCCTAGAGGTGGAGCCTACAGAGGCAGGCAGGCCTCCTTGAGCTGTGGTGGGCTCCACCCAGTTAGAGCTTCCCGGCTGCTTTGTTTACCTAAGCAAGCCTGGGCAATTGTGGGCCCCCCTCCCCCAGCCTCGCTGCTGCCTTGCAGTTTGATCTTAGACTGCCGTGCTAGCAATCAGTGAGACTCCATGGGTGTAGGACCCTCTGAGCCAGGTGTGGGATATAATCTCCTGGTGCGCTGTTTTTTAAGGCCGTCGGAAAAGCGCAGTATTCATGTGGGAGTGACCCGATTTTCCAGGTGCCTTACGTCACTCCTTTCTTTGACTAGGAAAGGGAACTCCCTGACCGCTTGCACTTCCCAGGTGAGGCAATGCCTCGCCCTGCTTTGGCTCACGCACAGTGCACTGCACTCACTGACCTGTGCCCCCTGTCTGGCACTCCCTAGTGAGATGAACCCGGTACCTCAGATGGAAATGCAGAAATCACCCATCTTCTGTGTGGCTCATGCTGGGAGCTGTAGACCGGAGCTGTTCCTATTCGGCCATCTTGGCTCCTCCCCCCTCTATTTAATTTTTAAACATTATTTATTTCTTGTTGTTTTTCTTCTTCTGAAAAAACTAAATTCTTAGTACTCAAATGAGTAGGTATAATTCAACAAGTGACAGCAGCCATAGATCAGTGACTTTGACAGCACTACTCAGCAACGAATCTTCCCAGCAATGACAGACATTTTGACACTCAACTTTTGATCATCAGTTCTTTGAAGAATAAAGATTTTTGATCAAAAAAGGGAAATGAGAAAATAAAAGAGCTTTTATCTGAGGAAGGCAAGTTCTACTAGTTATCAGGCCTAGACAATAAGATGAAACAGCAATCCCATCCTACTCTCCACTTTGAGTTACGTATTCTTCTCTTGAAACTGCTTGCTATTGTTACAAGTAGCTATAAATTACCTTAATAATGCCACACAGGACACTCTAACCTATACCCTGTAGCTTAAGAATGTATAGCCAATCATTAATAAGTGTTATTTCTATAAACCAATAAGAAACAACTTTCTATATACCAATGAGAAACAAACAAGTTTCTATCAGCCCACTCACTGTTCCCCCATTTTTTGCCTTTAAAAATCTGCTTGTAACTGCTGCTAATAGGAGTGTGTGTTCAGGGCACCTTGAATCTACTCTCCCGGGTTGCATTTCTCAAATTTGGCCCAAATAAACTCTCTACTTATATTAATTTTGCCTCAGCTTCTCTGTTTTAGGTCATCAGGCCAATTTTCTGAAGGGCCTTGGGAAATTTATTTTTCAGTGTCTTTAGCTTTTTTTTTCTTACTGTAAGATGGGATTAATGACTTCCAAGCTTTTTATGTGTTACAACTGAAACCAGAAGCCTAATCTTTTAAATGTATACGGTATTATGTGGAATATTTATTCACCTGGATTCTACATCAAACCAAAATTGAAAAGTGAACTATAATTTTTCTTTTCTGTCAATCTACAATTTTTCTTGTATTTTCTGCTGACTGAATAAAACAAAATATGTTTCTCCAATGAGAGTTTTCTACATAGACTGATCTGTACAACACCATCTTTATATTTTGGCAACATTCACAAATTATTTGGATAGGCTTTTTATTTTGGAAGATTGCCTCCACTCATTCTCTATTACTGTTCCCAAGTTTGGAGCTATACATAAAATTATTCTGTTTAAGCTTCCCATGAATGCCACAGATATTTTTATTTTAGTGGAATTGGGGAAAGAGATAGCACCTCTATATTTCCTTTTTAAAGCACATACTTTTCATTTAAGAGGTACAGAAATTACCACAATTAGTTCCGTTTTAATGTAATTACTTCTTAAAGATTATAAATAAGAATACAGGATATACTCATGGAAAAATATTTAGAGAAAGGAAAATTAGAAAAAGAGAGATTGTAAGTTTATACAATAAATAATATGCAAAATATTTTGAGAATATCTTAATAATTTAAATATCATAGTGTCACAGTGTTTGTCATTTCCATTCACTTGTTAACTATTCATATGTACATTTTTGCAGATATTCTTCATTATTCCATCATCATCTCAAACCTCTTGGGTATAGTGTTTGACTACTACTGTGACCATAAATTCCAATAAAACCTAGGAAAAATGAAACCACTACATTAACTGAAAGGGTAAGCAATAACAATAATATTTTCTAACTTCCTTGAATAAGAAGAATCTTGATGATGATTGTTATTTATTAATTCCAGAGAGAAAGGAACAAGCTAGTGAGTCAGGAGAAAGAATTATTGCTTATTAAGTTCATTTACTTCAATTGTGAGGAATAGAAAGTTAATGAGATTGAATAGGTGAGTGGCTAATACTTATGGAGAACAAATATTGAAATCTTTTAAAAATGATTTTTCAAACTTAAATGGCATAAAATTTGAGAATATCAATACTTTATATGAGTACCAGCATTAATGAGTCCAATTTACTCCCTTAAGCTTTAGCAAGCTCAAGTCATATATTTTTCATACAGAAAGGATATTATAAGCTCTTCCTTCTGCTGTGTTCTCATAAGTCTCTCTAATACTAGACCTAGGCCTGTATTGAGTGGAAAACTCAATGTAGACTTCAGAGTTTCCTGAAGAGAAAAGTTCAGGACTTGGTAACCCAGCCTTTAATTTGCATTTGAGCATGATAGTGTCAAATGCAGAAGGTGATCTTTTTCCACTCCTGAGAACAAAGGTGCTAAGTAAGTAGCCCCAGGTTCTACATTCCTAGAAGTGTCAGATTAGGGATTTTCCTTCCATTGCTGTGAGGTGACATCTCTCCAACCAACAATAGTAATATGACTCAGAAGAAGAGGAAGTCTCATTTTTCAAGAGGCCAAGATTCTTGGAATTGGGGAAGGGAACACTTCCCCAGACTTAAGAATGAGATGCCTGCCTTAGGGCATCCATGTGCCTACAAGAAAAAATTCCTTAGATGACTACCTGCTCTGCTATCAGAATTGCTGATGTCTCTCTATATTGCTGAATTATGGAAGACAACATTGGAGAAAACTTGTATGGTGGATTCTGCTCAGAAGGGAATAGTCCTCCACAACCATGTTCATTATTTTTCTTAACAACCCTTGACTTCTCGGTTTTTGATAGGTCAGGTGGAGCCCACATATACCTGCAGTCCATGCATTGATAGTGAATAACACATGAGAATTGAAGCTCCAGTTATGTAAATCAAAAGAAGGCAATAGGAGACAAACTTATGCTTCCAGGAAAATGGAGTAGACATACTTCTCCCAATTCTTTCTACTAAGTACAGCTAAAAACCTGGACATTAAATATAAAATAAATGCAAAAATACCCTGAATGTTGGAGAGAAGAAAGCAGACCAAGTAGGTACTTTGGATTAAAAAACAACACATTGGTGAGTTCCCTAGGTTTTATTTTTTGTTTTATATATACCAGTTTAGAGGCTGGAGAAGCCAGAACTCCGGAAGTACCAACACGTTTAGATGAAGAATGCCCTAACAAAAGCTCTTTCTCGCTTATGTAAGGAGTAGGAGAGGGACAGCCTAGCAAGAGAGAACCTTTAGAAAATAGTGACTACTTCAACCAAAAACCACGGAAAGAATTGTGGCCCCGCCCCACCCTTGTCAGCAAACATGAGTGGGGAGCCTAGATTTCTACTTTTTCAAGGCTGTAGCAAAGGGTCCCAACTGTCCCGTTAGGGTGGTGTCAGATAAGGCCATCTGTGCCTGGCATTAATGAGCCCCTTCCCCCTTTCCCACAGGATCAGTGTATGTGAGAAGTTTGGATTTCTACCCCCACCTGGCAATAATAAGGTACCCCTTCACTTTCCCACTGAGGTAGTTTCAGAAAAGACCTACTGTAAATATTTTCACAACTTCCCAGCAGTAAGGAAGTCACACCTCTCCCATGATGTCAGTGGTGACAAAGTATGGAGCACTAATGAAGCACTCCAGCCCACACCAGCCAGGAAGGTATAAGTGAAGGCTCAGTAAGACACCAGAATTTCCACTTCCACTTAGCAATAACAAAGAGCTTTCCCCATCAGGTGTCAGTGAAAGTTTATGGGGAACCTGGACTTCTCTACCCAATTGGCAGTAATGAGGTGGTACCTCCTCTTCTCACCCCAGACTGGTGTCAGAGGAAGACAGCCAAACCAGAAGGTGTAAATAAGATCTAAAATCTAATAAAAATGTAAACAATGTTCAGGTTTTAATAAAAACATTACTAATCATTATCAAGAACCAGGAAAGAAATTGAATGAAAAAAGACAACAGAGGTCAGCGCTGAAAGACAAATATTAGATTATCTGATAGTTTAAAGCATCCATCATAAAAATGTTTCAATGAGCATTTGCAAGCACATTCGAAGAAATGAAAAATATAGAAAGTCTCAGAAAAAATAGAAGAGATAATAACCAAATATTTTATTTTATTTTATCTTATATATTTTTTATTTTTGTTTTTAATTAATTTATTTTTTTTGAGATGGAGTTTTGCTCTTGTTGCCCAGGCTGGAATGCAATGGTGCGATCTTGGCTCACTGCAACCTCTGCCTCCTGAGTTCAAACGAATCTCCTGCCTCAGCCTCACGAGTAGCTGGGATTACAGGTCTGCACCATCACGTCCAGCTAATTTTGTATTTTTAGTAGAGACAAGGTTTCACCATGTTGGTCAGGCTGGTCTCGAACTCCTGACCTCAGGTGATCCGTCCACCTTGGCCTCCCAAAGTGCTGGGATTACAGGCATGAGCCACTGTGCCTGGCCATATTTTAGTTTATGTTATTATTTTTGAAACAGGGTCTTGCTGTGTCACCCAGGCTGGAGTATAGTGGTGCAACTATGGCTCACTGCAGCCTTGATTTCCCAGGCTCAAGTGATCCTCCTATCTCAGACTTCCAAGTAGCTGGGATCACAGGCATGCACCACCACACTGGCTAATTTTTAAATTTTTTTTGTAGAGACAGGATCTCCCTACGTTGCTTAGACTAGTCTCAAACTCCTGGACTCAAGTGACCCTTTCTCTTTGACCTTCCGAATGTCAGGATCACAGGTGTGAGCCACCATTCCCGGCCCCACATGGACATTCTTCAACTAAAAATATTCAATAAAAGAAGTAAAAACCAAATGGATGGGCTAAAGAACAGAATAGAGAGGACAGAGGAAAAATATCAATGAAATTGAAGATAGAACGATAGACATTATACAATCTGAACAATAGGGAAATTACACTGAAAAAAAAAAATGAACAGAGCCTCAGAGACCTGTGAGACTAAAACAAAAGGTATAACTTATGTATCACTGAAGTTCTGGAAGGCGAGGAGCCAAAAAGCAGAGCTGATAAAATACTTGAACAAATAATGGCTGAAAACTTCCAAAATTTGACAAAAGCAAAGTACTGTAGATTCAAGAAGCTGAGTGCATATCAAATAAGATAAACTCAAGGAAACCACACAAACACATTAGCTTCTGAAAAATAAAAACAGAGAAAAAATTTTGAAATCAGCAAGAGAGAAAAAACATGGGGGAAAATAACTCAAAGATTTCTTATCAGAAACTATGAAGGTCAGGAGGCTGTGACACAACATTTTTCAAGTGCTGAAAGAAAAGAACTTTCAGTCCAGAATCCAACATTAAGTGGAGCTATCCTTCAAGAATGAAGGGGACACCAATGCATTCTCAGATAAAGAAAAAATTAAAGAATTTGTCATCAGGAAACCTATCCTAAAAGAATGTTTAAAGAAAATTCTCTAAACAGAAAGAAAACAATAACAAATGAAATATAAAATCAAGGAGGAATAAGGAAATGGCAGCAAAAATGGCTAAATTTAATGTACTTTCCCTTCTAAATTATGGTTGTTGGTTGAAGACAAATTATAATATTTTCTGATGTGGTTCTCAATATATGTATAGGAAATATTTAAAACAATTTTAAATGGCGAGGATAAATAACTTAAAAAGGGGTAAGTTTTTATGCTTCACTCATACACCAATATACATTTGACACTAGTTTTTTATAATGTAATACCTGGTGCAACTACTAAAAATTATGTAAAAAGAAATACACTTAAAAATACTGCAGTTAAATTAAAGTAAAATTGTAAAAAGGGTGATTAAACTAAACAACTAAACATACTTCTAGCATATAACCCAGCTGCCATACTCCTTGGTATTTACCCAAATAAACTAAAAACTTATGTCCACTCAAGAACCTGCACATTGATGTTTATTTATAATTGCCCAAACTTGGAAGCAACCAAGATGTTTTCTAGAAGGTGAATGGATAAACAGCAGCAAATTCATACAATAAAATATTATTCAGCATTATAAGCCATCAAGCCATGAAAAACATGGAGAACCCTATTAAGTATATTACTAAGTAAAATAAGCTAAATTGAAAAAAGTAGGTACTGTATAACCCCAACTATATAATATCTGGAAAAGGAAAAACTATGTAGCAGTAAACAAAAATAACTGGTTGACAGGGATTAAGGGAGAGTGTTGTTCAAGGGTCAACTATATATAAAAAGTTTTACACCAGGTCCAAGTGGGATTATTCCAGGGATGTAAGGCTTGTGAAATGTTTTAAAATTATTTAACAAAATATACCATATTAACCAGCTAAAGAAGAAATATTACATGATTATATCACAATCAATGCAGAAAAAAATTTGATGAAACTCAGTACCTATTTGTGATTTTACAAACTCTTGGAAAAATAGAAATAAAGGGAACTTCCTCATCTTTATAAAGGGCATCTATAAAATACCTATGGGAAACATAATAAATAGTGGTGAAAACTCAATGTTTTTCTTCTAAAATTGAGGTTTAATACCATATGGCTACTCTCATCATTCTCATTCAACATGATGCTAGAAGTTCTAGCCAGTGCAATAAGGCAAGAAAAGGTCAGAAATGAAAAAATACAATTTTTATTTGCGGATAGCATGAATGTCTATGTAGAAAATCCCAATGCATCTACATAAAAGCTCCTAGAAATAATAGGTAAATTCAGCAAGTTACAGGATACAAGATAAATATACAAAAATCAGTTATATTTTTAAATACTACCAATAAACAAATAGACTTTGAAATTAAATATTGATTTCATTTATGCTTGCTCTAAAAATGAAATACTTAAGTGAAATTGAATAACTCATATACAAGATTTTATTCTCTACAAAACACTGATTAAAGAAATCAAGAAAGACCTAAATGAATGAGATGTACTATGTTCATGGATTGAAAGACTCAACTTAGTAAGGATCTCAGTTCTCCTCAAATTGACATACAGAGTTAGTGAAATCACTATCAAATCTCAAAATGTTTTTTAGATACAGACAATTATTCTACAATTTATATAGAGATATATGGGTTCTAGAATAACAAAAATCATGACAAATAATATGGCTGGAAGAATCATTTCATTCAATTTGAAGAGTAATTATATAGCTTTCTCTATATAAAATACAATGTATATAGAATACATTGTATACAATAACCATGACTGTGTGATATTGGCAGAAAGATAAGACACATAGATTGATGGAACAAAGTAAGGACCCAGAAATAAACACACACAAACATGCCTAACTGATTTTTGACAAGGTGGAAAAGCACAAAGGTGTAGAAAAGATAGCCTTTCAACAAATAGTGCTGGAGCAATTGGACATCTGTAGGCAGAAATATAAACTTTGAGCTATATTTCACATCATATAGAAAGATTAACTCATAATATCAATGTATAAATAAATGTATAGTTTATATACATCTACAATTTAAAAATATAAAAGTTTTACAGTAAAACTTCAGAGAAAATTTTCAAGATCTAGAGGTAGGCAAAGAGCTCTAAGACTTAACAGAAAAAGCATGGTCTATTAATATAAAATAAATTGATAAAGTGTAATTAGTCAAAACTAAACATTCTTGCTCTGCAAAATACCCTTCAACAGGATGAAAAACAAGCTACAGACTGGGAGAAAATATTTGCAAATGATATTTTTCACAAAGAATTAATATCTAGAATGTATAGGGAACTTTAAAATTCAACCATAGAAACCATGTCATTAATAATCCGATTAGAAAATGGGTAAAAAAAACCTGAAGAGATATTTTATAAAACAGGATATAAAAATGGTGGATACACATGAAAAGATGTGCAATCTCACGAATCATTTAAAAAATGTACAACAAAACCACAATGAGATAACATCACATACTTATCAGAATCGTTAAGATAAAAGTGAGTGACAAAACCAAATGCTAGTGAGCAGGCAGAGGAACTAGATTATGCATATACTACTTGTGGCAATGTAAAAATAGTACAGCTACTCTGGTAATGATTTTGACAGTTTCTTCAGTAACCAAACATGGAGCTACCATATGATTCAGCAATTACACTTCTTAGCATTTATCCTGGAGAAATTAAAGTTTATAATCACACAGAAAAAAAAAGCTTATAGCAGCTTTATTTGTAAGAGCCAAAAATAGAAATGACCCAGATGTCCTTCAGCTTGCGAATGGTTAAATAATCAGTGGTTTGCATGGAGTACTATTCAGTAACAAAAAGAAATGAAGTATTGATACATGCAAAATTTGGATGAAGCTCTACAGAATTATTCTGAGTAAAAAGTCATTCCTGTATAGTTACATAATATGTAATTCCATTTATACAATATTATTTTAATTAACATCTTTATATAAAATCCATAAACCACAAAATTCACCCATCTAAAGTATAGAATTCAACGGTTTTAGTATAGCATAGAGTTGTGCAACCATCGCCAAAATCTAAATTTAGATTATTTTCATCCCTTCATAAAGAAACCCCTTACCCATTAGAAGTCATTCTAATTTTCTTCTCCCAGCCCCTGAAAACCACGAATCTGCTTTCTGTCTCCACAGATTTACCTATTCCGCACATGTCATGTAAATTGAATCATATGCATGGCCTTTCGTGGCTGGCTTCTTTTACTTAACATGAGGTTTTCAAGGTTCATCCTTTTTGTAGCATGTATCCATATGCCATTGAACGTTTCTGGCAAATAATATTCCATTTTATGAATATATCACATATTGTTTATCCATTTATCAGTTGATGGACATTTGAGTTCTTTTTACTTTTTGGCTGTTATGAATATTTGTGTGCAAGTTGCTGTAAACATTTGTGTGCAAATTTTTGTGTGGATATATTTTTTCCATTTTCCTTGGGTACACAATAAGGAATTTCTTGGTAATATGGTAACAGTATAGTCCGCTTTTTGAGGAACTGCCAAGCTGTTTTCCAACGTGGCTGCACTATTTATAATCCCACCAGCAATGTGACAGGGCTCTAATTTCTCCACACTTTCATCCACACTTGTTATTATCAGTCTTTTTCTTATAGCCACCCTAGTGGATATGAAATGGTATCTCTCTGTGATTTCAACATGGATTTAACTAATGGCTAATGATGTTGAGCATTTTTCATGTTCTTACTGTCCATTTGCAAATCTTATTTGGAGAATTGTCTATTAAGAGTTTTTGCCCATTATAATTGAATTATTTGTCTTTTTACTATCAGGTTTATATATTCTGGATACCAGGATTATATTATCAGATCTACTACTTGAAAATATTATCTCCTGTTTTGTGGGTTGTATTTTCACTTTCTTTGTGGTATGATTTGGAGCACAAAGTTTTGATTTTGACGAAGCCTCATTTATATATGTTTTTCTTTGTTGCTTGTGCTTTTTGATCTTATAGCTAACCAACCAAGGTCAGCATGGTGCAAAGAAGTGGTCTACATTTAACATTTTGCAGGTGGATATCCAGTTGTTCCTGCCTCTTTTTTTTGAAAAGACTATTCTGTGCTCATTGAATTGTTTTGGCATGCTTATATAAAATAATATAACATTCGTGAAGTGATAGAATTATTGAGATGGGTAACAGATTTGTGTTTGCCTGGGGTAGCTGAGGTGGTAGAGACAGGAGGTAAGTTGGTGTTGCTATTAATACAAAAGGGCACCATGAGAGGGTGGTGATAGAAATGTTCTATGTCTTGATTATATCAATGTCCTGTATTCTGGTTGTGATATTGTACTATAATTTTGCAAGTTGCTACCACTGGGTAAGTGGGTAAAGAGTACATGAGCTCTATCTGTATTATTTCTTACAACTGCATACGAATATAAAATTATTTTAAAATAAACACTTAAAAAAATAATGCACTGGGAGGCTGCTAGCAGGATCAGTTGGAAGATGTTGCCAAATCTTAGAAGTGACCACCAAGAGTCGCTGAATAATGAGTCCCTCATGAATGAGACAGAAATGCTATTGCTTATTTTCAGAACCTGGTGGTTGTGGCCATTCAAAGGGAGAACTGTACCCTCCTGGATGGAGTCTGCTCAGTTCTCTGCTTCCCCTTCTCTCTCCACACTCAAAATAGAGCGATTGACAGGAAAAGGTGGGCAGTAGTCTGTGAGAACCGGAGTACAACCTCCTTCTACTTCTTGAGCAAATGCAGGATGGACACAATATCTTTGAAATAACTCACGAGACTAAAATTTCAAAATGAACACAGCTGAGTTTAGAATCCAAAATGACAGCTTTAATAACTAATATAACTAAAATATTCTTGATTCTGACTATGATTAAGTAGTGGGAGTCCACTAACCAGGTACATATGGATATATTTAACATAGTATCGTAAAATTGGCAGCCATTACTGAAAAACAATGACATAGTTTCATTTCATACTCTAATGAATTGTCTTGCTGAAATAAGTCAGTTGTACATTGTAAAAATGATAGAAGAAATTACAGCCAGGACAGAATAGCTGAGAGGATATTTGCATCTTCTACCATAAAACCTTTGTCGTCTCCTGTAGGAGCTTACTCACTTCTTGGGAGTACTTTATTAACCCCTTGTAAAGGCAGAAATCCCTCTGCTCTTCACCAACCTCTCAGAACAGTAGTTCCTCCCTACCTTCAGTGGGGGATACATTCCAAGACCCATACTGGATATCTGCAACTGTGGAAGGCACCAAATTGAAATTCTTTTTCACAATTTCATGGGTAGAACATTTGTTCTTATCATAGACCTTAGCAACCTCAGCTTATGATTTATTTTCTTTCTGTAGTAAGTGGAGAATTTTCACCTTTTTACTTGAAGGAAGGATTTGACAGCTTCTTTTGGGCATATCAGAATCGCCAGCATCACTACTCTTGCACTGTGCGGCCATTATTAAGTGAAATAAGGATTACTTGAACACAAGCACTGCAATGCCGCTACAGTCAATGTGATAACCCAGCTGGTGACTAAGTGACCAAGGACGGGGAGTATCTACAGCGGGGAGACTCTGGAAAAAGGGAGGATTCACATCCAGTGCCACTGGGGCAGGGCAGAATGAGAGTTCATCATGCTACAAAGAATGGCACAGAATATACGACTTGTGAGTGGATTATCTCTGGAATTTTCTGTTGACTACATTTGTACTACAGTTGTATGTGGGTAACAAACTGTGGAAAGTGAAACTTCGGGTAAGGGGGAGGCTACCGTAGATAGCCCAGTATTTCTTATTTTGTGGATTTGTTTATCTTTCTGCTCACATCCTTTTCCTTCTGCATTACCATTTTAGTAAAAATAGATAGCATCCATTTGGTGTTTAGTATGTTTTTGGCACAGTCGAACATTTTACAAACATTATATCATTTAATCTGCATAAAACCTATACAGTAGGTACAACTATTATCCAGTTTTTTAGACAAGGCAAACTGGATCACAGGGAGTTCAAAACGCCTCTTCCCTTGGTCAAGTTGGGTCATGTAATTGTCAAAGTTAAAACATGCCCCTTAGGAGATGATTTAAAATTCCCTAATTTTTTAGAAGAATCTTCAGTTTTCCCAGGATAGAACATTTATTGATATGGTAAATATGTGGAAAGACCCACCAACCCCACTCCAATCTTACATTCTTGCCATTAAAAAACAAACATAAAGACTGTTCCCTATGTTTTTTTCTTTAAAATGTATTCTAGGAGTTACAATGACGTGCATTCTAATGGATATGTAGAAGAAATTAAATTTGAGATATTTTATAAAATTGTAAGATATGTAACAATATGCACCTTAGTCTAGGACACAAGCCAAAAAAGGTAAAAAATAATGAAGAAAGACTACTTAGAAGCTAATCCATTTTTTTATTTTAGGAGAGAGATGAAAGGGGAAAATTGTAATGTGGGGTAATCTCTATCCAATAATCACAGTGTGGTTTCTGAAGAGATGTGTTGGCCTTTAGTAATGCTAAAATTACAAATGCAGATTTAAAGGCCTCTGCCTTTTATCCACTTTTAAATTTACATAAAGAACAAGTGCAAGATTATTGGAAAAGGGTCTATGATTGTTATCATAACCAGCAAGGGTAGTTGGAGAGTGGTACAATGATAAGAAGGGCGAAGGTTAAATTGCCGCTAGTAAAGTCTATGCCCGTTACTGAAGCCAATATTAACTTTGTATTTAACAAAATGAAAATTAAGATGCTACTCTCAGAGAAACCTTGGGGAATATCTACAACATGTTCACCTCTTTAAAATTTCACTTGTCTGTATAGCTTTCTCTTAAAATCTCATTTAATGTGCTTAGATATACAACCAATACAATATATTATAATGGCATGGAATTTAGTAAGGAACATATGGTATTTCTTTACAATTCACCTGTCTTGGAACTCGAATAAGTTTTTAAAATTAGGTTCTGAAATAATGCCATGGAGAAAGCAAGAACCAAGGCCATTTAGATGAACCCACAACAATTTCCATTTCTACTTAGGAGGTAGAAGCAAAAGGCATCTACCCTTGGGGAAAGGTCAAGGAAGTTGTTGAGGGCCAGCATCCTACACTAACACAAAGCAGAGGTCTGTTTCTGCTGGGGTTGAAACAGAAAACACACTTCTTTCCAAAAATCCCCATAGATATAAGGCAGAGTTTACATTCAGAACAACAAAATTAAGAACACAGTAGATGTCTTCAAAAACTATGTAAAGCAGAAGACAACAAAGTAACATACTTAAGGGACTAAAAATAATCCTATCAACCCAGATCTCTGAACTCAGAAAAATATCTTTTTAAATATTGAGACAAGTAAATAATTTTTTGCCTCATCAAAGCTGATAGCATTCATTGCCAGCAGACTACACAACAGTATATATTAAAGAAAGTTATTAGGTGAAAAGCAAGATATTAATGGCAAAAACGATAATAAATATAAATGACAACTTTTCTACTTTTAATGTCTTTATAAGATAACTGAGTATGTAAAGCAAAAATTAGTAACAATGTATTATGGGGTTTACAGCATATGTAGAAGTAAATATATGCCAGAAATATCACAAGTGATGGAATTGAGGAAATATAAATATAATGTTGATATGTAGATAGCAAATAAGCTATGAAGAGATGCCCAAGAGCATTTATTGTTAGAAAAATGAAGATTAAAACCACAATAAGATATCATGGTACACCCACTGGAAAGGTTAAAATTGAAAAGACTGACAATACCAAGACTGGTCGAGGATGCAGGGTGAGCAAAACTCACATACTGCTGATGAGATATCAGCAACTTTGCAAACCAGTTTGCCAGACTCTTATAAAGTTAAACATACACTTAGCGTAGAAACCAACAATTCTGTTTCTAGGTCTTTACCCAAGAAGAAAAAAAATTTCTATACAAAAAGCTCTATGTGAATCTTTATAGCAGATTTACTCATAATCAACAACCACTAAACACCACTCAAATGTCCTTCAACTGGTGAATGAAAAACCAACTATGGTACATCCATTCAATGTTAACGTTACTTACCAATAAAAAGGAACAAATTACTGATGCATTCAGCAACATGAGTAGATTTCAAAGCATTTTGCTGAGTAAAATACATCAGACACACAGGCTATATATGGTGTCATCTTGTTTATATAACCGGGAAAAAGCAAAACTCTATTGTCAGAAATATAATCAGTGGTTACCACAGACTGGGATGGGGGAGAGGTTGACTGCATAGAAGCCCTAGAGGCATAGAAATGCTGTATCTCTTCATTGTTGTGGTGGTTACATAACTGTATTCATGTGTCAAAACTTATCTATACTTAGGGTGAATTTTGTTGTATATAAGTTATACCTCAATGAAACAGACTAAGAAAAAAAATAAGCCTTCAATATAATTTGGCCTATGCTCTAGGGCAGTGCCTTTTGATCCCCTAATATATGGCAGTATCGTAGGTCAAAAGTTGTTCTCGTTTGATACGGATTTTCAACAACCCCTAGTAAGATCCTCATTGCATAAACTGCCATGCATGGCTCCATGGCTCCACATGTTTTCATTCTGGAAATTTGTGGAAATTTATTATTCTCTATGTTACACCCATGCCTAAGAGAAGGGATGACTCCAGCAGAAGAGAAAGAAAAAGAGGCCAATACTTTTGGCTTAAAACCAGACATGGACAAAAAAAAATATGGAAAGATATGTGATGAACAAAGCCAGACTGTTTTTCTCAAAATGTTAATCCCAACCTCCTATTCCAAGACTAGATACAGGTTCTTCAGGTGAAGGGAAGGATGAACCAAGAAGAAAGTGAAGAAAGCTTACAAGCAACTTGCCTAAGAAGGGGCGTCCTCCCTCCATCATTAAAATCTAAGACAGAGAGGAGATCTGTGTCCCCTTCCCCTGGCTAGCACTCTAATATCTAGCAGGGTCTCAAAGATATCCCATAGCCACAAAGTTGTAGGAAGAAAAAAAATGTTTACAAAGTATGTTTAGGAAGATTGTCCTGAAATCAGTGTAGGAGCAGGGGAACATCTTCCATGGGCCCTAGAGTGGCTCAAACTTGTCATGGTGAGCCAACAGTGGTGCAGAGAGGTAATAGGATAGAAAAGTCCCAGCATGATCAAATAGCTGAAGACCAGAAGGGAGAAGGGTGTGCTGATGACTGCTAGCCCATAGATAACACAAAAACATCAATGGATTCCACGGTATTTCCCCCACTTCCAATCTGAGGTCTTGGCATCACATAAACCCACATAACATAGTATCATCCTAGAGAAAGTGATGGGGCAGGACCCTAATTTAAGGTTAAACTTCAATCATTCAGTTAATAAGATCTCTCAAACGCAAATTGTGTTGCTGGAGGAATGTGAGAAAAAATATCCTTTATAGCATACATGAGTATGTAGACTGAACTTTTTACCTACACTAAATTCTTAATTAAGAGTAAGAATCTGAACTACAATGTAAGCACATACTGACTTCTTTTAATTCCAAGAATTTTCAACAGAATGTCTGAAAAGTTTTAATTTATATTGTGTCTTCTTACTGGCACACTATTTAAAAAAAATTTATAGACAGATCTGCATTACCATCGAGACTCAAAGAAGTTATAAAACCTCTTTAACTTTTTCAGGCCCTTAAAATTAGCTTAAGACAGTGAGTCGTTTCCAGTGTCTTTATTAGATCTCGTTGAGTCATTTCCAGTTTTTTTACTGGATCTTATTTTTTGATAAGCACAGTCACCATCTCATTTTATGTGCTTTAAAAATACAGTTTAAATAAAGATAAATCATTTAGAAATCATATGTGTATTTTTCTTCACTAAAGTTTATTTCATCAAAGTTATAATTACTTTTCTGAAAATTTATAGTGTAGAAACATCATCAAAGTTTTATGCAGAGAGGCATTGAGAGATATATAAATAATCATTATATCACCTTATTTATTGTGTGTGTATATATATATATATATATATATCCAGGCTGGAGTGTGGTGACACGATCATAGCTTACTGTAACTTCCAACTCCTTAGCTCAAGCAATCCTCCCACCTCAGCCTCTTAGCTGGGGTTACAGGCATGCAACATTATGCCTAACTAATTTGTTTTTTATTTTGTTTCTTTATTTTTTTTTTAAGAGAGGGGACTCTTGCTGTGTTGCCCAGGCCAATCTTGAAGTCCTGGCCTCAAGTGACCCTCCTACCTCAGCCTCCCAAAGCAATGGGATTACTGGTACAAGCCACCTCACCTAGCTATAATTATATTTTGATTCAAATTACCACTATGTTTAACTCTGTTGATTTTTAATATTGAAGAAAATGAAAATTACTGTTGTAGAAATTCATGTTACGAGCATGTATTCACAGTGGAATGTCACTTTTGTCCCTCTCCTGGTTTTGGATATGAGAAATTTCTCATGATCTCAAAGTGTTTCTAAGTTGCTTTTTTCCTAAAGAGAAAAGAAAAAAAGGACAATAGCCAACTCCCTCAAGAAACCACCATCTCTTGACAACACTAGGGAGGCTGTTTCTGTTGTTGGTGGGTGTTTCCCATTAAGAGTTGGTCTTTATTATCCATCACCACTGCCACATGCATCCGCTTACATTCATTGCTGGCTGAAAACGGACTCAGTAGCCAAGATCCCCTTCTTCCTGACTCCTCAAATCTACTCACCTGCCTGCTTTATGAGGCCCCTGCAGTGCTGGCTGATGATCTCTTTTCAGCTGTTTTCCTGGGCGTTGTAGTTTCTGATTGTTTGTCCTTGCCCAGCCCTGAATGGTCAGCACAGCTTCTGAACCGGTTGAGAGATCTGAACCAGTGGATCACTCACTATGGCTTCCAGGGAGGTCTCCCTTCCTAGTGATATCTTCCCTGCTTCCTCAAAAATCACCTTGGTTTCTCTGGCCCTGACCCCAGTCTCCCATCCTTTACCACTATTATTAATTAGAATGTTGACCTATTCATTAAATATAGTATAAGCAAACATTCATATGTTATGATGACATGATAATGTAAACTCTTAATTATTTTCCAAAATTCTCAATGTTTGAATTAATAGGGGGAAAATAAACAACTAAAAAAGCATACCATTTTAGTCAAATAATTTTAAGATATTTTGGGAATAAATAGTTGAATTACTATGCAGTTACACTAATAATGATTGTGAACATGTTGGAAATGTTTGAGATACAAAATATTCAGTCTAGTTATTTGGAAGATTTTAATAAATGACCTGAATCGACAATGTACTAATCTAATGAGCTATTTGGTGATTGGTTATTATGGGTAGGTAGACTGAGTTTGGAAGAGACTGTTAATGATTTCTTATAAGATATAAAGTATTGTCAAGTATTTGTTCTGTTCTAATTTTAATTGAGTGACCACTGTATAAAATCCACTCCACAATAAGTGAGCACACAGGAATTCTATATTCATAGGATTATAGTCAATTTAAGAGGTCGGTGGGCCCACTGCCTGCTTTCGTAAATGAAGCTTTATTAGAAAACAGCCACACACACTTATTTGTGTATTGTCTGTGGCTGTTTTCATAATATGACAAAGAAGTTGAGTAGTTGTGACAGAGAACAAACGACCTGCAAAGCCTAAAATATTTAGAGATATGTCGCACCCTTTACAGACACAGTGTGCTGACCCCTTGCCTATTATAATATCAAAGCATAATTGCAATATCACAGGTATATCCTTAAAGGAATTGAGAAAAGACAAGGACACATTTCCAGCATTGACAAATATGCCTGTTATAGATTAGACACTTAATAAATGTGGTTGAATATATTGAAGCTATCATTTGATTTGAACCTTTATGTATTTGAACTTGGAGGTGGGAATTTATATCTGGCAATCCAGTCAAGTGGAACAATGCAAACCAATTTTTAAGATGTCTTCTTCAGTGGCCCCTCTACATCCCACAAATCTGCACTCACTCCCTGTACTTCACCTAACAAGACCCCTGCCCTTCTCCCCAGCACTTCTACTCTACTGCTTGGCTCACTCTCATTGGTTCCATTGAATATCTCTACTCAT
Source organism: Homo sapiens (assembly GCF_000001405.40). NCBI lineage: Eukaryota > Metazoa > Chordata > Mammalia > Primates > Hominidae > Homo > Homo sapiens. The sequence goes on from NC_000008.11 coordinate 61,868,458, forward strand.
TTCCTTATCATTATCCACCTATGGAATCTTACCCATCCTTCAAGATTCACATGAAGTACCATTTTATTCCCATAAAACCTCATCATCTTCTCCTCACATTTTGAAGTGATCTTTCAGACATTTGTTTTCTTTAAGAATTATTCACATTTTTCTTATGTGACATTTTACACTCATATGTTTTTCCTCTATACACACAGAAAACTGCTAGACTAGACTATAAGCTCCAGGAAGGCACAGTTTATGGTTTTGTTTAGGGTTCCACACAATAGTACTAACAGGCAGTCAGTAAAGATGTAAAACATGACTGCTGCCACCTGGCCTCTCTCTGTTTTAACTCTCTGGGGAACATTTTTTGTTATCTGATTTTTCCTTATTGATTGTTCTGTTGAAGGACTGCATCCCACCACCAGAATATAGACATCATTTGAATAGAGATCTTGTCTGTCTTTTTCATTGCTGTGTCCCACTACCTAGAACAACCTAGGTGCTAAATCAAAATGTGGTCAGTGAATGAATGAAATTATAAACCTGTAGTTTCAGAAAACAATAGCTTATTCATACACTAAAATAACTTTATTTTGTGGTTAATAATAACTTCGATAAATAAGATTCTCTAATTATCTGTGAGCTAGTGTTCTTATATTTAGAGTTTACTATATAATTATACAGGAAATAGTATGCAAATTCAAAGCCATTAATTCTATAAATATAAAACTCAATTTATCTGTAGGAAAGTATAGCAGTCTTCAAGATTATTTTACAATGTGGCATTTTAAAGGTTTTATACTGATTTTGAAGTTCAGGAGATTGGACAACTCACTAATTATCTTTTAATGCTTCCTATTGCCTGATAAATTTTAAGAGGTTAATTGCTAATATGTTCCATTACTATTCTTAAGGATAAGACATGATGGACAGAAATTTCCATGCAATTATTCCATTCTGGTGAGATTAGAAGGTGCTAAGCAGATAAAGAAATCATCTTATCAAGAAGGAAAAGTACCATTTACTGAAGAAGGTCTGCTAAACTTTAATCATGACTGAAAATATAAAAAGACACTTTAAATGGATAAATGCAGCTATTGCACACAATTGACATGGCTGTAGAGATGACAGAGTGAAGAGGTATTTGATCAGTCATTTGTTATAAAAGCTCAGGGAAAACAAAAATTTCTACTTAAAAATTTCTCTTTATTGCTTTCTCATTTTCTTTGACTTGCTAAATTCACAGTTAAATCACATCCATATGTTCTCAGTTTTAACTGCTACCATATTTCTAACATCACCCTTTTCTCGGCTAGAAAAATGACTCCATGTCACTTCCAATGCCTCCTTTTATGTTCGTGTTTGACAGAGAGTGCGCACATTTAGGGTCTGTGCAGTGGGGAAAGCTTAAAATGGCAAGGCACGTTTCCCAGTTACTTTCCATTGGCAGATGGTAAAAGACGGAGCTATCAAACTCTAATCTCAGACAGACCTGAGCTTGATTTCTTACTGAGACAACACTAATTGTGTTCACTTAAACAATTTATTTAGACTCTGGTCTATAAATTAGGGGGTAACAATAGTACCAGTTTCATATGGCTGTGGTAGGGAGGATAGAAGACAACGCATAGAGGTGTAACACATGTGCTACGAAGTGTGCCAAGCATTCAGAATGTATTATCCCACTTACTGTTCACACCAGCCCTAGAAGGTCAGTACCATTACTACCACACAACTCGGAGGAAGATACTGAGGCACCGACTGAGACACAGTCAAATCTTGGTATACAAGGAGGATTTATATGTATTACTCGACTAAAAATATACTAATAATCAATGAGCATTACAATGACCCTGGAATTAGGTTGAACACATTACATGGGTTTCTAAATTAATCTTCACCTCATCCTTGTCGCTCCCATTTTGCAAATCAGAAAATTGAGATTTAAAGGGATTAAGCTATATATCTGAAGTAGTAGAGCTAGAAAGCACAAAAATCCAATCTACAAACCCAGGAGGTCTGATTTCAAGGACTGTAAAAGTAACCTGTAGTACTGTATACTAATTCTGGCCCCTTACTTTATATCCAAATGACTAAATTAGTAAAAGGGGCTAGATTTGACAGAGAAGTAGGTAGTGGAATAAGAAAGCAAAGAGCATCCAGAGTGACTTTAACTCAACTGAGTACACATATATTAATCTTCAAATAACACCGCGCCATGCATTTAAGAAACACAAACTAGTATTACATGTCGTCGACCAGGATGCCTTCATTTGGTAACCTGGATGATTATTTTATTTACAACCAAGAAAGAGAGTACTTCATATAGGGGGTGTGGCAGGAAACCCCACATTAAGCTGAGGCAACTACTACATACTTGGTGTAAGGGCAAACAAGAAATAAACCTGACAAGCAGAAAAGGACAAGAGAAGTCACCTGTCTCAATCTCGGCACTGGATGAGGGAGGGAAAACAAATCTCATCTAAAAATTTAAAGCTAGTGCTAGCTTTACACTGTTACACTGTAAGTGTAACAGAACTTACAGTGTATGTTCTGAGTATACACTCTAAGTTTAAAGTGGTTTCAAATTGATAGTTTCTGACAGAAGCAACTCATCTACTGTCTACAAGAACTCACTGCAATTTGAGCCTATAATAATTGTATACTGCCATTTACTGTAAAATGCATTCTGATTTGAGAGTTGTTAAAATATGAAAAAAACACATAACAGAATGGATGAAAGATGATATGAGATGCACTGCCTGCCCTAAAAGAGCTTAGAAGCATCTGAGGTCATGTGATCGACAAGATAAAACACAAACAACACAAGTTATTATATAAAAGTGTAAAATTAGTTTTGAGATGTGTAGGAAAATGAGAATTCAAAATTGGTAAACTTCTGGGAAGAACGGTGAAGTGGGAAGTCTTCATGGGAAGGTGAGACTTGATCTGGGCCTTGATACCTGGATTGGGTTGCAACGGGGGAGGGAAAGAGGGGATACCTATACCATGTAAGAGGTGGAGTCTGATTTAATGACAATACTTTTAGATTGGAGAAAGTGAAGACACCATTCCAGCTGAAACAAAGAGCTTGTATTGGGTAGCAATGGCAGATAAATTTAGAAAATCCTACTGAGAAGACGTAATAAAAGGCCCTTAAGGAAATGCCAAGCTAAGGAATTAGGAATGGAAATGATATTCATTCAATCATTCAGTTAGCTACCTGACCAATCAGCAGCCAACCACCAAACATTAAGCAGCTGTATATGCCAGATGTTGTGCTAAGAATTCAGTATAAAATGGTGGATAACACAGCATTTTGTCCTCTAAGTTACATTATTTTAGTTGAGCAGACAAAAAATTGGGACAATACCACAGTAAGATCTATTAATTTAGCTGCAATTTATTGAGCAGCTATTATTTTTCCAGGTACTATATAGGGAATTGATGTTATATATTACATTTCAAAACCAAAGCATGTCTATTTTAGAGATGAGAAATCTGAGGATCAGAGGCACAGAGATTTTTCTGCACTTCTTAGTGTCTCAGTATCACTTACAATAGAGCCTTGATTACTCAAATTATGTGATGTCACAATTATAAAATATTCAAAATCCTGGAAAAAGACTTTGAAACTTTTTGAAAATAACCAAGAAACTTGTTGTGTTTTGATATTAAGACAAGTACATTGAATGATGAAGTTTTAAGTCAATTAATATCCTCAACTCTACGTAATCTCTGAGGTAGAGTTTGCGCAGTTATTTTGGAAACTTAGCTGAGGCATGGTAAAGCATTGATGTAACACATTATCTGCAGCAAATCATTAGTATGTACCACCAGTGTCATTAATTTACAGCCACATAATTATAGATGGGGAGACAAATTTTACATTAATTTAGTGAAACTGTGGTGTGGATTCAAATTCCTCCCAGTACCATTCAAGGCAGAAATGTTCTTTCCCTCACTGCTGATGGCACAAGGACTAGCAGCTCTCAGATGCATCCCTCTCTCTGGGGCTGTCATCCAATGAAAAGAGCGGCCTTACCCAAGATTATGTCATTTTCCCAGGAGCAGCCCACACCCGGGACTAGTCCATGAGGGCTAAGAAGACCTGTTACCCTGGTCCCAATTCAGGATGGCTCTAAAGGGTCATCTTCTCTGCAGGATAACTGAATTTACTTCCAATTCTCTGTGGTAGGTAGAATGATGGTCACCTAAAGATATTCATGTCCTAACCTCTTGAATCTGTGAATATATGAAGTTAAATGGAAAAGGGGAGTTAAAGTTGCACATAGAATTAGGGCTGCTAATCAGCTGACTTCAAGATAGGGATATCATCCTAGATTATCTGTATAAACCCAATGTAATCTTAAAAGTGAGTTCTTAAAAGTGAAAGGGAATCAGAAGAGGAGATAAAATGATAAAACCTGAGAGAGACTCAACATGTCATTCCTGGATTTGAAGATGGAGGAAAGGCAGAGGAACCAAGGTGGGAAATCTCTAGAAGCTGGAAAATGCAAAGAAAGGGATTCTCCCCTAGTTTTCAGAAGGAAACTGATCCTGGAAGACATCTTGATTTCACTTCAGTGAGACTCATGTTGGACTTCTAAACTACAGGTAAGGTTAGAAATGAGTTTTGTTTTAAGCTACAAAGTTTGTGGTAATCTGTTATGGCAGCAACAGAAAATTAAGATATTTTATGACTAATTTTGCTTCCTTCTTTCTCTTAGGAGTGTTGATTCTGAATGTATTTCCTAATCAACTTAGTGCAGTAAATCTCTGTCTCAAAGTCTTGTTCATGTGGTACATAACGTATAACAGAAATACATATTAGGCTCATATTTTTCTACTTAAATTATAGAGCTCGTGTTAACCTAATAATTGATAACACTGCTCAGACAAAGGCACAGTTTAGTTGCAAATTTGCAGTCTGATCCCTCAGGCTATGAGATATCATAGTCAAGAATGTGACTGGCATATACTGCAAGTCAGGTGAATCAGAGGCTGCTATGGTTTGAATGTTTGTGTCTTCTTCAAAATTCACATTGAAGCTCAAGCCCCAATGTGATAGTATTAAGAGGAGTGGCTTAAGGAGATGATTAAGTCATGAGGGTGGAACCTTCATGAATGGGATTGGTGACTTATAAATGGGTTGGGAGGCACTGGCCAGGCCCCTTGTGCCCTTCTGTCTCTTCTGCCATGTGCCGGCATTCAAGGCACCATCTTGGAAGCAGAGACTGGTTCCTCATCAGACACCAAACCTGCTGACGCTTTGACCTTGGACTTCCCAGCCTCCAGGACTGTAAGAAATAAATTTCTTATATTCATATATTGGCTGGTCTAAGATATTTTGTTATAAGAGCACAGAAAGACTAAGACATTGACCTAGGTCAGCTATGTCAAGGAGGCACAGGCCAGCACCATAGGCCATGTCAGCTAGGGGTCATTTTGGGGAAAATCTCTAAGGCATGTCTTAGGTCCCAGTCCAGAGACTGTAAACAGAGGATTAAGAACCAAAGGACCTGGTCAGTATATTTCCTGTGTGAAGATACTAAAACTGGTGTATAAGAGGCAATTAGTAAATGTTAGCTCCCTATTTTTCCCCTCATGCAGATATCAGAGAGACTTCTCTACTGCTTGGGATGCTTGTTCAGAGTATAATTTCCATAGCAGCAAGAAAAGGAATTTTTGTTTGTGGATACTTTAAAGTAAATAAAGCTATTATAGAAGGCAAAAGAAAAAAATGTCAAACGATTTCTCTTTTCATTTAAAAACAAAAACAGAATAACAAGCCCCAGAAGTATGTTTGAATGTAACTACCCAAGAAATGTACTCAGCATTACACCTGCCAATGCAATGTATGGTGTGCAGTGGAAGTGGGGGATAAAAGCTCCCATTAGTGTCACTGAGTCTGCACCCTGGGACCTGTGAGATGTAGGAAATGCATTAGGCACAAAATGTGTTCTTTTGAGCATTTTTCTTGAAATGTCCTGAGGCTTTTTCACATTAGTCAGTGTACAAAGCACACAACCTTCTGCAGTATCTTGAACAGAATCATCCCAATACCAAATGGACTATGGTGATGACCTAATGAACTTAATCCATGTTGTGAACTGATCTTATGTTCAAATTAACCCAGCCCCTGAGAGTGGGAAAGTGGCTGTGACATTTGCTCAAATAGGTTCAGAGAAAGTGATTTCTGATGCACATTGGGCTTTCCTTCTCTGTGCTCCCTAATTACAACATTTTTAACTCTTTGTTGTGTATTGTATTTGTGATGTATATATCCATTACCTAATAGACTTAAAGCACCTTACCATGAGGGTCTGAGTCTGATGATTTTTCAACAAAGCAATTTCCTGTGTCATCTTGCACAGCAAATGCCTATTGAGTGAACAGGAAGAGCAATTTGGGTTGAAAATGGTCTAAGTAAAAAGCACAATTCTGATTGTGGTCTATTAATGATGCTAGGTATATTTGATGAAGCTGAGATGATGTGATCACCTGTTCCCATGGGGAACTTCCTACAGGTCACCATCACCTCCTGTATCACCATTGCCTAGTGGTCCTGAAAGTGTACCTCACAGCTTTTTATGAGTGAGGGAGGGGGAACGATAGCTGTTGGCTCAGGTTCACATCTGTTCTAGCCCAGCAACCTTTCAGGATCTCTGACTTCAGTGTTTACCCACAGAGATGTTGTAGGCATCTGATCCACCACTGGTGGAAATGTTGTAAGCCTGGCTGCCTGCAATTGATTTTTCCTAGTGCCTACCCAAACCAAGCTATAATGCTTTGGGAATTTTAAAAATAATTTGACTTTAGTATGATATAAAAGTGATCACTAGAATAAAGGAGTCAACGAAAATGTTAGAGTTATGGTGTACAATAAAATTTGACTTTATAGTCATTAATATCTGTATTAGTCGCTCAAGGTACTGTAACAAAACACTATAGATTACATGGTTTAAACAACATAAATTTATTTTCTCACAGTTCTGGAGGCTGGAAAGTCCAAGATCAATATTCTAGCAGGGTTCAGCTCTTCTTTCACGGGCACTTTTCTTTGCTTGAAGACTGCTTCCTTCCTGCTATATTCTCCCATGGCTGAAAGACAGTGAGCTCCGAAGCAACTCTTTTTAGAAGGCCTCTAATCCTGTGGAATAAGGGTGTCACTCTCATGACTCATTTAACCTTAATTACTTTCACAGAAGCCCTATCTCTAGCTACAGCAACAATGAGGGTTGCAGTTTCAGCATATGCATTTTGAAGGGACATAACATTCATTTCATAACAATATCCATTAGGTTAATTTGGAAATATTGATTTATTTATACATAAAAAGAATGTTGAATTGTGAAATATTTTATAATTTACAGAATTTCAGGAAGATTAGTAGTTATGACTAGTTGGCTATTGCTACAGATAGTTAAAAAATCATTTCACATTTTTACTGTGCTTTTCAGTTTACAACACTCTTCCTTATATATTGTTGAGTTTCATTTTTTTATTTTCCTGTCTTAAGAATATGATATGTTTTGTTTTTCACTCTACACTATGTAACACAGAGACTTGCCCAATACAGACACAAAGGAAATATATACTATAATAAACTAACATCTTTCAATAATAATCAACACAATTAAGAATTTTAATTTTCTCCATCTATCAAGACTTTGGCACTGCAATAGTTTTAGAAATAATAGGAGAACAGAAAGCCCATCTTAATATGTTCTCCTAGTCAATACATGTTGAAAAGGCATTGGTGTTGAATTCATAGCAATATGATATTGAATCCTATGTTTATTACTAATTAGATATTTGACCTTGAGCAAGTTGCACGACCTCTTTGAGCTTAAGTTTCCATTACTCTAACTTAAGAATCATACTATTTGCCTCACATATGTTGAAGTAAGATAATACAGGTCAAATGTCTGACACTTTGCCAGCTGTGGGCACTCAATCAATTAGTTATAAGTCTCTTAATGAATTAAGAAGAAAATGTTAGTAAGAAAGTCTGCTTACATGGTATATAAGAGAAAAAATAAGATTCTGCCCAACTAGTTTGGCTTTGATATATAATAGGCCAAAATATACAAATATATTTCAAATTGACAGAATTCCTGTGCCAAAGATTTGATTGAAGATATTTATTTAAAAAATGAGTTATTCAGAAAAGCAGAGATAGAGTCACTGTGGCACACTTGAGCAGTGCCTACCTGAACCTTGTTCTAGAAAGAAGGTGGCCAGGCTTAGAAGATGCAGGAATTTTCCTCTGAAAGTTTGATGTCACCAAATATCTAAATCATAAAACTGGTCATCCCATCCCAGTTCCACATGTACAAGGCAACATTTGGATAATAATTTTGCTGTGCTTATAGTTTGCTTATATGGGGAGAATGTGTTTAGAGGATGCAAGTACTTGGCCCTCTTGGCCAATAACCTTTCAATTTTTTAAAATCAATTGAATTTCTGAATAATACATTAATGTCATGCCAACTCAGCATGAGTCAGCATTTCTTGCTTCATCCAATAGCTCTCAGGCACACAAGATCAAAGTTCTGTAAGGGAAAGAAACTAGAACAAGCAAGGTCAACTCCAGCTAATTTTGAAACATAATGCCCTAGTCTCAAGAGTATAACTCATTCTACCTGACACTTTATGGCCATGAGTAGAGGATAAAAGATATTTATTTATAAATCAAGTTCTATAAAATGAAGTAGAGTTTAGAAGATATTCTACAAGTGTTATAATACTACTAAAAGAAGTGAAAAGAAGAGAAAAAAAGAATTTAAGAGAATATGTATTTTGGTTGAGCCTGCTACATATTTACCACACATATTCAACATTTCAAATTTTTGAAAATGAAGGCAGCATACTATAACAGTTTATATAAAAATGAAAGTGTCAAAGAAAACATGACTATATTTCTCAGATGTTGCATGAACTCTTGTACTCTCTAACACCTGTCATACCACACTTTCATTATTCACAAACTTAACTGTGAATATTCACTTTTTGAAGACTGTGCCGAATACACATTCCACTAGGATTTTGGTTACCACTTTTCCATAAGATTTAGAATCATGACTTAGTACCAGTTAGGGTTATTTGCCACAAAAACCAGAAATGAACTCTGACTTGAGCAAGAGGGATTTGCTTGTGAGAAAGGATATTGGTGTGTGTTTGTAGGGGTGTGTGTGTGTGTGTGTGTGTGTGTGATCGCATATGTGGGGTCTCATAGAATTAATATGAAGTAACATACCAGGTTTGAATACAGGAAGAAGCCAATAGAGAAACAGAAGGAAACATACAAGCATATAACAGGAAACAGGAAACAGGAAGCACAATAACCGTCTCTAACCATTAACAGCCTGGGCAGGAATCCCCACTGTCTATAAGAATGATGAAATACCTTCAACCTCCCCCTCCCACCACCTAACTTGGTTAAGATGAAAATTCCCAGGAGGTAGGGATCATTTGGTCAAATAGTGGAAATGTGCAGGGAAAGAAAAGATCTGTTTTATTTGTGCTTGTGCTTCTGCAGTGAAAAGCAGACACTTAGAGTTACTCTTCCCAAAGGAAATCAGGGTAATATTAGAAAGAACCATGCACTCTATCCAGACAAAATGGCACAACTGGCAACTATATTATCTGTAGTACAAGGATTCACAGTAATTTGTTGCTCTTCTTATAGACATATGTTGTTAAAGGAGTAAGCAACATGATTACTATCATTTTGTTTAAGCTGGTCAAAAGATTAAAATGTTTCTATAAATATACAACTGAAGTGTAAAATGCCACTACTCTTCTAGGCACAATATTGGGAAAGAAATTTCTTAGAGATAATATTGATGATCATGCTGTGTAACTCCTTGGAATATAGTAGGAGGAAAAAGCTTGAGATTGCAAGCGTATGTGTCGTATTCTGCCACTCATACAGCCATCCTAAGAGCAAAAGATAGACTTCTTGAATCCACCCTTGACAAGATGGATGAAGTTAGTTTATTCATTAAAAATGCTTCTATTGGATATAGCACACTGAGAAAAAATGAGGCAGTGTATTTATTCCAAGTCTTCATAAGGCTAGTTTTCTAGTCAGCTATGGTGGTTTATTCTTCCCATCTACAAAATATGGCATGATAAACTTGATTTCCAAGTGCCTTGCCTTTGCTATATTGATTGTTTGAAGTTAAGTGAAGAAAAAATATTTCATCCTTAGACTAAAAGCTCATGGACAAAAGCTTTGGGGTTTGCTTCAATGATAGCTAAGAGGCACAAAAGAGATGATAGGTTGATAAAAGGGAAAATGCATCATTGTTCTTTGACTATGAGTGCATATCCTTAACACCGCAAAGAATAGTCATAGAAGAGAGCAATCACACTTTTCTATAAAGCAGCCCTTTGTAAATATAATTCACTGGTGCAATATCTAAGTACTCGGTAGGTTCTGACAGTTTCATCCATCACAATACAGGCCTCACCATGTCACTGCCTCAGACTGATAAATGCAAAATGACAGTCATTCATCCGGTGGAATAGAAGAAGCCAGGGAAAATACAACATGAAGTCACTTATGCCATTTGATATAGCTTTGCAATGTGTATCTTTTCTCTCCCCTATCTTTTGTTTTGTTTGTGTACATGCCAGCATGATTATAGTCTTTGCAAAAATATATACAAGACAACACATTTCCCTAAAATAAAAAAGTATGAATTTAGAAAGATTATAGCTACATTAAAATGAATTCAGAATCTACTATGACATAAATAGAATTAGTTAAAGATTAAGGTTAGAAAGTAAATGTCACTTCTTAACTTTTTCTCTTTCTTGCTATTGAGGAGCACAATCTAAAATTTGTAGGCAGATAGAGTATAAAAGTAATGTACAATTATGGCACTTATACTATTTTTTTCTTTTATACAACAATTCTACAAAAATAATGACTATATGTACACATTAAAGGAAACTGTAGATTTACTGAAAAATAGGTATTAATAATATGGATATCAACAGCTGTGTACCTTTAATTTAAAAATTAAAAAAATAAAAATAACAGTAAACTGAAAGTCTCCATTCTCTCATCTTCCTTTTCCTATGTTTATTTTTAAACAAATTATACTGCATATATCGATATCTATTAGGGTCATGTGTTGACTTAGCAATAAATTTAATTATTGGTTTAGATATCTTACAGATGTATGGAATCTCTAATATACACATTTTTGTTTAATATGTTACTGAGAAAGAAGCTCAAGTGATAGAAATAACACAGGACAGGAAGTAAGACAGTTCTCGTCTGAAGTTCTTCTCTGACAGCCCACAAACTAGTTAATATGTAAGTTTGAAAATATAATTTCTGTATTTTATTGCAAATTTCAAATAGATATTTATTTCCAGCTTTATTGAGGTATAATTGACAAATAAAATTATATAAATTTCAGTTGTACAACATGAAGTTTTAATATGTATATCATCATGAAATGATTACAGAAATCAAAATAATAAATATATTCTTCAGCTCACATAGTTATAATTTCCTATTTGTGGTGAGAACATGTAAGAACTATTATATTAGCAAATTTCAAGAATGTAATACAATATTATTAACTATAGTCTTATTGATCTGGTAGATCAAGAACTTTGCACCTTTTAAGCCCCAGCTCCTGGTAATCACCATTTTAATGTCAACTTTTGTGAGTTTAACTTCTTAAGATGCCACATGTAAATGAGGTCATGAAGTTGAAGGAAATAAAAATATTTCATGCCAAAATATCCTTCTTCAGCATATTTTGAGATGGCTATTCAGAGGGCTTGCAAATGGAATTAGCCCTGAAATAAGTCTTTTGTGGGGCATACATTTTTTAGGAAGAAGTCCTCCCCTATGAAAGTAAATTAAAAAATAGGGAAACTGACTATTACACCAGATGCACAGATATCAATGTATGGACACAGGAAGCATGAAAAACAAGAAAATATGACACCTCCAAAGGAATACAATAATTTTCCAGCAATAAATCTTAATCACAAAGAAATTTTCAAAATTCAAGATAAAGAATTCAAAATACTGATTTAAAAAAAGCTCTGTCAGGCATGGTGGCTCATTCCTGTAATCTCAGCACTTTGGGAGTCCGAGGTGGGCAGATCAACTGAGGTCAGGAGCTTGAGACCAGCTGGGCCAACATGGTGAAACCCCGATTCTACTAATAATACAAAAAATAGCTGGGCGTTTGAGATTTTTTTAGCCATTATTTCTTTAAAAAAGATTTCTGCTCCTTTCTTGGAATTTCCAAATACATGCATTGGTTCATTTGATGGTATCCCACAAACCACATAGGGTTTTATTTCCACACTCTTCGATTTTTTTTTTTCATTTGAGTGGATTATTTCAAGTAACCTGTCTTTGAGTTCATAGATTTTTTTCTTTTGCTTGATTGGGTAAAGAGCTAGTATTGAGATGTTTGAAAGCTTCCTTTGAAGCTCTCTGCTCCATTTTGGATTCTATTCATTGTAGTCGTCAGATCCAGAATTACTGTTCGTATCTTTTTTATTTGTATGTATTAGTTGAATGTCTCATTTGTTCGTGTATTGTTTTGGTGATAACACTGAGTTGTCTGTGTTCTCTTGGAGCTTGCTAAGCTTCCTTAAAGCCATTATTTTGAATTATTTGTCAGGTAATTTGTAGATGTATATTTCTTTGGGGTCAGTTATTAAAACATTATTGCATTTCTTTGGTGGTGTCATGTGAAATTTTGTTGTTGTTGTTGTTTCTTGAAATCTTGAGTTGCCTTCTTTGCATTTCAAGAAACAATCACTTCATTCAGTTTTTACTGACTGGCTTTGAGAGTGAAAAATCTTCATCAGTCATCCCAGTTAGGCATTGTGGGGGTCTCTCAGATCTTTTCTGTGGATGCCCCACTCCATTTTTCTTTATCCCTTTTGGGGAGAAAGTATTGGTATCATATGCCTTATCTCCATCCCACAAAGCCATTTTTTTTTTTTTTTTTCCCCTGGGGAAGTGCCCTGAAGAGTTCAAAGTCAGATGCTTTTCCCGAGTTAAGTAGAGTTTGATCTGGGTGTCTGTGTATTGTGTATGATTTTTGTAGACTCACATGTACTTTCTTCAGGGGAGCACAGAAGGTGGTGCTTATGAAAAGGAGGGGCACGTAGAGTGCTAGGGACACATGTGGACCACCTAGGGGTCTGCAGTTAACCTGCGTTATGAGGTTGGTGGTCTGGACTCTTGGTGGAGTTTGCGAAGTGGTTTGTAAAAATCACAACACTTTATTGAGTTCTGTGCTCCATTGCTCTGAGTGCCTATTCAGTTTTTCTTCTCCTAGCTGCCTGCAAACTATTGAGTAATCCCAATTCTCTCAGTTTTCTGGGTGTGATAAGACAGATGTTGGCCTCCTCGGTAGTGTCCCAAATGGCTAGGGAGACAGGGTGCTCATTATACTCTCACTTTCCCCTGTGAGATAAATTAAAGGCAAAGAGGGTCTCCTGGCACAGCACTGAGCTGTGCTGCTTTGGTGGAGGGGTGATGAGGATATAGTGAAACTGTTCTCTTACCCTCTTCAATGTGTCTATTCATAGATTAGAATAGACACCTATAGGGTGCTGGCATCTCTCTACTGGCCTCCTATTCTCCCTCAAAAATACTCTCATCCTTGTATAGTTGTCGAAATTGATGTTTGTTGGGAAGATAAGAGCTGCAAACTTCTATTTTGCCATCTTGCCAGTTATTCCACTAGGTTTTTATTTTAGGAATTATTAAAATTTACACTATAAAATACTTAAGGATATAATTTTGTTCATTCATTAATTATTTACTCAGGCTTGGCTGATTGTAAAATATTGGGAACATACCAAGGAAAAAGACAAACACCATGACCTCTGGAAGTTTAATTTCTAGTGAAGGAGACAAAACTGAACAAAAAAAGAGTGTTATTATTTGTGATAGATATACTGTGATGAAAAAAATAAAACAATGTAAGGGGAGGGAAACCCTTGTGTAATTCTTGTCAGGGGAGACCTCCTTCAGGAAAGGAAATTTGCTAGAGAAAGACAGTAAGATAATGAGGGCGAAGAGTATTTCAGGCAAAGGGGAAAAATTCTGGAAGTAATTTCTATCTTGAAAGAACATAATAATTTAACAGAACTCAGAAATGTCTGTGAACTACATAAATAAATGCCATTCAACCACAATCATTGTATCACCACCTCAACTTCCCCATAGACCAGCACCTTCTCTCATGCCATGAGAGGAAATGTTACTAAGAGGAAGTATGAATGCAATGCAACAGAGTTCTAAATCTAACATAGTTAAAATATTGGACTCTTAGAAATTTTACAAAAGCACATGGACCTTCCCAACACCTTGAAAAGGGCCTGTGCAGTGTGGTGACCTGAAGCTTAAGCTTCATTTATTTTATGGTGAATCTTCTTTTAATCAAAGGTCACAGTTTGTTCTTTTCAACTTTTTCCCAGGTAAGGAAAAAATCAGCATTTAAGTACATGGTGTAAATTAAAGGATTTTAATCCTAACAATGGGAATTCTGACCAAGAATCTCCTAATACACCAAGAGAGAGCCAGTGGGAAAAAAATGACAAATTCTATTTTGAACATGTTCATTTCCGGCTGTCTTATGAGATACCTAAATAAGGATGCCCAACTCTAGAGCTCAGGGAAGAGCTGAGCTTAGAGATGCATGCTTTGGAGTCAACAACCTATAGACAGCATTCAACACCAAATGCTGGATAAAATCACTTTTGGGCTTGAGTGTAGTAAGAGAAGGGCACCCAGGACTGAATTCTGTGACACTCTGACATTAAGTCGTTTATTTGTCTAAGATAGGAGCTACCGTGTTGCTTTTCTGTGCTCACAGAAATGCAATAAAAAGAAACAAAAAAAGATAACTTATGAAGACGGACCATGATCATAGAAGCAATGGCCTTGGACTCGGTAACAGAATGGAATCCATCAGAAAAGTCAGGGAGCTGGCCTGAAACAAGGACAAAGGAAATTCATCCATTATAAAAGGAGGGAAAGTGGAGTATGTAGGTATATAGTGTCTAATATAGTGTACATAGGGTATAGTGAAGTGAAGGGAAGTATCAAAATATCAGAAACTCATTCTATTTCTACTAATTGCAATTCCCTTTAGGCACCTGCATATTGCTCCACATAACTATTAAAATTCTGATACCTTTGTCTTTATCTATGGATCTATCAGTGTATCAGTCTATTTATTTCTGGTTTCCATAGTTGAATATAGAAATTCTTTGAAGGCAAGAGTTATCCATTACTGAGCATTCCTCCAAACATACGTACACATGTTTTTCAGTGCTTAGCACATTTTACAGAAATGTAGGGGATAATAATTTCCATTATTTGATCAATAAAAATAAATACATGTTTGGTTATCTACTAGAAGACATGCTCTATGAAGGCAGGAGCTTTGAGTGCTCTGTTGACTGCTCTATCTCCAGCATGAAGAAGAGAGCCCAGCCCATTAAATATTAGCTGTGTGTGTATACTCTTCAATCTGAAGACTGGATATGTGGACTTTTAAGACTATTGTATACCAGGTCCACCTGAAGGGTAGAAGGAAACGATGACTCTTGTGAGGAAAGTAGTAAAGAAAAAGAATTTTAAGGGGAAAGAGAATAAAAACAGTGGAAACAAGGATTATGTTACAACTAGTTTAGGAGTGGTTGGTACGTCTCAAAGAAATACTTATTTCAAAGAAATAGAGAAAAATGTTGTAAAAGTCAGCCGTGGCTAGTGAATGGGAAAGATGAAGTCTGGGAATGCTAAGAACATTGTGGGAAATTCTGAGAACCAAGGTATATTTTACCATCTCTCATTAGTTTTATGGTAAGACTGAGGGCCAAGGTCATGATTTGCAGAAACCATAGTGTGTAAATATGGCAGCTCAGTATGTCTGGGCAAGGAGGGGACAGCGTAAGTGCTCTTTATCCAGTCTGGACTCTTGTGTAGCATAGAAAGGATCATCAGTTACTGCTTCCTATGAGAGAAGGGATGGTTTAAGCACTGGGGAGTTTTAGACGGGCTCCTTTTGGCACTAGTAAAGTGACCCTGAATAGAAGGTTTGATGGACAGGTCTCTTAAAGCTCACACAATTACCTTGCTGGGTGAAATATAGTGATGAGAGTTGGAAAGAGGCCTACTCAGCCATGAAAGGTGCTGGCCTCCCAGGAATGTGGCCTGGCTGAGCAAACACATCTGGAGCTACAAAAGCCAAGATTTGAGCGGGAGCACAGGCAGAATGCCTTAGTTAAGACTAGATAAACCAGGTTTTAGCATACATAGTCAGCAGACGGTGAGGATCAAAGACTTGATACAGAAGAGATGAGCCCAAGACCTCCTATGAGACCTAAGATCCCTTTCTTCATCCTGATATCAGGAGGGTAAGAAGCTTTTCCTACAGCTAACAGCCATATGGGCAATCAAGAGGGTAGAAGTTGGGAGGAACAGGTCTGTTAGAGTGAGACTCTGCAACAGTAAACTACTTGAAATAACCTGGGAGACTGCTAAGTTTACGTCTCCCTCACCCTCTTGGTCTCAGCCTAGAGAAGTGGTGGCTGGTGAGGAGGAATTGAATCAGCTAGAGAAAATAGCTTTTGCTTTTGTGGGAGTTTTGATGTCTTCTTCATTTCTGAAGAAGACATTCAATCTTCCAAATTCGCAAATGGGTTCTTTTGCTTGATAAGTTCTGCTCTTGATCCTCTCTATTGCATTTTAAAATTTCTGCAGTGGGATGAAATCTGAAGAATTCTATTCTAACATCTTGCTGATGTTTATCTGATCATCTTTTGCCATCAGATGTGCCTGTCACAGTCTCCACCAGAAGCTTTATCTTACTACAGAGTCCAGATGCATTAAGGCTGTGTTCGAGCCATGATCTTCCTCTGAAGAAGAAATGAAGAAGAAATTTATCTTATTTTTGGATATAGTGTTCTTAGTTGGCAGTTTAATTATTATTTTTACTTCATCACTTTGTATACGTCATCGCACTTTCTCCTGGCCTATAAGATCTCTCCTGAGAAATTTTACGTTCTACTTTACTGGAACTTCATTAAATATTATTTGCATCATTTTTCTCATTGCTTTCAGGATTTTCTCTTTGTCCTTGGTTTTTGATAGCTTGACTATAACATGATAGCTTGACTAAAACTTTGTATAGTCTTGTTTGGATTGAATTTGATTGGAGAACTTTGACCTTTCTATAAGTGTACTATTTATATTCCTCTCCAAAATTTGGAAAGTTTTCTACTCTTATTTCTTTAAAAAAGGTTTCTACATTGTCTTTCTTTTCTCTTTTACATATTCTTACTACTATAACACTTGCCCTTTTGATGCTGTCCTATACATCCCATAAGTTTTCTTCACATTTTTTCATTCTTTTTTTCTCCTCTAACTGTATATTTTCAATCAATCTTTCATGTTCCCAAATTCTTTCTTTTGCTTGATCAGTTCTGTTGTTGATTCTCTCTATTGCATTTTAAAATTTCATTCATTGTATTTTTCAGCTTCAGAATTTCTATTTAATTTTTTAAAAAATAATTTCAATCTCTCTGTTAAATATCCTATTTTGGTCATTTGTTCTTTTTCTAATTTCAGTTAATTGTTTGATTTTTTTTCAGGTTATTAAGCTTTCTTAAAACAATTATTTTTAGTTATCTATCAGGCCATTTTTTTATCTTCATTTCTTTTGGAGTCAATTATTGTGAGATTGTTGTGTTCTTTTGGTGGTGTTATGTCTCCTTGGTTTTTCATATTTCTTGTTGCCTTATGTTGATGTCTACACTTTTGGAAGAAGCAGGGACTTATTTCAGTGTTTGAAGAGTGGCTTTGTCTGGGAAAGCCCTTTACCAGTCAGCCTGCCCAGAGATTTTGAACAGGTTGTCTGGTATAGTCCAAAGGTGGGTTTACTGCTGGAGTCCTCAATCAGGCTGACCTTGAGCCTGACTTAGCAGGTGGGTGGCCTGATGTCTGAGTCTGCAGAATTGAGGCTGAAGCCTGGATCCACTAAGGTGGACCTGTTAATTGAGTGTGTGGGGATGGCCTGGACCCTGGGTTCACAGGGAGTAAACTGGTACAGGGATGGGCCTTAATTCTGAGTCTCCAGGGGCAGACCAAGATCTGGGATGGGCCTAGTGCCTGGGATCACTGGAATGGACCTGGGCCCTGAGTCCACATGTGCTGGCTTGGAGCCTGCTTTCACATGGGGTGGTCTTGGAGCCTCAGTCCATAGGGTCCAGCCTGGCACTGGATGTATTGGGTGGGCTTGGGCCCTGGATCTCCTAGAGCAGGCCTGGCCTCTGAATCCTCTCAAGTCAGGGGCCACAGGGACTGGCCTGTGGCCTGGGCTGGCCTGGTGCTGGAGCTGGCATAGAATGTGGGTCCAAATGGACTGGTCTCTAACCTAGGATTTTAGGTTCTTGCCTGGTGTCTGGAGTCACTGGGGTTGGCCTGTAGCATGGGGTTGTGGGGATTGACCTGGAGCTTGTGTCCATTAGTGCTGGCCTGGAGACTGGATCTGCAAATGCTGGCCTGCAGGCTAGGTCCTTAAGTGTTGGCCTTGGTCCTGGGTCCTTGGGAACCAGTCTAGAACTTGGGTACACAGGGGCAGTCCTGCAGCCTGGGTCTGTGGTGATCAATCAATCCTGGGGTCTGCTAAGACCATCCTGAACACTGGGTCTGCTGATGTGTGAGGCTGCAGGGGCCAATCTGGACAGTGGGTCTGTGAGGACTGGCCTGGCACTGGGCAGGCCTGGAAACTGTATCTGCAGGTGCCCACCTGGTATTAGAGGCCAGCAGTGTTGACTTGGTGCTAGGGTATGCCTGAATCCTGGGGGCACAGGGTCTGGTTTTGTGCTGAATGGGCCTATTTTCTGTTTCTGCAGGGTCTGGCCTATTGGCTGGGTCCATAGGTGCCAGCCTGTTGACTAGGATTGTGGAGGCTGGGATCATGGGGACCAGCCCATGGCTTGGAGTTGTCTGGAGCCCAGGGCTGCTGGGGCTAGCCTGGTATCGCCTAGGCTGGGCCTAGAACCTTACTATGTGAGAGCTGGCCTAGGGTCAGCATTAAGGAGATGGAGACCGAGTCTACTAGGCAGGCCTGAAGCTTGAGGCTGTGGGATCTGGCATAAGGCATAAGAGCAGGCTTGGATGCTCAGTCTACAGATACTGACCTAGAGCCTGGGGCTGTGGGCGCATGCCCAGTGCTGGGTTTTACTGGGGTGGATCCAGTGTTGGGGTCTGAAGCAAAGGTCAGTGCTAACTTATCTCTCTTTCCTTCAAATGTTGGGTATCTTCTGTCTCTTCTTTTTTTCATGCTATACCTAGGTGTGTAATCTCTCACCTCATTTCCCTAGACCTTGTGAAGATATTTTTGTGCATGGATAGTGATTCAAATTGATGTTTCTGCAGTGGGATGAATTTTGGAGAATTCTATTCTAACATCTTGCTGATGTTTATCTGACCATCATTTGCCTTCAGATGTGCATGTTACAGTCTCCTCTAGGAGCTCATCTTATCTACAGAGTCCAGATGCATTAAGGCTGTGTTCAGGCCATGATCTTTATTTTCAGTTTGTCAACTCTACTAATATTACCAAGTAATTGGTCTTAATTTTCCTTAGAAAGATAAAAGTCTAATTTTTAATTGTATAATTCAGGTGTGGATACCTCTTCACTATTTATAGAGTTAATTATAGATTATAAAACTAATTATGCACTCTGTGGTTTTTCCCTCTGAAGCTGCTCCAGATAGTCTACATTCACCTTCACTACATCTTTGTGATGTGGTCATCAGATCAATTATTTTTCTCTAATAAAAAGAAAAGGAGGGAAGTGGTTTGCACAAGGTCACTGATCAAATTAGCACTAAAACTTGGCAGCTTGAAGCTCGAGTCCCATGATTCCTGCTCCTGTGCTCAACCCAGAAAGCCCTGCTGCCTCCCAGAGCATGATGCTCTCTCAGGAATGGCTCCATGTAAGCTAAACAGGCAGACCTCCCCCTTATGTTCAGCTACACAGAGAGGATGCAACCTACTGCATGGTCAAATCTGTTCTCACCCTTCAACCAAATAATAGCATATGCTAAAGAGATTACACAATGACCAAGAAGCAGCCCTCATCTTTATCCAGTGCAATGAACCCTGATGGAGCACCTCAGCCTTATAAACTCCTTGTTACAATGACAGAAAAAGCAGAGGTGTTATGTACCTGTCAGTCACATTAATATTTTTTTTTTAAAAAAATAGAGAGTTTAATACATGGAAGGTCCTAAGGTATTTCTCATGGATTATCTCATTTAATCCTTATAAAATATAATGAGGTACATATAATCATGCTGACACAAAACACGTAAGTGCCAGAGCAAATATCTAAACCCAAGTCTGTGTATCTCCAGCCTCCCATTATTAGAACAGGAGGTGGCATGAAGGCAGAGCCTCACAAAACAGGTCACTGTCACTCATGGGGGTGGGAGAGACATTTATGTAAATCACTAGGGATGGAGAGGTTAAGTGGAATGAATGCGCCTCAGGTTAACTCTTGGCTGTAGTACTAATTTAATTTTGTGATCTTGGCATAGTGAAGTCCATTGTCAAAGAGATTCCACACAGATTGAAATGATTTTTAAGCACAACAGATGTGAGGGGATGGAATAATGATGAATATCCTCACAGAGGAGGGAACACACGGAAATTTGTCTTTCAAATAGATTTGGATTCTGAATTTTTATCTGCCTATCAAGGCATTACTACTTTTTATTTTAAAGGCATTGAAGAACCACAGACAAGCTCCAGCATAAATATGCAGTATATCCTGGCACTTAAAAATATGCCCATTGAAACTGGGGCAGGTTCAAATTAAAGTGTTGCCAGTAAGCATAAAGGAGAGGAGTGAGTGAGTAATGTGTTACTTTCTAAACTGTAGAATAAATGGTTCATAAGCCAATTGCTGTGTGGTGAGTTTATCAGTTAGCAATCAAGTAACAAATTACCACAGATCAGTCATTTATTTAGCTTATGGCCCATGAATCAGCAAATTGGTCTGGGCTCAGCTGGGTGGTTCTTTTGCTGGCTTTCTCTGAGATCTCTGACTTATGTATATATCTTCAGTAGCTGCCTGTCAGCTAGATGTTTCAGCTTCTAGGGCTTCCTGGGGCTGACGGTTCAGCTGGGGCAAAGGTGGTGATTGTACCACACATTTCTGATTAACCAGTAGTCTAGCTCAGATTTCTTCATGCAGACTCAAAAGCAGCAAGAGAAGAATCCCCAATGCACATGCACTATTTCCATTATTTGCCTGCATAATATTTATTTGTATTCCATTAGCCAAAACAAGTTACAAGATCAGACCAGACCCATGGAGGTAGAGGAAGATTCAACATTTGATGGCAGAGGTACAAAGCATTGTGGATATTTTTGCCATCTACCACAGTCTACTTTCTGGCCACAATAACTTATATTACTCTCACTTGTAAGAAATGCTCCCTAATTTAGATCCCCCAAAAGTCCAGGGTCTCAGTACCCCCTCAGATATGCATCCTTTATATCCAGATACTAATGAATTAAGAGAAGGTATATGCTCCCTACCACACACACTCTCTGTATGCATATAGATACCCCATACAAATCATGCTGTGCCATACTCTACCATATAGTTATAACATTCCATAATAGACACTCTCAATCAAAACAGGCATTCACTGGTTCATAAGAATTTTGAAATCCTGCAAGATAAATATGCCAAATTCCTTGCTCTATTGGCAGCAGATGTTCCTTAATTAGAGCTTTTCTGCTCCCTGGGAATGGTCTTCCAATCTGTTGCTTCCTAATCTATTGCTAATTCAAGATTAATGGCTTCCTAATCTATTGCTAATTCATGGCTGTTGGCTCCATCTCTTGGGCTTATGGTACCTTTTGGGAAATGTCATTTTCTCCTTATTAAAAAAAAAGGCCCATTTTGCAGGAGAGCAGCTGTCTAAATCTGCTTTCTTCAAGTGGAATTTTGGGATCTCAGAGATCCTTTCTGAAATGTGAATAATTTCAGTCCCTTTAGGTCAAATGTAGTAGCTCTTTTGCTTCGATAAGTTTCTCAGAAGTCCTTTCATTTAGTTGAAAGGTATTTCTAGCACTACTCTAAATATTTTAGAGGTCTTACAATTGGCTTTTCAGTCACACTTGTATTTATATTTATTTATTTATTTGAGACAGAGTCTCACTCTGTCACCCAAGCTGGAGTGCAGTAGCATGATCTTGGCTCACTGCAACTTCTGCCTCATGAGTTCAAGTGATTCTTATACCTCAGCCTCCCAAGTGGCTGGGACTACAGGTGCCCGCCATCACACCCAGGTAATTTTTGTATTTTTGCCTGTAGTCCCAGCTACTCGGGAGGCTGAGGCAGGAGAATGGTGTGAACCTGGGAGGCGGAGCTTGCAGTGAGCTGAGATGGCACCACTGCACTCCAGCCTGGGAGACAAAGCGAGACTCTGTCTCAAAAAAAAAGAAGCCCTTTCACCAGACTAGTCTTGAACTCCTGGCCTCCAGTAATCCGCTCCCATTGGCCTCCCAAAGTGCTGGGATTACAGTGAGCCACCACACCGGCCTGCAGACACACTTTTGATTTGATATTTACCATTAAGAATGTTTTACTAATTGAAGAGGCAGAACATGAGATTTTATTTTCTAACCCAGTAAATGCTGAGCCTTCTATATTCTTTCTAAATTCTGCATATAAATGAAACAATTTTTTCTTTAACTCATCTCTTTCTTCCTGCCTCTTATCATAAGAGAATTGAAATAGCACTTTCAAGATTCTGGCTGGTGGTCTCCTTAGCAAATCTGAAAATGTATTGGGTGCTTGCACTTTTCAGAGTTGCTGCAGCTGTAAGTTCTGCCAATTGTTTTGCTCCTGTAGAACTCCACTCACCATTTGCCAAACTTTGCAAATAACTTCTTCACTGCTTTTTCAGCTTCTGTCTGTTGCCTGGTCTCAAAGCCAGTGACATATATTTCAAGTTTTCTTTTGATAGCAGGCCACATTGGATTTCCAATTTTATTATCAGTTAGCTCTTCTAGCATAAAAGCTACTGCAAAACGTGGCTGCTTTAAACAACCATCACTATTACAATTTTGTGGGTCAGCAGTTTGAGCTGTGCTCAGCCAAGTGGTTTTTTGCTGGTCTTTTGTTGCATTCACTCATGTGTCTGAGTGCATTTGAGCTAAAAACTTTGCTTTTGGAGTTAACTGGCTGGGCAGGTTAATTGGGGCCATGACTGGGCCATGTGTTTTTCATTACCTGGCAGTCAAGCTCAGACTTTTCTACACAGCGAGATGGCAGGGCTCCTACGAACAGTATGGAGGAAGCTCTAGCATGCAAACCCTTCAAAGCTTCCACTTGTGTTACTTTTGTCACCATTTCATTGTCCTAAGACAATCACAGCCAGTCCAGATTCAAGAGGGGTGGAGAAATATCTTCCTTTTTTTTTTTTCTATATTCTGTTTTCTGTAGCCCATAAGTTTCTCCTTTTCTTTTCCTTTTCCATTTTATCTTTTTGTTGGACCACAGCCTTTTAAGAAATGGTGGGACTTTTGTTTATTTTTGTTGTCATTTTACCACTCTTGCTTGAAAATGTCCTTATTCTGTTCTCACCTGATTCATAGTTTGCCTGGGTATGTAATCTGAGTAAGGGATATTTTGCCTGCCAAATTTTGAAAGTATCTTTCCACAGCTATCTTTTACATTAACTTTTGAAAAATCTGAAGATATTCTAAATTGTGATCCTTTGCATTTGACCTAAATTTCTTGTAATGAAACCGTGATTCAATTTTCATCTCTTAAAAAAATGTACAATGGTCATCCTTCAATGTGTTAGGAAGAATAACATAAGAAAGTAATGTGTGTAAAGTGCTTAGTGGAGATGTGGCAAATAGGAATTGCTTCCCAAATGGTAGTGCCATTCTTCACATTCACTCACTTCTATGGGGTAACTCCACACAAGGAATAAGGGCTTGGCACACACTGAGCCACTGCTCATTCTTCCAAATAGCCCACATCTTTTAAATGTTCTCAGATACATTTTGCAAATAGATTGACCAAAAAGGGAAAAAGATGGTTTTAGAGCTTTATTTGTGTCCTAACATTTTTGGATGAGAAATTTTTCTTATCCTTCTAGAAAGCTTTTATCACACTTGGGCAGTAATGTTGGTTCTACATATGTCTGGCAGTGTCTTTGACAAAGTTACAGGATCAAAATTGAAAGGAGAGCTTTTGGATTACATGCTAGCCAAGCTAATGCTGACTTCTGTTCAGAGAAAATTTGGATATTTATTCTTTACACTGAAGATCCCGACTTCCATTACACAGGTGATTCTATTTAAGAAAGAAAGAAAGAAAGAAAAAAGGGATGAGATGACATTATTGAGCTAAGATGAAAATCTGAAAATTGTGATAAATACTCATTTCAAACCTTCTACAAGAAACACAGTTATGTGCCACTGCTAATTAGTGCTGAATATTAGAGGATTAGAGAAATTGATCCAATATGAGATTTTTAAAATCCTTTCTCTATTTTATTCCTTAGTTCTCTTTCTTCAGCATTTCAGATGATGAAGAGGTGTTTAAAAATGACATAGCATCTCTTTATCATGCAAATCTGAATATAAAATGTGAATAAAATTAAATCATAAGCTGTAAGTTGAAGAAAAATAAAAACTAAATTATTTTTTATTTTAGTTTTATTTTATTGAAGAAAAAAATAAATTAAAGTTGCTCTAAAAACCCCACTTTTCCCCCAAGAAATTAACCTTGTAAATACATTTCCTTTTCCCTTCAGAAAAGAATTTATTTTTTTTGCAGGTGCAGATGGGAAATCAGAAAATATATTCAAAAGCATTTTAATTTTAAACATATGCACTTGATTGTTTACTATAGATATTCTCTGAGTTTGAAAAAGCATAAAGGCTCAACCAAGATACCGCAAAAATACCAAGCAAAAAGGTACATGGTAAAGAAAAAATATTCACCAAAAGAATGTTTTAGTTATCACTGTTAGTTCTCATATCAATTCTATATCACATTATTATTGAATGTATTAAAAATATAGAAACAGGACGGATATTTTGGTCCATATTGACCAAGTCTGTAAATAATAAGTAAACCGATGCCATGTCTCAGACCACATTTCCAGTAGCTAACTTGGAAATCAATATCTACCTGCCATATGCCAGCATTTAAGGAAATCTCCACTTAATTGCCTTCTGGCCATATACATGAGTTGATGCTCATTGAATTATCCTGCAGCCTCCAAAAAATTTACTATGTTTTAAAGAAAACTGACAAATAAATATAAAGACACAAATACCTATGCCATGATTTGAATGTATCCTCAAAAGTTCATGTGTAGAAAACTGATTAAGTTTTAATGCAGTAGTGCAATGCAATAGTTTAATGCAATGCAATACTGTTGAGAGTTGGGACCTTTAAAAGGTGCTTAGGTCATGAGGGCTCTGCCCTCTTGAATGGATTAATGCTGTTATCTTGGGATTGATTTTGTTATAGAGGGGTTTTGTTGTAAATGTGTTTGGCCCTTTCTTGCTTTTCCTCCCTCTCTTTGTGCCCTTCCACCATGGAATGTTGCAGCAAGAAAGCCCTTGCCAGATACTGGCCTCTCAATCTTGGACTCCTCAGCCCCCCATAACTGTGAGCCAATAAATTTATGTTCATTATCAATTACTCCGTCTTAGGTATTCTGTTATAGCAGCACAAAATGATCTAAGATAGTCTACAACTAATTGTAATAAAACACTGGGTATCATATATGCTACAACACAAGTAAAAACACTCTATAGGTATACGGTCAGTGCCTCTGCTTTAACAAGGCTCAGACATTTGATAAAATTATACAATTATTAGTCTACTAGTAATGTGTATAATGATGCATAAAAACAGGTAGTGACTGGAGGCACTGGAGGCACAACGACCAATTAGAACGTTGTTTCTTTATTCTAGGCCAGAGTTAATGAACACCTGAATCTGCGAATATGATTTGAATAGGAAAGAATGGGCAGATACAAGACATATTGTGAGGGGAATCTGAGGTTTGAGTAAAAGATTTCTTGCCATCCTAAAGGAAAAGAGTTGAGATGAAGGAATGAGTCATAAAATTAATATGAAGATTTTTACATCTACAGTCTTAAGAGTAATCGGATTTTCAAAATTTGACCAAAATATAAGCCTCTTCAGCCATCAGAAGGACACTGTCTTCTGTAGAAATTGTAGATCTAGTACCTTCTCTGGGCTGCTCCTTGCCTAGGTGGGTCAGGCATCTCAAATGAATCTTTTGTATTTAATAAAAGTTATCTATGCAACTGGTACAAAATTAGACACTTGAAAAAAACACAAATTCAGATCAAACCTCTTCATTATGATTGAGTCCTTGCAACTTTTGAAAATTAATGGGCATCTGCTATGTTCTGGAGGTGCTTTGGCACCCAGGAAGAGGTAGCCCCAGCTGCCAGGTGAGGTCCAGACCAAAAGGCAGAAAGGTAACATGCAGTCTGTGCTGGTCATTTCTGCTTCTCTAATCATTGTCCTCCCCTCTTAAGTAGATAAAACAACATTTTAAGGGTTGAAGAAAGAGGATAAAGCAGTAGTGAGAATCACCCCAACTTCTTCTTCTTCTTCTTTTTTTTTTTTTTGAGATGGAGTCTTGCTCTGTCATCCATGCTGGAGTGCAGTGGTGCGATCTCAGCTCACTGCAACCTCTGCCTCCTGGGTTCAAGCAATTCTCCTGCCTCAGCCTCCCGAGTAGCTGGGATTACAGGCACCCACCACCACGCCCGGGTAATGTTTGTATTTTTAGTAGAGATGGGGTTTCGCCATGTTGGCCAGGCTGGTCTCGAACTCCCGACCTTGTGATCTGCCAGCTTTGGCCTCCCAAAGTGCTGGGATTACAAGTGTGAGCCACCGTGCCTGGCCAGAATCACCTCAATTTCTGCCAGCGCCACTCCACTGACACCATCCTCACTGAGGCCACAGCGTCTCTGTAACTAAATCCAGTGGACACTTCTCTGCCTCTGTAGCAGTTGGGAGGAACAGAAATGGCAGAATAATAGAAAAAAAAAACAACTCAAACTGGTATAATCAAAGAAAGGACATTTATTCATTGGTTTACAAAATTTGAAATTCCCAGACTTCCAGCTGTGTACCAGTTGTTCCAGCAAAATCCCTAGCATGGAGTCCCATTGGCCTCACTGACTCACAGGCCTCTACTGTGCTCAGTGTGTGTGGGGTGGCTGGGGGTTCACAGGTGGAATGCTTGTACCTGGGCCACCGTAAGACCCATTGGGTGGAGTTTGCTCAAACCAAACTGAATGAACTAAAAGTAGAGGAGCCATTATTCCCCCACAGGAAAGCTACATTCTCAGAAGCATGGGAATCCATACATATCTACTACAGTTTTTATTTTGTTTGACTTGACAGGAACAGTAGACATACTCTTTCCTTGCTATCTGTGACATCATTTTGCTTTCTTCCACTTTTCTATCCTCTCAGTTTTCCTTACAGGATGTACTAGACCTGATTTCACTTTGCATTTTAAAAAATTCATTATGTAATTTTAGAAATTGATTCAGCCATTCACCTTGACTCCTAGCTAGAGAGGCCAGATGAAAGCTACATTATTTAATCATTTGCAAAACTCCAGGTCCTGTCACCAGGACTGCATCTCTCCCCACTGCCATCTCTCTCAGATCTCCCAGCATTTAAGTTTTGGAAAGCCTCAGCTGTGCCCACTGTGGAGGGAGTACTAGAAGTTCCTACCAGGATTAGTGCTAAATACTCCCACAGAAGCTTCTGCTTTCTTGATGGCTGCCTAGAAGGGCTGGTTAGCACAACCAAGAAATGCGGGAAAGCTAATGCACAGGAAGCTGGAGTGATCAATGAAAGGCAGCAAATAAGAGAGAGCCAGAAGAGACACTGCACACTCTTCCTCTGCCCAAGAGACTATTTCCAAGGGCAGTGGTTACACAAAATCTCTTTGGAGATGTCTTGCATAACCAAAACACCACACTGTGTTTCTTTTGAGGCTGTGGCAAAATATGTAACACATCACCATGTATTTGATTTCCTGCCTTTCCTATCTCACTTTTATTTTTCTCTTATTCTTACTGCCTGCTATGGCACACCCCTCAGCCCCACCACCACTCCCCATAGGAAGTCTGGGCTTAGACACAGGACCATCTTTCTCTGATCATCACACATTTACAGTGCTCTGTAGGGTTATTCCAAGGTCAGCTATCTTCTCACAGCACACATTTTTCTTGGGAGCATCACTCATGCCTGAGATTTCAATCACCAACCATAATCTGATGATGCCCATATCTTCATCTCCTTTGGGTTCTGCTCCTGAGCTCCAGATCCACAGATTCAGCTGTTTCTGTACATCACTACTTAGAAGGCTCACAGGTATCTCCAGTTCAACATGCACAAAGCTTATCCACATGCCAAACTCAAACTGCTCTTTCCTTGATTTTTTTTTTTTTCTTAGTGACTGGCACCACCACGCACCCAGCTGTCTAAGTCAGACATCTGAGAATCACCTTGATTCTTTACTCTTTCCTACTGCTCACTCTGCATAACCTGTCTCTCTTCAGGCCTTGACAATTCTACCTCTAAATCCACCCCAGCCTTATTAACTTCATTCTGTCTCCACCACCAAACCTCTGCAAGCCATCCACTTAACCTCACCTGCATTCCTCCAGTCCATCATGCATATAGCAGTCTCTTTGAAATATCAATTCTAAAGGCTTTTTGTCCTCCTTAGGTGAATATTTTTTGATGTTTTGTAGTCTGCTTTGTATGCTCCACCTGTAGTTTCCACCTATATATTTTCAGGTTCATTGCTTGCCTCTCAACAATCTAATGGGTGTAGGTTCCAGCCCTGTTGAACTTTGAGTTGTGGGGGCCGGGGGCCCTATGTTCTCTCTTACCTCTAAGTCTTCACGTAAGCTATTTCCTCTGCTTGAAAGAGTCCTCCCTCTTCTCTTCACCTTGTTAACTTACACTCATCCTTCAGCTATCAGCCTACATTCCCCTTCCTCCAGGAAGTCCTTCTGGATCCCAACCATTCCTCCAGTCCAGTTCAGGAGTTCTTGCCATGATTCCCACTGCACCTGTATGTCTGCTGTCATTCATTACTTTACAGCACTTAATCAGAGGGGCCGTTTCATTATCCTTTTCATTTCCGTATAAGGTCAGGCCTTTGCCTACTGTGTTCATGGTCACTTTTCTCAGAACCTGGCCTAGTGATTGGCTTAAAAATATATCTAATATATAAACACATTTATAAGTGTTCTTGTTTCTTGACATTTTGGCAAATCTAGAACATGCAGTTTTGTCTTGCAGGAAGTTCACAAATCTAGTATATGCTATCCTGCTTTTGCAGAGTCTTTTAACAGCTTTTCTTACAGAATTATATGAGATGGTATTATAATGACTTTTAAGACACTAAACTTTTAGCTAGGTGTCTTAAACTTCTAAGAAATATGAGCACAAGGATGTGAATGAAATCCCTATTACATATTTCAAGATCTGTTTCCTGCTTTGCATTCTACATTCTGGTTTTTCTGAAATATATGGCTTAAAACCTACAGTTTAAGAATCGATTTCACTGCAATTGAGTTGACTAAACACTCATCTTTATTGCTTTCCGGGGACTATCACTTGTGCACAGGGAGCCTTGTATACACTTACAGTGCAGGCATTTTCAACCATGTCTCTCTTGGAGTTTATTTTATTTTTTTGTTTGTGTGATTAGCCTAATCTAATATAACTTTAAAGATTCATTCATGTAGCATTAAATTTTTATCATGCTAAATAGTCTATGGTAGTTTAAATTTGTTGATTAAAAACAGCCAAAAGACACTTAAAACATTTCTAAAAAATACTTTTTCTCTTAAAATGAGCAAGTCTCCAGACTCTTTAAAAAATATTTGTGGTGCTATAAAATTACATATTAAAAAATTCCAACACGTAAACATTCACCATGTTGTATAACACACTGCTTAGCAGCAAGATAAATTTCTCTCTAAAAATGTATTAGGTTAATATAGACCATTAATTTGCAGGGTCTAGAAAAGTTATTTAAATTTTACTAATATAAACTGAATACCAGAGGTAAGAGAGTTGAAATACAGCATAATTCAACTCTAAAGCTGTTTTTAGATTTGGTTTCTCTAAGGAGAATTTGTAAAATTTCTTATACCAATCTGTGATAAATTTTTGTTTCAATTTTGATTTATAACTCTACTTTTAAAATCAAGAGAGGCTATATTTTGCATAAATGAAACCACGACTTACCCTCTAGTTTCCTTAAGTGTATTTCTAAATACCTACATAAAGAAGTAGATACATGAAGCAAATAAATTTTGGTTTTTAAAAGAAAAGGCAGGCAGGAGAAATCTCTATTTTTTAATGATTGTCTATCTAGAATCAGTTTAAAATGGTAGATTGTCAAGGTAGGACAAATGTTCTAAATTTTAGCAGGCATTTTTCTTAAGAGATCTTTTTAGTTTCAATCTCACAGTGAAACCTAAAGTTCATTGTTAAAAAGTTGTCAGTAGGTTGGACAAATTCTAATCATACTAATATCACTCAAATTAATCTTGTGAAGGCAGTATTAAGAGTAGAAAATGGAAATTAATTAGGAAGGCAGTAAAGGAGGACTGCAAACAAAAAGATTTAAGTTGTTAGAGAAATAGTCTAGTAAATCAAAAACTTAGATGAGGAAGAAAAGCTAGATCTATATTTTTACATTACCTATCTCTTTTGTTTGTTCTGAGCTGCAGCCAGTGATCACTGGTTGGTTCACAGGGATAAACAGGGTTAGTCTAAATTGCAGACAAAAACTCAAAAACAACTCACGAGACTAGAATCTAATAATAAATGTACCATAGTTTTTGAAACATAATTTTTCTCTCTCCAGTCCTCATTTTTATTAAAAACAAATAATGATGGGACTGATTTGTTTGCAAAATAAGCTTTAGTCTTATTTCCTTGGCCTGATTATTTGCATAAATAATCACACTGCACAACCTGTGATTGTGCAGCAAGAATAATTATTTGCCATATAGGCTCCTTTTTAAACTGGCATTGATAGAACTTTGTTCCATAAGGCATCTTAGATCAGACTTTCATAAAGCTTTAAAAAGAGGATAAATTCCTCTCCTCTTGGGGTCCCAAGATAATCTGGGGCTTCTGGGCCTGTCAGAAAGTGACATTCTTTACTTACCACAGGTCAAGGACCCTGTACAGGAACTGTGTAGACAAGGTATGAGGCTAGGTTTCCCAAGGGGCTTTTATTCACTCTGTAAGTCAAATTGGATTCCATAAAGGAAATTATACCATGCCAGTCAAAGCCTGGGTAAAATAACCAGTTTCTTGAATTGTGTCCTATTGCAAAAGGAAACAGATTGTTATTGCACTTATGCAAATAATTATATTGCCATAATTTAAGAATACTCACAAATAGTTTCCAAATTCTGGAGACATCAGGTAGAGAGAAACAAATATGCTTTAAATTTTGGGTATGGGAGTATACTTTACTGATTTGTTAAAAGCTGTAAATAGCTCAAAAGTGTTCTTGGCTCTGAAAAACACACAAAGGATCAGCAACATTTTAAACAAAAAGTCATACAATGATTATTTCAGTCTTTATTACTTCAGTCCATGCCATTAACTCCTGTTCTGCTTGATATTCATGAGCATTTCAACTTTCCTCGAGAATCCAGAAAGTTTTTCTTCTATTCTAATGTCACAATCTCCAAAGTTATCAGAAACCTGAAGTTAACCCTATAGCTGATTATAAAACCACCTTTTAAAGAGGATTAAAACAAGACATTGGCATATGGATGACAAATATCTAAGGGCAGCCACGGTCAAAGACACAATTGACAAGGAAATTTGTTACCTCTCTAATACACAATAATTTAACATAACAATTGTAATTATTACTGATAATGTATACTGAGTCATATCAGAATTATAGAAGTTTTGCACAACTTTAGAACATATACCAATAATACATTTATATAAAAACAGTCTAAAGAAAGCCAGATTTGACCTTTGCATTAGTGTACTATTGATGTCAAACTCAGTTCTTAATAAAACTTTATAGACAAATCTTCCAATCTTAATCAGTTTGACCATAAGGTAAGATTCTCTTAAGCCTTTTGTAACCCTTTACAATTTTCTGTTAAAGAGCAGACCAAGGCTAGGCATGGTGGCTCATGCCTGTAATCCCAGCACTTTGGGAGGCCGAGGTGGGAGGATCACTTGATTTCAGGAGTTCAAGACCAGCCTGGCCAACATGGCAAACTCCCGACTCTACTAAAAATACAAAAATTAGCCAGGCATAGTGGTGCATGCCTGTAATCCTAGCTACTCAGGAGGCTGAGGCAGGAGAATCACTTGAACCCAGTAGGCGGAGGTTGCAGTGAGCTGAGATCATACCATTGCACTCCAGCCCGGGCAACAGAGCAAAACTCCATCTCCAAAAAAAAAAACAAAAAACAAAGAAACCCAGCAGAACAAGGCTCTAAGAAAACGGTGCTGTGCTTTTATTCCAATGTTCAATTTTAGAAAAACTGAATAATACCCCTTTAACCGTAGCCAATATGTTTACATATAGAATTTCTTTTACAAGATTAATCTTTTACAGACCTTCCACATCTTGCTTAAACCTTCAGCTTTATCCTACCTAACTTAAAACAATCCTTTAAACCTCTAAACTTAGCAAAAAATCCACATTCCCATGCTTTCTTAAAATCTTTTACCAAAGCATATTTTACTTTCCTTACATGCATTGTATGTAAAACTGTTTTTCCAGTAGTCTCAAGTACATGTTGCACTGTTAACTCTTAGTGACTTTTACTTTTGATGAAAAACATGGTAAGTAAGCGACTCTATGTACTAGAAGTCAAGCTTAGGACACTAGACAGAAGTGCAGATGAGGTTTGACTCTGTCCAGCATAGCTCCATAAGATTTGGATTTTTCTTGTTTGCTTTATTAGGTTGCATAGGACAGTTAACTGATTCTTGAAAATGATGAATTTTTTCATTGATAATATTAATTATTAGAAAACATCTGCATATTACAAAACAGGGGTTTGCTATGTTAGGAAAAGCAAAATCTTTTCTCAATCCCCAATCCTCTCCCCGAAGATAATAGAGAAAAAGAACAGTTTTATTATTGAGTAAGCATTAAACCAGAATTTGATGGGCATCACTGGCAATCCAGTAAGAGATTACAAAGACAGAAAGGAACCTCACTCTTTTACATAGCCTAAGAAATGCAACCCATAGCAGACAACTCTGTATGTCTCCAGGCCTTACCTATATAGGTAAGGATATAGGCCGGCCTCTATCCTTGTCTCCATGACCTTGTAGTGACTCTTGCTCAGAGCATTCTAGCAACAAAATGATTATCTCCTTTCTCAGATTCCCTTTTCCCACGTTCTTTCACTAGACGAGAAGCCTGTTTTTCAGTTAGCTGTTGCAAGGGGCCTGAACTTCCCTCCATTTGAATAGGAGCTTGAAGGTCTTGATGCATATTGAGAAGGGCATGGAAGTGGTTAGGCAAATGGAGGATACAGGAGGAAGTGAGAGGAATACTCATGGAAAGCCTTCCTATGCTCACAAAAACAGCAGCCCTTGGATTCAAGAGGGCAATGTTTATTTGCCCTTTTGATCTAAAGTAGTAACCTCTAGAGGACTTAGAGCTTGGGGTAAGCACTCATAAATGGCAAAGGAAGAATTTTCCCTCCTCCCAAAGGGGTGGTAACTCAAAAAAAGCAAGTAGATAGGGTCCTTAAAGGGCCACAGAGTGAGGCCCTATTCAGGCAGACAATCTGCTTAAAAGCCACTGAAAAACTTAGCCCTGGGGCATATCAGGGACAAAAAGTGTATGGGAAGCCATTAGGAGCTGGCAGAGCCAGGGGGAGCAGAGCCCCTGTGGCTGAGAGGAATCGATCTGAAGGCTGGTTAGTAAGCAGGAGAGCAGAAGTGGAGAAGGAAAACCACATACGGGGGTTGAACGCCTCCAGCCAAAGAAGGTGAGGCAGAGAAGTGTCTTACCCACTGTGGAATGTATCTAAATCATGTGGCACCAAAATATGTTAGCAACGGGACATATCTGAGTCACATGGTATCCAAGTATGTTAATGGTACCAAATCCGTATCGGTCTGCCCCAACATCACTTTTTGCTTCCTCAGAAGAAAGAATTTGACTGAGACGCATAAGGCCGAATGAGAGACTGAAGCAAATTTAAAGCAGGAGTGAAAGTTCATTTAAAAGTTTTAGGGCAAGAATGAAAGGAAGTAAAGTACACATAGAAGAGGGTGAAGCAGGTAACGTGAGAGAGTCAGGTGCACGGTTTGACCTTTTGATTTGGGGTTTTATACGTGGGCACACTTCTGGGGTCTTGCGTTACTTCTCCCCTGATTTTTCCCTTGGGGTGGGCTGACCGCATGTGCAATGGCCTGCCAGCACTTGGGAGGCGCCGCATGCATAGTGTTTACAAAAATTGTGCACATGCTCACATGTTCCCTTACCTGTCGAGCGTACCTAGAGTAAGGTCATATACCAGTTAAATTCCGCCATTTTGCCTCTTAGTGCACATGCTTGAGCCTACTCGCCCAACTCCTGAGATCTTATCGGAAAGCTGGTCACCAGTTTCAGGTTTTTCCATCTATTAGGAGACTGCCTTTCCCGGTGCCGCTATGACCAATTATTACTTTAGAGAGACAGTTCGCCTGACCATGAACTGATCATTACCTGACATTCTTGGTGTGTGGCGGGTGCCCTTTCCCGCCCTGCTCAGGTGGGCCTGACTACCTACTGTAACAATAGGCTCATGGAAATGAAAAATTATACTTAATTTATTATGAATAATACTCAATAAATATTACTCAAGTTGAAATAACCACTTGGGAAATTCAATGCTAAAGTCCAATTATCACATTTTAAAATATTAAATATATATATCACTAATTTACTTTGAATTTTATTACAGTATCTAGATGTCCTCAGTAACTCAAGGTATTTGACAGTAAATAATCAAACTCTGAGACAAAAACCTACTTTTTAATGTATGTACTTTTCACTAGAACATACAAGTCTATTGTTAATAGAAAATACAAGGCAGCAAAAGCCTTTTGTCTTGAGACCGCACTAAAATTATGTATACAAGTGAGAAATATCTTCTATGTCCAAGAGATGATAAAAAAAATATTACTATCAGGAAATTTGTTTTTTTGTGCTTCATGAGATTTGTAGCTTTTTTATTTGCTTTATTAGGTTGTATAGGAAAGTCAACTGATTCTTGAAAGTGATGAATTTTTTCATTGATAATATTAATTAGCAGAAAACGTGCATATTACAAAACAGGGTTTTGCTATGTGGGAGCAATATAACTAATTAAAAGAAAAATCTTTTCCCAACCCCCAAATCTTTTCCCTGATGGTAGTAGAGAAAGAAAACAGTTTTATTATTGAATAAGCATTAAATCACAATGCGATGGGCATCACAGGCAATCTAGTAAGAGATTACAAAAACAGAAAGGAATCTCACTCTTTTATATAGCCTGTGAGATACAACCCATAACATACATATTTTCAAGGTACACGATAACTAGTTCTCAAATAAGAGGACTTGACTAGCATTTATTAAATAGTTCATCATAAATTAACCTGGGAATTGGAGTAATCATCTGTGTTAGTTGGTTTTATACAAAGGAAAATTCATTTTTCCTATCTTTATGAAAGGAGGTTGTTTTGCAACTGGGAGTGGGGTGCATACCTGATGTTGGGGTCCCATTCTTGCACAGAAACTGAGAAACAGGAATAAACATCTCCCTTGATGTTTACATTTTAAAGAGATGGCTGTTAGGTCCTTGAGAAAAACATTTCTGGGTCAAAAGCTGGCAAGAGGCTTATTTAGCTTCTTGAAAGATTTTCACACATTTCCAAGACAAAGAAAAAATGCTTAATATTACATGTTTTATAGGAAAAGAGAGAGTGAAGAAGTCTCTTCCTTTCTTATCAATAGATAAGCCTCTTAATTTTAATTTTAAATTGTTCTTACAGCTATCTCTGTTTAAATTTTTATCTAACAACTGTGGGTATTTTTAGATGAAACTCATTTATATATTCTTTTAATGAATTAATATGTGTTTAGTGCTGTAAAACACCCTTCTTGCCCCAATGTGGAATTCCTAACTTTCAAGACATAGATTTTACTGATGCCCCTAGTATTAGTCATTCCAGAGTTAGTATTAACATACCAACTGAGAGCGTGGGGAAAAATGAGAAGTTAAATAATTTTGCCAAAATGAATGTTCCCTTACCCTTTAAGTAAAATTATCTCCAAAGTCTTTTACAGAGCTGGGTGCCTGTAGTCCTAGCTCCTCGGGAGGCTGAGGTGGGAAAATCATTTGAGTCTGGGAGTTAGGAGTTAGAGGCTGTAGGGTCCTATGATCATGCTGCTGGCGGCAGAGCAAGACACCTTCTCTAAAAATAAAAAAATAAAAAACAAAAATATTTTACATTTAATATAGTGTGATCTTATACTGCATTGATTTAAAACATGCTTTACGTCTTTGAAAAATTTCTAACCTAATGGTCAGTAATCCTCAATGTGGTTCAAGGATTCTTTGCATCAGAACTGCACAGGGAAATGGCTCTCAAACCTTAGCAAGAATAAGCCTCACTTGGACTGCTTGCTAATACCCTGGTTTCGGCACCAGTCTCTAGAGCTTTTTTTAAGTCTGGCATGGAGTCTAAAGATTCGCATTTCTAACAAGTTCCCTGACGCTCTTGCTGTTGCTGCTGGTTGGAACCACACTTTGAAAACCACTGACCTCGGGTATCTGGCAGGCACCTATACACCCCATACTAGAACTAGAATTTCCGAAATTGGGGTCTCTGAGATCTTCATTTGAACAAGCCCAGGTGAGAGTTTGAAAATCACAATTGGAGAACCAATGTGAAAATCTGTCAGGTTAATTTCACTATCACTGGCCTTGTCTGATGCCATATGCATGACACATGAGGATGGAAATAATTCTGTATGACTAACCCTAAGCCTGGCATGCTGAAAAAAACATACAGGGTTTCAAGTATGAACCTTAGTTCAGCTATTTTCCACTTTTGTAACATGGGGCAAGTTGCCCAAGTCATCTGATCCTCAGTCTTCATCTGTAATATGAAGTCATATCCACTTTGAGAGAAATAAAGGTATTTTGCCCAACTATAATGCTTGGCATACAGTAGGCACTCAATAAATGCTATTAATTGTTATATGAAGTGCAAAAAATATTTTCTTTAGTATCTGATTTGATCAAAGTAGGTTTTTCAATTTAAATGAGTTATACCTGAGGGCAATAGCATAATAATACAAGCTTATATTTATTGAGTACCTACTGTGGGCCAGATAGGGCTCTAAGATCCTTACATATGTTAGCTCATAATTCTCATACACAGCCTGTGAGGTGGGTATCATTATTATCTCTAATTACAGGAGAGGAAATGGGGGCACGCAGAGCTCAAGCAAATTGCTCAAGGATGCTGCCCACATATTAACTTCCTGTATATATGTTTAAAGATATTTTTAGATGTTTAACAGAAACTGTGTACACCTACAGTTAAAAATAAATACAAATAAATAAATTGGTGTCTACATTAATGTAAAGAGTTGTTAAAAATGGAAATACTAACAAATTTTGGTGGAAGTTACCATCATGAAAACAATATAACAAATATAATAGGTAAATAGTGGTGAATATTTTTATCATGTGAAGAAAGGATTCTACCATTAGTCACTAAAATGAATATTCTTTCTCAAATGTGCCATCCAAAGTGGTCATGGTTTTGACAAGTTTCAACAAATAAATACAATTTATTCAACCATTTAAAATTAGTAATATGACAAACATATGAGAGACTTTTCATCTATTACTTTAAATATCTTATAGAAAGACTGTAAATTATTCTGTTATGACATACTTGGATGTTATTGCTAAATGAAAGGAGAATTGAAATTTCATTTTTTTTCTAGAAACTTTAGAGGATCAGTAAAATCGATGGAAATATTTGTGAATGTATTTTGGAAGATAATTTTGAATGACTAATGAATATTCTACTTTATTACAGTTATCTATTAGCAAAACTTAATTTTCAAAGAGTAAATATCAGCAAACTTTAGACTATTATTCATAAATAATTTGGTATTTTTTGCTATTGTATGTGTTAAAATGGAATGATACCTATAAAAATACTCAAATAGAAAGCTGTATATATTTAGTTGAATATTTGGTTTTTATGTGTCTAAGAAAAGACCTTAACAACCAAACATTATATTTTGGCATTTTCCTACAAAAATCAATAATTTTCATATATAGTTTAGATTAATTATAACAAAGGTCCACTGTGATTTTCAGCTGTTTCCATTTTCTGGAAATAATATTAATTAAGCTTAAATGTAATGTAAAAATGCATAACTTTATACTTTTTAATTTACAACTTTAAAAAATTAACATTAAAGATGGAAAACATGAAATAGTTTATAGAACCAGTTTCTTGTGGAAGAAAATAAGCACTCAAGTCAAATAGGTACTACATTTTCACCTTCTAGTAACTGAAAGAGTTTCACCTGTGAGGATGCTAATCATGTTTAGCTTGCAACTACCTCACTGAGCATTTTAATTCTGGCTTTTATTCTTGTGTGTGTTTGGCAGTGAGGGTCAGGGGTTAAAAAAAAGACATAAAAAATTTACCATCACAACCGTTTCGAAGAGTACATACAGTTCAGTAGTGTTAACGCATATTCACATTGTTGTACAAGAGATCTCCAGAACATTTTCATCTTGTAAATCTGAAATTCTACACCCATTAAACAACTGCCCTTTTACTTGCCCTCCAAATTCCTAGTAACAACCATCCTACTCTCTGTTTCTGTGAGTTTAATGACTTTAGATACCTCATGTAAGTGGAATCATATACTAGTCATATTTTTGTGACTGGCTCGATTTACTCAGCATAATGTCCTCAAAGTTTATCCATGCTATAACATGTCAGAATTATCTTCCCTTTTAAGGCAAAATATTAAATAATATTCCCTTGTACATATACACCACATTTTGTTTATCCATTTATCATCATGGGCACTTGGGTTGTCAACTGAAATTATTATAAGACTTGACTATGTCAAAATACATACAGTTAAAAATAAGTACAAATAAATAAATTGATGCCCACATTAATGTAAAGAGTTGTTAAAAATGGAAACAAATCCTAACAAATTTTGGTGGAAGTTACCATCATGAAAACAATATGACAAATGTAATAGGTAAATAGTGGTGAATATTTTTAGCATGTGGAGAAAGGATTCTACCATTAGTCACTAAAACGAATATTCTTTCTCAAATGTGCCATCCAAAGTGGTCATGGTTTTGACAAGTTTTGACAAATGAATACAATTCATTCAACCATTTAAAATTAGTAATATGACAAACATATGAGAGATTTTTCATCTATTACTTTAAATGTCTTATAGAAAGACTGTTTGGTCTGTTTGGTTGTTTGTGTGTTTATTTTTGAGACAGAGTCTCAAAACTGTTTGAGACTTAAATTCTTTTGTATAAATTACCCAGAAGTAGAATTGCTGGATCATATAGTAGTTCTATTTCTAATTGTTTGAGAAACTTCCCTACTATTTTTCATAGCCATTGAAGTATTTGGTCGTTTTATTTCCGATATTTATCTTGGTTTGTTTAAGCGTTCAACATTTTCTCACATTTTGTATAAAATTTTGTCAAAATCTTGCATTCAAACTATTTTGTCAAAATAACTAATGGCCACAGTAGATACTAAGAAGGAAGGATTTTAAAAATAACTTTAAACAAGTCATGAAAGACCCAAATAAGTTC
Organism: Homo sapiens; assembly: GCF_000001405.40. Lineage (NCBI taxonomy): Eukaryota > Metazoa > Chordata > Mammalia > Primates > Hominidae > Homo > Homo sapiens. The sequence goes on from NC_000008.11 coordinate 61,908,459, forward strand.
TCACTTCTCAACATGATGATAGTTGAAATATAATTATGTAGTTGGAAGTGTTTCAATTAATCAATCAAATGTCACTTAGGAGTTTGAGAGTGGCACTGATTAAAGAAAAGAATTGAATGCGTGAATGTAAAAAATAGCATTACATTTACTATTTATTTGTAACCGTAATTAACAAGTAGATTTGGGACAGAACATTTTAACATGCATATTTATAGAAGGCTACTAATGCTTTGAGTAAAGAAATATGAGTGGATAAGAATGATACTCAAGAGACTTGGTTAAACATATGTACGAAAGAGACCACAGGGGCTCAGTGAATATTACTCATTCTGATAAAAGATTAACCACTAATTAAAACCAAGTATATGCTAGGCGCGGTGGCTTATGCCTGTAATCTCAGCACTTTGGGAGGCTGAGGCGGGTCAGAAGTTCAAGACCAGCCTGGCCAATATGGCGAAACCCTGTCTCTACTAAAAATACAAAAATTAGCCAGGCGTGGTGGCAGGTGCCTATAATCCCAGCTGCTTGGGAGGCTGGGGTGGGGCAGGAGAATTGCTTGAATCTGGGAGGTGGAGGTTGCAGTGAGCCAAGATCGTGCCACTGCACTCCAGCCTGGGCATAGCAGCAAGACTCCGTCTCAAAAACAAAACAAAACAAGCAGATAAAAAAAAACAAAACAAATATATGACATAGTCAAGACACAATAATTTCAAAATGTGATTTTATTAGTGCATTTTAGGACAAGAGGCATTCTTATTCCACCTTTTTCTGGAAGAAATGCAGCCATTTATAAGTAATCACAGATATTTCCATAAGACAAAAGCAGTGTGAATGGAGGAGAGTTTGGCTCATTTATGTCATACTGCAATATAAGCTCATGTTCTGAGTTTAAAAAACAACCTACCATAAATGTTTCTTTCTAGAATTTTCATTAAGGCAAATTTGTTCAGCCTCGTGTGTTTTACTAACTTGGTGCAGTGTAGTTTTTAGCAAGTTTAATAGCTTTATCTTCTCAGTGTTTCTATTTCATATAATAAGGCAAAAAAAAATCTTCCTCTATGTGACCATTGTTTTAAAATGTAATAATATCCATCAATTATCTATCTATCTATCTATCTATCTATCTATCTATCTATTAAAAACACATTTTAACATACTTCACTGCTCCTGCTAATGCTTTAGTTTACAGTCGCTCCTATGAAGTTTTCTAATAATATGGAGTGTTCACTTTAGGAAGAATTGCTCACTGGGACCCTAGTGTTCTCTTCAAAGATGGGAAGACCTTTCCTCCCTGCAGTGTTAGTCATGCTATCTTTGTTTTCTCATGTGTGTCTTTTGAGGGTTTCTTAGGTCTTCTTTTGGATCTTCTCTTTTGTTTGCTTTGCTTATTTCCTTTAACAGATCCTCAGGTAAGGCAGGTTGATATCTGTATAAATAACCATAAAGATAAAGATGATAAATGAGGTATTCTAACCCATATATAGCTGTAGCATCAACATAGTGAAAAGAAATGGCAAAATCAGAACAGCAACTGGGATCCTCTACAGAAGGATAATAGTTATATTTCCAGTACAAAAGGTTCTAGTAGAAAATCTGTAATTAATGGCTGTTTTGCTAAAAAGGGATGAAAAGTCTCTTTTCCAGTGTGATATCTGGAATCCTCTGGTTCCACCTTTACAATGTCCATGCATCTCCCCAGTGCCATGTATTCAGAGAAGGACACAGGTGTGCCCGTTTTTGTTTTGACCACAACAATTAATCTCCTTGAGGCTTCTTTGCTCAGTACATATCCTGCTCCTCCAGTCATGTAGTCCTGTTTTCTGCAGTGCTTAAATCTTTTCCCAAAGTAAGTGGATTCATCAGGGTTATAGTTTGTGAGAAGCCATTTCAAGTTGTCCAATGTGATATATATACATATATCATCATCTGCTTTCATGAACCAATCCATGTATTCCAGATAATGGTCATGAGCATATAGAAAAGCTTTAACTATTTTCCAGGACAGTTGGTTTCTGTCTTCTTTGGTGTGTAATCCCACAGTAGAGAAGTCTTTATTTTCTTTTGAGCTCATAAACAACGCTTTATTGCAACCCTGGGCCCATGTATCTCTGATGCGTCTGATCTTTTTTTTCTAGATTTTGAGGTCCTGTCATAATCCAGCAAAGAATTTTCATCTTTTGATAGAGTTTGTCAGTGACACCTGTGTTCTGGTATTTATGATGACTAGCATTTGCAATCAACTTCATCAGTCTTTTTAGATGATTCTGCCCAGTATCATCTGAAGGCCTCACGTAAGAATAATTATTAATGGGCAGGGAGTGGTGGCTCACACCTGTAATCCCAGCACTTGGGGAGGCCGAGGCAGGTGGATCACGAGGTCAGGAGACCGAGATAATCCTGGCCAACATGGTGAAACCCCGTCTCCACTAAAATACAAAAAAATTAGCCTAGTGTGTTGGCACACGCCTGTAGTCCCAGCTACTTGGGAGGCTGAGGCAGGGGAATCTCTTGAACCCGGGAGGCGGAGATTGCAGTGAGCCGAGATCGCGCCACAGCACTCCATCCTGGCGACAGAGCAAAACTCCTTCAAAAAAAAAAAAAAGAATAATTATTAATAATATTAGGCTAGCTGTCACCTTGTTCTTCCAATAAAATACTGAATAGCTAAGAAAAAAAAAATCCGACTGGTGATCCAGAGGAAGATTAAAGGACCGTCCCCAACCGTTCAAAGCCATTTTAGAGTGTATTTCGGACAGGGGTGGTTCTCTCTGGCTCCTCGAGGGGGAAGTTGGGGCGGCGACGCAGCCAGGACCCTCGGCTTTCTCCAAAGCTGCAGGTGCTCGGGTGCCCAGGTGGTCCCTGCAGCTTCACTGCAGCGGCTCCTGCGGAGATTGCATTGAGAGCTCCCGTCCGCGCTGCGGCCTGCAGCGCTAGTTTTAATGGTCCGTTTGTGTTCACGCATGTGTGTGAGGTTCTGTACATGATTTCCATTACTTTTGTTGCTCTGTAACAGCTGTAAAAACTGTAAAGTTTATCATCTGTTGAATCGGAGTTGCTGATGGCAATTTTTAGGGTTATTAAATGTAATATGGGCTTAGATCATAATGAGAATTTTAAAAATGGAGTGGGTTTCCAAAGAAATCAACCTAAAAAAAATAGATAAGTATGTTAAGAATGGATTTTACAATATCTTTTAATAAACATTAGCAATGTGTAAATTAACTTTGGTCTTTCAGTTTTATGTTCAGAAAAAGCTATTACAGGTTTAATAAGAACATTTTTATGTGGAAACATATAATCTTTTAAACTGATTTTTTTCTTTATTGGTAGTTGGATTGGATTAAGGCCTGAAAATTATTTCTAGGTCTTAAGTTATTTAAATGTGTGAATTGAGTTGATTATAGGAGTGGAAGAAGGGTGATCAAATTAAAGACCTTTCCTCAAAGTTGTATTTGCCACACAGCCCATTTCTAGATGTTATTTTCATCCTTCTAATAAGATAATGCAGAAATGTTTATGTTTTTCAGAGGAATGTATGTAAGGATGACCTGCTTGCATATGCAACTGTAATACTAAATGTAGATGACTGTATAAACAATTAATTATACAAACAAATTAATCAGCCAGCAGTTATTACTGACCTATTCTGTACTTAGCAGTGTCCTAGGTGGTGTAAATGATGTAATATAAAGGCCTTCCAAATATACATTAATTGCTAAGTAACTATTTTGGGGAAAAACCATTAAATGTTATTTAAAATAAAAGGCAAATTGATATTTAAAAATGAATATGTAGCCATTATTTAGTATTCAGCCATAACCAAAAATATACACTCTATTGTTTTCCTTTTCACTGATTTTACTAGGTAAATATCTGATATATTTAATGCTACAAAGAGTCCTAAATATCACAAACCTGACTCTTTAATGAACTTTGGGGTATACATGGGTGATATTAGTTAGAAAGACAGACAGATGAATAGTGATATATTCTTCTGGTTGTCTAAGAGTACCATTTTGAAGGATTTGGCTGTTTCAAATGCTTCCTTGAAAATAAAACAAACAAACAAACAAAAAAACAGGAAGAATAAACTAGCCCTACTCCTTAACCAGAATATAGTGATTTCAAATCTTTTTAAAATATTAACATATGAAAGTTTGACATTTGAATCAGTCAGGATCCCAAGAGGAAAGAGGTGGAATGATCAAATTAGCATACTTAAAGAAGGGTTTTATTTACAAAGGAAATACTTCCCAGGCTTAGGTTTGTGAAACTGCAGTGGATGGAGCAGGAATCCAGTAGCAGTTGAGATATTCCCACTCGCTGACCTGAAAGGTGATGTCTCAGATGTTAACAAAAAGACAATTGTGTAGACACACAAAGCAGAACACACATGTGGCTGTTAATTCTGCATTCTCGTACAGGTACTTTAAACATTTTAAAGTCATTCTTCTTAATGCTTTTCCAGTAGGTGAGTTACGTCTGATGAGTTGAAAAAGGACAAAAAATAACCTTGATTTCTTCCAGCATTGCACCACTGCAACTGTTCTCTCAAGGCCATTAGTGCCCCAATGCTTAATCCACTGGACACTTTTCTGTCCTTATAATTATCAGGAATCTCTCAGTTACAAGTGACAGAAATCCAGCTAAAACTGGCTTTGAGAAAAAAGGAACATTTACATTACACAATTGAAAAGTCTAGGCTTATAGCTTTTTCCCAATTGTTCTTGCAAAAGTCACGAAATTGTGCCTCATTGACCTGGCTTGGTACACGTCCTCCCTGTGACCACGAAGATGAATTTGTAATGGCTGTGTTGGGATCATCTTCCAATCCTGGGGCCACTAGATAGATTACACTCAATTCAGAGCACATGACCCAGAGTAAAAGAAGTGTAGTTTCCCACAGGAAATGTTAATTGCCTTGCCACAAGAAGGGACCATGCATTAAAATTAACTACAGGTTTTATCCTATTTGATTTATCAGAAATGTTTGACATAGATGACTCCTCCATGAGACACTCTTTCTTTGCCTTCTTTGACATTACTTAATTTTTCATCCACCCTCCAGGCCAGACTTCCTTACGGGATATACGATTCACAGTTCTTACACTGGTAACCAGGTTTGTTTGGAAAAACCTTCGTCCTTAGTCTCAGCAACGTACACTGATCTTAGACTAGATAAGCCCAGTGGTGGCTTGCATCATGACAGCGATTATAAAGTCCTGGCTGCCCCTGCTATTGCTTCATCTCCTGTCACCTACTCTTGTTTTTGCGTCTTCTGGGGACAAGGACCTGATTTCAGCAAAGTCTGCCTGGGGCCTGCCATGGGGGAATGGCAGCAGCTCCAGTGACCCATTTAACCCAGTGAACCCCTGGGAACTCGGGTTTTCCAAGCAGCTGCTTGAGAGAACAAGGTAACGGAATGCTTGGAACCTAGAAATATGCAGTGTTAACACACAGGGACTGAACTTTGATCAGCAAGAAACTGGAAACTGGAAAAAGTGAGCAGATAAATTGTTTGCCCTTTCTTACCCTGAAACAACAACAACAACAACAACAACAACAACAACAGAAACCACACACCCAAAACTGTTTCATGGGCTTTGTATGGCCTTTTTGGAGATGCCCTGTGTGAAGTAGCAGTTGGCCACTTTATCCTGTGGGGCTGTGGCTAGCATGGAGGTGCATCACCTTCCTTAACTTCTGTTTCACCCTCATTGAATTCTCCCAGACTTCCACCGGAAATACGGTGTTAGGACACAGCTTTTCCTCAAGCTTTACTTGCTGGCAAACTTGTTATATGACACAAGACTTCTCTGCCCATCACTCGAATTTGGCATTCGTTGGGGTACTTTCCAGGTCCTCCTTTTTCCTCATGACCCATGTTCTGCGGGGGAGATCTCATTGACTCTCATGATTCCCGTTATTGAGGACTCCCAGATGTCCATCCTAGGCTTCTTTCCTGAGCTCCAGAACCAAGGATCCAGATCTTGGTGGACATCACTTCTTAGATGCTTCACAGGTGTTCAATTGCAACATGCCTAACATTTAAGTCATGGACATTTCTACGCCCAGCCTGCCCCAAATTGCTCATGTTTTGCCATTTCATATCTGTGAATGACATCGTTGTGCACTAAGTTGCCTGAATCGGATATCTGAGAATCAAGCCTGACTCCTCGCTCCTTCTTACTTCTCATTGTGCACATTCGATCTCTCACCAGGCCTGGCATGTCCATCTCGTAAGTCCACCTCAGCCTCACCATCTTTATTCCATCTCCATCACGACAACCTCTTTAAGCTGTTTTTCTGTCTCTCCTGCATTTTTCCAGTGTGTTCTTTAGAGAGCGATCCTTGTAAAACACACCTCTCAAAGATTTTCTCTTATTCTTAAATATTATTTATTGTATTTACTTTGGCATGTCTTTCCAGCTATATTTCTTGTTTATGCATCTAGAATCCAGTCCTACTGAATTTTTATTTTTTCATGACCCCAGGATCTTTCTTACCTCTGAGTCTATTTTTCCTCTACTTGAAATAGTCTTCTTTCTCTTCTTCACCTTGCTAACTTATACTTGTTCTTCAGGCCTCAGCCTAAATGCCTCTTCCCCCAGAACGTCCTTTGGATCCCTATCTGTTTCTCAGTCCAGGTCCAGGGTTCTTACCATGGCTCCCACTCTACCTGTATGTCTGCTCTCACTGCACTCTACCATTTAATCAGAAAGGCTATTTAATTGTCCTTTTCATTTTTGTATAAAGGCAGGCCTCTATCCACTATGCTTAAAATTGCCTTCCCCAGAACCTGACACAGTGAGTGGACTTACTTAAAACCCTCATTTAAAATCTTATTTTTTTTTCCTGGATAGCAAATTCTCTGAATTTCAAAAAACGAAGGTGCATAGTCTTGCTTTGTTTGTGTTATTAGCTCTCCTTAACAAAATTATAGGACATGGCATTTTAATGACTTTTTTTTTTGAGATGGACTCTCACTCTATTGCCAAGCTGGAGTGCAGTGGCACAATCTCGGCTCACTGCAGCCTCCACCTCCTGGGTGCAAGCGATTATCCTGCCTCGGCCTCCTGAGTAGCTGGGACTACAGGCATGTGCCACCATGCCTGGCTAATTTTTTGTATTTTTAGTAGACATGGGGTTTCACCATGTTAGCCAGGATGATCTCAATCTCTTGACCTAGTGATCTGCCCACCTCGGCCTCCCAAAGTGCTGGAATTATAGGTGTGAGCCACTGCACTCAGCCTCATTTTAATGACTTTTATGACATTGGCATCTAATGTAGAATATATTATCACCTTCTTTAAGAAATAAAACCACAAAGATATGAATGTAATTGCAATTACATTTTCAGAGATTTTCTGTTTTCTGCTTGCATGCTGGATATGACTAAATATAGAGTTTAAAACTCACAGTCTTGAAGTTTTAAAGACTTGATTTCACAGGAAGTGAGTGATGGAACATTTGGGATGGATTGCTGGCAGGGCGTGGTCTATCACTTGTGCAGATGTTGCCAGGAAATACATTGCATTCATACACATGTGAGTCTCTTAGTGTTAACAATCATTGCTGTGTTTGGTCACAGTGCTCTCTGGGTTTTATTTCATGATTGAAATTGGCAAGGTTTAATCTTCTGTTCTTTTTGAAAAGTTTTTGACTCATTATTCTTTATGATCTTTTTGGGTGCTTCTTTGTTACTTTATATGGGAACATGCATTGTTTCCATTTTATATGTTGCTATATGTATAATTTGTCATCTCTTCAACAGAAATTGCTTATAGTGATTCATAGGACTATGAAATAGACTGAAGGCTTATACAAAATGAAAATTTAGAAAATTTAATAAATTTTCAAAGAAATCAAAATTAATAAATAAGTGCATTGGAAATGATAAATATAATGCTGTATAAGCATTATAGCCATAACTGTAAACTCTAAGCATTAGAAATACATGAATTAACTTTCAGCATGGTGTTCCGCAGGAGCTGGGTGGCACAAGGAGTGGTCTGCCCTTTAGGAACTTCCATGTGTCAGTTCTATGTCTAGAGCAAGCACTATGTACTCAGCAAAGATTTTTTATTGTCTAAGCATATTACCTCCTAGAATTGCTTTCTCTTTAGTGTTTAAATGTCTCAGTTGGGAATTTTGGAAGGCAATGAAAAAAAAGAGGCCAAGGCACCAAAAGACAGACACAATTCTTTATTTTGTACACTGTTTTCCAGTTTTAAATGTAAATAAGTTTTTCATATATTATGCAAAGAGTTGGCTTAATTCCCTGAAAATCATCTTCTAAGCTTTATTTTATTTATACCTCTAAATTAATCTGGGCTTCCGAAATTAAACTGTCTAGGAGACATATAATCAAAAAACTCCCGTCAGCCAACAATTCCTATAACTACTTTCCCCAAAGTATAAGAAAAATGACTTTGAATTTTAGGCTTTTGCAACAATAAAAAGCTCTTTGGATAGAGCAGTAGATAAAAAAAATAACACAAATTAGTGTTTTCTTCAATCTCCAGACTTACCTGCCTCTTCTAGCTCAACAACAGGTCAACGGTTGTGCCTCTGATGAACTTGCCCCATCTCATCTCTCTAGGCAAATCTAGTTCCACAGATCTGCACCTATGGCTCTTGGAAATACCTCTGTGATCAGATTCACTCACTTCCCTCCCCCATTTGGACTGGGAGTACTTCAAGAGCAGGGGACTGCATGTTCTTTTTCTTGGTAGCCTTGGGTCTAGCACAATGCCAGTCATATTGTAGAAAATTAATGAATATATGCTGAGTGGTAGAGGACAATTAAAAAGGCCTCTCTGGAGACTACTGATTAGGAAACCAAAGACTGAGATTGGTAGGTTGCCATATTAATGTATATTTTTAAATATAAACTACTATTAAACTATGGCTACATTATTTTGTTCTATTATGGTTAGTTTTAATTGTAAAAAATGTATTTAACAGATAAGATGTTTCATCCCAAAAAAATCTTTTAATTCACTCTAAAGTAATACTTTTCAAGAATTAATTATAAAACAAGAAAGAGCTTTGGAGAACACTAACATCTTGGGAAATGATCACGCTAATTTCTTGTGTACATGTAAATGGCTTTAGACTAGATGGAAAATGTGATTATTGAAAGTTGTTTTGGTCCAAGCCTTCACATTTAGAAATCTTAGTTACTGATGTTTTATATCACAAAATTGGTCTTATGGTCACAAAATAGAAGTATAGAGTGAAAATTCCAACAGAACTCTAATTGTCCAAACTAAACCAGATATGACAGTAGTAATGCATTTTAAATTAGACCCTAGATCTACTAAAGAAAAGTAAATCTTCGAGCTTCAATATCAGCTTCATATTTAACAAATACTCAAATCAGTATATTCATTTATCTTTAATATGGAAAAATATTTGAAAAACTTGGATCTAAGTGTCTGTGTATGTGTGTATATGTGTACACGAGTGTATTTGTGTGTGTGTGTGTGTGAGTGTAGGCAATATCCTTGCCTCTTCATTACTTTAAGTATAGTTATCCACATTCACATTTAAATAAGATGCCATTAAAAAAACAGGTTTTCTTTTTACTGATACCACCTTCTTCTAAGAAAATATCCTGACTTCAATATATTTATCAAATGTAAATTAATAAACAGTGTCATTCACATATTACTTGGTAGAATTTAGCTGTTTCTCTCTCCTTTAAAAGGTGTTAGATATAAAGTAATAATTTTGGATAAACACAGGGACTTAGGTTGAGTTCCTGCTAAGTATGAAGCAAATAACATCCTCAAAAAATTGCATTGTCTGCTTTTCCAAGAAGTTATCCCTGGTCTTGTGATACTCAATGTTATGTTGCAAAATCATTAGGGGGTGAATTGCTTTTAGTAGTAGCTACCCAAGCTCTATTCCTATACTGAACAGCTTCCCCTTGTCCCACAACTTCTAATTATTATTGGGGACAATAAAATTCTGCTATGATTTGACTTATATGAGTGTTTCACAATCAAAAGAATAAGGAGGACTCTTTCTATGAGTAGTACTTACCACATAATTATCCTTTGGATGTTATTTTAATCAATGTAGTGAGAAATATTTGAAAATACAATTTTTAAAAATGATAAAGCTATGAATAGCAGTCTTCATGTACAGCTACACAGCTATATGTAGACAACTGCATGTATAATTATGGAAATAAATCATCTGCCTATGCCTAATACTGTGTTAGGTGCCATGGACAAGGCAGAATGAAGGCCTTTAAAATTTATATTGATTTCTGGGAAACTATTTTAAAATAAACGTCATAAAATCATTCAGAAAGTAAAAGGCAAGATCAATATTTAAAATCAATACATAGCCATTATTTTGCTTTTAGTAGTGACCGACATTTCTGTTTTATATTTGTTTTCTGTGATCCTCTGACTTTATTAGGTGAATGTGTGATTCACTTAATCTTTCAAAAGGCTCTATGAGCAGGAAACTCAAATGTTTAGTAAGTGGAACAGAGTCAGAGAGATGACAGAAACTTGTTTGCGGATGCCATTTTGAAGGAGTTAGCTGTTGACCCACCCACTTTCCAACCAAGGAAATAAACACAAAACATTTTTATTTCCTATCTGAAGACCAACAGGCCTGAGTTTTCCCTAGTAAAAACAATTATGTAAAACTTTGACATTTGTATCAGTCGAGATCCCAAGAGGAAACAGATGGCACATTGAAATTAGGATATGTTGAAGTAGTTTTCATGCACAAAGGAAATAATTAGAAAGTAGGGAGATGGTATAAAGAACCACACAGGTTAGTTCTGGGACATGAAGAACAGCCAGCGGTTGTCATCGTTGGATCTGAAAGAGGGAGAGGTTAGTGACATGTAGAAGGAAACAGTCCCTTAGTGAAGGTGAGACTGAGAGGAGCAGTGACCTCTGGGGGACACTCAGCCATCAGGGTCATATTTTGGGTGATCTTTCTTATAATTTTTCTTGTTTTCTATAATTTCTTATCTTCTATAATTTCTTATAATCTTTTGTATACTTTTCAAAGTTTTCAAGATTTTGAGAGTACAATTGAATTACCCTTATTTTAAAAAGTTGTCTTCCTCACAGCACAGTGTGGTTGTAAGCCTATCATGACATTGCGCCCCCTATGAAACCTCCCACACATGATCATGAGACTTCTGGCCACCAACAGGGAGGGAGGGAAGGCCTGCTCTGTGGCTGCCAGGCATTTCCACGTATGAGTTTAAAGACACCGAGGGGATTACATCAACCTTAGAATAACATGTCATATAATTAAGTGGAAAATAATTCTTTAAAGACTGAAGAAATGGGTCGGATTTGTAGCAAAGAGGAAAATCATATATAAAGGTTTCCAATTATTAGTCACACTAAGTATTTTCAGGAAAATAACTCTTGTGATTTCCATGTTCAAAAGTGATCGTGAATTTGTGCCTTAATCTATCCTAGAAAAGTTTTTCTGTGCCTAGGAGTATGGTACCAGAAATAGCCTTTAAGTGACACAGATAAAATTTTCCTGAATGACAGCTGTCCTCAGACCAATTTATTGCAAGCCTGCAGACATGGTACAAAATGTTAATAGATTACTGAAAACATTTTCGTTATTGTGATTAGGTATTTCTTAGCTACAAAGATCCATCCATGTGGACAAATGCAGCTCCTTTCAATAGGGGTCAGTTGGCCTAACAATTACTTTTAAATTAAAACCTTCTTATATCTTAGGTCAGTATTTGCCTAGCAGAAATGCAATGGTACTATATGTTTCCACTTTATGAAGATTGATTTAAAAATCATTAAACATTTAAATATTTTTGTGGAACCTTTAGTATAATTTTATAACCTTGTTTGGGGACTTTTTTCATCTTAGGAAGATGAAGCTGTTTTTTTCCATTTCTAAGGCAAAGTCTACCATATATGGCTTTTTCTACCATATTGTTGAGAGTTAGAAAAGAATTTGACATACTTTGATATAATGTTCCAAGGAAGTAAACTGGAAACTGACACCCATACAGGTGCTTCTTCATGCTCCAGAAGTTCGACAAGCAAATAACATATCTAACTTGAACCTGTTCCAGGGGTCTCAGAAGGGATCCATTGGATTCCTTTGGTGACACAAGTGCCTCTGGCATAACCAAAACCCATGCTCTGTGTATGTGCACAAGAGACATGACAATGAATTTGTATAACCATTTTTGTTAACAAGGGACAGGACAAAGAGAAGTGCTAGATGCATTTCCTGAAGTATTTTATTCAGTTTATTCAATGTTAAATTTCACAAATGTTCATGAGAACAATATTAACTGGCCAGGACACTAAAATATGCCCTGGATATAATACTAAGAACTATCATCACCTTGACTTCGAGGAACTTGTAATCAATTTGTGAAGACTTGATTTACACATAGAAAATAGTTATTAATAAAGTTATTTAGAAGAAGATAAAGGTCAAATTAGAGACCAAATGTAGAGGCTGCATTATTTTTAAATCACAAATTTCTGCTGAGATGCGAAGTGTAGCCCAGCAATCCTATTAACATTCTCTAGTAACTACAACGAAGATTCCCTAGAACGACAACTTCTTTTCTCTGCTGAAAATCTCTAAATACCTGTCTCATTCTCATTTATTGACATCATCTCATTCATCGTTGAGAATATAAAAGCAACAAGAATAGAAACATCACTGCATCTTCCAATCACCAAATCTAATTCCGTACACCTCCTGCACACACATTCTCTTCTTTCACTTTGGTAAATGCTCCTGTGCCTGCCTAAGCTGAATCCCTCCACTTGTGCTTTAGATGGACCTATTTTAGTCTACTCGAGACCATACTCTGGAATTAGCTCCCCTCCCTTGAAAAAATCATTTTTCTCCCAAACTGATCATTTCCATTGACATACAAATGCATTTTAATTTTAACATTTTCTATATTTCAAACAACAGAAACAAAAATCCAATGCTCCCTTGATTCTTGGTCTTCCTTCAGTTACTACTTGATTTTCCTGTTTACCTTGGCAGCAAAATGGGAGCATTCGCCAGGCTCAGTCTCCAAGGCCTCCTGGTCCTTCTTTCTTCCATACAGTGTTAGGGAGCTTCTCTCCTGGCCTGTGCATTGCCGGGCTGTTATTAAAAACAACAGAGATTTCCATTCTGCCAGAACCAATGGTCAGTTCTCCCTCTCTATCTTATTTGAATTCTTAGTAGTATCTGGCCTGGCTCACAAGGCCCCTCCCTCTTGAAATGCTTTATTCTCTTCATGACGCTGCCCTCCTGGCTTGTCTCAGGCTTCCCTGTCTCCAGGTCTCTTTCAGCTCCTTCATTGGTTTCCTTTCTCAGATCAGCTTTTATGTGTTAGAATTCCCAGGGCCCAAGCCTTAATTCTTTTTTTTTTTTTTCTACTTTTAAGCCTCAGGTGATCTCATCTGGTCCCCTGATTTTAAATACCATCTTCATTAGGATGGTGTGAAAGTCTGACTGAGTCATTTTTCCTGCCTCTGGAGGTGACAGAATAGTGAAGAGATTTCAGCTAAGAGAGCACATTGCTGAGAACAAAGTCATTAACTTCTCCAGGGCCAATTTCTAAGCAAGCCCAGTTTTGGTACGAGAGTGCTATGTCACAGGGGGCAAGAGTGTTGGGATCACTCAACATCAAGATGGTTCAAAGGAGAACTAAGAATGAGAATAGAGTTGACTTTGGGGAAAATGCAGGGCACCCAAGTTCCTTCATATAAATTTGCAGGAATCTGAACTATTCAGGCTGTACTATGTGGGGACTGATGATTGATTATCTCTATGTAAAAAGTGGTTCTACTTTTGGAAAAATGGCTAGATAGCATTTGATTGTGGAGTGAGGGTAGAATCAGAAGCATTTGACAAGAAGTCTGGTGTGGAACAATTAAAATTGGGCTGCCTTTTGTTGTGAGCATTAACTTGGGGCAGGTTTGAGAAAAAGAAGCTACCAGAAATATTCACAGGTGTTGCCATTTTTGGCAATCAGAGCTGCATTCACAGGCACTTAAAGCCTTGCTCCACTCATTCAATCTACTGCTCTGGGATTTCACCAGGCCCTCTCGCTTGCAGATCAGAGGGTCCTCTTGGGCAACTTAGAGGATGATGCTCTGCATCAAATAAATTCTAGGTGGGAATAATTAACATATTATGACACATCTCTTAGCGGTCTCCGTGTCTGCCCAATTCTATGTTTCTCTCATTTCCAGGTATCCTCCTCTCACCTTCAGTGCCCGGATGCAGGAGGTAACTCCCTGGTGAGGAAGACCTAAGTATATGGCCATAGATTCATAAGGAGAATGGAAGAGAAAAGTGCTTTTAAAAGTGATAAATTTGAGAAAAACTTTCAGATGAGATATTCCAAGTTTATTTACTTGTGTTGTTTTTGTTTCTGTGTTTGGTAAAATGATTCCCCTCTCTGACCCATGATTACTTTATAAACCTTAATGTGCCAGCCAGGCATGGTGGTGCACGACTATAATTCAGTTATTCCAGAGGCTGAGTCAGGAGGATGACTTGAGCCCAGCAGTTTGAGGGTGCAGTGAGCTATGATTGCACCACTGCACCCCTTAGCCCATGAAACATTATAAACGCCATGCTAATGACCAGAAATGTACTTATGGCAGGTTTTATTCAGTCCAAAAGAACTGCCAAGTACATTTAACTGACTACTGATGATACTATGATGTTTTTAACAGGTAAGATACTACACAGAATAGTAATAAATTCTGTCTTTTCAAAATCATGTAAAATCTCAGAAATAGGCTTTCCTCCAAATAAATCAGCCTTGAAAAGCTTCGAGTGATTGACCCATATTAAAAGGAGTTTAAAAAGCTCCCAAGCCCTTTATGTGCCCATGATACCTTTTGTTCTATTTTTTCTTTGTATTTTATTTAATTAATTAATTTATGTATTTTTGAGATGGAGTCTCACTCTGTCGCCCAGGCTGGAGTGCAGTGGTATGATCTCGGCTCACTGCAACCTCCACCTTCCAGGTTCAAGCGATTCTCATGCCTCAGCTTCCTGAGTAGCTGGGATTACAGGCACCCACCACCACGCCCAGCTAATTTATGTATTTTTAGTAGAGATGGGGTTTCACCATGTTGGCCAGGATGGTCTTGAACTCCTGACCTCAGGTGATCCTCCTGCCTTAGCCTCCCAAAGTGCTAGGATTACATGCATGAGCCACCACACCCAGCCTCATTCTATTTTAAATACTAAAAGTAACACAATATGCCATACCTTTTTGTACACGATTCAAGGTCTTAATAAGCTTCTAAAATATGTGTTTTTTTCTGAGATAAATAACCAATTTAGAATTATCCAATAATTCTGGATAAATACCGGAATTAAAACAGTGTCTGCGGAGTAGGACTAGGCAATTTTAACTCTTTGTTTTGTACCTTTTCCCTGTTTGAATGTCTATTTCTACATGTATAATAACAATAATAACTACCAAAAACACTTACCTTAATGTGGCCCTTTTCTTTCATGAGATTTTAGCTCCTTTTAGTATAAGTCAATCACTTGAAGCTTTTCTAGGCTCATTTATTTGGAGGAAAGCCTATTTCTGAGATTTTACATAATTTCGAAAAGGCAGAACTTATTACTATTCTATGTGGTGTCTTACCTTTTAAAAACATTATAGTATTGTCAGTAGTTAGTGAAATGTACTTGGCAATTTTGAAATGTACTGTTATAAGTACATTTCTAGGTATACTAGGACAGCATTTATAATTTGTCATGGGCTGAGGGGCCAACACAATGCAGTTAGCATATTTTATCTTGTAGAAAACTAGACTTAGATTCTACTGTGCATTCTTGTTCCTTATGTCCCCTTTCTGGTTCTCACCATCTTGCCCAAGACAGAAGATTTTGGATCCCTTAAGTCCAGTGTGACTCCCCCAGTCCTTGAGATTCACCCTCTGGGAGGCCCCCTTCCATCCTACTCTTTGTACTGTCACAACACATCCTGACTTAGAGAATGGGTTCACCATGAACTCTTGGAGTTATATTCCCTTCATAGGACTAGGAAGACCTGGATGTCCATCCAGCCTCAATTAATAAGAATTCAAAGGGCAAGAAAGGTGGACACAGAAATTTCCTTTTTCTGAAGCGCTAAATGGAGCCCTGAAGAACACTTTCTGTGGGATCTGCCAGTCGATTGAGCTCTTTATTTCCTTTCTAGGCAGGAAACTTCAGACTTCATTTTCATTGTCCAGCAGTGACCTTATTACTGTCTTCCTATTGGAGCTTTCCTGTGTGGTGGGATATGGTGGAATGTAGGCAGGGATAACCCAGTCCAGAAAGGCTGGCTGAGACTGGAATCTCATTTGCATGTGTGTCCTACTGCACAGTGTACCAGGCATCTCTCTAAAGCTTGCTTGTGTCATATAACAGAGAGGTGACAATTGCTAGGAAGCCTTTGAACAGCCTCAGGGATGCTCTTCAAAGATATAGTCCATGAAAGTGGGAAATATTTGTTTTATGTCTGTCTTTAACTGCTATTAATTTTGTTATTAAGATATTCCTCACTAGAATAATAAACTTTAAACAATGTTTTCTCAATAATATACTGAATTTTATTTAATTTTTTTAAAGAACCTGATTTTTGTTGGTGTGTATAAAAATAAAATTTCTAAAAATGAAGAGACTTCGTTGCAAATCAAATTTTCTTAAAAAAATAGAGAGTGTATAGTTCTGTGTTTCACTTACTCAAAATGCATCAGTGAGATTTGCTAACAATTGTGTAATTTACCAACAATGATAATGATTTACTGTCATTATACTATATGAATTTAAGATTAATTAAACATACTTAGTTCTGTCATGTAGTTCTTTGTAGCAGAATTTACGCCACAGCATGGTTTCCTCCTATTTAAAAAATCAATGCACTGGAAAACTTATAAATAATTTATTTCTCTAGGACTTGTCAACCACACTTTCATAAATGCATTCTAGTGTATGAGAAAGGCCCCGGAGGAGAAAAAATGATTCAATCAGTGACAATGGAGTTACTGATGGATACCAACTGAAATACTGTCACATAGGCAGCTACAATTTACATGTACTCAAATGTCTTATTAATTTCAAAGAGAGGGTTTTATATTCAAGCTGACACATTTTTCTTAGAACTGCTAAGGATGTGACTTTTCTAAATTTCTGAGAAATTTATATTTTAAAAGCTGGTCTGTGCTACTGCACATTTCATCTTTCGAAGGTAGGAAGATATTTATTTACTCTGGCCCTACTTGAGCAGGGAATCGTAGTAGGCAATGCAGGTGGTGGTGGTACCTGTGTGTCAGGGTTTGTGCGGGGATGTTCTCGTGTCACCCTAGAGGCTAAATTATTTAAGGTCTTTGGAATTTTTGAAATACGTAAATCCTGTATTTCTTTTTCTTGAGACTTTCTCAAGAAACTCGCATGATGATATATTGCTATAGAATATTTGGGGGATAGATATGTCACAGTTGTGAAATGGGTACTGCCTATGTGTCGACTATTAATAGAATTGAAAACTTGGCATTCCCAGTCACAATTCCTAACCTCCAACTTTTTGGTGCTTAAGAGGAAAACAAAGTAAAAAATAAAAACCAACATTTAAAAAGTTGCAATCTAAAAACCCTTTTACTCTGCATCACCTTATTGATTGGGTGGATTCTTAACTTGGTACAAGTAGTGGGTTGAATGGTGCTTCCACTCCCCAAAGATTCTCCACTCAGAACCTGTAAATGGGACCATATTTGGAAAAAGGATCACTGCAGATGTTATTAGGTTAAGGGCCCTGAGATGAGATCATCCTGGAATATCCAGATGGGCCCCAAATCCAGTGACAAGTGCCCTTATGAGAGAAAGGCAGAAGACATTTGAGACATAAAGACACAGAGAGGAGGCAGAGATTGACCAAGAAATGGCTGGAACTGCCAGAAGCTGGACGAGGCAAGGAATGGACTATTTTTTAGAAACTTTGGAAGGAGTGTGGCCTTGCTGACAGCTTGATTTCAGACTTTTGGCCTCCAGAACTGTGAAAGAATAAATTTCTATTGTCTTAAGCCACCCAGTTTGTGGTGATTTGTAACAGTAGCCCTAGAGAATGAATACAGGGCATATGATATTGTATAGGTAGGTCTATTTTACACTAACCTGAGGATAGGACTTTACTCACTTATTTCCTTTGGGGTGTACTTATGCACACTACCATGTGATTTCTGTAGCAATTTTATCTCCAATTCATATCACTAAAATATTAATATGTGCAAATATGATAAAATTATCCTAAGACAGCTCCCAAATCTAAGACTACCCTACCTTCTTTGGATAGAGGCAAGTTCCTGTGGTCACCACCTGGGAGTACCCTAATCTGTGACACTGGCCTCTACATGTCAAACTTTGTATTTTGGTATCCTCAAATTTTCTTCAAATGTGTAAATTAAAAAAAAAACAAAACAATTTGTGCAAAACTTAGAATAACAGTTAATGTAGAATAAACTATATATAACTCTGATGACACAATGGCACAATTTCATGGTATATAACCTACCAGGCATATAAAGTGTTTAAATATCTTTGTAAGATAGTCTCATCTTTATGTTCTTCTTTCGTCTTCAGATCTAGTCCTATGGAGAAGAAGGATTATTTTTATCCTCCCAAGATTCCCACATTTTAGGCAGTACAAATTCCTCCCAAACTGAACTAGGATTTCTCACCAGTTGTGTAATCTATATCTGAATTCTGAGTTTTCTATCTTTTAGGCTCCCTGAGTCTCCAACAAAGAACAACACTGGGGATTCCCTCTTTCGTCCTTCCTTCCACATTCCCTCTTCTCCTTTCTCTACTTTTTCCTCCTCTGTGTCCTTCATCCTAACATATTCGTCATGCTGTCACAGGCCATTAGAGCAGCCCTTTGGTTCTTGCTTGTGTTTTCATTTTGCTCATCCTTTCATTTCTGTCTCTTTTTCACTCCCCCTGTAGGAAATTTGAAAGATGTTTGACAAAACTAAGATGTCCAGGTCTTGTTTCTTCCTACCTTTGTCCCTTCCCTCTCCACTGTCCCTGGCATGTCTCCCACCATGGGTCACCTCTTTTATTTTAGAGAGATGAAGGAAAGCACAGACAGGTAATTCCAAGTTCTTGACTTCAGTTAAGTTGAACATGGGTAGCTTAATCCATCCTACATTTTTATTTTGAGAGAAGAGGGATGAGAGTCCCAACTCCAAAAGTGAATACTAAGCCCTCCCGCCCCTCTTACTTGTATTAGTTGTGCTCTCTCAGACATAAAGGAATAGAGAAGAGTGGAGGTCACCAGGAATGACAGGCGGCTCCTAGAAGGATGCCTGTCCTCTCCATATTCTCAACCCCTCCAGGAGCTAAGCGCACGTCTGGTGGGCTTTCTCCCGGGGGGGGCCTGCCAGTATCCCTGTGTGGCTGCCTCTGGGCTAGGCACCGAAGCCTCCAAGCACATGGCTGCTGTTGAAGGTGTCCATGGCAGAGAGCATGGCAGCTGTGCTCAAAGATGAGGTGAGCTTTTGGCAGCTTCATTCCCAAGGGGCAATGGGCATGACTGTACCAGGCATTGCATGGACTGCCCTTCGGCTCAGTATTCTTCTCTGTTATCTGCAGTGTCCCTCTCTCCTGCAGCCACTGACGCCTACCCAGTGAGGCTCTTGTACAGATTAGAAATAATACATGCAAGGGCCTGGCAGGCAACTAGTGACAACACTTATTACTTTGATTTCCCATCTCTTTCCACTGTAGGTAACCTTTCCAATCTGAAAAAAATCTTTCATTCTTCAATCATTCATTTACTTATGTATTCAACAACTATTTATTGATCACCTACTATATATTATGCAGTGCTATGGTTTGGATATAATTTATTTGGCTCTGCCAAGTTTTGTGTTGAAATCTTGGCATCTACCCAAAGGAAAAGAAAAAAGTATGTCAAAAAGATCTGCACACACCGGCAACCCTTTGCCTTTCACCACTTGTGGAAGCAGTCTGAGGGCTTCATCAGATGCAGGCACAGTGTCATACTTCTTGTACAGTCTGCAGAACTGTGAGCCAAATAAACCCCTTTTCTCTATAAATTACCCAGCTTCAGGTATTCCTTCAGAGCAGTGCAAATGGACTAAGACATACACTTTTCTCAGGCCCTAGGAATAAAGGTGAAAATGACAGGGTTTCTGTTCTCAAGGAATTCACAGCTTATTCAAACTGTCCAACAGCAGAGGGAAGAAGGTCCACAGCAAGGCTGGACACGATGTAAGTGTGCACTTCATTTTTGTTGATGACAAGCAGTTCAAACATTATTATTTTGTCCATTGCAAGAAATATGGTACTTCAGAGAAGAGTCAGAACAGACATAGATTTGACTTTTTGTATGTGAAATCTCCATCTGAAAATATGAGGTTCCTGATGAAGAAAGTCTAGCATTGATTAGGGAGTTCATTTCCCTGAAATAGTGAGAGGTGAAATTAGAAATAAAAACGCAGAAGAAATCATCAAAGAGATTGTCCATGGAGAGTAAGACGAGTAGGAATGTATATCCTCTGAAATGATTTTAGTATTCATTTATAAACTATTGACAGACAAGAACCACAAAGGTTTAGTATGTAATGTACTTTATCTTTCAAATAATGAATCACACATTGAGGCTCAGAGATGTTAGAAAACTTGCTCAGTCACCCGCTAGTAGGCAGTAGAGTGAGGACTTGGAGTCAGGAGACTCAGAAGCCTAAGCTCCTGCTCTTCCCTGACTGTTGGTAGCCTTCATGCCTGTAATCTGAGAAACTGTTTGGGGCCTCTTCACTTATCTGGGGATATGATCCATCTTATACATTGTCCAGGGGAATGTAAACTTAGATGATTTGCTTTCAACAAACAAGAGTCACTCATTTCCAGCCCCACTAGAAACGGGGAAAAAAAAAAGCGCCACTTATTGAAATAGAAAAAAAAATCCTTAAGTCAGGGCAACGGTCTAATAATAATTTCTATTCACAAACCACTTCAGTGTTGACTTCTACCATTTTACATTTTACCCTTGAAAATCTGAGATAAAAAAATAAGAAAATAATTTATTAAAGTCTTCATTCTTCTCCCCTTTAAGAAAAAATATAGAGAAAAATGATGGAAACATATCAAACTGCGTAAGACAGAAGAAGATGTTAGAATCACTCTTCAGATTTATTTTAGTGCTAAACAAAAAGGAAATGTTGTCTAGTTTCTCATATGGAAAACAAAGCTTCAACCTGTATTTTATGATGACGATTGGCATACACAATCTTAGAGTACGAATTACAAGAAGAACCCTGGTTTACAAAGTTTGGACTCCCAGGAAAATGTTGACGGGTTTAATAAATTAATGTAAACACTAAGAATAAATTTAGAAATATACACGAAGTTTATTTTTTTTTCTAAAGCACAGAGAAATTATCAACCACACACTATATACCATTGCATTTGAATTATGGAATCTTTGTCCCATAGATTCTCTTTGAGTAGCCACCATTTTTCAGGACATGTTGAAGTTTACAATTTTTACTGGAAATGTAGCTTTATGTAGTTTCCTCTAAAATTCAAGGGAAAAGAATTTGTTTCTAACTTCAATATCAATAAAAGACAGATTTAAATGGCTTATAATAAGAAAAAATAGTGGATAGAAGTTTAGTTTTCAATTGTACTACTTTTCTAGTGTGACAAAGTTACATCAAAGCAGCAGATAGGGCAGCTTAAAGCAACAGAAAACAATCTCACAATTATGGAGTCCAAAGTCTAAAGTCACGGTTTTAGCAGAGTTGTGCTCCCTCTGAATTCTGCAAGAAAGCAACCTTTTTCTTCTCCCTCGCTTCTAGTGGAGGCTGGCAGTCCTTGGTGTTCTTGGCTTGCTGACGCAGCACTTCAGTCTTTGCCTCCCATGTCATGTGGTGTTCTTCCCTTGCATGCCTGTGTCTTCTCATGAAGACACCAGCCATACTGGATTAAGGCTTTACCCTACTCCAGTATGACCTCATCTTACTAACGAATTACATCTGCAAAGACACTATTTCCAAATAAGTTTACATTCTGAGGTATTGGGGGTTAGGGCTCAACATGTCTTTTGGGGGAGACACAATTCAACCCATATCATCCATTGATCATTTTTTTCTTTAAATTAAAAAAAAAAAACCCTTTGGTATTGAAACTGTTTAGATGTACACAGAAGTTACAAAGATAGTACAGAGCATTCTCATACATCCTTCACCCAGCTTCTAATGTTAGCAACTTTCATATCCATGCTACTATTAATTAAGCCAGAAACTTTATTTGTATTTCACTAATTTTTTCACTAACGCCTATTTTTGTTTTTGTTGTTGTTGTTCCAGAATTCAACCCAGAACACCAAGTTTCATTTAGTCAACTTTGTCGCACCTCCAATCTGTGACAATCTTTTGTGTTTCCCTGGTTTTCACGAACTTGCCATAGAGACTTTGAAGAATACTGGACAGATACTTTGTAGAATGTTTTCATTTCGATTTCTTTCTGATTTTTTCCTGATTTTTTCCTTAGATTAGACTGACATTATGAATTTTGGGAAAGATATTTTAGAGGGGAAATCCTCTACCCATCACATTATATTGGGGGTACATGATATCAACATGGCTTATTCTAGATGATGCTAATCTTGATCCCCTTGATAAAGTGCCGTATGTCAGGTTTCTCTATGGGAAAGTTACCATTTTCCCTTTACATGCTCTATTCTTTGGAAGCAAGTCAATAAATCCAGCAACATGGAGAGTAAGTAGAATTAAGTTTCACCTTCTGGAAGAAGGGAATATCAAATAATCTGGGGACATGTGTTAAAACCATTAGAGTAATTAATAAATATCTTGAGGAAGATACTTTGAGGCTATACAGATAACCTGTTTCTCCTTAAAGACTGACCCATTAATTTTAGCACTCATCAGTGGATCTTGCCTGCGGCAATTATTACTGCGCTATTCAGTGGTGATGTTCCACTTTGCTCATACCATATTCTTTATAAGAGCAACTAAAAAATAGGAATCCTGATGCAAGATTAAAGTAACTATATCTGCTGGGATGGTTTGGGACTATTAAAATGCATTCATAGTGCTTTCATTCTAATAATATCAGCCCTAAGAAATAAAAGCCCCTGGGCATGCTTTCTTATGGATGCCAAGTGCATTTGAGCAGTGAATGATGCAAAGGTAGGTACTTAATGGTCCCGAGAGAAGGTGTGTCACCCTTCTGTGACAGAGCTCATTTGCATACACATGGTTAGCCCCAGCAGGGGTGTGCATTCAGGGGTCTCCCAGAGCAGAAACATAGACATTTTCAGCAAAAAGCAGCTCTTTGTAAACTTTATAACCTCAATCCAAACTCCAGGTGTCAGTTTACAGCTTTTCAGATTGACATCTTAAATCAAGAAAATGTCACATGTGTACAGTAACTGGCCTAATCTTTTCTATAAATTGCTGCCTGCGGTTTTCAAAAACATAGTAAATTGCTGGCAATTGACAATGTGTCTCTTTGCATGGCTAACTTCACTTCTGCACGGTTAACAAATCAGTCTTTAATTATTCATGCACATCACACTATGTCTAGGCCTTGATTGACAGCTATTGATTTTAGGGAACTGTAATTCTCTCTTTTATAGGGAAGAAAAATATGTCACCTGATTGTTTCCATTTTATTCAGATGTAAAATTAAAACTGTAAGCAGGAAAAATAACTATACCCTCTGTCTCGGTATTTCAGTTAAAGGTGAACACAGCTCACTACACTACACTAATTGTCGTATGCTACTGTAAAGTAGGACTAATAGCTTTAATGTCCTTTAGTATTTTAAATACACAGAGGAAATTTTATTTCCATTAATTCTATAATTACAGGAGACCAAAAAATGATTAATTATATGTACAAACTAAAACATCAGATGGCCCATTATGAAATGGTACTATTACCCCATTGCACATTATTCTAGACATAAAGATGAGATCATATCTTAAAACAACCAAAGAGAATTTTTATTCCTAAAATAAGCTTTGGGATATGGTATTTGTTCTAAAAAGATTTCTTAATGCCATTTTCTTTTCTAGAAGCATACTTTTTAAAGGGGAATTTTCTGGAAGCATATTTATCCTTCCTTGAAGCACTTTTTGAATCATCACTGGCTCTAAACTAATATACTTGTGCCATATAGGAGTCTTGTATTTGAAAAGTACATCTGTCCATATGTGCTTAGGAAAAATGATTTCCGGGCATCTCAAAAGGCACCCCAGGAGGAAAGCATGTTACTGCTGTTCTTGTCTATAACATCAAAACTCAGTAGTTTTGTTTAGAGTGTGTTTCTGGAGGACTACCTTCTAAGGACAGTAATCTATGATAGTGTGTAATCACAAATATAAACTGAATGTAGTGGCCGGGCGCGGTGGCTCACGCCTGTAATCCCAGCACTTTGGGAGGCTGAGGCGGGCAGATACCGAGGTCAGGAGATCAAGACCATCCTGGTTAACACGGTGAAACCCCGTTTCTACTAAAAATACAAAAATTAGCCGGGCGTGGCGGGCCCCTGTAGTCCCAGCTACTCGGGAGGCTGAGGCGGGAGAATGGCGTGAACCCGGGAGGCGGAGCTTGCAGTGAGCCAAGATGGCGCCACTGCATTACAGCCTGGGCGACAGAGAGAGACTCTGTCTCAAAAAATAAAATAAAATAAAATAAAATAAAAATAAAAATAAAAATAAACTGCATGTAGAAAAAGAGTCTGGAGAAGGAGTGTTTGATGGTGATTGACAGATGAACACAATTCATCGCAATTGATAGAAAAACAAACTGCTTTTCTCACATGTTATTGGTCATGAACATTGTCCGAATACGTGAATATCAGCATTAAATATTAAACATTAAGGCTGTATTGTCTTAAACACAGTAATGCATAAACCCATCACGTTTTCCTCAGGGAGACCTTTGCTCATCTTGATGTATTTAACACTCTTGCCCTATGTGCTCAAAGTTCTAAGGGAAGTCCTTGATCATAACATTTTTATATTCTATTATTATTATTACTTAAATTTATTATTACTTATGTTTCCCATTGTGTAGAAAATTTCATGAGAACAGAGCTATCTGGTATATTCTTATGTTCCAATTTCTATGCTCATAAGTTCTAAACTAAAATTTGTGTGTCAGTTTGCATTAGGCTGGGTTATATATCACAGAAAAGCCCCAAAACAATGGCTTAAAAGATATTCTATCATATAAAATAAATTCAATATTAGGCAGACTAGAGATAATGTAATATCTCCACAAAGATATAAGGTCTCAGGCTCTCCCATCTTTCTTCTCTATTATCCTAATCAATTACTTATCTTCTCAAGGTTATCTTTTGGCCCAAGTGTGCTGTGCTGGCCTCAACCAATCTTTTTTTCCATCTTTCCTTATATAATTGCTTTGCTTTCCCCCATAATCCTGCTTAACTTGAAGTCTCAGACTTATCCTTTTTGGGTGAGGGATCTAGAATGCTTGTGCTAACCTTAAGGGCACTTCGTCGCACCCTGTCATGGTCATCTCAGTCAAATCATAAATCAAATGCATGACCATTATAGTGCCTCTCATGTTCAAGGTCACTCCAAAGCATTTAACCCATAATTTCTCATGACATCAACAATAAACTTTCTCTGTGCAAAGAGAAAAGTTTTTAGATATACCTACAAGATATATCTAGTTTTTAAAAAAGGAGTTACAGAGGTAAATTTTTGTAGTAATTTAGGGTTTTTTTTCCTTTACAACATCGCAGAAGGTAGTGTTACATAATTGTATCTTAAGCTCCTCTGTTCCTGCAAGACACTTCAACAAAATGTTCATTCAGATCATTTAATTGTGTAGTAGTATTCTGTTTTATTGCGTAAAACTACACAGAGGCATACATTGCTATTCAGTTACAAAAAAGATGACATGCAAATAAATCTGTTTATCAGGCTTTCTTTTATCATCTATGAACCATTGCAAATCTCACCTAAAATTCTTCATCATTCAGATTTTACTCTTAATTGAAGTTTCTCAACCATGAGATTGTATCCATGAAATGCACTAACATCACAGCAAGATAATTCATGATCTTAATGGCATTTACTGGTGTTCTATTTGTTCTACATATTGTTCTAGAATGACCTTATATTCAGATTGCTCCATCAAGAATTACACTCGTATATTTGAAATTCCTTCTAAAACGCACAGCAACACTTTTCATTAGAAGCTATTCAAGCTGTTTTCTCTGGAGCACAAAACTACTTTCATTGAAGTTTGGCAGCCATGACCTACCTTTAATGGTTTAATGTTCGCAATCTGTGGCCCAACTAACTCTCACTTATTAGAATAGGTATAGCTTCATTGAGAAAGAAATGTTTCTATAGAAGCACGTACAAGAACTGGGCAAATTTGGAGACCATTGTATCAGCAGGGCTCCCAGGGGCACTGGAGAAGTTGAATGAGAATAGGGTCACCTCCCAGCCTCCTCCCGGCTTTTTCTGGCAGGGTGAGATGACCACCACAGCCCATATCTTCCCACACTCAGGCAGTAAAGTCTGGAAGTCAATGGCTGGGAAAGATAGAAAACCTTCAAGCCACAAGTCACAAGTGTGGTTTTCTTTGACCAGAGATGGAGACATGAGAACAAGTTTTAAGAACTCAGTTCAAACAGTTAAAGTTAGTACAGAATTATGAGGTGTTAAAGAATTAGAAAAGGGGATTCAATACAGAAGAGTTGGGGAGTGAGTTGTTGGAGAAACTAAGATCATTTCATATTTATACTTCTGAATTGAAACTATGAAATAAATGAATGACACAGGTAAAACACTTACTTTTCTTTAAAAATTGTTTTCTCGTATTTGATTGGAGGGATAATACGATATAGAAGAAAAATAACAGAAACCATGTATTTCTGCGTAGATATTTGCTTATTTTTGCACATACCTTGCTCAATACAGTGACTCTAAAAGAGCAACTCTAAAAGAGCAACTGCTTTTTGGAAACCCAATTGCTTTTGAAAAAAGACAAAAATAAAACCTATTGGCAACCTATTTGTCTGCAAAGAGAGACATATTGTTGTTACACAAATTTCTGATTAACAGCTATTAATAAAACATCAGCCACATTGATTACTTAAAAATTTAGATGGTTTCTGTTTGTCACTAGATTGTATAACCCCGCAGTAAACTAAATTTTCTGAGAAAAGATTCCCAAATCTTTGTATTTGCATTAAACATCATGATAAATAAAATACAGGCTTCAAATTTCATAGATTTCCTTCATTGTGGAAAACAGGCAGAAGGAAAAATTAGGTCACCATATCAGTGAGAGAATATTGGAACTTAATTTTTCAGGAATTATATTCACTTCAAACTTTAAGGTCTTTGGAATAAGAAATATCTCTAAGATGACTTGTTCCATTTTCTGAAATATAATTGCATCCCTTGGAAAAGTTTTGTGAAGCAACAAAACATAGCATCTACTGTCCATAGGACTTTAGATTTTTTACAATCAAGACCCAAAGTCGAATTTAATTATAGAGATCTTCCAAATCTAGACAAACGTCTGTCCCCATCACCTCCCTTCTTTCAGTCTGCTCTGCAAACAGTGTTTGAGAATAAAAACAGAAAAGTAGAATACATACAGAGCTTCATTTTCCCCTACTGATGTAAAAGCGTTTATGCATTTAAAAAAATGCCCAATTGTACTATTTGTTGAGCATTGACAATATGGTTAACAAACAAGTAGAAGTATTGCCTAGAGGCTTATAAACCTAAATAACCTAGGTAAATTCCCCTCATCCTCCAAAAAGTGCCTAATTGACAATGATACTAGATTATTAAAGAAGATGCCATTCTTGTAGATCCTAAATAAGGCATAGCCTTTGCTGTGTTTTTAGAATGCTATTTCGGTAAAGGCGTCCAGATTATTTCCTTGAGACATTATTCTTGAATGTAGGTATTAGCAGCCTCCAGAACTCCAAAAATAAAAAAGTTCAAGATTTCTTTCAGTGATTGCTCATGCAGGAAGAAAATATACAAAAGAAAAGATAAAAGTAAATTATAAAAGATAAAACTAATTACTAGATTTAAGTTAGTTGTATATGTTTAAATAATAATAAAAATATACAAAGCAGGGTTGCCTAAGTTTCACCATCTGAAAATAAAAAGAAACCTGTGAGGTAAAAAAAATTATTAAATAGTTTATTAAATGTAATAGATATATTGTAGCCACCTGGAGGAAACTGGGATTTGGGGTTTCCTACATTCCTGGCACAAAAAAGATTGAAGATTAGAAAAAAAAAAGGTAAATCTTGAGCTAGACAAAATGTTTTCCCAGCAATGCTCTGAGGAAGAATTTAAACTAGGTATAAGAATTCCTGACAAAGAAGAATTATTTCACTGACCCTGCCTGACTCCTCAGGTGAAATACACAGGTGAAATATTTCATGGGAAAAATGAGCTCTCATGGGTAGTGATGTCAAGTCAAAATAGCTAAATAAGGTTCTATTGCTGGTACTTTGAAAAATTGCTTAACTTTCTTAAAGAATTGGAAACCAAAAATAAAATTCTAAGCCTCCAACCAACTGAATGGATGACTCCTCTTGGCCAAGGGCATTCCAAAGTTAACTCAAAACGTGAGTTCAGGTTATGATGGGAAGGAGGGTTGGACATGCCTTATCATACCCTTCTTCCTTTGGAATTCAGGCACAACTGATCAGCATTAACATTAAAACAGAAATCTTAAGAGGGACAAACCTGACTCTTTGTAGCAATAAGATACCCAATGACAGATAGCGGCCCTGAGAGAAATAAAAAGCAAATATGTTTCTTCAGCATATTTTGAAATGGCCCTGCAAAGCTGTCTCTTATGGAGGAAATACATTCTATAGAGAATCTCCTTTCCTTTCTAGATCTTTTTCCTTACGCAGGAGAGGATTAACTAAGAGTCTGGCACATTTTTAAGTCTGATAAGAAACATTTACAATCTATTCTCTCTGAAGCTTGCTACCTGGAGGCTTTGCCTGCATAATAAGAACCTTGGTCTCCACAACCTCTTATTTCAACCTAAACATTTCGATTCCAGGTCTGTAGATAAACTCTTTCACCAATTGCCATCAGAATATCTTTGAATCCACCTATGACCTGGAAGCCTCCACTTCGAGTTGTCCTGCCTTTCCAGACCAAACCAATGTGCATTTTACATGTATTGATTGATGTCTTATGCCTCCCTAAAATCTATAAAATCAGGCTGCAACCTGACCATCTTGGGCACATATTCTCAGGATTTCCAGAGGCTGTGTCATGGGCATGTCCCTAGCCTTGGAAAAATAAACTTCTAAACTGGTTGAGATTTGTCTCAGATACTTTTTGGTTTACGGATTCAAAACAATGGCAAATCAGGCCACTATAGAAAAAGATCACAAAACATTGTACATAACAGAAAAAAAGAAAAATACATACTTGAAAACCCATATTTGATAATATAGATGATTTGTGGACTAAGCTATGTGATGGATCAGGCAAAAATCTTATAGTCAAGACCTGGGAATTGTAAACTAAAAATGAAATTCTAAACCCACCAACTGACTGAATGAACCATCTCTTAGGCAAGAAGACCCCAGAATAACCCCGAAAACTGAATTCTTGGCCATTATGGGATGAGGGAGTCAGACTACCTCCTTTGCTAACCATAATTAGACTTTCTTCCCTAAGGGCCTAATGGAAACCAGCTTTTCTGAAAAACTCCACCACTGATATCAACCAACCACCTGATGCTACCCATCCTTTTTTGCCTGATAAGTGACCACTGACCACTACTGTCTGGCCAGTCTACAGAGAATGCACAGTGAGGGTTTTCATGTCTTCTGCTTTACCTTTTGATACCAGAAGGCCAAAAATGCCCTCAGATCACCACCGTTTTTTGAACAGAGAGACACAGGGAGCTCCATTGTGCATGTACATGTTTCTCCTTTCATAAACATTCATGACTCCTTCTGTAGCTTATTGAAGATGTATATTTGGTCACCCCACTTAACATATTCCTGTTGCCTTTGCCCCTGCCTTGAAATATCTGTTTTGAGCTTCTGGTCAGAGTCTATGCTTCCCAGCCTATCAGAATGGCTGTAGGCTGCAACTCTTTATGATAAATAAAGTCTCCTCTTCTAAATTTATAAATTGTATTATCTTAAGTTGACAGAAATAAAGTCTCCTCTTCTAAATTCATAAATTGTGTTTTTTTAAGTTGACAGGATAAAGTCTATTTCCTCTATTCACTAAATGTGTCCTCTTAGCACATTACTTAGACTCTTTGAACCATAGTTCTCCATAGAATAAGGAAAATAATATTCACCTCAAAGGGTTGCTGTAAGAATAGAACAAAAAATATAAATGTAAAGAACATATACACAGTAGGCAATCAGTACCTATATGTGATGTGATAGGAAAGCCCTCTTTTTCTATCATTACTTTTAGAAGGTTGCTAATTTAAGTTCATGATTAATGTGAGATAAATCTACAGATTTCTTCACATTTACCTGTCCTATTTCTATGCCTAAGTTTGTTTATGTATAATTGTACATATGTTGAGTACTTGGAGATTTTGAAACATTGAAAACACTCTGGGATCAGAGGAAAAGTTCCACTTCTCTCAAGAAAAGTAAATAATAAAGAAAATTAGCCTATAATGTTAGTCATCACCAAAATAACAGAATAATGTCACACTCATTCCTTAGGAAAACAAAAATATGATTTGGATTTTCAATATATTTCTTGGTATCTTAAATGTGCCAGATGAAAGAAGCTTTCGTATTTATGTGCTGCATGTATTATTCAGAAGGAAGATGATTCCAAGTCATGTTATTTCCAAGGAAGCAACAATAACTTCACTGGACCCCTGCTGATCTTAAAGTGCAGCATGAAAAACAGTCTTGGAGACTTCTAGAGATGTCCAAAGTATGCCTACGGGGAGCAATAGGGATACCAGGAGAATCTGATGGTAGACGTATATTAAAAAAGCTATTTACATGTTAAAGCATAGAATGTAATTAATAGTGGTACAGCTGTGTTGAAGTTAATGTGCAGATCTGAGATTCTATCAAAAGGGACCATTATATATATTTAATGTGTCACTTAGTCCTCCATTTTCCCCTTTTGCTTTAATGCATCACAATTAATATATACCCCAAAGTATTTGCTGGGTGTTGTGATGACTGTTAATAATAACAGCAATAATGACCATGATGATAACTGTCATTTATTAAAGCCTCACAATATGCTGGGTCCTTTACTAAGTACTTTTTATGCATTATCTTATCTTCTCAGCAACTCAACTAAATGGATACTATTATTTTCTCTATCTTGTAGAAAAGAAACTAAGGATTTAGAAGACTGAGTAATTTGCTATGGAGGGTGCTTTTGTTTAAATACCCAATTGCCACTCCTTACTGTTCCCCTATAAACTTGCAAAGAATATACATTTCTTTCAAGCACGAGAACATGTAGAGAGTCTCAGTGCTTGTCCAGTCCCAGGGTCTGACTTTGAGCGATGTCACTCTGGCACAGTCCTTCTGTCCCCCTTGTGATTGATTGAGAGGTGAGAATGGACACATATCTCTGAAGGAACAGTTAGGGATATTTTCGCTGCATTACTTATGGGAAAATAGTCTACCTTTTTAAAAGAAACAAAAAAATCTGTGCTCTGTCTTCAAGACTTTGGATGTTGTGTGGATGTAAGACCAACATCTGCTATTAGCATCTTGTGAAGATGATTGAACCTCAAGATGAAGCCCTCAAGCCACCCCCCAACTTCCAATTCTCTGTTCTATTTTTCCCCATAAAACTCATTGCTTTTTAGTGTACCATATGATTTTCTTTTATTATATTTATTATTTATTATACATTATCATCTATTTATTATTTATATATTTTATAATCTATTATACTCTTTATAGCTTTCCCCTCTGGCAACAGTGCAAATTCCACAAAAGCAGGGCTTCTGTGTCTGTTTTACTGATATTTCTTGATCACCTAGAACTATGCCTGACAAAGGAGAGGCTCTGCTGAATATGGAAGGGTGTAAACAGTAGAACGAACCTGGACCATTGAACCCCTGAATTATCCAACCATCTTACTTCTGGACTTCTTATTTTGTGACTAAAAATTCCTTTTGAAATGAGAGTTATTTGTGATTGAGATCTGGTTTACTTAAGAGCCAAAAAACAGTAAGTAACACTCTTATCAAATTGATAAGCTAGAAAATATCAGATAAGAGATTCAAACGCATGTCTGACTCAAGACCATATTCATTAACCAGCATGCTATACTGCATTATGGACATATTGCTGGGAGATGCTATGAGATCACCTTGGAGTTGGAGAAGGACGTAGTGATAATCATTCCACAAATTGTTGACTGCTATGTGTTAGGCATTGGGATGAACAGTAGAAATGTAAGAGTACACAGAACTTGCTCTTCATCCTAATAATATACAGGGTGGTAAATAATTGACTAGGAGGAAATATGAAGAAGTAACTCACCTCTATCAATTAGGTTGCTTTCAGCAGTAAACAACAGAAAATCCCGGTAAAATTCATCTTCTCAAATAATATGGAATTTATGGTGTCATTTGATAAAAAATCTGGAGGTAAGTGACATGGGTTTGTTCAATTCTATGGTTCAATACGTACTGTTACATTAAGGATGCCTTAATATAATGCCTTCTGTTTTTCTGTTCTGTTACCCCCAATTGAGTGATTTTCTCAATATCTCAAGGTGGATCCAGCCATCATATCCTCATTCGCATCAGTGTCTAGTAGCAGGAAAAAAATAACGAGATAACACTTTCTTTTATCTATTTTTATTAGCTAAGAAAATATCCCTAAAAACTTCCCTAGGCAAACTTGACATTATGTCTCATTGGCCAGATTTGGATCATACAACCATTTCTAAGCAGGGAAAGGGAATAGGATGACCATAATTAATTGAGCAAAGACAGATTCATCCCCTGAATCTGCAGTGGTTCACCAGGGATGAGCATTTTATGCAAAACAAGGTGACATAGAAAAGCTCCAATATCTGAAAATATCAGAGTTCTCTTAACGAGGAAGAAAAGGAGAATGGCTATTGGGCAGATGTCAATCGTGTCTGTGACTGGTTTAGTTCTCACCTTACATGATATCCCATGGGCATTCAACACAGTTGCTCTAATGCTTTTTCTGGAGTTCTATGAAACAACTTTCTGTCAATTTTTCCTAATTATTGCAAAAGTAAATATAATAAACACCAAACAAAATACAAGTTGGATGCTTTGGGTACCATGGTTACATAAAAAGACACCCCAAAACTTAGTTGTTTAGAATAAGAACAATATTTATTTTTCTCTCAATCTGCAATCTGGGCAAGGCTCTCTGGGTATAGTTTGTCTCTGTTCCATGTCAGTATCAGGTAGGGAGGCATGAGAACTGGGGGCTGGGATTATTTTTTATTTATATACCTGGTACTTAGGTTGAAAAGACCCAAACAGCAGGGCATCTTTCTCATCTTTTATGTCTCTCCATGTGATCTCTTAAGCTGTGGACTCAGGGATTCCAAGATACGTATGTTGAAAAAAGAAAGGAGAGAGAGAGAGAGAAAGAGAGGAAATACCAGGAAGAAGCTTGATTGGCTTTTAAACCTAAACTCAGAAGTCATATATCACTTCCACCATAGCCACAGTCCCCCACGCCCAGATACAAGAGGAGGGAGCATAAAATCCAATTCTCTATGGAGGACTGTCAACATCACATGGAAAGGAGAGAATGTGGAATGGGATGTATGAAAGCATAGATATTTATATGTGCTTTTAGAACACTGGCAACATTACTCTAAAGATTGTATGGAAAAGCAAATAGAAAACACAACAGTAAGTTTAGTGAAAGAAGTATATAGACAGGTAAACCTTATCATATATTAAAACATCATTTACAAAATTAAAATAATTATAAATAATACTGTTGACATAATCATTAAAAAAATCAATGAAATCAAATGGGTACCTTAGAAAAAGGACTTATAAAACTTAGTATATCATTTAAAATGAATGACAAATCAATGGAAATATTGCTAAGTAAATATTGTTCATATGATTGCCTAACTATTAGCAGCATCTATTTTAATCTTCGTTTTACAACATGTTGTGAAATTAAACTGCCAAGAAATCAAGCAAAACCAAACAAAATACTACATTGCCAAAGGAAATATGTTAAAATACACAAACACATAGCAAATATAAAAACAAAATGAGCTGTTTATTAAGTATACAGGAAGATCTTCAACTATAGACATAATCATAGAAGTACCCAGTCTTGAAAATAAAGATTTTTTTAACTACCAAAATATCAAAAGTAAGAAATGACATCAGACAGTGTTAATGACAGTGTGACAATTTATATATTGCTATGATGCCATTTATATTGATTACCTATTGCTGCCTCACAAATTATCCCAAAAGTTAGTGACTTCAAATATCAATTAAAATTTACTACCTCAGCATTTTCTATGGGTCAGGACACTGGGAGCAGTTTAGTTGGTTTGGGATCACTCATGAATTTGTAATCAGGATTTTGTTGAGGGTGAAAGCCTACTAGAGTTGGAGGGCCTTCTGAGATGGTTTACACACATGGCTAGTTCAGTTTCTTACCATGTGGGCTTCTTCATAGGGCTACTTGAGGTTCCTCACTATCTGGTGTCTCACCTCCCCCTGGGCCAGTAATCTGAGAGAATAGAGTGGAACCTGTAATGCCTTTTATGAGCTAAATTTGAAAGTCACACACAGTCACTTCCATAATATGCTATTTATTAGAAGCATGTTACTAAGTGTAGTCAACATTCAAAGGAAAGTGTCAGGGACTTTGTCCATGTATTTTTAAACCATCACAATTTTTTTATTTGAAAAAAATTAGTAAAAATGCATTATGAGCCTTTTAAATGTACATATTTTTAAGTCCATAATTTCGGTTCTGGAATTGTAATAGGTAAAACAAATTT
Source organism: Homo sapiens (assembly GCF_000001405.40). Classification (NCBI taxonomy): domain Eukaryota; kingdom Metazoa; phylum Chordata; class Mammalia; order Primates; family Hominidae; genus Homo; species Homo sapiens. Next base: position 61,943,527 of record NC_000008.11, read on the forward strand.
AAACAAAAAAACTAATGATTTTCATTATCTCATTAATTATTACAGTGACTTTGGAGGGAACATAATTGACAAAAAAAGAGAATTATGTATCATATCTACATGATGACAATGTTTTAACAACTTAAAATAAAAGACTGACACTTCTGGCCATGGCATAGTAAACTGCTACTGGAATTGTCCTTTTGATGAAAATAACAGTAAAATAACAAAATATATAAAGTAACTTTTCAGGCATTAAACATCAGGCAGATCAGCAATCTGATCCTTGAAAGCATGAAAATATAAAATGTGATACACAAAATAGATCATCCTAGCTTTTTGACCAGAGACACTTTCTTGCTATGGACCAGTGTTACTTATTGGAGGAAGATGGTTGGGTTTTTGAGTGCCATGGTGTTAATGTGTTCTCTAAAATTTATGTGTTGGAAACTTAATCCCCATTGCCAGAGTGTTGGGAGGCGAGGTCAAATGGCATGTGTTTAGATCATGAGGGATCCACCTTCCTAAATGGATTAACACAAATTATAAAAGGATTTAAGGCTGCAGGTTTGATCTGTTGCTCTCTCTCACTTTGACTTTTCCCTTCCACTCTTCCACCGTGGGTTGACACAGCAGGAAGGCCCTTGCCAGATGCCAGCAACTTGATATTAGATTTCCCAGCCTACAAAACTGTGAGTCAATACATTTCTATTCATTTTAAATCACCCAATCTGCAGTATTTTGTTATAGCAACACAAAATGGACTAAGACACTGGATTTTTGACATGGTGAAAATTTATGTGACAGAGACTGAAAATAAGGGAGGGAAGGAATAAGTAAGAGACGGCAGAAGTTTTCATGAAGATTCATAACATTTTAGTGGCCAAGCATTACAATGCACATGCACGTGCACAAGATGGCTTTCTATGAAGTGTAGCAAAGATAACCTTCTCTGGGGCTGAGAGACGAAGTGTTACTAGAGATCTAGACTGGGAGATTTAGCATTCTGGTTTATCCAGAGTTGAAAGACTTTACTGAATACCTTGGACATTCATCTGAGACTCCAGAAAGGACATGTCTTAGAAGTAGGAAGCATGCTCTCAAGGAATAGCCATGTTGCAGGACTAAGTTGAAGGCTGAAATAGATCTCTTCTAGCCAAGAGTAAAACCAAGACTTACAGAACAAAGGATTTTCCAATAGTTAACTGCCTGCCAAAACACAACTCAGCACCCCTGTAAAGCAGGGCAACATATCTAAACTCCCTATAATATATCATCAACACTGTTCTGCATGCAATGAAAAGTTAAAAAAATACACGAATAAGTGAGAAAATATGGCCTACTATGGAAAAAGTAAAATACCTCAAGATGACTCAGATGCTAACATTAATAGGCTAGCACTTGATTTATTATACTTTTTTAAGCTGGTCGTCTGTTGGTGTTGTCTTTTTAAGAATTTTATTTTGAATTGACAAATAATAATTGTATATATTTATGGAAAGCAATACAATATTTCAATATATGCATATAAATTATGAAATCATTTAAATCAGGCTAGTTAACAAGTTCATCACCTTACATATTTATTTTTTTGTGGTGCAAACATTTCAGACCAGGATTTTAAAATGCTATATTATGAATATGTTCAAGGACTGAAAGAATAATAAAATAATAATGAATGAAGAGATAGAGAATGTCACGAGAAAAATGGGAAACATAAAAATTAGAAATTGTAACAGAAAAGTGCAATATGTGAAATGATACATTAATTGGATAGGCTGAGGAAAAGATTGAAGACTACAGAAACAAGCAATGCTGACCTTGAAGACAAACTAGTAGACATTATCCAGTCTAAAGAACCTAGAGATAAAAAGATGGGGAGGGGGCAGAGGGAGAGGCTAGTGCCTCAAATTCTGACATATATGCAATTAGAATCCCAGAGAGAGATTTTTTTTCATATTAAACTAATAATAGCAAAAAATTCTTAAAGTTAGTAAAATGCTCCAGTTTACAGATCAGAGAAGTCAAACAAACTTCCAAGCAAGATAAACATACAGTAAACACACTTAGCTATATTATAAACTGCTGCAAAAGGAAGATAAAGGAAACGTACCTTAATAAAATGCTCAGAGAAAAAGAATGCATTACATACAGTTAAACTGTTAATAAGAGCAGTTGTCATGTTATCAGAAACAGTGAAGGCAAGAACACAATGGAGCAACATCTTTGAAATGCTAAAAGAAAATTCTGCCATCTCAGAATTCTGTATTTTGTGAAATTTTCTTCAGAAATAAGGAAAAATTAAAACATTTTTAGATAAATGAAAGTGAAAAAATTTGTTGCTAGTAGATATATACTAAAATAAATACTATACAAGATTTTTTAAAAAAGAGAAGAAAATCAGATTGAAATTTGGATCCACAAGAAAGTCATTTGGAAATTTCAAACAGGAGGCTAAATGTGAAAAAGTAAAAAATAAAAAGGATATCAAAACCAGAGAAATGAAATAAAATGTTTCAAAATATTAATAGCAGTTCTCTTTGGATAGTTTTATCCAAATCATCAATGGAAGTCAAATCACGTATGGAAGCATCTTGCATATCTGACCTCCTTAATTAGAGAGGTCTTCTGAATGCAAAAAAAGTCATCAAGAACAATACTTCAAAACTTACTCAAATATAGTAGGAGGGATAAATATATGAGTAAAATCTCTATGCAGCTGCTTCTGCCTACTGGAGATGTGGCATAACACATCTGTAGAGTAGAATGTTTTGTTTTTATATATCTTTGGCTAAGGGCAAGACCAAGAGAAATGAAGAACTGTTTTATTCCAATATATAGGGGCAGAAATTTTGTTTTCCACAGTCCGGATAAGAAGAAGAAAAAAACTCGGAAATCAGGTATGTATGGAGAAACGAGGAAAGAGACCTCTGAAATAGTGGCACATGGAAACGTTTGAGGAAAAAAATGGCAAATGAGAAATTCCCTGTGGAGGAGATGGCCCAGGATCACTGATGTCTAATGCTCAAGTCACGTTCTATTCATAATGTGCTGTGGTCATCCTTTTAAATCACCAAGTCTTCAGTTAGGGTCTTCTATAGACAAAGGCCCTGTGTTTATGTGATTTTCAAGCACTGAGGAAGTGAGCTGGAAGAGGGAGAGCCTCCTGGGAAGCTGAGAGTGACAATGGAAAACCTAATTGCAGCAGAAAACAGGTTAACAGGGTATTTATTCTACAGGGAATGCCATCTCTAGTCGAATCGATGATTGATTTCACATCACATTAAATGGAAGCAAATAAAGTAAATTCAAATTACAGCCCACAAAATGAGTTGAAGGACAACATAAAACAATGTTTATAATTATTTTATTTATAAAATCTGAAGTTGTTTTATAACTTGCATGTGATAGAAGATAGTTGGGCAATTATTGAAATACTAGCACACTATTAAAGAGAAATATTAGTTTATAGGTATAGAACTTAGTGTGGGAAATTTCATGTCTGGTTCTCTCACAAATTCATTGATGTGAGAAACAGTAACAGGTTCTGACTATAAAGTGATTATAAGGTAGAATAAATAGAAACCACCTCCAGAGGCACTAGAGGAAATCCTTGGGGATTTCTTACTCTTTGACTGAATCAAATGTCCTTTGCCACACATTAGGCCTCTCTGGAGTCTTTGTTAGACAAATTCCTTAAAAATCTTAGACAGCCAGGCAGATTTTCTAAGATCTAAACCACAAGGGCAAGTAGAGGTCCTTTGTGGTACTCAGAGAGCTTTGAGAGTGACTTAAACATCAGCATACATTTGAAAACTATAATTGCAAATGAGAAGTTTAAAAAATAGATGTGGCTTTTTATTTAATCATACTGTTTTAAATTCTTCTTTACAATAACAAATTATGCTGTATACAAGAAAATATTTAAATCACTTAAATAAAAATTCAACCCAAGCTGCTCTTCTATTTGGATGGCAATCAAAAAATGTTTCTGCAGGAATTATAATAACAATTCTGTGCTCTTCTGACATTTGTTCTAGGTAGACTGATATAACCCTTGTCTAAGAGTTCATCCTGACAATGCTATGCCATCTAATCAGGAATTAGAAAGATGAGTCACCACACTAAAACATTTAGCTGGTCGTAAATAAGTGTTCCACTTCAATATGTACATATGCCATTCTTTGTTATAATTCATTTTCCAGAATTGCCATATGATCTGTGATACCAATTTGCTATGTGTATTGTTGCATTAAAATTCTTAGTCAATTCCTTTTATTGTTTCAATAACAAGCATGTTTAAAATATTTTTTTTTAGTCATTTGGAGCTGTGGTATGCTGATGTTATTCTTTTATAAGTATAGAGATTAGAAACCAACTCCCACTTCAGCATAAAAAAACCAAAACATAAGGCTATTGTCTTGAAGCTTTATTATATTTACATATTTCCAAACTCATTATTTAGCATTTAAATGGGCATTTCTTTTATCATATTATTTTGATTATTATATAAACAATAATGTATAAGCATAATAATTTATAAACATATTTCTACTTAGCAACAGTATAATAAATAGTATGATAAACTACCCATAGAAATGTTACCTACTTCCAGATCAAAATAGATAATAAAAACATTCCAGGTGATGCAAAGGGCAGTCCGCATTGTACATAAGAAAAAAATAAAATAAAAAGAGAGGAGAAAAATGTGGCGATTAAAGGCATTTATTGGAAACAAGTCAATAATAAAAATGTCAATAAGTTTAAATCTAGAAAAAAAGAGACAGGGCACCCAGAAAAGTGTGAGCTTTACAATGTCTGATAGGATCTTTAAAATTTCAAAGACCAATAGTTTCTGCCACTTGTAGTACATGCCAATAAAATTCGATTTATTTTTAAAGTGTTTTATTGGCCTGAAGATATAACTTTATTTTAAATGCTGAATTGACTACTGTTTTCTGAGTATTCTCATTTTGTTACAAATAACATTATACAAATTTTCTATCATGCCACCCGTAAAATCAAAATAAATTATGCTAGTAAACTGTCAGGACTAGAGATAGTAAATGACAACACTCCCATACCCCTAATAGTAGGCTAGTTCTAAAAACAGAGATGTGGTCTTAAGTGAGTATAGTGTACTTTCTTGGTTCATCTGATAAAAATAGAAAGTGTGCTTTCTGTGAATCATAATATTAACTGAGGCCAAAAATATTAACTAAAAAAGCTATGACAATTTAATGAATAGAATTAGGATGAATAAATTAACAGCAGATTTCCATAATGATGGAAACCCTTCTAATCAAACTCAGCAGCTTATGAATCTGTTGACACCACAGATGAAATGGTTTTTATTAATGGCTCCTTTGTATTAGAAAATGCTATAATTACTAATTTGGTGGGTTTTTTTTAAGGGAATCACCTTTTTATTTAAAATATTTAATTGACAAAAACGACTGCATATATTCAAAGCATGCAGTATGATGACTTGATATTTGTATAAATTGTGTAATGATTATGAAAATAAAATTAGTTAATATACCCATCACCTCTCATACTGTATATCAGATCCCTAAAACTTATTCATCATTGTATTCTTTGACCCACATCTCCCCATTTCCCTACCCCCAGCCCACCGCAATTGGTTAGCTTTAACTTCACTGGTTAGCCCCAGATGGAGATCTTAGAGCTCATCTAATCCAGTCACTTTTAGATTTAGATAAATTTTGCCACAGAGAACTTAACTATAGAGAAGCTTGAATTACTGAGAATGATAACTTCCTTGGGAGAATGTCACCACAATTAAATACACTAGTTGCTATTTACTTTACTATAAAAGTTCATAAATTCTTAATTCCTTAATATTCATTATATAGGCACACTAGTTATATTATGGCTTTCTATCAGTGATAAGAAATGAGTTTTAAGGGAAATAAAAGTACAAAGATATTATATTGATTAAATGTATTTCTTTAAGTAATTTTATAATCTACCCAATGATAGAATTATGCAATGTGGGTGATATTTATGAATGGTTACAGTAATCATAAGTCACTCAGCAGCTCATGATAGTCACACAATTTCATTTACATTCCCTCTGTTTTGTCATTCATGATTTTTTCTGAAAGTGTAGTCCCATAGTTGATTGCATTTGATGTCATACTTCTCATTTTGACTTTGAAGTGGAAGTTTTCCTGGTATAACTTATTTTTAAAGGACCATAAAACTGCAAAAATGACCCAGAGCTCCTGACTCTGGAGATATAGAAAAGTTGGCTAATATAAGTAGAAATTTAAAAATAGGTTGAGGAGGCTTCTAGCTTCAGCTCCCACATATAAAGAAATTGGAAATCATCCATCCCATTGTTGTAAAAGGAAAAGCTTTACAAACTGAAAATCAATAACTTGTACTGAACCAATCAGAAAATGGAGATTCCAGGACAAACTGCCACCCTTACATTTGGAGGGGCAGGCATATCCTGAGAGATAGAGCTGAAATCTGTTTACCTGGAGCAGAAGCTGCTGGAGCCATAAACTAGTAGGACCTCTAATGTTGATTCTGATGAATCGCTGGATGCTGAATGTGAAATAACTTGAGAGAGAGAAGCTGCATAGGTCCACAGTCTTGAGGGCTCCCATGCTTCCGTGGCCTTTTCCTACAGGAACCCCATCAGGTTCTTATGTAAGAATCTGAGAAAGATCCCTTTATGGCTCTCTTGAAGGGTGGGGAGTGGGAAGGAGTAACCACTGTGAAATATACCCATAGCCTTCTCCATAGCAAAGCCTTCTATGGAGGAAAGAATTTTGCCAGAGCATTATCTCATCTGGGACAAGAGGATTCCTCTCCACTCCAACCTTCTCCAGACTTCTAGGGTCTAGTAAGGTGAAAAAACACATCCACCAAAGTTCTGTTCTCCAAGAAAATGGATTGGAAACACTGCAGCCCAGGAAAAGAACTAGGCAATATAAATGAAGGGATGGGAGGAGCGGGGGTTAATACAACTGGAGAAACACTTGTGAAAGCCTGAGACACAGACTTACTAAAAGACAGATTTAGTTGGAAGATTGTAAGACACTCACCCTCCCTCATGCCTTGTCACCACACCAATAGCTCTCCAGTGGCAGACTTATCATCTAAAACATGTAAGCAAGAGTCGAATAAAACATTTAAGATGTTAAAGAAAAAAACATGAACCTTAATTCTATATCCAGTAAAATTGTCTTTGAAAAATGATGAAGAAAATGTTTCTCAGATTAGAAAAAAAAAAAAAAAAACTGAAGGAAATTAATGAAAACAGACTTGCCGGGCAAGAAATGTTAAAAATGTTTCTCAGACAGGAGGAAAATATCAGAAACTTGGTCTACATAAAGAAAGGAGGGCCAGGCGTGGTGGCTCACGCCCATAATCCACTTTGGGAGGCCAATGTGGGTGGATCACCTGAGGCCAGGAGTTCGAGACAAGCCTGATCAACATGGTGAAACCCTGTCTCTACTAGAAATACAAAAATTAGCTGGGTGTGGTGGCGGGCCCTTGTAATCCCAGCTACTCAGGAGGCTGAAGCAGGAAAATTGCTTGAACCCAGGAGGTTGAGGTTGCAGCGAGCCAAGATCACGTCACTCCATTTTAGCCTGGGAGACAGAGTGAGACTCCATCTCAAAAAAAGAAGAAAGAAAAATCTACACAAAGAGAAAGAATAAGTGATGGTAAAATCATATAGAAAATCTAGAAGAACATAATTTACATACTACTATGCTTGATAAAATGATTGGCTTACGATATTTGAATAATAACTTCAGGCTAGCAATAATATATTTAGTACTGCATGAAGAAAAAGTCACATTATTGTCTTGCTATGAGTAAATACACATGGTTTTAATTGTTTTCCCGAGAATGGCAATTTTGATGAGTACTAACCATGTATTAAAAGCAAAGTTTTCTATTACTTGCTATGGCCTAAGGGTCCTAATGCAAAATTGGTGGAAAGCAGTTCCTTTGAACCCCATTTTGTTGAGAACTAACGCTTACAGGAAAATTTCTCTTAGAGGAAGTAAAATTCTTTTCAAATATTAAAGTGAAAATCACAGAGCCATAAGAGTTTTCAGTAAGCTTGTTTTCATTGTATATGCAACACTGTTGAACAATTGAGAATATGCTAAAGTATGCATTTATATATATCGTGTATGATGATGCAACTGAATTACATCAAATTCAGTGATGATCAACAAGATTATAATCATGTAAAAAAGACCATTTTAATTATATATATATAATTTTTATAATCCCATCTGCTGTAGTGGGACTACATGTCATATTTCAGGCATTCCCCCTCCTCATCAGATTTACATTGATGAAATAATATTCCAACAAAATGAACCAATGATTAGCTCTACTGATAGCAGTATGAGCCACAGATTAGAAGTGAAAATGACACTCAAAGTATTTTGCTAGATATGCGCGGCAGGTGTTTGGCTTGAATAGCTTTAATCTCCTTTGACAAAAAGAAATGCCCTTCATCCAGCAAGCTGAATTTACCTTGGTTAAGATTCTCCTTCAGTAAGCTGCAGAGAAGAGAACAGAGAAAAATGCCTGAAGACAACCACACCAGAAGCACATTCATTTCATGGGTGCCTCCTAATTATTGACTCGTCACCATCTCCTGCATCCACAGATTGAAAGATGTGTAGAAATGATAACAAAGCAAAATGATCAGAGTAATGTAAGTGAAAGGGCAGTCTTGCAATTCTCTGTTTCTCTCTGCTTATGATTGTAATTAGTTCCCAGGAACGCTACACTAAAAATACAGCCATTTGTTTCTCCATCTATGTGTGGCACAAGGGTACAAACACAAGTGCTCTGCTCAGAGAAAAAGATCCCTGAAGAGCAGCTGCAGGCAACACATTCTGAAAAGAAACAATATTTTAAAGCTATCATGTAGGACAAAATGTTTAAGGTAAAGTTTTCAAACAGATAATAACACAATAACCTGTTCTGTCAGAAAATGCATGAGTAACATTTCATTTTATGGTGTTAAACAAAAAGTATATAATGAGACAGACTACAAATTAATGACGCTTATTAGGAGATCTGTATTCTTTACTGAGGAAGATTATCTATCTATCTATCTATGAATCATCTATCTATCATCCATTTATCTATTCTATGAATACCCTAATATACATTTTAGGTGGCTTGAAATAAGAACTCCTAAAATAATTAACACATAAAAAGAAACCAAATGATAGAAATTGAAGGAAGCGAATTATGTCAAGAAGCAGACTAGCCAAAGAAAACCTATAATAATAGCTGCTATAAAATCTATTGAAAGTATATTTGAGTGCTGCACTTTAAGAAACAAACTATACACAACAAAAAGGAAACAAACAAAAAACTTCTAAAATCTTTCAGACCACTTATTCATTCAGATTCCCAGCAAAAGTATCTCTATACTTTATAACCTGTGTGATGACATTATTTTATTACATTGGAATTAAAATATATACCTATAGCTCTCTTAGCTCAGAAGGAGTTTGAAATATATACTGCAAATAGTTCTGTAAAAATGGTTATAATACAAAGTAGAGTTAATCAGTATGCTTAATTTACTGTCAAAAGGACAGTAAATTTATCAACTGATTACATATCAACAATGAACAAATATTGATTTCTTGTTCTATACATTTTCTGACAAGCAAATATTTCTAATAAACATATATTTCAAGCTCTGACACAGTATCATTCAAATAATCTAGAATATAACAAGGTCATGGACTGACACAAAATTTAAAAATCTATCTATATCCATCTCTCACTCTCTCTGTATATAAATATAGCCTGTGTATATGTATATATATAGATAGAAACTGTCTATCTATCTATATCTATCTATCTTGTATTAAATCCTATAATCACCATCTAAGGGAAGATAAACTTCAATACTATTGGGACAAAAGTACCTGAAATACATATATTCTCCTAACTTTCAAATACATGTATTTCTTGGGTCTTAAATTTTCTTGTGCTGGAAAGGAAAGCAAATAGTTTAAACCGTAGAAAAATAATTCTGAAAATAGTAGAAATTTAGATAAGTTTTTTTGTGCCCATAAATGCTAGAAGAATTATGAAACATTCATGCTATTACAGATAAACTCATTTCCCAAAATCATGAGTATATTTATGCCATGAATAATTTGCAAAATTGCTTTTTCTGAAATTCAAATTCGTAAGACTTAAAAGCTAACAGTAACACCAAGGCTGTTATAAGTGTATTGCTACTTGCTCAAGAAAAATATAATTCCCAGATTCTATCATATAAATGGAGGACTATTGATTTAAAACTTCCAGCTGTTTTCTTTTCTTGAACCTCTGATGTACTATTGAGAATCTATTTGGATCCACAGGAGAGGAGTGAAAGTTTGTGTTTAATATTTGAGGTATGCTGATTCTGGACCCTCATTTCTGTAGGATATTTATGCAAAATTAACAGATTACAGAACCAGTTCAGAATGAGCTTAATGATTTTCTGGTTTTAGGTTAGATGATAGTTTGGAGGACAAAATGGATTTTGTCATTTACAGGCTATTACTGAGATACAACTATTTTATCCATGATATTGGCCAATGATTCCATTTATCTCATAAATTGAAAGGCATAGAAAACCGGCATTTTAATACACTGATCACGAAAGAATAAACTATAAAGACTTTCCTCAATCTTAAAAATGTGAATCAGGGTTTCTAGATTCATATTGAAGTTGATAATGTATGTTTGTAACCTTTCCTTCCATGGCCCTCTCCAAAAACTAAAGTAGGAATTGAAAAGCTATACTATGATAACAGTGAAGAGAATGACAGGGGTGCCTATATGTACATGAGAAATTATGTCAAATAACTTGAAAACAGAGCAGATAGAAGTGGGCTGACAGGTGATTAAACCTGACCAGAGGAACCCTTAAGAGTCAGAGATTCTAAACAGGAAGGACCACAGAAGCTGGCCATGAAAAACCTGGCTGGAGACAGGAGACTCAGTTAATGCTCTGCCCATAAAAATTCTCTCCACACCTCACCTGCATGCAGAATCCCACAGATTTCCTTTTACTACTTCTCCCACTGCTCTCTGTCTCTGTCTCTGTCTCTCTCTCTCTCTCTGTCACACACACATACACACCACACACACACACACACACACTCTTCTGTGCACAAACAGAATGAACTACATGATAAGAACTATAATGGACAGTATGTCTGGTGTATGAATAGGCATCCTGGAGATAAACTTCAGTTGTTCAAATATTTAGCTCCCTCCATAGTAATAACCAGATTCTTGCACACTCAGTCACCTATGTTGCCAGGTATGCCAGACAACACAGCCTGCCCGTGTAAGCTGACTTCCCATTCTATTTGGCAACTGCCCTATTGTGGTGATGAACAAACACTCAAGGCTTACCAGTCAATGGAGGACAGTCTAGAGCACAGCAGAAGAAAAGAGGGATCTAAGAGCAAGACCAAGTGCACAGAGACACACATAGTTCTGGGGGAAGCAGAGAGGTCATGCAAAGTCACTTTTTACAGCGTGTCTGGTATCTTCAGAGAGTGCCACAAAGCTATTTTAGCCTTATTAGAATAAAAGGGTACTGTACAAAATGGAGAGTTGGAGAATGCAAAAGGACTGTTAGGCACTAGAAATATGCTGAAATAAACAATTCAGATATTTGGAAGTTAATATTATAAAAATCATCCTCAACACAGTAAGGGATCAAAATTTTAAGATAATTGATGAGAAACACAAAGCAATAATCAAGTACATTTTCTGCTAATAGAAATCCCCAAAATAAAAGGGAAACATAAGAAGAAATGGCCAAATAATTAAAACAGATTTTCTAGGAAAGAAAGGGACACTAACTTTAGATTTAAATGTTTTACTGAGTGAAGAACAGTCTGAATGAAAATGACCCATATGTAGACACAACCTTATATTATTCCACAATTCCTGTAGTAAGAAGAATGCTCTAAAATTTTCCCAGACGAAAAAGCAAAACAGAAATAAAGGACTAACATTTAGACCAACATCAGACTTCTCTTCAGCAAGATTGTCAGAGTGCTTCGACACTGACTCCGCAATGTGGTCAGAGTTCTGAGGGAAAACTATATTCAACGTGAAATTCGGTATTTAGATAAACTGCCAATCAAGAGATGAACGCAAAATAAAGATATTCCAGACTAAGGAATCAGAAAAATCACAAGTGTACTTTTATTGGTTAATTACCTGATGACATAACAATTAAGGAGTAAGTCAGGAGAAATGAAAATACAAGCTTCACAAAATAGTGGCTCTAACTCAGGAGAGCAGTCAGTATCAGCCACTGGTTAACAGTAATTAAGCCAAGTAGGAAATAACCACTCTAGAGAGAGCAGAAGAAAAGAGGGATCTGAGAGGAATGACACCACAGATTCCATGCAAATGAAAGAATAGTGTACCCCAGAGGTTTTCAAACCATGGCCCATTGGCCAAATTTGTCTCATCTCTTGTTTTTATAAATCAAGTTTTATTAGAATACAGCCACACTCAATCATTTACATATGGTCTATGGCTACTTTTGTAACACAGCAACAGGGTTGAGTAGTAGCAACAGAGAGTGAATGTCTTGCAACGGCTAAAGTTATTTGCTATCTGCCTTGATACAGGAAAAGTTTGCCAATTCCTGATGTTGGCAGCTGAAGAATTGGAGGGTACAATAAAGTCACAGAGGTCAATAAAAAGAGGGCAGTTAGACACTCCAGGAAATTTTTTAAAAAGCTGAATGTGTAGCAGTCAGTCAACTTGTCTGAACAGGAGGCAGGACCTTAAAGAAGAACAATGGAATGATCCTATTTGATAGGTAGGATGCATAGTAACCAGAAGTTATTAGGCATATAATGAAGAATACATATGTCTCATTTTTTCAAGATAAAAATATGAAATTAAATTAATATTATTGAAAAGTAAAAGAGGAAGAAAAGAATAAAGGAAACCAAGGCAAATGTTACTTGAAAGATGTGATTCACGTAAAAAGCATGCTAACATTGTCCTAATTTAGTGTGTATGAATGTATAGTACGTGGACACATGGGTCTTGATGTTGGTACCATGGAGGGGGAATGTGACCTTATTACCTGCTTCTGCATTGAGTATATTATGTCATTACAAAATTAATGCCATTATTGGTTTGTAACATTGAGAATCAACCTACAGAAAAAACATTAAAAACTTCATTATAGTGAGGGAAAAGAATGGAAGTGCCTACACATTCAACAACATAAAAGCCTGTCAAACAAGGGGTATGAGGTGCTGACAGTTCTATGCTGTATCATGCATGTGAGCACAAGTGGAAGGCGTTTTTAACTCTTTTCACAATGTCAGGCATTTCCTCATCTAGCACAAAGGAGCAAATGACTTTCCTCATTGAACACCAATGTATTTGCCTTGATATAAATCAGTAAATTTTTCAAATTCCTCAGAAGATGGACTTACTGTGCCATGTTATGTCCAAGTTAAACACACACACACACACACACTTACACACACTCACTCTTCAAAGTAGTCTTTTTATTAATCTTTGCCGCACCTAAATGCCTAATATAGTACTTTGCATTGTATTTTGTTTATATTGATGAAATTCAATTTTTACTTAAATAGCTTTTAAAACTCCCCCAAACAGAGTATATTTCTGGATCCTTACCTAGGATGAATTCGTAGAATGAGCTTCGTCCAAATTGAAACAGTAAGAAAGTTTTTTCTTAAGAATGGAGTAACCTATTCTTGGAAACTAAATTTTCTTGTAAATAAAGTGAGCTGCCTTTTATTCTTATTCTTCCTGCTGACTAGAAGCAGAAACAATAAAATGATTGCAACCTGAGAATCAATACAAGGCCATTCACAGCTGTGTTGACAGCCAAGAAGCACATGCTTCATTGTGAATAGACAGATCTACAGAGGCTGAGGAGTTGAAAGACTGTATGTGAAGGGCGTGTACAACACATGCACTCAGAAAGGTTCTTTCAAGTGTACTGTGCACTGACTTAGCAATCCACTGGCAGAGTGATAATGAAAACATAGGAAACATGTGATGACTATTTCATCAACTTCTCAATATGTCAGGGAATAAACCCAAGTGTTAAAGAAATGCTCCAAGGCGATAGTATGGATAAGAAGTAATTTACCACTTTAATTTTTCCACATCTGTTAATCTCATACGATTCTAATAAAAGTATGAAATATATTGTTATCCTACTGAGTATATGAGAAAAAATAACAGTCACTAATTGGAGACAGAGCTAAGAATAGAAATTTAATGTCTTGATCCTATTTCATTTCCATCATACCACACTGAAATCCTGCAGCAAAAAGCTCTTTATTTAGTAAGATTGAATTCCAAAATAAACGCATTATCAGAGGTAGAAATAACATAGGAAGCAATTAGAAATGATAGGGCTTTGCCCCATTTGATCTCTTTACTTCCTCAGCTTAATCCTAATCGCCAAGGTGGGCAAAGCAAAATCTCCCTATCCTTCAGTAGAGTAACATGGCACTTTTTAGAAATTTATCTCCTGTGTGACAACCATCAAGTAACAACCTCTCAGCTTTAGTTTATCGGTCAAATATGTATAACAGTAATCCTTGCCTTGCAGGTAATCATTAGCAATTGAATATCTATAAAACACACAGAGGACAATCAATCTAGATGGCAAAACTCCACACCAACCCACGCAAAATCGATACCCACCTTTCTCCTCTCTCAACCCTAAAATTATTTGTCTGAGTTAACATCATCCTTTCCAGATTCCATTGTCATCAATCCAGTATTGTGTAGACCAACAGTTCACAAAAACTTACCTGCACCAAAGACATTCTTGTTAAAATGAATCATTGTTTCTTGAAAATTTCATTGATACAGCAGTTTCATGTAAAATTTATAATATAGCAACATTAGCATTTGACACAAATAAATGCAGGTCTGACTCCACAAGATATAAATTTCCAAGATCAGGGCGTAAATGAAAGGAAAGATAAGTGTTTCCAGCACACCATGTCTCCTAGTAACACACTTTTTAAAATGTCAATATTATGAGTAAGTCCTTACCCTTTGCCTAGAGAAAATGACTTTCATGCCAGTAATGAAGAGAATCACTTGTGCTATGTTGAGTGATTCTTAATGATCAATAACAATACTTAGCACTTATGTAGCAGTTTTCATCTTCAAATCACTTTACTGGCATTGAACAAATTCAAGATGCTATCATTTTCTCTCAAGAAAATCCATGGGATGGGAAGTTGTAGTTTACTTTGCCATCCAATATTCCAGGATGTGAATTGCGGAAGCAAGTATTTTGCACAAATCATGGGGTGCCAGACCTTTTTAGGCATCTAGAGATATGTCAATAGTTAATTGTATTGTTTATAAAAGTAATAGATCTCTACTGTGCTGTCAAAAATGTGAGAATATGCAGATATATGAAGAAGAAAAATTACATATGGACATATATGTCCTTTAAGTGAGGCATTAAAAGAGGAAACAAGAGGCCAAGTAAGGATCTACTCCAGGAGGAATAGAGGAAAAACTTGTCCTTCTCTGGAAGACAGACAGGGAGGCTCCTTAGATCCAGCTTCCAGTACAGTTTATAAGGCAGAGATCTGATACCTTTGGGTGGAGGCAGGAAATTCTCAAGACTCATCATAGGGTTTGCCATCCTATGAAAGTAGGAGAAAGGATGCTGAGAAAGCCATACCCATAAGGCCCAGGCTCACAGGGCTTAACTGGGTCTGGGACTTAACCATGAGAGCAAAGAATCCCCACCTCCCTCTTACCACTATTCTAGCACCAACTGATAAGCAACAGCTGACTGGTTGTAAAGAAGATGCAAAGGCATCTGGAGTGCCCCTTCCGTGTCACAGTCATTCAAGCCACACTGAAAACCAAAACTAAGAAATACTTTCAAGCATCTCAGGCCCTGCATGAAGCCCAAGGTCACAACAATCCATCATCAGAATGTTAAGTTTTTGACACACTGAAGATAATAATGGCAATAAAACACCCCAAACACCCCAAAACACAGCTCAACTTCTAGATTGATTCGGCTCCTCACGCCAGGGACCTGGAAGAAAAGTAGGCATGCCCAATTTCAGATATTCACATTATTCAGCTTTCCTACCTCTCTTTTCACATGATGTCTGACCTTCAATAAAAATTATGAAATATTAATATATTAAAAAGGAAAATAACCTGCTGTCAAGTGATAAACCAATAAAGAGAAACTGACTCAGAAATACACTGAATGCTATAATTGATCAGATAGGGACTTTAAAATAAATATAGTCAGTATGTTTAAGGACCTAGTAAATCTAGTGCCAGAGAATTTGTAGAAATGGAAAGGCTGGAAACAAGTTAAGTAAGTTGTTCCAACTACGTGGTTTCATAGCTCTGCACTTTCCCTGATATGACACTTACTACAACATGCAGTGTTTACTCGTTAAATTATCTGTCTATGCTGGATGAGAAAAGGAACATTTTCACTTATCTTTGTATTCCTGTGTATTTGTATAGTTCCTAATATGAATCTTGGTCCATAGTAACTAATTTGTAAATATTTGCAGGAACATGAGACTGAATATAAAAGTGATAAATATAATATTACTTCTTTTATATTATATTTTATTAATTTAGTTTAGATGCAAATATGTACTTTATAAAAATTGGGCTTATGGTTATAATAAATTTAACTTCAAAATATATGTGAGTGCAAAAGACAACTGTTTAAATTTGTCTTTAGTATGATATGCAGTATAAAGAAAAAATTACAAGACACTACAGAATTATGAGATTATAACACAAGGTCCTATAATACATATGACTTAATAGCTTAAACTAATTTAAAGTATCACTTCAAAAAATAGTTCCAGGCTTTACAGCATCCAGAAACTATAATAATCTTTCTGAAACAATGGCACAATTATCTGTGTATCTGCAGAACCGATTCCAAACACTTGAAACACACAGTCATATGCACAAAAGCTAGAAGGCAGCCACATCAAATGCCTAGGCTGACATATTCATACTGCTTTTCCACTAACAAGTTTGTCTTTAAAACTAGAAAAGTGATTCTCAGCTTAAGAGATCAAGGGGAGATCTCCCAGTAATTGATATAGGACAGGGATGTATTATTCTCTTGGACCACTGGTTCCAAATAGCTTCACCTCTCTAATTGTGGGTTGTAGCCCAGCACCATAGCATTACCAGGGAATATTACCAGAGAAGTGCAGAATGTTGAATTCTACCTCAGACCCAGTTAATGAGAATCTGCATTTAACAGGATGTCAGGTGATTACACACACACAATGTGTGTGTGTGTGTGTGTATATATATATAATGCGTATAATATACAAATTTGAAAACTGCCATCTCAGAAGACCTCTTCATTTCCCTTCCATGCCAATTGTACAGCAATCAATAAAGTGACTCCTGACCTACCCCACAGACTGAAGCCAAGCAGAGCTTATGCCCCCACAAGATTCTGCTTGCTGTAATTGGAGTACCAATTTTACTCTTTTAGATCATCATTGAGCTAGTACTCAGGAACTCTTCAACTAATTTAAAACAGCATCAAACATTAGAGCTTTTCTGGGCACTAGGGTCAAGGAATATAGACTTGTGTTTCTCCTTATGACTAGAGTACCACTCCCTGAGTTCTCCTTCTTGGCTGTAGAGAGAGCACCTGCTTGACCAGGAATCAGTGACCAGGTAGGGCAAGAAGGCCCTGGACATCCGCTGAAGCCACCCAAAGTTGAAACCTTATTTTTACTAAATGTCAGTGAAATTTGTTTCTTAACAAATAATCTTTTAATGAAGTTGGAATTGCTATTTTGCTTTTGGGAAATTCATAAAGTAGAAACACATATGTACAAGTGTTTTTGTATGTGTATGTGTGTATACATGTATGCATATATATATATATATATATATATATATATATATATATATATATACATATACACACATTTTATATTGTGATTTTTTTTTTTTGAGACAGAGTCCCACTCTGTCACCCAGGCTGGAGTACAGTGGCACAATCTTGTTCACTGCAACCTCCGCCTCCCAGGTTCAAGGGATTCTCCTGCCTCAGTTTCCCAAGTAGCTGGGATTACAGGCACTCACCACTATGCCCAGCTAATCTTTGTATTTTTTTGGTAGAGACCGGGTTTCACCATGTTGGCCAGGCTGGTCTCAAACTCCTGACCTCAAGTGATCCACCTACCTTGGCCTCCCAAAGTGCTGGGATTACAGATGTGAGATACTGTGTCCAGTCTGTGATGGTTAATTTTAATGTGTCAGCTTGACTGGGCCATGGGATGCCAAGACAGCTGGTTAAATGTTAATTCCAGGTTTGCCTGTGAGATTTCCTGAAGACATGAGCATTTGAATTAGTGGACTGAGTATAGCAGATGGCCCCCTGAGTGCGGTTGAGCATCCTCCAATCCCTTGAGGGCCTGAATAGAACACAAAGGTAGAGGAATTTTGGATCCACACTCCCTCCACCTAAATGATTGGGCTAACACATCATCAGTCTTCTCCTGCCACTGGCACTCTGGCTCTCAAGCCTTCAAACCACACCACTGGCTTTCCTGGGTCTCCTGCTTGCAGGTGGCAATTCATGGGGCTTCTCAACTTTCATAATAGTGTGAGCCAATATCTTGTAATAAATATATTACACTATACGTCCAAGACCCAGGCACTGGCATCTGGTGAGGGCCTTTTTTGCTATGTCCTTACATGGCAGAAGGTGGAAGGGCAAGAGAGATGAACTACCTCCATCAAGCCATTTATAAAGGTCACTAACCCCATGCAGCAGGGAGGAGCCCTCATGACTTAATCACCTCTTAAAGACCCCACCTCTTGATGTTATCACATTGGAAACACCTGAATTATAGAGCTGACACATTCAAACCATAGCATTCATTCTTCCTTGTCTGTCTTCTTCAAGTGAGTCCTTGAATCCATCTTTAGACCATAGACATCAATGATGAAAAGAGTAGTCTATGACATCAGCTGAGCTACACCAGGCCTCTGCAAACTCATTTCCTCCCTGGCACCACACACTAGAAAACAGAATATTTGTTGTTTGTATAAAACAATATACTGCATTGGCGTAAATCTCATTTTCAATATTTAAAGCTATTCTGGCTCTTGTGACACCCCGTGTCAGAATCCTGGGCATGGAATGCTAAGTGTGCACCAAGCCTTAAAGATCTGAAATGGTATTTTCCTCTTTTAATATTTTCCCACACACTTAAAGTTTATACTTAAATGGAAAGAAAATGACAAATATTCCATCTCAAAAAATAACGCAGAGAATTCTAGTTTACAATGTCCTCTCTCAAAATTCTGTAATTTGTTTCATTATTATTATTTTTTTGAGATGGGGTCTTGCTCTGTGGCCCAGGCCACAAAGCAAGAGGGCAGTGGCGCTATCAAGACTCACTGCAGCCTCAAACTCTTGGGCTGAAGCGATCCTTCCACGTCAGCTCCCTGAGTAGCTAAGACTACAGGTGCCTGCCATCATGTCTGGCTAATTTTTACAGAGACAGATGCCTTGCTATGTTGTCCAAGCTGGTCTTGAACTCCTGGTCACAAGCAATCCTCCCATTTTCGGCTCTCAAAGTGTTGGGATTACAGGTGTGAGCTACTACATCTGGCCTGAAATTCTGTAATTAAAAACACAATTGGTGGTGTACATGAACTTGTTGCTTAGAAAACAACCAAATATGAAAGTTTGAAAAAAGTTTATAGAGAGCTATCCTCAATACTGCTTTAGCTGCTGTTCCTGAGTTACGCATTAGTTCAAGTATACAACTGACTTTGGCTTTTGGAGGCAGTCCATGTGCTGTATCAGCCTCTTCAAGTCTGCCTCCATTCAGATTGCAATGCCCAGAAAAAGTTGGGATTGACAGTGGGCTGTGGAAATCTCTCAAATCTTTGTTTGTAAGTTATAGAGTCCCACAATAATATTATTAGCGGGAGTATAACATAGACAAGTCCTGGAAGCAATGCATATTGGGGGACATATTTCATGTACTATTCACAATGTGAGATAACCAGCCCCTGATTTATATTAGAGGTCAGAAAAAGATAACTAGTGGGCCAAATGTAGTTCCCTGTCTGTTTTTGTAAATAATGTCTTATTAAAGCACACCCATGCCCATTCATTTATACATTGCCTATGGCTGCTTTGTGCTGTAACACAGAGTTGAGTAGTTGCAAGACACATGGATGTGTATGCAAATAAAACACTGTAAAACAGCTTCCAGTTAAAGATATTGATAAGTACATGAGTTTATCTAAATTCCTGGTTGAAACTTCACTAAAATAAAAAAAATTGAAAGATCAATAAAGGTATAAATCCACAAAGACAAAATATAAGTGAAGATGATAGCAACCAAATTTGGTAAGCTGGAAAGAGGAGGACAAACAGGAACTGATATGATGGATCAGAGAAAACTGGAATCAAAGCAGCCATTGTAGAAAGAAGTAACTCAACCTGCATCACAGAACCTCAGAAAAGCTCAGGAATTGGCATTCTCAGATATCTCTTGGGAAGATGGGCATGTGGTGAAGTAGAAGAATTGACATAAGCAATTTTGGAAAAGACATCTGACAACACCAAACATTTTCAAGATTTAAAGCGAAGGATCAAAAGAACATTATTTATTGTTAATGTCTTATTATACTTTTATTTACAGGCATAGTCTTATGGATGTATAGCAAAGGAAAATTTCTTTTTTTTAAATTATACTTTAAGTTCTAGGGTACATGTGCACAATGTGCAGGTTTGATACATAGGTATACATGTGCCATACATAGGTATACATGATGGGTGGTTTGCTGCACCCATCAACTCGTCATTTACATTAGGTATTTCTCCTAATGCTATCCCTCCCCGACCCCCTACCCCCCGACAGGCCCCGGTGTGTGATGTTCACCACCCTGTGTCCAAGTGTTCTCATTGTTCAGTTCCCACCTAGGTGTGTGAACATGTGGTGTTTGGTTTTCTGTCCACGTGATAGTTTGCTGAGAATAATAGTTTCCAGCTTAATCCATGTCCCTGCAAAGGACATGGACTCATCCTTTTTTTATGGCTGCATAGTATTGCATGGTGTATATGTGCCACATTTTCTTAATCCAGTCTATCGTTGATGGACATTTGGGTTGGTTCCAAGTCTTTGCTATTGTGAATAGTGCCACAATAAACATACGTGTGCATGTGTCTTTATAGCAGCATGATTTATAATCCTTTGGCTATATATCCAGTAATGGGATTGCTGGGTCAAATGATATTTCTAGTTCTAGATCCTTGAGGAACCGCTACACTGTCTTCCACAATGGTTGAACTAATTTACACTCCCACCAACAGTGTAAAAGTGTTCCTATTTCTCCACATCCTCATGAGCATCTGTAGTTTCCTGACTTTTTAATGATCACCATTCTAACTGGCATGAGATGGTATCTCATTTTGGTTTTGATTTGCATTTCTCTGATGACCAGTGATGATGAGCGTTTTTTCATGTGTCTGTTGGCTGCATAAATGTCTTCTTTTGAAAAGTGTCTGCCCATATCCTTTGCTCACTTTTTGATGTTTTTTTTCTCTTTTCTTGTAAATTTCTTTGAGTTCTTTGTAGATTCTGGATATTAGCTCTTTGTCAGATAGGTATATTGAAAAAATTTCTCCCATTCTATAGGTTGCCTTTCACTCTGATGGTAGTTTCTTTTGCTGTGCAGCAGCTCTTTGCTTTCATTAGATCCCATTTGTCTATTTTGACTTTTGTTTCCATTGCTTTTGGTGTTTTAGTCATGAAGTCCTTGCCTATGCCTATGACCTGAATGGTATTGCCTAGGTTTTCTTCTAGGGTTTTTATGGTTTTAAGTCTAACATTTAAGTCTTTAATCCATCTTGAATTAATTTTTGTGTAAGGTGTAAGGAATGGATCCAGTTTCAGCTTTCTACATATGGCTAGCCAGTTTCCCCAGCACCATTTATTAAACAGGTAATCCTTTCCCCATCGCTTGTTTTTGTCAGGTTTGTCAAAGATCATATAGTTGTACATGTGTGGTGTTATTTCTGAGGCCTGTGTTCTGTTCCATTGGTCTATATCTCTGTTTTGGTACCAGTACCATGCTGTTTTTGTTACTGTAGCGTTGTAGTATAGTTTGAAGTCAGGTAGCGTGATGCCTCCAGCTTTGTTCTTTTTGCTTAGGATTGTCTTAGCAATGCAGGCTGTTTTTGATTCCATATGAAATTTAAAGTAGTTTCTTTCCAAGTCTTTGAAGAAAGTCATTGGTAGCTTGATGGGGATGGCATGGAATCTATAAATTACCTTGGGCGGTGTGGCCATTTTCACTATATTGATTCTTCCTATCCATGAGCATGGAATGTTCTTCCATTTGTTTGTGTCCTCTTTTATTTTGCTGAGCAGTGGTTTCTAGTTCTCCTTGAGGAAGTCCTTCACATCCCTTGTAATTTGGGTTCCTAGGTATTTTATTCTCTTTGTAGCAATTGTGAATGGGAATTCACTCATGATTTGGCTCTCTGTCTGTTTTTGGTGTACAGTAATGCTTGTGATTTTTGCACATTGATTTTGTATCCTGAGACTTTGCTGAAGTTGCTTATCAACTTAGGGAGATTTTGGGCTGAGATGATGGGGTTTTCTAAATATACAATCATGTCATCTGCAAGCAGGGACAATTTGACTTCCTCTTTTCCTAATTGAATACACTTTACTTCTTTCTCCTGCCTGATTGCCCTGGGCAGAATTTCCAACACTATGTTGAATAGGAGTGGTGAGAGAGGGCATCCCTGTCTTGTGCCAGTTTTCAAAGGGAATGCTTCCAGTTTTTGCCCATTCAGTATGATATTGGCTGTGGGTTTGTCATAGATAGCTCTTATTATTTTGAGATACATTCCATCAGTACCTAGTTTATTGAGAGTTTTTAGCATGAAGGGTTGTTGAAATTTGATGAAGGCATTT
This sequence comes from Homo sapiens, assembly GCF_000001405.40. Classification (NCBI taxonomy): domain Eukaryota; kingdom Metazoa; phylum Chordata; class Mammalia; order Primates; family Hominidae; genus Homo; species Homo sapiens. The sequence continues at coordinate 61,966,554 of NC_000008.11, forward strand.
TCTGCATCTATTGAGATAATCATGTGGTGTTTGTCATTGGTTCTGTTTATGTGATTTATTATGTTTATTGATTTGTGTATGTTGAACCAGCCTTGCATCCCAGGGATGAAGCCAACTTGATTGTGGTGGATAAGCTTTTTGATGTGCTGCTGGATTCGATTTGCCAGTATTTTACTGAGGATTTTTGCATTGATGTTCATCAGGGATATTTGCCTAAAATTCTCTTTTTTTGTTGTTGTCTCTGCCAGGTTTTGGTATCAGGATAATACTGGCCTCATAAAATGAGTTAGGGAGGATTCCCTCTTTTTCTATTGATTGGGATAGTTTCAGAAGGAATGGTACCAGTTTCTCTTTGTACCTCTGGTAGAATTCGGCTGTGAATCCATCTGGTCCTGGACTTTTTCTGGTTGGTAGGCTATTAATTATTGCCTCATTTTCAGAGCCTGTTATTGGTCTATTCAGAGATTCAACTTCTTCCTGGTTTAGTCTTGGGAGGTTGTATGTGTCCAGGAACTTATCCCTTTCTTCTAGATTTTTTAATTTATTTGCATAGAGGTGTTTATAGTGTTCTCTGATGATAGTTTGTATTTCTGTGGGATCAGTGGTGATATCCCCTTTATCATTTTTTGTTGCATCTATTTGATTCTTCTCTCTTTTCTTCTTTATTAGTCTTGCTAGCAGTCTGTTTATTTTGTTGATCTTTTCAAAAAACCAGCTCCTGGAATCATTGATTTTTTGAAGGGTTTTTTTTTGTGTGTCTCTATCTCTTTCAGTTCTGCTCTGATCTTAGTTATCTCTTGCCTTCTGCTAGCCTTTGAATTCGTTTGCTCTTGCTTCTCCAGTTCTTTTAATTGTGATGTTAAGGTGTTGATTTTAGAACTTTCCTGCTTTCTCTTGTGGGCATTTAGTGCTATAAATTTCCCTCTACACACTGCTTTAAATGTGTCTCAAAAAATTCTGGCACTTTGTTTCCTTGTTGTCATCAGTTTCAAAGAACATCTTTATTTCTGCCTTCATTTCGTTATTTACCCAGTAGTCATTCAGGAGCAGGTTTTTCAGTTTCCATGTAGTTGTATGGTTTTGAGTGAGTTTCTTATTCCTGAGTTCTAATTTGATTGCCCTGTGGTCTGAGAGACAGTTTATTGTGATTTCTCTTTTACATTTGCCGAGGAGTGCTTTACTTCCAATTATGTGGTCAATTTTAGAACAAGTGTGATGTGGTGCTGAGAAGAATGTGTATTTGGCATAGAGAGTTCTGTAGATGTCTATTAGGTCTGCTTGGTGCAGAGCTGAGTTCAAGTCCTGGATATCCTTCTTAACCTTCTGTCTCCTTGATCTGTCTAATAATGACAGTGAGGTGTTAAAGTCCCCCATTACTATTGTGTGGAAGTCTAAGTCTCTTTGTAGGTCTCTAAGGACTTGCTTTATGAATCTGGGTGCTCCTGTATTGGGTGCATATATATTTAGGATTGTTACCACTTCTTGTTGAATGATCCCTTTACCATTATGTAATGGCCTTCTATGTCTCTTTTGATCATTGTTGGTTTAAAGTCTGTTTTATTAGAGACTAGAATTGCAACCCCTGCTTTTTTTTGCTTTCCACTTGCTTGGTAGATCTTCCTCCATCCCTTTATTTTGAGCCTATGTGTGTCTCTGTATGTGAGATGGGTCTCCTGAATACAGCACACTATTGGGTCTTCACTCTATCCAATTTGCCAGTCCGTGTCTTTTAATTGGAGCATTTAGCCCATTTACATTTAAGGTTAATATTGTTATGTGTGAATTTGATCCTGTCATTATGATGTTAGCTGGTTATTTTGCCTGTTAATTGATGCAGCTTCTTCATAGCATTGATGGTCTTTACAATTTGGCCCAGAGGGGCACCCACCTATATGAAGTGTCTGTCGGCCCCTACTGGGAAGTTTCTCCCAGTTATGCTACACAGGGCTCAGGGACCCACTTGAGGAAGTTGTCTGTCTCTTCTCAGAGCTCAAACACTGTACTGGGAGAACCACTGCTCTCTTCAGAGCTGTCAGACAGGGACGTTTAAGTCTGCAGAAGTTGTCTGCTGCCTCTTTTTCAGCTATGTCCTGCCCACAGAGATGGAGTCCATATATGCAGTAGGCCTTGCTGAGCTGCGATGGGCTCCACCCAGTTCAAGCTTCCCAGCCACTTTGTTTACCAACTCAAGCCTCAGCAATGGCGGATGCCCCTCCCCTAGTCAGGCTGTCACCTTGCAGGTTGATCTCAGACTGCTGTGCTAGCAGTGAGCAAGGCTCTGTGGTCATGGAACCTGCCAAGGCAGGCACGGGAGAGAATCTCCTTGTCTGCCAGTTGCTAAGTCCTTGGGAAAAGCACAGTATTTGGGTGGGAGTGTCCCGTTTTTCCAGGTACAGTCTGTCACAGCTTCCCTTGGCTAGGAAAGGGAAATCCCTCGACTCCTTGTGCTTCCTGGGTGAGGTGATGCCCTGCCCTGCTTCAGCTCGCCCTCTGTGGGCTGCACACACTGTCCAACCAGTCCCAGTGAGATGAACCAGGTACCTTAGTTGGAAATGCAGAAATGACTCATCTTCTGCGTCGATCACGCTGAGAGCTGCAGACTGGAGCTGTTCCTATTCGGCCATCTTGGAACGGACCACCAGAAAATTTCTGTACTGCCACTGGGAAAGTACATTGATAAAACTCCTTTGGAAATGACTCGTCCACATTGAGTAAAGGTGAACATGCATACACCTTGTGATCCAGAAATTCCATTTCTAAATATATAGCCTAGGAAAATTATAAAATATATACACCTGAATGCATGAATAAAACTGTAGCAGTGCTGTTTGTAAAGAAACAAATAATAAATACAACCCAAATGTCTATCAATAGCAAAATGGATACATATATGATATACTAAAGTCTACAATGAATGAACAAGATTTATACATACAAATTTTTCTTAAAAACAATGTTGAATAAACAGTTCCATGTTTAAATAACAAGCAGACATTTCCTATGACTTGGCCATATACACAGTAAAAGTATTAAATTTAGTCGTTTGAAATGGCCATTTTATAGGTAAAAATGGTTAAGTAGAAATTTCATAAATGGTTTCTTTTGGAGAGCAGGAATTAGGAACAAATGTGGGTAAGGAGCTGACATTATTTCTTACAAGCATTGTTGAAGTGGTTGATTTTTAAATTACATAAGTATATTTGATAAGAAGTTTAAAAATCAGTTAAATATTATAAACTACTCATGAGCACATCATTCATTACTACTCACATGTTAAAGTTGATTCAATATTTATAAACAGAAAATGAAGCAAGTTTTAGATCATTGGTTGCCTTTATTTTGAATGTGGTTGACTGGTAAACAATACACATTGGAATGTTTCTTCCTGAGAGAAGTAGAGTGTCAGTTTGCTACAGAGTGTCAGTTTGCCCAGATATATTCACGTGATTCAGTCAGAAATCATCCTTTAGGCTTTTAATCATCTGTGCAACATGTTTCTCAGATCTTGGTGATTTTTAGTGAGAGTCTATCTATGACAGATAGCCAATTTCATGTTGTAGGGGACCTGAAATAAATCACTACCCTTGTTTCTGCCAGTTTTACAGTTCAACCTTTCAGATGTTGGAAGTAAATCTATTTCAATACAAAATTTTAACTTCCCTGCTTTGATTCTCAATCAAATATCTAATATTTACGTTTTATAGTTCCTGTAAATTTCCTCATGATGATTCAATTATTCAAACAAGAAATTAATCCTCACAGTGCCATATTTCCTTATTGTGTGGCTAATTTTTACTCCTACATAAAAAGAAGTGATGATCAGTTGGGATGGTTTAAAAACCGTTGTGAAAATGACACATACATTTGATGGCAAAGACTAAAAGTAGTGTGTAGAGTGTATCAGGCTTAAAAGCCAGGAGAACTGGAAAGGCTACCGTTTCACCCATTCCTTCAACAAACATCTATTGAAATCCTTCTCTGTGCCTAATATTGCTGTAGCTGCTAAGGGAGGGGAATAAAATTTCAATTTTCATGGACCTTATAGTAAGTGTGTAGCATGTCACATGGAATAAAGTGTGGTATGACAAAGGCAGATGCTGTCTTACATTTTATTGACTTCTTAAGTGCATGTGAGTAAGTCCTATACCCTCTCCTTTCCCTTCTCCTTTTCTTCTTCCTTCTTCTTTGTCTTTTATTTCTTATTATTGGTTCAAATTATAAAAGCTGGATAATACAGAATTTCACTAGGCAACAAGGTATTACAAAGAGTTTGTACAAAAGAATATTAATGACAAAAGACAGAGAAATCATCATTAATTTTAACTCTCCATGGTTGAAACCATATATAGTGCTATAAATTATTTGAAATTAGCAGTAGAGAAACTTCCTTATAACTCCACACTGCAGAAATCCAAAAGGAATCACTTTTGTTGCTGTAGCTAACTAATGTGAACTTTATGACAATAACATTCATTCTGAAACTGCTTCTCTCCTGATATCCACTCTAAATCTATTTTGGAGAAAGCAACATAAGCAAGGAAAGAGAAAAATATACAACCCATTCTGCAATAAGGACTATTCTTGGAAAGTACTTGTTTACAGATCAAGCCAGACCTATAATTTTTCCAAGCTTCCTTGGAGCTCTGTTTTCCTGCCCCTTTCCCTGTTCTTGGCACCTGCTTTCTGTCAAGGGAAGCAGTTCCTGGCAGAGACCCTGGACTCCAGGGAGTTTGTGCAGTAATCACAGTTGCCATCACTGTGAGGCCAGGCACAAAAAAAGACACAGCTCCATCCCCGATCTTGACTTCTCATAGGTTGTGCCAGGAAATGTAGAACATTCAGTATCTTGCATAAGGTTCTGTAAATTCCAGTTCAGCAGGGCATTTTTAAGAAAGAAATCTGACCAAAGTTGTTCAGGAAAAAGCAAGTCAACTTTAAAAGCCACCAGTTCCATTTGTACTTGATAAAGCTCTTGTATTTCTTCACCATAGTTTCCCTATATTCCTGAAGAATTTATAACAGCCTCTGTGGAACTGCCCATTACATATATTATATATGATATATAAAGCGCTGTTGTATTAAAGATATAAAAGGAGACAAAGGATCAGAACATTACTAAGTGTAATGAGATTCAGTTAGGTAGAAGGGCCAAGAATGAAGAAGTTAAAGTAAGACAAGATGTCCTGAGAAGTAAAACTGGGGAATAATTTGGTTTTGATTGGAAACATTCTTTCATTTGGGGTATTAAAAATTGTTGAACAAAAGCCTGAGACTCAGTTTGTATCTCCTTATTCATAATAGCAACACCAAGGGGTGGATTTGGGGAATTCTTTATACCCTCAGTAATTTCCATCAATATCCCCAGCTGCCTCACACAGAAAGAAAAAAATTTATAGATATATATATGATTTTATATACTTTAATGTTATTTATATGTTTATATTATATAAATTATAAGTGTATAATATAGATCATATTCTATAAATTATACATGAAGCAGTTTTAGGGAACCTTATTAATATATCCCAAATAAAAACTGCACATGTATTTCAGAAGTCACTTAGCATTTTCTTCCAAGCAGATCGTTTTGTGTTTAACTTTTACAGAAATTCTGGAATATCTCTTGATTCAATGACAAAAGTTACAAAAAGTGTTCTTTCTAATTGCTAGGATGTATTTGCATTTTGCCATCATTGGAAATATGCCCTTACCCAGAATTCATTCCAAAGTAAAGTCAGAGGTAAAAGCTTTTGTTCGTTGTTTTTCTTCTGAGCTATCAGAGTACTTACCATAAAAATCTCAAACTAAATGATGTAGTGCCATGTCTATTAGTAATCATGTGCCTGTCTTTTGCTTCCCTCCCTCTGAGTGTAGCATAAGGAAAATAGAAGTTCTCGGTGATGCTGGCAGAGTGAATAGATTACATCCATGTTATTATGAGAGTCTGGTAGGTATCAGAGTTTAGGCTGAGATGTTTTTGTTTGCAATGGAGGTAACGAATACTCCAACTGGGTTCTAATGCCATTGTGGCTAACATCAGAGAAGCTAGGCAAGTTGCCTAATTGAAATGTAACTGCCTCCTGGGCGAAATGAATGCCAAAAATAAAAGGGAAGAAATGAAGAAATGGCAAATGCTACAAGAGTGCTAAATACATTGTTCTGGGGAAATCTATGGCCACAGAAGCTTTTCCTGGATACATGTTTTCCAAGGCTTTCTTAGGTTTGCGTCCAGAGTTCCTTGTAAGCCAGATGAGGACGGAGAACATTCAGGGCAAATGTCTCCTACTGTTTTACTATTCCCATATCTAATTTTTACAAAAAATGTAGCCAAAGCCTATATTATCCTGTAAATCTCTTTATTAGGTTCTATCACCTGCAATATGGAGATAGCTCTTTGGGAGAAGGGACTGTATATAAATAACAATTTTGCATCAGCCTAGAGGGTACCTTGCATCGTGCACATAGTATTTAATAAATGGTGTTGGGTGTTTATGCCACTGATATATTTTTTTAAAACCAAGAGTAAAAGCAATAAGGATATGCCACATCTCTGTACTTAGGCTAATAGTCTGTCATGAAAAGAGCTTGTCAAGCCTAACTTTTAAAGGTAATAAAACCAAAATTGTAATTTTAAATGAGTTTTAATTTATAAATTACTAAAAAATTACTTAAGGTCACTTTTTAAAAATTCTGCCAAAAGGTCTCTGAAACATTTAATACTGGTACAAGGAAACTTAAATGTCAAAAGAAAAAAAAGTAGAGATGCCGCATGTACTACAAAGAATTTACAGATTCCACTGAGTGCTTATTTGTTGGTTCTACCAATTCTGAATAGAGAAATCACATAGTGACTCTCTGAGTGGTGGAAATGACTCTGTGAAGGGAGCCTTATCCTTATTTTATAAGTGATGCTACTCAGAAGTAAAGAGGCACACAAGTGAAGTTAAAATCTTATATACATACACACACATATATGCTTATGGGTAGAGTTGTTTCACTTACCTTGTTTGCCTAAGGAACTGTTTATGCACTCTCCCTTGGAACCATCTATGTGACATTTAGATAACTAGACTATCCATGAAGAAAGAAAAATAATTTGGATGTTAATAAAACTCTTCCATGAAGAACAAACCCTTTACCAGACAGGGGATGGCAGAGTCCTCCATCTGGAAACTTAAATACATCAGATAAAGGGCTCAGCTCTTTGATATCAAGCATAAGGAAAGGGTGTTATGTTTTACAGTTCACCGGAGGATTTAGCCTACCTCGATGAGAAGCTGAATAATCTCATATTTAACTGTGATCAAAATTATAAAAATGGAAAGGGATGGATAGTCATGGTCTCATTATTCTAGAACACAGCTAGACAGAATTGTGGGAGAAACATTAAGAATAGCAGAAAAGCTATGCTGTCTATTAGCATTCATCATATGGTATTTCCTTCTGACATTTCTAGTCTATGTTTCAAAGACATCGGTTCAGTCCTGCCCACATTGTGCTTGGGCTTTAACCCAGAGCCAGCTTCTGGTGCTTGCTCTTATTGGTGCTAAATTGACTCTGATATACTCTCTCATTAAGCCAGCCCTTATTTCATGACCATGACCATTGGCCAAGAGAAATAGGGGAAAATATGACGTGTTTAGGGATTACACCAGATCTGTGTATCAATCTTCACAAATACCAGTAGTCCACTGAAACTCAGCCTACTCTTGTGATTTTCACGAAGTTGCCCTGGTGATAATGCATCTGAAGTCAGGGAGGATCAGAGTCCGGGGACTTGCAGTGCCCTCTGCAAGCTGCATGCTCTTTATTGTGTGCCAGTTCTCAATTCCAGTCTGATGCCTGTTTTTTTCCATGTCTAACAACTTGCAAGTCTGGATGATATTGAAGAATAACTATTATCACAACTCTGTTTTCTGTAATTCCGTGGTGGTGGAGTTTCATTTACTCTGAGTCCGGAGGGAAAAGACTTAAATAAATCCAGATATAGTTCACATTTCTATGAAGAAAATATACTTTATCCCCAGTACCTTTCTAGTTTTATCTAACGAATGATAAAGATTTTTCAGGAAAAAGTGAGGTCAATTTTAGAAATTAGAATTAAGCCACCATCCCACCTACAAAGGACAATAATATTAATAGGCTTAAGAGGGAAAGCTATCAAAACCCAACATGGAGGGAATTCTGCCTTCCACCTGTAATATGTGCCTGCCAAATAATAATCCCCTCATCCAGGCACCAGGAAACTCTGGTTTGGAAGATAGGAGGATGGGAGTTAAATTTTTCTTAGTTAAAACTATGAAACAGTTTGTCTAAATTTCATGGCTACACTTAGAATCTCTAAGCCCAACTGGATCCTTTATCTTATTCTATCTCACTGGAGCCTTGCTTTCCAAGAAAGGGTTAAAACCTTCAAACATATGTTATTCATAATTAAAATACATTTAGTTTTTTTGGCTTGAGATAATTAGGTGTTTTTAACTGACTAATCATTCAATTGTCTCAGTCACATTGGAACTTTTCCTGACCAAACAATTGAAGATAAAGCCAAGCCACTATTTCAAACTCTCTCTTTCTTCTAATCCTTTTCCCTGCTATTTTTGATAATACTGTGCAAGATCATTAGATTTTATGCATTTACTTGATTTACTATCTGCCTTTCTTCAAAAGAATGCACGCTCCAGGAAGGAGTGTTTTTTTTTTTCTTTTGTGACCTGCTGTATCCACAGGATTTTGAAAAATGTCTATCAAATTGAGCCACTCATACATCTCTGTGGAATGAGTGAATGAATAAATGAACCAGAAGGTAAAATCATTTAGATTACAAATATTCTCTCAGTAATGCCAGGATGTCAAGACCATACCTAGCAATAATATTGAGTGAACTGTTAAGTTTGTCCTACTTAGTCCCTGAAAACAACCACCTCAGCCAGGTAGTTAACTTCACCTAGAATGGGGAGGAAGACAGAGATGTTGGTGGGGAAGATTCCCGTAAATTTTGGCTACATTTTGAAACTTACATAGGGTGGAATCACATGGCAGAGCTGGACCACAGAACTATGGTTTTATTTTTATTTTTTCTTCTATTTCAATATAGATAACAATAAGGTAATCAGACAAAGTACAGTGTACTGTTAAACAGTATATTGCCAAATATGCTGTACAATATATTGCTGTATATGCTGATAGGAAGAAATCCAATGCGAAACTGTATCATTACTAAACAAATGCAAAATCCTGAGCCTGCTTGACAGGGACACTAATTCTTTTTTAAAAGATTAAGATCTATGGAAACATAGATAATTAGAGCATCAAATTTATAAAGCACACATTCATTATGTTGTAGTTTTCCCCCTGAGTCTTTAGTCTAAATATAGATGTTGTCTTTTGGGCTGAATCACAAATTACAAAGCCTTAGCCCAGGGAAGACAGCAGAGGCTGAGTGAAAGCACATCACAGCCTTGACATAGATGGAGCACTCTGCCTCTCTGCGCCAAGCCTTTGTCTTTTTACTTATCTTACCTGGTAGTATGCAGTCATCCTTCTTCTTCAAGTAACCAGCCACAATCAGTGTGACCACGTATGGTATGTTAAACAATTGTCTTATTTTACATGGACACTCTGAATACATACTAGCTTACCAGAGCCTCATGCCATTCCTAATCCAAGAATGTAGATGACAAAGTGTGTCTGTTGGGGCTTATACAGTGCTTTTTAATGACAATATAATTACCCAGACATGTCAAGTATTGATATATTAATCCCCAGCTTCCTCACTGTAATCCGAGAGAACTAGGCAGTCATGATAGCACTTAGCAAGGACCTACATGCATGGAGTTTTGTGCACCTACACACGGCATTCATACTACAGCAATGGGTGCTGTTGGTGATGCAGAAGAGTACAGAGGTCTGGTTATTTTAGCTAAACTTTCTTCCCCATCTCCAACTAGACTTCAGAATCAGGCTTCATCATTGCAATGTCCTGGGAAAACAAACCATGAGATGACTGTTGGTCATTCACTTCAGTCCATCTCTGGGTTCTTTACATTGTGAAGTACATGATGAATAGAATCATCACTTTCTTTCTTTGTTCAACACACATCTATCACCCATCAATTGAATAGATACTATGCTTAAGATACAAATACAGGAAATATCCTGATCTCTACCCATAAGTAGCTGACTAATGAATTGGGAGAAAAGATGTATAAATATATCCCTTAATTTTAAGGAAGAAAGGGGGGGAAAAGACAAACATATCCTTGCAATACAAAAGACTACAATGTAACAGATAATTAAATATATCCTTATAGTGCAAGGCAATATGAGCAAGACAAGTGTTCTGGGTTAATGAGAGGGAACAACAAAGGCAATCTCATTCTCAAGGGAGAAATCAGTAATATTTTTAAAAGGATTTGCTGTTAAACTACCTATAAGGATAAATGGTATCTTCATAGGCAGATTAGAGAGTAATACATTTCAAACTGCAAAACACACACAAAAGCACAATCAGGTAAAAGTTTGGCATGTTTGTGGGGGGTGGTTATTAGGTGAGGATGAGGAGAATGTCAGGAACTGAATTTGGTCTATCATAGCAGTAGACCACACATGAAAAGAGTATCAGTTTTTCAAAAATGTTTAATGAGCACATACTCTACACCAGGCAGGGGATTTGTGCTTATCTGGTGCCCCACTATGTTTCACTTCTCTGTGGTAGACCTAACTTATGATACGATTATCATTTAAAAAGAAAAGATTAGCACAAAATAAAGGCACCAGTGATCACTATTTTCATTTAATGACATTTGGAAAGTTTGGGCCAGTACAATCAGAGGAGGAAAAAAAGCGGGAAATGTGAGATAAACAATAGGGAGGAAAATATATTAGTCTGCACTTCATTGTTCTAAAATAAGGTGTCAGTTCTCATCTCCAGAGCAACTACAAATGAAATGATGTGAAAATATAGTAAAATAAATAACAAAGGAATTAAAGTAGTTCACTAAAAAATATCTATTTAACCAAAAGAAGAGAAAAATGGAAAAACCAAGGAGAAAAAAAGATAAGACATATAGAAAAATGTATAGCAAAAGGCAGAAAGAAGTTCTTTATTAGTGATTACATTAGATATATATCAATTAATATTAGACTCTTTAATAGGCAGAGATTGGCAGAATGAATTACAAAACAATACCCAACTATATGCCGTCTGTAAGAGTCTAATTTTAGTTCAAAAACACAAAGAGATTGAAAGTCAAAGGATGGAAAAGGGTATTTCACACAAACAGTAACCAAAAAAAAAAAAAAAAAAAAAAAGAGATAGAGTTGCCAGGTGCAGTGGCTCATGCCTGTAATCCCAGCACTTTGGGAGGCCGAAGCAGGCAGATCACCTGAGGTCAGGAGTTTGAGACCAGCCTGGCTAACATGGTGAAACCCTGTCTCTACTAAAGATACAAAAATCAGCTGGGCATGGTGCTGGGTGCCTGTAATCCCAGTTACTTGGGAGGCTGAGGCAGGAGAATTGCTTCAAACTGGAAGGCGAAAGTTGAAGTTGCAGTGAGCCGAGACCATGCCATTGCACTCCAGCCTGGGCAACAACAGCTAAACTCCATCTAAAAAAAAAAGAAAGAAAGAAAGAAAAGAAATTGAGTGACTATACTAATGTCAGAAAAAGTAGACTTTAAGATAAAAATTGTTATGAGAGACAAAGTGACATTATGTAATGATAAAAGGATAATCCATCAAGAAGACATCACAAATATAAACATCTGCACTGAACATCAGAACCTCAAAATACATGAAGCAAAACTGACAGAATTGAAGAGATAAATGACAGTTCCAATGAGAGTTGGAAACTTTTGTACCCCATTTTCATTGATGTAAAGAACAACTAGACATAAGATCAACAAGAAAATAGGTTACTTGAATAGTATTGTATATCTGCTAGACCTAAACACATCTACAGATCACTTCAGAAAGGACAGCAGAATGTGTGTTCTAATAATATGCACATGAAACATTTTCTAGCACAGACCATATGTTCGGCCACAAAACAAATTAGGATAAACCTAAATAGATTTAAATCATTCAGAGTACGCTCTCCAATCACAAAGAACCTAAATTAAAAGGCAATAACAGAATGAAATTTGAAAAATTCACAAATATGCGAACATTACACCAAACTCCTAGGTAACCAGTGGGGCAAAGAAGAAATCACAAGGGAAATTAGAACATATTTTGAGATAAATGAAAATGACAACATAACATACTAAAACTTATAGAACACAGCAAAAGCAATGCTCAGCTGGACATTAAGAATTTTAAAAGCCTACCTTAAAAAATAAAAAAAATCTCAAACAACAACCTGTCTACCTTAAAACTAGAAAAAGAAGAGCAAACTAAATTCAAAGCAGCGAGATAGAAGAAAAATTAGCTCAAGATGACAGCATCAAGAAACAGAATAGATAACAGAAAATCAGAGAGAATAAAAAAAACCTAAAGTGGTTATCTGAGAAAGAAAAAGGGGGCCCCCCAAATGGTAGTCATGTCCCCTGTTTCACTCCTGATTGTAGTAATTTGAGATTTTTTTTTTTTTTTTGTCAATGTAGTTAATTGTTTGTCAGCTTTGTCCTTGGGTTGAGATCTAAGTATTTTGGTACCAGAGGAAATAATTGTTCTCCTCTCAAATAAAAGCTGATTCAGAAGCCTTGGTAAATATGCTTGGCACAGTGTGTCTTAAACAGTGCTAGTTTTTAAATAAAGGACTAGTTTTAAGAAAATTTTGCCAAATATGTTGTGGATCAGTACTTCTGTAAAGTAAAATAAAAGTAAATGAGTAGACAAATGAAATGGAAAGCATTGGAAATACCACCAAGTCTTTCATTATTATATCCAACAGACATAGAACTACTCTGTGAAATTGTTGTAAAATTTTCTAAACATTTACTCTCAATTTTTTTTAACCTCATTGTGGACTAGTGCACACACAGGCCAGAAGCCAGCACTTACAGTTGCACTGGTCTGGTAGCATTGCCATTTTTTTCTTTACAAATTCATATTTTTTCAATTATGTAATCAGAGCATAGATGAAATTGCCCTTTAGACTAATGCAGAACACAAATTTTAAGAGAACTATCCTTTATCCCTTCTCTGGAGTAAGGGAAGAGTTGAAGGCTTTGTTTCCAAAACTGAATATAAGACAATAATTAGAAAAAGAACTCGTTAAAAATAAAAAGTAGAGTTGGTGGCATTGTCAGTCTCATGAAAATAGTTTCAAATGTTTTACACTGAGCATATAATTAAAAGTTTATTGCCAATGATATTTTCTAATCACCTCACACTATGGTTGACTTAAAGTCTTTTCTATAAATCCAGTGCTTGGACTTCGTCAAAAAATAGCTTCTCTCCATTTCTTTCTTTTTTTCTCCCCTGTGAATGGCCTGTATTTTCCTATTTCTACACCTTGCATTTTTTTGTTGTTGTTGTTGAAAACTAGACATGTTGAATATCATAATGAGGTAACTCCGTAAATAAGATTTTCCCTTCCTTCAGGTTTGCTGTTGTTGATTGAGGGCTGAAGTCATCTATTTGTTTAGTGACTTTTGCAAACTATTTTTGCAAAAGCTGTATTCTTTGTCATGCGCAGTCACTGAAGCCTCTGTTCTGTGACCTCAGATGTCAGCCGGTAACCCAACAGCTGAAAGAGATTTTCTTAAGTGCCTGGAGGAAAACAAAACCAACCAACCAATCAGCCAGCCAACCAAAAGAAATCTGTCTCCCTGTCTGCAGATTGCTTCTGACTTGTGGCACTTCTTCAACCCTAATCCAGGCTACATACACCTCTGCTTTATGCTTCACCTCCTGCTTGCATGGAACTCACAGACTAGCCAGAGGTGCAAGCTGATGCTCTTCTCAGGTATTTTCTGAGCATACATCTGGCCCTATGTGCATTGCATTCTGGCTTCCCTGGTGTACATAGTAACCCTTCAAATACCTTATTCCCCCAAGAATTTTCCTCCTCAACCTCCTTCCCAGCCTGTTGAGTCTGTCTGATACTTGTCCAATCTGCCATTGTTTGCCCCAGGCAACTGTGGATGTTGCCATGTTTGGAAAGCTGCTCCAGCTGCTCCAGAGGATAAACTTTCCTTTGTCCCATTCAGGCTATGCTAATCCTTCAGGGAATATCCAGAAAGGTCAAAATTTACAACCAAAACTTTTGGAAAATAAGATCTACATTGCTCCCCTTCACCCCAGCAACTTTCACCAGTGATGTCAGCTGCTGTCCATCCAGCCACTCCTGAACTGGAGAATGATGGATGGTAGACAAGTAAGCAGAAATGCCACAGTGACACTCAGCAGTCTTTTTCTTTTTTTTTGTCTTTATTAAAAACTCACCTGTAAGTTTTTGTTTAGATTTAAGAGTTCGAGAAAAGTTGATTCTGTAAGATTTTCCAGCTTAATGGTTGGTTCAGTTAAGGCCCTGATTCTTCTAGTTTCCAACTCCACCATTTTCTATGACATCACCATTCAATTCAACAAAGGGAGAATAGACGTTTCAATAAGTGATGCTGGGGCATCTGGATATCCACATGCAAAAAATATGAAGTTGAACCTTATTTTACGCAAAATACAAAAATTGGCTCAAACTTGAAGGCCTCATGTAAGAACTAAAACTATACAATTCTTAGAAGGAAACATAGGAGTAAATCTTTGGGACCATAAATTTGGCATTGAGTTTTTAGCTTTGACACAGTAAGCACAAACAACAAAAGAAAAAGTATACAAATTGGGGCTTAAAAATATGAAATGCTTTTGTGTTTAAATGGGTGCTATCAGAAAAAAGAAAGACAACTCACAGAATGGGAGAAGATATTTTCAAATCAAGCATCTTATGAGGGACTTGTATGTAGAATATATAAAAACTCTTAGAAATCAGTAACAAAGACAAGTAACTATTAAAAATTGAGCTAATGATCTATATAGATAGTCTTCAAGGAAAATATACAAATGGCCAATAAGATATAAATGATGCATGAAAGATGCTCAATGCTTTTAGTCATTAGGAAAATGCAAATAAAAACCGCAAGATACCGTATTTTAATTTCCATTATAATTATAAGATGAGTATAATAATGACTATAATAAAAAGGTCCGAAATAGAAAATGTTGGTGAGAATGTGGAGAAATTGTAATTCTCACACATTGCTTGTGGAATATAAAATGATGGAGCCACTTTGAAAAACAGTCTGGCAGGTCCTCAGAAAGTTAGACGTACAGTTACCATTTTACACACCAATACCATAGGCATATACACACCACTCATAGTCATATACCCAACAGAATTGGAAGCATATGTCCACACAAAAACTTAGATGCAAATGTTTTTAGCAGCATTATCCATAGTAGCCAAAAGGTGAAACAACCTGAATTTCCATCAAGTAATTAAAAGATAAACAAAATGTGATTTTCTATACAATGAAATATCATTTGAACATAAATAAGAGTGATAAAGTTGAAATTGGCCCAATTTTCCCATAGAACTGAGACTTGAGAAATACACATTTGTTTTATGTAAGTTCCTTTCTCAAGAAACCGACCATCAGGGCTCCCAGACAGTAGCAATGAATTGAGCCTTCCCAGGTCACAACATCCGGACAATGAAATGCACCTGCTGCCTACTGACCAACTCCTCTTCTTACCTCTTCCTAATTCTTTGCTATATAAACCACTAACTTAAGTCAGTTTTGGAGATGTGTTTGAGA
This sequence comes from Homo sapiens, assembly GCF_000001405.40. NCBI lineage: Eukaryota > Metazoa > Chordata > Mammalia > Primates > Hominidae > Homo > Homo sapiens. The sequence goes on from NC_000008.11 coordinate 61,982,312, forward strand.
CTGGTCTCCAGTCTCCCAGCTGACATCACCCGCATTAAAGCCTTTCTTCCTTGCCAATACTCATTGTCTCAGTGATTGGCTTTCTGTGAGGCGAGCAGCTGGACATAGGCCAAACCCCTGGCATTTGGCAACACAGTGATACATGCTACAATACAGATGAACCTTGAAAACATAATGTGAAGTGAAAGAAGCCAGTCACAAAGACTTCATATTATATGACTTCATGTATATAAAACGTCTGGAAAAGGCAAATCTCTAAAGACAAAGTCAATCAGTGTTTGCCAAGCCTCGATGAGAAGAGGGAATGTGGTACAGTGCAAGCTAAAGTTGTACAGGACTTTGTTTTATGACCAGGAAAATATTCAGATGGCTGCACAATTCTATGAATACACTAAAAACCAGTGAACTGTATACTTTAAGTGGGTGAATTGTACACTATATGAATTATATCTCAATAAAACTGTTACAAAAATATACTATAAGCCATTCAGTAAATTAGAAAACCATGAATTCATATTGATAGAAATGAAGGAATGGATCAATTCACAGTTTGATGAGGAACAGAACATTTCATAACCTCAAAGTACCTTCACAGATCCAATTTAGAAAACTCATCTCTAAGATTCTGTTCCTTGTAAATCACTTCCAGTATCCAAATCTCTACCAGTCAGATCAGGGTTCTCCAAAGAAACAGAACTAAAGGAATAGATATATAATTAATTGTTACTAATATATTATACACATGTATTAAGAGATTTATTTCAAGGAATTGGATCATTAGATTGTGTGGGCTGGGAAGTACAGAACACACAGGGAAGGTCAGTGGGATGGAAATTCAGGCAGGAGTCGATAAGTCCTGAGGCTGAATTTCTTCTTCCACAGTTTTGCTCTAAAAGGCTTTCTCCTGATTGAACGAGTCCAACCCACACTAGTGAGGTAATCTCCTTAAAGTCAACTGATTTTAGATGTTAACCACATCTATGAAATACCTTCACAGCAACACCTAGATTAGTATTTGATTAAATACCTGGGTACTATAGCCTAGCCACATTGACACATGAAACTAACCTACTACAAAATGCTTATTGATTATAGAGAAAGGAAGTTACTTTACAGTGGACCCTGGCAGATCTCACACCATCAGTAAAGGTGCACATAAAAAAACGTGTACCACCTGATAGAATACAATAACAAACATACTTAACATCATTTCTCTGATATCCCTGCCCAATATGAATAAACTAAAAATAATTAGATAAAGCATCAGTAAAACTCCTGTTGAAACAAATTCCACAAATAAATAGCTTTAAGCTTCAAAAGTGCCAAGGTCATGAAAGTGAAGTAATATGCCTAACTTTCCAATGGGACTTGGCAAGTCTATGTTTACAGTCTTGACAAATAGAGGAGGCATCATTGTGATTATGTAAGTAGACTCTGAGGAATCATATTCTTTCAGGACAACAGTTCAGATTTCTATATACAAAGAAGAGACAGATGATTGGCACTTGCAATTGGACTCTTTGAAGGTAGAGAATTCCTTCACCAAATGTCATTACGTAGGGTGGGCTGTGGGTCACTACCAGATGCTCTTTGAAGTGTCTTTCCATTCGTATGTAGCACAAATGCTACTCATTCATGGCTCCATAATTATTGACTTCATATCTTGTTCTATTACTTGTGACATGCTCATAAGATGTATTTCCTAAATATTAAAGATTTAAGTTGTGCAAGTTTGAAACTTTAGTAGAACAAATTCAAAATTGTACCTATGAAGCAATTGTGCTTCTATGTCCTCTCTGGATTTACAAAGGACATGATGTTGACATGCCAGGGGTGATCGCAGGTGTGGGAACCCAAATGTTGAATTGTGTTACATGTAAAGATCATCTTCCATGTGTATTGCTATAGGGACCTATACATGTTGATAACTTACCTAACAAAAGATAAATTTACCTAAAATATCTTGAAATTGGCTACTCACTCAGGTTAAATTGAATGGTAAACAGATTACATTATTAGTAGACAAATTATGGGCTGAACAAATAAATGAGAACAAATGCTTTTGTAATGACTTACATGCCACAAGACTATGGGAACACTGTAAGTTGAAAAGCTTCTGATGTAAATAACTCAGGCTAGTTCCAGTGCCTATTATATTCTCAAAAAGAGCAAGAAACTGATGTGCAAAACAGAACATAAAGAGATGCTCGCCCCGTGGCATGCCTTCACAGGTTTACCAGGATTCTTCTGATATTACCTTCTCCTCCAGTTATGAAACTGCCTCTTCGTCTGCTTCATCCTCCTCTACCTTCTCCCATTCCTCAAACACTTTCCACGTGATACTTTGAGGTTGAAATTAAGTATTAGTATTGGAAACTGTAAATAATCCTAGAGCTGACCTACTTAAATCTCAGGAGAGCTGTGGTCCAAGCATGTTAGGCTGTTTCCAAATCCCAAAGCTAGTAAGCATTGAGATTAAGAATATCAGTTCCTGACTGCTAGAAATTATGGAGTAAATAATGAGATACTACAACCCAGGTACAAACTTAAGATGATCCTTTTTGTGCATAATTCAGCCATGCTATAGATTATTTCCAATCATTTGCAAAGGATAATTATTCATAAATGTGGTCCATGGGCACCCCCCTCTGCAATTAATTTAACATGAGTGTGTCCCTGGCCTCAGAAGCTCTCTGCTGGTCATTTAAATGGGGTGTTTGTATGCCCCTCAAAGATAGACGTATAATTTAATGTGTATTAAATATGAGTACAATTGTTTCTACGAAAAGAATTTCCCTACTAGCTGAGTTTTCCCATTTTTATAGTGAAGATACTACTCAGTTTATCAGCACATTTTCAAGCAAAAAAAATCAACAAATTCTATAACATTAGTCATGTAATCACACAAACTATTTGCTTTCCTAACAATATTTTAAAACAGCTGGTAGTGTGGCCTCTCTACCCATGGGTTATCCTAGAATCATAGAGCAGGAAGAGACCCTGAGAGAAGATTGGTGCAATCCCCCATCCCTCAGGAAGGGCTGCAACTAAATCATCCCAGACAGAAGCACATTTCCCCTAATTTTGATGAGCTCCAGAGACAGAGCTCTTGAGACTTCCTATTCTGAATAGAGAGAAATCCTTTCTTACAGCTAAACAATCTCTCTCATTAGAGCCAAACTCCATTTATCTGCGTCTGGCTATTGTTTGCATTAGAGAAGGACTCCTCCAACCATGTTTATGTCATGTACTCTTTCCACATGAACTTACGTATTTTTTAATTAAGTATTTTAAGAGACAGGACGTTGCTATCTTGACCAGGCTGTTCCTGAACTTTTGGCTTCAAACTCTCTGCCCACGTCAGTCTCCCGAGTAGCTGGGATTATAGGTGGCTGGTTCTACAAGAATTTGAATCAATTTTGTCCTCATGGATGTTGTTTCCAAAACTTTAAAAACACCTTTAAACACTTTTAAACCTCTGTGATGACCCTCTCATCTTTCTAGAATGTATCTCCACTCCTCTTCAGTTCCATAATCTAGAAATATATATCATTTTCCAGTAGGGTTCTAACCAGTGATGGGGAGGGTGAAGATCTACATCTTAGATGACATTTTTTTCTCCACGTACGCATTTTTTGTTTTCATATGGGTTGGTCATATATAGAATATTTGAAAGGTGTGTTCTTGAAACTTTGTAATACAAATTCTTGAGATTTAAGACATGTCTATGCTCATTTTCTACCTTCTTAGCACATTAGCAATGTATGAGCCCCGTGTGTACATTTTCACTACTGATTATATTACCTGATGAACATTTTTTATTATGTAAGTGATAAAAACATTTCTACATATAAACTTGGCAGTGTAAAGATGCCACGCAATGAAAATTACCCAAACATCAGCAGCACCCAAAGCAGCACCATCAGCAGCTTTTTACAAATCGAAGGTAGTGGGACAGCTAATGTATATGAATAAGCTAATTTAAATTTCTTCCCTTTTGTTGTGATAAAATGTACATAACATAAAATTTATTACTCTAATCATTTAAGTTTATAGTTCAGTGGCATTAATTACATTCGCATTGTTGTGCAACCATCTCCACAATGTATATTTGGAACTTTTTCATCATCCCACACTGAAACTCTGAACCCATTAAACAGTAACTCCTCATTTCCTCTCTCCTAGTTTCTGATAACCACTATTCTACTTTTTGTTTCTATGTATTTCACTATTCTAGGTACCTCATCTAAACAGAATCATATACTATTTGTTCTCTTTGGTCTGTCTTATTTCACTCAGCATAATGTCTTCAAGGTTTCTCCTTTATCTTTTGTTCCAGATTTGAAAATGGTACACCAGGAGATGCAATGTGAATAAAAGAATACTGAAAAAGGAATTTTTGAATTCCTCAGGATATATAGCTAGTCTGGGAAGGTTTCCAGAATTAGGCCTATCTGCAGAGAGCTATGCTAATTATGACATAAAAGAACAGGTCTGTGACTTGTGTCTTGAGATTCAAAGGCTAAATTCATATCAAGTTTCTGACTAATTGAAAGCTCAGACAGTAATTTTGGAAACAGCTGCCTGGAAATGAAAATATTAAATTCAGAATAATCTTGAAAAGTTTTTTTTTTTAAGTTACAGATCGTGGGTTAGACCTGAAAATAGGCCCATTATCAGAATCCCACACAGGCAGGTGGAAGCTGATCAGTCAGAGATACCCACAGCAATGTGGAGTTTTTCATGCCTTCCATGAAGACATTCACTTCCATCACCAAGTGTAGAAGATTTCTGTTTGTCTCCTTGGACATCTCCTTGAGAGTGTCCTTTCATGACACCAGGCACATGCTAGGTGGCTCCCTCTAGGGTGACATGCATGAATCATAGGTGTGTTCGTATAGATTCTAATCTGCAGAGAAAATAAAATGTGGAGTGACAGGTGGCTCCTTGTTGATGTGAATATTTTTGTTTTGTTTTGTTTTTCATGATGACACCTTTCTAAGAATCTGAACATTGAATCTGACCCTTCTGAGAGGACACTACACCACTAGAGGGAATCAAACAGAAGATACAAAATTTCTGCTCTCAGTTCTGTAAGTGAATCATCTAGAGAACTTCAGCAAGTCAGCTTACCTCTTTGTCTCTTCCTAGACATTTTGTAATGCTAGCGATGTTTTACTTTTTCTGTCTGTAATGTGTTAACACTGCAGCAGCCTTAACTACAAGGGTATTGGAACCTCTTCAAGGGAAGTAATGTTGAATTCAACTTATTTTTTTCATGCAAAAATCCTAGTGTGTATATGTTCTATTCAGGAATGATGGTCTACGTGAAGTATTATGACTGAGACTCTAAGAGGAACACTTTCCACGTGATACTTTGAGGTTGAAATTAAGTATTAGTATTGGAAACTGTAAATAATCCTAGAGCTGACCTACTTAAATCTCAGGAGAGCTGTGGTCCAAGCATGTTAGGCTGTTTCCAAATCCCAAAGCTAGTAAGCATTGAGATTAAGAATATCAGTTCCTGACTGCTAGAAAAGTTAAAAGGCAATTTTTAAAGTTAGTCTGCCTATGAATATAGTAGTAGCTTGTGCTATTAATATAAGTAGCTAGTGCTACTACAAATAATGTATTTAAAGTGGTAACTCACGGAATAGAGCTGAGAATAAGCCAATAATCAGAATTAAACACAGGTTAGGGAAACATTACCTGAGGTTATAAAGGTGAAGTTTCACGAATAACTCAAAAGCATGGCTAAAACTGTTTAATGTTTAATTTTCTCTTTCTGCTTTTTTTTTCTTCTTCTCTTTTTTAGACAGAGTCTCTCTCTGTCACCAGGCTGGAGCGCAATGGTGCAATCTCAGCTCACTGCAACCTCCTCCTCCTGGGTTCAAGCTATTCTCCTGCCTCAGCCTCCCAAGTAACTGGGATTACAGGCACGTGCCACCCCGCCTGGCTAGTTTTTTTTGTATTTTTAGTGAAGACGGGGTTTCACTGTGTCAGCCAGGATGGTCTCGATCTCCTGACCTCGTGAACCACCCACCTCATCCTCCCAAAGTGCTGGGATTACAGGCATGAGCCACCGCGCCCAGTCCTCTCTTTCTGCTTTTAATTGTGAACATTGTATAGTGACTTTTTAAAAAGTAGATTAAATTCATGTGTACTGAAATGTACAGATTTTTAGCATACAATTTGATGTTTTGATGAATTTACACACCAGGGTAACCACTATTCCTGTGAGGATGGAATATTTTCATCACCTCAGAATGTTCCTTCATGCTGTCTTGCCATTAAGTCCCTATTCCCTTTAGGCAAAAACTTCTAATTTTCATCTTCATAAGTTAATTCATTTTACCTGTTCTTGAGTCATACATAAATGAAATCATACAGTATGAATTTTACATCTGTTTGTTTCATACAACATAAGATTTTGGGGGTTTATCCTGTTGCAACATTGCTATGGTTTGAATGGGTCCCCTCCAAAATGCAAGTGTTGAAACAATGGTTGTTGTCATAGTATTAAGAGATGGGGCCTTTAGGAGGTAATTCGGTCATGAGGTTAATTCCTTATAAGGACTATAAGGGTCCTTATAAAAAAGGCTTCACACGGTATTTCTTTGGTGCTCTTACCCTTTTGCCTTTCATCACGTGAGTACACGGTGTTCTTTCCTCCAACTGTGAAGCAGAGAGCAGCCCGTGCCAGAAAACTAAAGCTGCCAGTGCCTTGTCCTCGGATGCCCAGCCTCCAGAACAGTGAGAGATACATTTCTGTTCTTTATAAATTACCTGGTGTCAGGTATTTTGTTATAGCAGCCTGAGTGGACTCAGACAAATGTATATTATATAGTTCATTATTTCTTACTGAATAGATTTCAGTGTGTGAATCTGTCTTCTCCATTCTCAAGATAATTGACTTTTGCTTCCTATATAAGTCTAGGATCTATATCAGACTTTAAAAACTTTGATATGATTTTAAATGTATAGAAACCTGGAATATAGCACAAAGAAATCTCATATTTTTAAATCAAATTCAGCAATTGTAGAGAAAAGGGGACTCTTGCACACTCTTGGTGGGAAGGTAAAAACTAGCACAGTCATTATGGAAAACAGTATGGAGGTTCCTCAAAATATGAAAAATAGAACTATCATATGATCCAGAAATCCCATTCATGAGTGCATCTGTAAAGGAAATGAAATTAGTATGTTGGAGAGATATCTGCTCTCCCATGTTCATTGCAGCACTCTTCACAGTAACCAGAATATGGAATCAACCTAAATGTTCATCAATGGATGAAAGGATAAAGAAAATGTGTTATATATACACAGAGGAATACTAATCAGCCTTTAAAAAAAGGCTTGTCATTTGAGACAAGATGGATGAACCTGGAGGACATCATGTTAATAAAATAAGCCATCATGTTAATGAAATAAGCCAGGCATACAAAGATCTCACTTAAATGTAGAATCTAACAAAGTGGATCTCATAGAAGCATAGAGTACAAAGATGGTGATCAGGGGTTGGGAGTGGGGAAGTTGGGGAGAGGTTGGTCAAAGGGTATGAAATTCCAGTTAGATAGGAGGAATAAGGTCAAGAGATTATTGTACAACACGGTGACTATAGCTAATAACAACATATTGTATTCTTGAAAATCTCTAAGCGAGTAGATTTTAAGTATTGTCCCCTCAAAAAATGGTAACTATGTGAGGTAATACGCATGTTAATTTGCTTGATTTAGCCATTCTATGATTTATACATATTTCAAAATATGCCGTACACAATAAATACGTACAATTTTTGTCAATTAAAAATAATCAATTTAGGAAATTCAACAATTGTTTGTATTTTGTTTTATTTGTTTTAATGTTTTCTGTCTTCTCTGCATATATACATGTACATATGTATGTGTGTATCAAGGATAGAAACTATTTGTACATACATTTATACAAATATAGTATTTGTGTACAAATACATGTATAAACATATGTGCATACATTTATAAACACATATTTATAGGCTTAAAGATTTTTAAAAATCTATAAGTTTGTAATCTTAAAGTCTTTAAGCCTATCTGTCTGTGGAAATGTATGTGCACACAAAAATAGGATGAAATGTATGTATGCACATATATGCATATGTTTATACATATCTTAGGATTTTTAAGAGAAACAGAACCAATAGAATATATATAGATATACAAGAGAAGTTTGATTATGAGAATTGGCCCATGCAACTATAGAGGCCAAGAAGTCTTACATGATAAATTGTATTTCATAATTTAAAGCTTTTTCTCATTAAAGGCACTATTAATAAAAGGAAATAAAAGCCACAAATGGGAGAAAATATTTGCAAAAGAGTATAGGTGATAATAAACTTGTATCTACAATAAACAAAGAACATGAAATTCTTGCAAATCAATAATAGAAGACAAAACGCACAATTAAGAAAATAGGTTAAAGGTTTGGACAGACACTCCACCAAAAAGGATGCAGGAATGGCAAATAAGTGAATAAAAAGTTTGCTCAGTATTTTCAGTCATTAGGAAAATCATTATTATTCCTATGCCAGCTTTATAAGATAAACTTCATGTGCTATAAAATTCACCTAAAGTGTACAGTTTAGTGGTTTTTAGTATACTCACTGGGTTGTGCAACCATCACCACAGTCTATTTGGCAACATTTTTACCGCCTCAAAAAGCAAGCCAGTACTGTTTAGTTACTATTTCTATTCTCCCAACCTCTCCAGACAGAAGTAATCATTCATCTATTTTCTGTCTCTATTGATTTGCCTATTCTAAATATGTCATATAGTAAATCATATAATATGTGGTCTTTCATTAGTGGCTTATTTCACTTGGCATGATGTTTCCAGGGTTCATCCATGTTGTAGCAAATTACCCCCATTGTATAGATATGCCACCTTTTATTTATCAATTAATCAGTTGGTGAACATTTGGGTTGTTTCCACCATTTGGCTATTATGAATAATGTGGTTATGAACAGTTGTGTACAAGTGTTTGTGTAGACATATATTATTTTCTCTTGAATATACACATAAAAGTGGGAATGCTTGGTCATAGGGTAATTCTATGTTTACTATTTGAGAAATTACCAGAGTATTTTTCTAAGTGTCTGCATCATTTTACATTCAGGCCCACAAAGTAAAACACTTCTGATATTCCACATACTCAACATTTGTAATCATCTGTCTTTTTTTGTGCAGAACGTGCAGGTTTGTTACATAGGTATACACATGTCATGGTGGTTTGCTGCACCCATCAACCTGTCATCCATATTAGGTATTTCTCCTAATGCTATCCTTCCCCTAGCCCTCCACTCCCCGACAGGCCCTGTTGTGTGATATTCCTCTCCCTGTGTCCATGTGTTCTCATTGTTCAACTCCCACTTATGAGTGAGAACATGTGGTGTTTTCCTGTGTTAGTTTGCTGAGAATGATGGTTTCCAGCTTCATCCATATCCCTGCAAAGGACATGCACTCATCATTTTTCATGGCTGCATACTATTCCATGGTGTATATGTGCCACATTTTCTTTATCCAGTCTATCATTGATGGACATTCAGGTTGGTTCCAAGTCTTTGCTATTGTGAATAGTGCTGGAATAAACATACGTGTGCATGTGTCTTTATAGTAGAATGATTTATAATCCTTTGGGTACATACCCTGTTATGGGATTCCGGGACCAGACAGATTCATAGACGAATTCTACCAGAGATACAAAGAGGAGCTGGTACCATTTCTTCTGAAATGATTCCAAACAATAGAAAAACAGGAAATCCTTCCTAACTCATTTTATGAGGACGGCATCATCCTGATACCAAAACCTGGCAGAGACACAACAAAAAAGAAAATTTCAGGCCAATATCCCTGATGAACATCGATGTGAAAATCCTCAATAAAATACTGGCAAACCGAATCCAGCAGCACATCAAAATCCTTATCAACCACGATCAAGTTGGCTTCATACCTGGGATGCAAAGCTGGTTCAACAGACACATATCAATAAACATAATCCATCAAATAAACAGAACCAATGACAAAAACCACATGATTATCTCAACAGACATAGAAAAGCCTTCAATAAAATTCAACACCCTTTCATGCTAAAAAACTCTCAATAAACTAGGTATTGATGGAATGTATCTCAAAACATTAAGAGCTATTTATGACAAACCCACAGCCAATATCATACTAAATGGGCAAAAGCTGGAAACATTCCCTTTGAAAACCGGCACAAGACAAGGATGCCCTCTCTCACCACTCCTATTCAACATAGTATGGGAAGTTCTAGTTAGGGCAATCAGGGAAGAGGAAGAAACAAAGGGTATTCAAACAGGAAGAGAGGAAGTCAAATTGTCTCTGTTTGCAGATGACATGATTGGATATTTAGAAAACCCCATTGTCTCAGCCCAAAATCTTCTTAAGCTGGTAAGAAATTTCAGCAAAGTCTCAGGATACAAAATCAATGTGCAAAAATCACAAGCATTTTTATACACCAATAATAGACAAACAGAGAGCCAAACCATGAATGAACTCCCATTCACAACTGCTACCAAGAATAAAATACCTAAAAATACAACTTACAAGGGATGTGAAGGACCTCTTCAAGGAGAACTACAAACCACTGCTCAATGAAATAAGAGAGGATACAAATGGAAAAACAATCCATGCTCATGGATAGGAAGAATCAATATCATGAAAATGGACAAAGTAATTTATAGATTCAATGGCATTCCCATCAAGCTACCATTGACTTTCTTCACAGAACTAGAAAAAACTACTTTAAATTTCATATGGAATCAAAAAGAGCTCACATAGCCAAGATAACCCTAAGCAAAAAGAACAAAGCTGGAGGCATCATTCCATGTGACTTCAACCTATACTACAAGGCTACAGTAACCAAAACAGCATGGTATTGGTACCAAAACAGCATGGTATTGGTACCAAAACAGATATATAGATGAGTGGAAGAGAACAGTGCCTCATAAATAATGCCATACATGTACAACCATCTGATCTTTGACAAACCTGACAAAAACAAGCAATGGGGAAAGGATTCCCTATTTAATAAATGGTGTTGGGAAAACTGGCTAGCCATATGCAGGAAACAGAAACTGGACCCCCTCCTTACACCTTACACAAAAATTCTCAAGATGAATTAAAGACTTAAATGTAAGACCTAAAACAGTAAAAACCCTGGAAGAAAACATAGGCAATACCATTCAGGACATAGGCATGGGCAAAGACTTCATGACTAAAACACCAAAAGCAAGGGCAACAAAAGCCAAAATTGACAAATGGGTTATAATTAAACTAAAGAGTTTCTGCATAGCAAAAGAAACTATCATCAGACTGAACAGGCAACATACAGAATGAGAGAAAATGTTTGCAATCTATCTATCTGACAAGGTCTAATATCCAGAATCTACAAGGAACATAAACAAATTTACAAGAAACAAACAAACAACCCCATCAAAAAATGGGTGAAGGATATGAACAGACACTTCTCAAAAGAAGATATTTATGAAGCCAACAAACATATGAAAAAAGCTCATCATCACTGGTCATTAGAGAAATGCAAATCAAAACCACGATGAGATGCCATCTCACACCAGTTAGAATGGCAATCAGTAAAAAGTCAGGAAACAACAGATGCTGGCAAGGATGTGGAGAAATCGGAATGCTTTTACACTGTTGGTGGGAATGTAAATTAGTTCAACCATAGTGGAAGACAGTGTGGCGATTCCTCAAGGATCTAGAACCAGAAATATCACGTCTTTTTGATTGTCGTCATCCTAGTGCTTCTGAATTGGTGTTTCATTGATGTCTTGATTTGCATTTGCATTCATAAGAATTCTTTATATATCCTAGATACAAGTCCCCCATCAGATACATGATTTACAAATATTTTCTCCTATATTGTCGGTTATGTTTTCAAGTTTTTGATAGTATCACTTGAAGAAAAAAAGTTTTAGGGGAGCAGCCAAGATGGCCGAATAGGAACAGCTCCAGTCTACAGCTCCCAGCGTGAGCAATGCAGAAGACGGGTGATTTCTGCATTTCCATCTGAGGTACCAGGTTCATCTCACTAGGAGTGCCAGACAGTGGGCACAGGTCAGTGGGTGTGCGCAGCACTGCGTGAGCCGAAGCAGAGAGAGGCATTGCCTCACTCAGGAAGCACAAGGGGTCAGGGAGTTCCCTTTCCTAGTCAAAGAAAGGGGTGACGGACAGCACCTGGAAAATCGGGTCACTCCCACCCGAATGCTGCACTTTTCCCATGGGCTTAAAAAACGGCGCACCACGAGATTATATCCCACACCTGGCTCGGAAGGTCCTACACCCACGGAGTCTCGCTGATTGCTAGCACAGCAGTCTGTGATCAAACTGCAAGGCGGCAGCGAGGCTGGACGAGGGGCGCCCACCATTGCCCAGGCTTGCTTAGGTAAACACAGCAGCCGGGAAGCTCTAGCTGGGTGGAGCCCACCACAGCTCAAGGAGGCCTGCCTGCCTCTGTAGGCTCCACCACTGAGGGCAGGGCACAGACAAACAAAAAGACAGCAGTAACCTCTGCAGACTTAAATGTCCCTGTCTGACAGCTTTGAAGAGATCACTGGTTCTCCCAGCATGCAGCTGGAGATCTGAGAAGGGGCAGACTGCCTCCTCAAGTGGGTGCCTGACCCCTGACCCCCTAGCAGCCTAACTGGGAGGCACCCCCCAACAGGGGCACACTGACACCTCACACGGCAGGGTACTCCAACAGACCTGCAGCTGAGGGTCCTCTCTGTTAGAAGGAAAACTAACAAACAGAAAGAACATCCACACCAAAAACCCATCTGTACATCACCATCATCAAAGACCAAAAGTAGATAAAACCACAAAGATGGGGGAAAAACAGAATAGAAAAACTGGAAACTCTAAAAAGCAAAGCGCCTTTCCTCCTCCAAAGGAACGCAGCTCCTCACCAGCAACGGAACAAAGCTGGATGGAGAATGACTTCGACGAGCTGAGAGAAGAAGGTTTCAGATGATCAAATTACTCTGAGCTACGGGAGGACATTCAAACCAAAGGCAAAGAAGTTGAAAACTTTGAAAAAAATTTAAAGAATATATAACTAGAATAACCAATAGAGATAAGTGCTTAAAGGAGCTGATGGAGCTGAAAACCAAGGCTCGAGAACTACGTAAAGAATGCAGAGGCCTCAGGAGCCGATGCAATCAACTGGAAGAAAGGGTATCAGTGATGGAAGATGAAATGAATGAAATGAAGCGAGAAGGGAAGTTTAGAGAAAAAAGAATAAAAAGAAATGAGCAAAGCCTCCAAGAAATATGGGACTATGTGAAAAGACCAAATCTACGTCTGATTGGTGTACCTAAAAGTGACGGGGAGAATGGAACCAAGTTGGAAAACAGTCTGCAGGATATTATCCAGGAGAACTTCCCCAATCTAGCAAGGCAGGCCAATGTTCAGATTCAGGAAATACAGAGAACGCCACAAAGATACTCCTTGAGAAGAGCAACTCCAAGACACGTAATTATCAGATTCACCAAAGTTGAAATGAAGGAAAAAATGTTAAGGGCAGCCAGAGAGAAAGGTCGGGTTACCCTCAAAGGGAAACCCATCAGACTAACATCGGATCTCTCAGCAGAAACCCTACAAGCCAGAAGACAGTAGGGGCCAATATTCAACATTCTTAAGGAAAAGAATTTTCAACCCAGAATTTCATATCCAGCCAAACTAAGCTTCATAAGTGAAGGAGAAATAAAATACTTTACAGACAAGCAAATGCTGAGAGATTTTGTCACCACCAGGCCTGCCCTAAAAGAGCTCCTGAAGGAAGTGCTAAACATGGAAAGGAACAACAGGTACCAGCCGCTGCAAAATCATGCCAAAATGTAAAGACCATCGAGACTAGGAAGAAACTGCATCAACTAACAAGCAAAATAACCAGCTAACATCATAATGACAGGATCAAATTCACACATAACAATATTAACTTTAAAAGTAAATGGACTAAATGCTCCAATTAAAAGACACAGACTGGCAAATTGGATAAAGAGTCAAGACCCATCAGTGTGCTGTATTCAGGAAACCCATCTCATGTGCAGAGACACACATAGGCTCAAAATAAAAGGATGGAGGAAAATCTACCAAGCAAATGGAAAATGAAAAAAGGCAGGGGTTGCAATCCTAGTCTCTGATAAGACAGACTTTAAACCAACAAAGATCAAAAGAGACAAAGAAGGCCATTACATAATGGTGAAGGGATCAATTCAACAAGAAGAGCTAACTATCCTAAATATATATGCACCCAACACAGGAGCACCCAGATTCATAAAGCAAGTCCTGAGTGACCTACAAAGAGACTTAGGCTCCCACAGATTAATAATGGGAGACTTTAACACCCCACTGTCAACATTAGACAGATCAACGAGACAGAAAGTCAACAAGGATACCCAGGAATTGAACTCAGCTCTGCACCAAGTGGACCTAATAGACATCTACAGAACTCTCCACCCCAAATCAACAGAATATACATTTTTTTTCAGCACCACACCACACCTATTCCAAAATTGACCACATACTTGGAAGTAAAGCTCTCCTCAGCAAATGTAAAAGAACAGAAATTATAACAAACTATCTCTCAGACCACAGTGCAATCAAACTAGAACTCAGGATTAAGAATCTCACTCAAAACCGCTCAACTACATGGAAGTTGAACAACCTGCTCCTGAATGACTACAGGGTACATAACGAAATGAAGGCAGAAATAAAGATCTTTGAAACCAACGAGAACAAAGACACAACATACCAGAATCTCTGGGACGCATTCAAAGCAGTGTGTAGAGGGAAATTTATAGCACTAAATGCCCACAAGAGAAAGCAGGAAAGATCCAAAATTGACACCCTAACATCACAATTAAAAGAACTAGAAAAGCAAGAGCAAACACATTCAAAACCTAGCAGAAGGCAAGAAATAACTAAAATCAGAGCAGAACTGAAGGAAATAGAGACACAAAAAACCCTTCAAAAAATTAATGAATCCAGGAGCTGGTTTTTTGAAAGGATCAACAAAATAGATAGACCATTAGCAAGACTGATAAAGAAAAAAAGAAGAATCAAATAGACGCAATAAAAAATGATAAAGGGGATATCACCACCGATCCCACAGAAATACAAACTACCATCAGAGAATACTACAAACACCTCTATGCAAATAAACTAGAAAATCTAGAAGAAATGGATAAATTCCTGGACACATACACTCTCCCAAGACTAAACCAGGAAGAAGTTGAATCTCTGAATAGACCAATAACAGGATCTGAAATTGTGGCAATAATCAATAGCTTACCAACCAAAAAGAGTCCAGGACCAGATGGATTCACAGCCGAATTCTACCAGAGGTACAAGGAGGAACTGGTACCATTCCTTCTGAAACTATTCCAATCAATAGAAAAAGAGGGAATCCTCCCTAACTCATTTTATGAGGCCAGCATCATTCTGATACCAAAGCTGGGCAGAGACACAACAAAAAAAGAGAATTTTAGACCAATATCCCTGATGAACATTGATGCAAAAATCCTCAATAAAATACTGGCAAACCGAATCCAGCAGCACATCAAAAAGCTTATCCACCATGATCAAGTGGGCTTCATCCCTGGGATGCAAGGCTGGTTCAATATACGCAAATCAATAAATGTAATCCAGCATATAAACAGAGCCAAAGACAAAAACCACATGATTATCTCAATAGATGCAGAAAAGGCCTTTGACAAAATTCAACAACCCTTCATGCTAAAAACTCTCAATAAATTAGGTATTGATGGGACGTATTTCAAAATAATAAGAGCTATCTATGACAAACCCACAGCCAATATCAAACTGAATGGGCAAAAACTGGAAGCATTCCCTTTGAAAACTGCCACAAGACAGGGATGCCCTCTCTCACCACTCCTATTCAATATAGTGTTGGAAGTTCTGGCCAGGGCAATTAGGCAGGAGAAGGAAATAAAGGGTATTCAATTAGGAAAAGAGGAAGTCAAATTATCCCTGTTTGCAGACAACATGATTATATATCTAGAAAACCCCATTGTCTCAGCCCAAAATCTCCTTA
This sequence comes from Homo sapiens, assembly GCF_000001405.40. NCBI lineage: Eukaryota > Metazoa > Chordata > Mammalia > Primates > Hominidae > Homo > Homo sapiens. The sequence goes on from NC_000008.11 coordinate 61,998,440, forward strand.
AGCTGATAAGCAACTTCAGCAAAGTCTCAGGATACAAAATCGATGTACAAAAATCACAAGCATTCTTATACACCAACAACAGACAAACAGAGAGCCAAATCATGAGTGAACTCCCATTCACAATTGCTTCAAAGAGAATAAAATACCTAGGAATCCAACTTACAAGGGATGTGAAGGACCTCTTCAAGGAGAACTACAAACCACTGCTCAAGGAAATAAAAGAGGATACAAACAAATGGAAGAACATTCCATGCTCATGGGTAGGAAGAATCAATATTGTGAAAATGGCCATACTGCCCAAGGTAATTTACAGATTTAATGCCATCCCCATCAAGCTACCAATGACTTTATTCACAGAATTGGAAAAATCTACTTTAATGTTCATATGGAACCAAAAAAGAGCCCGCATCGCCAAGTCAATCCTAAGCCAAAAGAACAAAGCTGGAGGCATCACACTACCTGACCTCAAACTACTCTACAAGGCTACAGTAACCAAAACAGCATGGTAGTGGTACCAAAACAGAGATATAGATCAATGGAACAGAACAGAGCCCTCAGAAATAACGTCGCATTTCTACAACTATCTTATCTTTGACAAACCTGAGAAAAACAAGCAATAGGGAAAGGATTCCCTATTTAATAAATGGTGCTGGGAAAACTGGCTAGCCATATGTAGAAAGCTGAAACTGGATCCCTTCCTTACACCTTATACAAAAATCAATTCAAGATGGATTAAAGACTTAAACATTAGACCTAAAACCATAAAAACCCTAGAAGAAAACCTAGGCATTACCATTCAGGACATAGGCATGGGCAAGGACTTCATGTCTAAAACACCAAAATTAATGGCAACAAAAAACAAAATTGACAAATGGGATCTAATTAAACTAAAGAGCTTCTGCACAGCAAAAGAAACTACCATCAGAGTGAACAGGCAACTTACAAAATGGGAGAAAATTTTTGCAACCTACTCATCTGACAAAGGGCTAATATCCAGAATCTACAATGAACTCAAACAAATTTACAAGAAAAAAACAAACAACCCCGTCAAAAAGTGGGCAAAGGACATGAACAGACACTTCTCAAAAGAAGACATTTATGCAGCGAAAAAACACATGAAAAAATGCTCATCATCACTGGCCATCAGAGGAATGCAAATCAAAACCACAATGAGATACCATCTGACAACAGTTAGAATGGTGATCATTAAAAAGTCAGGAAACAACAGGTGCTGGAGAGGATGTGGAGAAATAGGAACACTTTTGCACTGTTGGTGAGACTGTAAACTAGTTCAACCATTGTGGAAGTCAGTGTGGCGATTCCTCAGGGATCTAGAACTAGAAATACCATTTGACCCAGCCATCCCATTACTGAGTATATACCCAAAGGACTATAAATCATGCTGCTATAAAGACACATGCACATGTATGTTTATTGTGGCATTATTCACAATAGCAAAGATTTGGAACCAACCCAAATGTCCAACAATGATAGACTGGATTAAGAAAATTTGGCACATATACACCTTGGAATACTATGCAGCCATAAAAAATGATGAGTTCATGTCCTTTGTAGGGACATGGATGAAATTGGAAATCATCATTCTCAGTAAACTATCGCAAGAACAAAAAACCAAACACCGCATATTCTCACTCACAGGTGGGAATTGAACAATGAGATCACATGGACACAGGAAGGGGAACATCACACTCTGGGGACTGTTGTGGGGTCGGGGGAGGGGGGAGGGATAGCATTGGGAGATATACCTAATGCTAGATGACCAGTTAGTGGGTGCAGTGCACCAGCATGGCACATGTATACATATGTAACTAACCTGCACAATGTGCACATGTACCCTACAACTTAAAGTATAATAATAAAAGAAAAAAAACTTAAAAAAAAAGAAAAAAGTTTTAATTTCTTATGGTTATCTGTTTTGTAATTGCTGTTGTTTATACATTGATGTCATGTCTAAAAATACATTTCCAAATTTGAAGTCATGCAGATTTAACCCTATACTTTCTTCTAAGAGTATTATCTCTTACATTTAAGCTTTTATTCAATTTTTAGCTGAGTTTTATATATTGCATAAAGTAAGGGTCCAACTTCATTCTTTTGCACGTGGATATCCAGTTGTCCTAGTACCATTTGTTGAAAAAGTCACAAATTATTAACATACATAATAATAGTAGATGTGATTTGCTAACATTTTCTTATGAATTTTTGCATCTACAACCTTGAAAGATACTGTCCATAATTTTCTTTTCTTAGAATATCTCCTCAATGTTTTGATATCACAGCAATACTGACCTCTTAAAATGAGTAGGAACATGTTTCTCCATGTTTTTAAAATATTTTGTGAAGAATTGGTATTATTTATTTCTTCCCAGGAATATTCAACAAGAAACCTCTCTGGTCCTGAAAATTTCAGAATGAGAATGTTTATCATTATGAATTCAATTGTTTAATAGATATGTAGCTATTCATATTTCTCTATTCATTAGTGAGTCTGAAAAATTTGTATCTATCTAGAATTTGCCTGTTTTATTTAAGCTGTTGAACTAAATGGAATAAAGTTGTTCACAATATGTCTTTATTGTCTTTTTGATATTCAGGATCCATAGCAATGTTTGAGCTTTCATTCTTTTTAAAAAAAAATTTACTTTAAATTCTGGGATACATGTGCAGAACGTGCAGGTTTTTTACATAGGTATACATGTGCCCTGGTGGTTTGCTGCACCCATCAACCCATCATCTAGGTTTTAAGCCCTGTAGGCATTAGGTATTTGTCCTAATGCTCTCCCTCTCCTTCCCCTTCACTCCCTGACAGGCCCCTGTGTGTGATGTTCCCCTCTCTGTGTACATGTGTTCTCATTGTTCAACTCCCACTTACGAGTGAGAACATGTGGTGTTTGGATTTCTGTTCCTGTGTTAGTTTGCTGAGAATGATGGTTTCCAGCTTCATCCAAGTCCCTGCAAAGGACATGAACTCATTTTTTATGGCTGCATAGTATTCCATGGTGTATACGTGCCACATTTTCTTTATGCGGTCTATCATTGATGGGCATTTGGGTTGGTTCCAAGTCTTTGCTATTGTGAACAGTGCTGCAACAAACATACATGTGCATGTTTCTTTATAGTAGAGTGATTTATAATCCTTTGGGTATATCTAATGGGATTGCTGGGTCAAATGGTATTTCTGTTTCTAGATCCTTAAGGAATCACCACACTGTCTTCCACAATGGTTGAACTAACTTAGACTCCCACCAAGAGTATAAAAGCATTCCTATTTCTCCACATCCTCTCCAGCATCTGTTGTTTCCTGACATACAGAAAGGCATATTATAAATGCCAGTCCTGCTTTGAGATATTCACTTCTCTACCCAGTCCAAAGGAATCTCTCTCTCCCCCTGAATACTCTTTTGTGTAATTCCTCTTTGGATACTTAAAACAAAGGCATTTATGTAAATATTCTGACAAACATTATTAGATGGTAGACAAATAAGGGCAGAATCCATGTATAAGTTATATCCAATACTTAACACGATGCTTTACCCATAGCAATTCCTCCATAAAAAATAATGATTCTGTTAGTGAAATGTCCAAATGGTATGTCTAGAGATGTCTCTATATGAATAAGACTGGTAAAAGAGGAAAATAGATAATGTTATACTTAGGAAAATTACAGCAAGGAATAAATTTCTCTCAAAAGAAACAAAATTAGAAGAACCAGGTAAAGCTACTTAAGAATTTTGTGATTATGGTTCCAGGTCTCATGGAAACCTGGTAATTATATTAGCCTCTATTCCTTGGATGCTTAATGTACTTAAATATGAAAGTGCAATCACTGCTGAATTTCACTAATAGGCCATAAATCAAAAATACCAAACATCAGATGATTTTTGTCCCATCAGGGACACACAGTATAGACAATAAAGGAAGGGTGCATAGAAGCACAGTCATAAATGAAAGTGGCAGATAAAGGATGTGATGAACAAGAGCCACAAATCTCACCAGATAAGACCTTTCCCAGGACAGATGGTATGGTGGATACTCAAGCTCACTCTGATGAAGTGAGGCAGAGCCTGGGGCATGAGCTACAAAGTGATATGTAAACTTAAAAGGAGATGTCTTATTAAATGTCTTTCTGCTCCTAATTTTAATATTGTGGCAAAACTTCCTTAAATTTTCTCATTCTATTCTTTCCTTTATTGTCTTTGATCAATATTTCATCCCCTACATATAAAGTTTATCATGTGCACTATCACTTTGTACATGTATAGTTATTTGCCACTATTATATTTTACTTGTTTCCTTTACTTTTCTGTCCCTGTTTGTTGGCATCATTGCCCTCAATAAGATTACAAAAAATCCAGGGGTAGGAACTATTGCCTGATAATGGTGTAGAAAGCACCACCACCCCCGCCACCCTAAACCTAGTGTAGAACTCTGCATACTATGAGTGAACAATACATGGGCCTTCAGTGAAAAACTGAATTAGGAAGAGATTCTTTTTGAAAAACTAATTCGATTAGTATGATATAATGAGATGGCATAGACTCATTTCTCCCTGCACATCCTTGGTAAGTACAACTATAAACACTGGAAATAATGTAAGAGAAAACCAAAGGAGAGCTCTCAAGGGTGGAGAGAGAAAGCGTGCTTTGGAACCAAGACTGAAGGAAGAACACCTATCAGAAAAAGGGAAAAAGATGATCTGGCTTGGCACTTCCCCACCACAACCTAGCAACAGCAGGCAGCCCAAGTAGACTCATTATATCTCAGGTTGAATGGAAGTCCCTCCTACAACAGTGGGGGAGCCCTGCACCACGAGAACGGGCGATTATCAGAGCCCCACTAACAGTTAACAGCACGGGAATCTCTTTTCTCCTCTCCCCAGTGGAAGACATGGGGGTGGAACAGGCAACAGTGGCAGGACAGATTTCACCCCAACAACCAATCAGACCAGGGAAGCTTCCTGGTGTTTATGGACCAGGCCTGAGACTCCTCTTCCCCACTGAGAGATATCAGGCTGCCTGGCCCAGGGAAACCCTTTTTGTCTCTTCAGGCAGTACTAACAAGAAGGACTAGTGGGAGCCCCAGCGACAGCAGATTATCCAAGCAGACCAAAATGACACCACAAAGGTTCTGAAAATTTAAAAGTAGCTCTAGACCCACATAATACATCTAAACAGGGTGACTCTTACTAAAATAAGAGATTTAAATCAGACTCAGAGTCTCCTAATGTAATAGACAAAATGAGCAGGATACAATACCCATCATATCAAGAATCAGGAAAATCAAACTTGAAAGAGAAATACAATCAATTCACGCCAAGATGAATCGTGTATTGGAATTATCTAATGAGAATTTTAAAGCAAACATAAAAATGCTTCAACACTGACTTATAAATTCTCTTGAAGCAAAAAGATAGAAAATCCCAAAAAAGAAATGTTATAAAAAAGACCTAAATAAGAATTATGGAACAAAAAACAAAATAATTAAAATTTAAAAAAAAAAAAAACCTCACTGGGAGCTCAATAGTACAGTGGAAATTATAGAGGATAGAATCAGTGAACTTGAGGTCAAATTGTGTCTGGAGTTGGTTCCTTCCGGTGGGTTCATGGTCTCGCTGACTTCAAGAATGAAGCCGCAGACCTTCACGGTGAGTGTTACAGCTCTTAAAGGTGGCACAGACCCAAAGAGTGAGCAGCAGCAAGATTTATTGTGAAGAGCAAAAGAACAAAGCTTCCACAGCATGGAAGGGGGCCAGAGCGGGTTGCTGCTGCAGGCTGGGGTGGCCAGCTTTCATTCCCTTATTTGTCCCTGCTCATGTCCTGCTGATTGGTCCATTTTACAGAGTGCTGATTGGTCCATTTTACAGGGTGCTGATTGGTCCATTGTATAAACCTCTAGTTAGCTACAGAGTGCTGATTAGTGCATTTTTACAGAACACTGATTGGTGCATTTTACAAACCTCTTGTAAGACAGAATAGTTCTCCAAGTCCACGCTCGACCCAGGAAGTCCACCTGGCTTCACTTCTCAAAATCAATAACATTTACCCAATCTGAAAAACAGAAATAAACTGTTTTACCCCTCAAAATGAGTAAGAGTCTCAGAGCTCTATAGAACAATAACAAAAGACCTAACCTTTGTATCATTAGGATCTAATATGGTTTGGCTGTGTCCTCATCCAGATCTCAACTTAATTTGTATCTCCCAGAATTGCACATGTTGTGGGAAGGATCCAGGGGGAGGTAATTGAATCTTGGGGGCCAGTCTTTCCCATGATATTCTCATGATAGTGAATAAGTCTCTTGAGATCTGATGGGTTTATCAGGGGTTTCTGCTTTTGCTTCTTCCTCATTTCTCTATTGCTGCCACCGCCACCAAGTAAGAAGTGCCTTTTACCCTCCACCATGATTATGAGATCTCCCTAGCCATGTGGAGCTGTAAGTCAAATTAAACCTCTTTTTCTTCCCAGTCTCAGATATATCTTTATCAGCAGTGTAAAAACGGACTAATACAGCATCTCAGAAAAAAGGAAAAACAGAGTGTTTGGGGCTGAAAGAGTATTTAAGAAAAAAGCTCCATACTTTCCAAACTTGGCAAAAGGCACAAGCCTCCAGATTCAAGGTGGGCAAATCTGGGAAAGAATAAACCCAAAATATTCATGCCAAGACACATTATAATTAAACTTTTAAAAACAAAAGACAAAGAAAAATCATGAATGCAGCCAAGAAGAAATGACTCATTACTCATGGGGTTACACTAATTTAAGTGATAGCGGATTTCTCTTCTGAAACTATTAAGGCCAGATGGAAGTGACACATTTTTCAAGTGCTAAGATAAGAACTGTCAACTGTGAACTATATATGTGGCAAAACTATTCCTAAGGAGTAAAGGGGAAATAAAGGCATTCTCTGATAAAGAATAACTAAAAGAATTTGTCAAATCTACCCTCAAAAACTGGCCAAAGGAATGTCTTCAGAGAGAATCTTTAAAAGTAAAGATTCTGGGAGCATAAGGAAGGAAGAAGGAGCACAAGTGGGTTCATACAGTAGACTATAATTTCTTTCATGAGTTTTATTAATTGATTACCTAACTGAATCAAAATTATCACACCATCTGATACTCAAGAAAATGGTATTTAACTGGAAGCATAGCAAAGGAACCTAAAAGAAAGTTAGATTTCCGCTCTCTATATGAAGTGAAAAAATGTTGATTCCTAGTAGAATGTGATGCCACGTATGTATATTGTTATACCCTGTGAAACAACTATAAAAGTGACACAAACAGATGCATTCAAAATATAAATTAATCAAAATGGAATTCTAAATAATTTCTAAATAACTCTTGGGAAGATAAGAAAAGGAAAACAGAGTAATAAAAACCAGAGAGAAATAACATAAAATACAAAATTAAATGGCAGACTTAAGCTCTAGCATATCAATAATTACCTTAAATATAAATAATCTAAATTTACCTGTAAAAAGACAAAGAGATTTGCAAAGTGGATGAAAAAACATGAACTAACTATATACTGTTTACAAGAAGGTCACCTCAAATTCAACAACATAGGTAGCTTGAAATGAAATGATGAAAATGATATGCCATGCAAACATTATATATTAATAATATAGATTGTACGTGTGTGTGTGTGTGTGTGTGTGTGTGTGTGTTTTAAAAACCTAGTAAAGGTCTGAATGAGAGAAGATGAGGAAGCCAAATCAGTGTACATCACTGAATCTGGGTAGGAAGGTTACCGCTAATGTTACGGAATTTAACAAGCATATGTAAACACATTGTCTCATTGGGTTCTCCAAATACATCTGTGGAACTGGCATGTCTAACTGGCCTTCATTAGCAAACAAGGTGCTTAGGGAATTGTCTCAGGCTGGTGTTCCAGGTGCTGTGGTCACTTTGGGAGTGACTGGGATTCAACATGTGGAGCAAAGGGAAACTTCGCTTCTCATGAAAATCAGACCCTGAAAGGTTGGAAGAAAGAGGGGAGCAAGAGGAAAAATGACTCCCAAGGCAAACTGGCAACAGGGAAGAGGTTAAATTGAGCAAACATGTTGCAGAATGCCTGACCTTACATTGTTCTGAAAGACTATTCAGAGCAAAAAGCTAAGTCCCATTTGTGAGATGATGGAAGGGACACCCAAGGGCAGGAAGAAAGCTACTGAGTTAAGTTGGCAGGGCTGAGAGTATTCCCATTTTGTGAAAAATGAAATGGACTGACATGTTGAAAGTCACATCATAACTGATAGCACCAAAATCTCAGAACGCACTGCTAAATAACTTTTCTAATCACCACCCGTTCCCCAATAACTATTGAAATAAAAAAGTCAGCTGATGATTAACCAAAATAACACTAATAATTGGTAGAGCTGGGATTGAAATCTAGGGCATGTTCTTCAATATCATGTGACTTATTTGAATTTGAAGAGAGGCCTCTTAGGGAACAGGATATATGAAAGATTGTTCTCTGGAAGTAATAAGATATCACATTCCTTTAGATAATCCAATTAATGAAGTTGTAACAGAGATGTTTGTCTCAGTGGAGCCTGTCTTGTACACATCAGAATGTTTTTTTTAACACTGTTACGCCTTTGAGCTGAAACCTGGCATTTTTTGACACCAGCATATGAGGTGAAGGGATCTCTTCACTCTCATCACCACTCTGCCCTCCCATTTCTTTGCATGAGTCTCTCTGCAAGTTATTCCTTTTCTGACAGTTGGTATGGACAGTCTAGTACAGACATCATGACTTTGGAAAATTACATCAAGTTTTTAATCTGTTGAGTAATTTGTGTCAATTATATACGTGTAAATAAGAATATTGTAAAGGAAGAAAGAATGCTATTAATACTGTCTTTCATCTAATTAGTAGCCAATCCCTGTCCCAACCAAAAGAAAAAAGAAATCCAGTATCAGGCTTATGGTTCTAATGTGGTGGGGTATAATTTTAACATTATCGAGGAGGGTGATAACACTAACAGCATTCAGAAAAGAGTCTAGTATTCTGTACTCTATAGAGCAATAATTGGTGTCTTAGTGGGGGTATGAGCTCCAGAATGGCATGAACAACAGGAATAATAAGCATTAATCTAATTGAGAATGCCAATTATCTCTACCTGTTTAACATATCTGTCACTTGGCAAGGACATAAAGATGACTAGTGAAAAGGAGAGTAGAAAATACTTCTACTATTTAGATATTAAGCATCTACTGAGTCTCTGCTATGTGCACAAAACTAGACAGTTGCTGAGGCAGTGACTCAATGAGTTTTTAATACGTCTCAGTAAGTATTTCATAATCCAGAAAAATATTTTATGCTTTGTTCACATTCAAGTCTCAAGTCAAAAAATCTTCATCTAACTGGATTTTTATCCACAATATTTAAGTTTGTTAAAATTTTCTAAAGTGAAGCCAGTGGACTCAAAATAGCAATGTTTACTAACCATTTATATTCTTTAATTATGTTTATTCAGCAGATCACATAAACAGCATGTTCACAACTAAAAACATTTTACCACAAGAATAAAGTCACTTGTTTATCTAAGAGCTAACCACTGTTGATAGATATTAGTATTATTGTTTCACTTTGCTTTGGGCAAAGAAATGGAACAGATGCTTGCAACCTATTATACATTACACATCAGATGAGGAAAGGCAGAAAAATGAAAAGAGATAGCTCAGAAGGAAATGAATACAATAATAACTAAAAGGAAAACAGAATCTTGACAGACAGGCAGAACACACCAGCTGCTCTCTTCTGATTCCAAAGATTGACATCAAAAGTCAAGAAAAATAATGCTTGTGTCCTAAATTAAAGATACACATGTATTTATATGATTACCTATGAATTTAAGGAAGAATAAGACTCTTTGTTCCAAGAACTGGGTGCAGATTTATTTCATAGAGTTTGCTCATTTGAATGTTTAATTAGGAGTTACAGTCACAATCCACACAATAAATTGGGACATGCCAGTGATAGGAGTTGACAGTTGAGAATCACTTAGTACTAATTATTAAGAAAATGTATAGAACAAATTTGAGTAATGTTTCAAAGCTACTGTTGTCAATGGGTTTGGCTATACTTGATTATGATGCTGATGAACAAAGACACCGTTGCTGTTGCGTGTTACTTGTAATGTAGTGAGGTAAACTGCTTTTTGATTCTCTATGGAGCTTTGCATCTATATTTTTGTGAGAAAATTGTTGAGACTCATGCCCATCACTTTATTCGATTCTTCATAAGGTCCCAATAAACTTTTCTTAAACATTAGTAGTGAGAGAAATTTTTCTTTTTTGAAGAATAATCTGTATCTTCCTCTTGAAAAAATTTGAAGTACATAACTTGCCACCTTAAGTCCCTATGAACTTGACATTTGTGTCTCAAGGATCTAACATAGTACAGGACTTAAGGAAGGAAGGCATTTGTGAAATGTATTTGTGAAATGGATGAAAAAATAAATAATTAAATTTTGTTTACTAAGAAATAATGGCGATGATCACAATCATATTGGGCCATAATGTTGGCATATTTATTTTCCTCAATCCTAGTTTTCCATTTTTATTTATATTTTACTGGCTTCATTGTATAGTCATTGCTGCTTCCGGTGAGCTTCAACTGTGGTGAAGAAAGAAACCCACATACCTAACAACAACATAAGAGAGAAAGAAAAAAATACATTTAGCAAAGGTACAAGCAACATGTTACATGATCACTGAGGAAGAAGCAGGTGAGTCTAGCTGGAATTTGTTAAGGAAATAGAGACATTGAGAAGGGAAGATGCGTCTTGAGCATTCATGGCATGTTAATTATCGAGCAGAGATTTTATAAGGAGAAAAAGTAGGAGATAAAACTAAAAAGGCAACTACAAATCAGACTGAGAAGGATGGTGAATGGTACCTTAAGACAGTGGTCCCCAACTTTTTTAGCACCAGGGAATGGTTTCATGGAAGACAATTTTTCCAGGGATTGAGGTGGGGTGTTGGTTTTGGGATGGAACTGTTCCACCTCAGATCATCAGTCATTAAGATTCCTCTAAGGAGCACGCAACCTAGATCCCTCACATGTGCAGTTTACAATAGGGGTCAGGCTCCTATGAAAAACTAATGCTGCCGCTGATCTGACAGGAGGTGGAGCTCAGGCAGTCATGCTGGCTGGCTCGCCACTCACCTCCTGTGGTGCAGCCTGGTTCCTAACAGGCCATGGAGCGGTACCAGTCTGTGGCTCAGGGATTGGGAACCCCTGGCTTAAGAGTTTGATCATTAAATTGCACAGTTAGGAGCCACTGAAGCTAGATGAGGAAAAATCTAAAGGCATTGTTGTTATTCCTTAAGAAGATAACTTACATGGGAGTATGATGGATGATTTGGAGAAATAAGAGACTTAAAGCAGAAGAAACAATTGGAAGGTTTAGATAATAAGATACAGAGAATACAGATATGGATTCAAAGAAAAAATAAAAATTCAAAAAAAAAAAAAAAAGATGACTAGGCCACTAAGGGGATATGAAGATAAACAGTGAAAAGAATTCATGATGGGACTGCAATGGGACTATTTAAGGACAGAGGGATCCAACAAGTGAAAAGCCATTGAAAGGAGACAATAACACAGAATAACACAGACTATCACGCAGGTGTTACTGTGCATACTGCTTGACATCAACTAGGCCAAAATCCTGTGACCCTTGCAGGTAGTCTTCTTAGGGTCTTTTATTCCTTTTTGACTGCTAAATAGTTATTTTATCAAACATACTGCCTGAAATATAATGGCACTCATATTTCAGGTAGTATGTTAGGTATTTAATCTTCCCTGTAACTCTGTAAGGCAGGGTACTTTCCTCTAAATTATAGCTGCATATACTATTTGAGTATCTTTTCCATAAATACACAGTGGACAAGTGGCCAAGGAAAAATTGTAACCCTCAGGTTTGTCAGAGTCCAAAGGCCATGCTCTGTGCACAGTTCCTCACTGTCCACTTTTGTTTTGAATATGCCGAGTCAAGTATAAGAGGACCATCCCCATCCAGCAAATGCAGATGCAGGTTGCAAATGCAGACGTGGTGCCCAGGAGAAGAGCTAGGCTGGGAGAACAGAATTTGAACCATCTGAAGGGAGGTGAAAGTTGAAAGCATATTGGGGGCTGAAATCACTAAGGGGAGCATGTGTGGGAAAACCAAGAATTTAACCTTGAGAAAGTTACACCTATAAGGCAGGTGGAGAAAAAGAGGCCATAGAGAAGGCTGTTCAACAAGGAAATTAGAATGAGGAGGTTAAAATTAAGTAGTAGGTCAAAAGGGAATGGGTGATCAGCAGTGTCAATACTGCAGAAAGTCACATGAGCATGAGATCCAGGAAAAGGCACCTAATGCTGGGAGGAGAAATTAATCGGTGATCAGCAGTGTCAATACTGCAGAAAGTCACATGAGCATGAGATTCAGGAAAAGGCACCTAATGCTGGGAGGAGAAATTAATCAGGGACTCTGAACAGCAGCATTTACGTATTAGAGACTATAAAACTCAGAAGCAGCTCTTCTGAGAATGGAGGGATGAAGATGCAGGAAAAAACTAAAGGCTTTTTATTTGTGATATTTGGCAGTGATAAAAAATAGAGGTGGAAAAGAAGCTGGGGATAGGGCACATTGTGATGAGGTTTTATGTTAATTGTTTTGATATTTGTTTTCCTTTCTTATTGACTATAGTGAAGTTATTGAAATTATTTTGATTTTTGTTTTTCTTTGGCTATAACGAAGATGTGTTAAAGTGTAAAAAGGAAGCTGTGAAAGAGATATCAAAAATAGGAGGAAGAGAGAGAGAGAAAATGAAAGAAGATGTGTAATCCTGGGCTCTAGCTACATGGCCTCTGATGTGGTGAACTGCAGACAGAGCAGTGTGGCAGCTGAATGACAAACGCAGCAAACTGGAACAACATGAACCCTCCGTAACTTTAACATCATAGCTGATTAAGTTTTCTGGCATGTAAAATGCATCCACTGTGAGAAATTCTGTATCTCAGACATGACTCACTGTTTAGCATGTTTATACCATTAGGAAATACTAAAGATGTTTCCTCAAGCGTATGATTGTATTATAAGAGCACATGTAAAAGCACTTATTTTGATAGTAAAGAGTGGCTACCAGTAGCTTAGGTTTGCCACAAGAATCTCTATATTCAATCTTTAAAATAAGTGATTATAAAATAAATATCTAGCAGTGAAAAAAGAATTAACTACCCTGAGAAGACTATCTGTAAGGGTCACAGGCTCTTGGTCTAGTTGATGTCAAGCAGTACACACAAGAGCAAGACTATGCATTTTGCATAATCACTAGACATAACAGAGTGAGTAGAATATATGATAATTTGGCTCTAAAAGAAGAGATTTATCAACATTTTTGGAATCAGCAACTTTGAAATTATGGGAAATGAGGAGAATATAAAAAGACATGAGTAAACAGAATGCCTAGTAATTTGAGAAGAAATTGAAAGAGCAAATTAGAATATTGCAAAACAAACACAGCAGCCCTAAAGGGAAGTCCCCAAAACAAAAATTTTGTTCCATCCTAGATAAAAATAGCAAAGGATTTCTAGGAATGGGATTGCCATGTCTTAGAATGTGTGCTTCACTTCATAAGAAACTGATGGGCTCGTATCTGTAATCCCATCACTTTGGGAGGCTAAGGCAGGTGAATTGCTTCCGCCCAGGAGTTCAAGACCAGCCTAGGCAACATTGTGAAATCCCATCTACACACACACACACACACACACACACACACACACACAAAATTAGCCAGGTATGGTTGCACACACCTATAGTCCCAGCTACTCCGGCAGAAGGCTAAGGTGGGAGGATCACCTGAGCCAGGGAGGTCAAGGTTGCAGTGAGCAGTGATTGTGCCACTGCACTCCAGCCTGGGTGACAGAGGAAGACCCTATCTCAAAAACAAAACAGAATGAAACAAAAAACTGAAACTGTTTTCTAAAGTGGCTGAACCATTTTGTACCCCTACTAGCAATGTATGAGAGCTCTGTTCATTCTGTATCTTCACAGTGCTTGGTATTTTTAAGATTTTAAAAATTTATCCATTCTAACATGTGTGAAGTATATTTAATATTTTGAATATTATATTTATAACATAAATCTGGGCTATTTTGGAAATAATACAAGATAAAGTCAAAATGGTTTCTTCCTTACAATCTCACAATTACAGTCTTGTTGGAAATAGAAAATCCATGGCATTTGTTCAGTGGTATTAATTGGCAACATAAAGGAACGCTCATTTTTACCCAGAAGGTTACTGATACATTTGTTCTTCATTTTCTCAAAATTAAGAGAAATGTTAATCTCTCCTTTTATCATAAGTTTAGGCAAAGCAAATCACAATTTTTCCCACATGATGCTAAATAAGTCATATGCAGGAGGAACTTTCTGCTCTAGCCACATTCCCTGGACACATTTTTATTTATAGCTGCAATTTTAAGTCCTAGTAGATAGAGATGGCAGCAAATGTATGTTGCGTATGTTAAAGGGCACATATCATCTCATCACTTGTGGTAGACTGAGTTATTGGACACAATCCTTCATGCCTCCCTTTATCTACATCCTTTACCTTATACTTTCTGCCCATAAAAGGCCAAGTGTACTCTCCCATCTTTTGAATTTGACTTATCTACGTAACTTTCTTTGGCCAATATGTTATTTCTAGTTGTGATGCAAGTGGAGGCTTGATATGAGCTTGCACAGTGGGTCTTACTGTCTTGTACTTTTTCCATTTTCATGAGAAGAATATCCCAATTATCCTGATGGTCCCAGAGTCAAGATAAGAGACATAGAAATGACCCACTCCCATGACTGCAACCTGAAGCCCAGCTTCCTTGTCCACCTAGTACATTAGTAGGGAAAAATCAATGCTCATCATCATATGCCACTGAGATTTTGAGGTTGTTTGTTATGCAGCACTAACTGACAGGTAACAGATTCCACATCTGTATATGATATAAACAATAGATTGACTGTGAAAACTGATGAGGCCTTTAGAAACAACATGATGAAATAGAACTATGATTGTATTTCTGTGTGTGTGTTTGTGTGTGTGTTGGAGAGTTCAGAATGGGTCCAGGGCAGAGCAATCAAGAGATTGTCTTGGAGACCAAGTTGAACAATTTGTATTTCAATGGGGAATTTGTGGATTAAAATGAATGAAATGATAGAAACACTGCGTTTAAAATGGAGTAAAATAAGGTCAGAAACTAGAGGCTGCAGCAGTAAACTATTTTTTCATAAAATTCTGCAATGCTCATGAAAAAAGAGCCTTGATTCACTGTCTTTCTATCCCCTTACTTTGGCAAAACCCATAGATCTCCATTATGGCACATATACCAATTATTATTCTAAATTTGATCTTGGCTAAATGTTATTCACATTCAATTTAATCAAAAAGCCTAGTGACTGCCCAACATCACTTAATAGTGATAGCTAGCAACACATATTTATTAAAAAGCACGCTGAGTGTCTGGCGCCATTCTACAAACCAAATAAAAGTAACCAAGCAACAATAGAGAATTTAACTTCACTGTGCCAAGTAAAAGGCATTAGCCACTTATCATGTTAATCACACAACCACTTCAAGCAGTGCATGTCAAAAGAGTTACCAAGGTTAATATAAAGGCTTTTATAGACAATAAGCCTAGGCTGGCTGAATACCTGGACATAACTGAAGTGTCAGAGTAAAGTCGTCAGTCCATGGTGGAGGACAGTTAGACTTTAGCTCAAGTTCAAATTGATGTCTCAGAGTATTCTAATCAGAAATGATATTTGGTCTGTATTTGATATTTAGAATCCTCTACAAACTGGAAGAGGTCTCTTACAATACAAAGACAATTCCTGATGACAGGAGTCTCCATTGAAGCCATCTGGAACCCACCAGGGTCTTAGAGGAAGTGAATTTAGGATCAGCAGATAGGATTTTTCCTGTAATGAGCATCTATTCCAATCAGGCTGCTTGATGAACTGCAGGCACAACTTTGCAATTCCTGTTAGATGAGTGAGAAAGAAATTCAGAGTGTACTTATGGTAGCTACCCAAGTACCACACATTGTATTGAGTATAACTTTGAAAGGATTGCTTCAATTCTATTACTGAAACAGAAAAGAAATATAATCAACCCTTTCACTATTACTAATCCTTCTAGTTGACACTAAAAACAGGATTTATATGTGTATTAGTTCATTCTTTAAAACTTGTCACTTTTTTCTTCCTTAAACAATGTTTTACTAATAATTTTAAAATGATTATATATTAAAGTACATCTATACCTACTATAATATATAATATATATCATAGTCAATATAAATACAGATGCTCTGCCATATATATGATATAGTAGATTTAGATATGTTCTGAATCTGTATTATGTATATTATGCTATACTATATTTAATATTTCATATACACATTCACAAACACACATACATAGTAGTTTTCAGTGATAGTAGTCCAACAGTATTTCACATATTTGAATTATGTCAAGACCAGGTAGAAATAAGAATAAATTAATGACTTTGAGTCTTAAATCAGAAAAAAAGACTACTTGGATTACTAACTCAAATAACGTTATGATTAGGAAAATGTCTTTTTGATAAGAGCTTGAACTTCAGTACCTTCTTAATTGTGAAATTTGTTAGGTGTTCAGAAATGACATTATTCTCTAAAGCTCATATCCATTAAGCAGGGTGTAGCCATCCCATTGTACTTATTAAGATACCAGGAATTGCTGTCCTGGAAAAGAGGCCAGAAACTGAGATCACTGAACAAAAATAGAACATTTCTGGCTAGGACACTAATTACATAAAAATACAGAAAAATGAAACTTCTACCTCTAGAAAGAACAAAAACGAAAGTGAGTCTTATCTTCTCTAATTATGTTCCCAACACATTTTAACTTTTCTTCTTGGAAAGGGGATCCCTAGTTGTCTCTCAGAACTCTTCCCATATTTTCTGCCACAATTGCAAGTTACCAACCATATGATCTCAATCATGATGAGGGTGAATAAATGCATGCATGAATTAATCAATGACTAGTCCTAGCTTTGAACACGGAATGCCAGAGGTGCTTTCTGCTGAACTCATTGCACTGCACTGACAGAGCCAGTGGGTGAAATGACAATGAATGGCATTATTTCCCATACAGTTTTAGTGACTTTGGAGGAGCCCTGTCAGTCTCTAATGACCTCATATGACGTTCTGGCCATGTCTCAATACTCTGCACTTTCAACATCATTGAGATAGAAATAGAAATTGGCATCATTAGAATGAGTAATCTCAATCTCCCTCACCTGCCCCCTCCCAGCCTGGTTATGCTGTATTAGGAATTTTGGCAGCTTTTCATGCTGACTTGAATGCACTTACTGCTCTAGCTTAAGATGACCTATTTCATTAGGTGTATCTTCATAACTTTTGTCTTTCCATTTGTGTTTACATTTGTAAGCAGTAAGCACAGTATTAAAAGCTGTTGAATTAATAGTGCATGATACTTTTAATAAAACCACATAACCATATAAAACAATGTACACATAAAGGCCACCTAAACCTCTCTGCCTAGTTACTGGGCTCCAGATTCCCAATTTAGGCTGTTTCAGAGGCTCAGGCACTGGTTATCAGTACTGTAGAGTGAGTATTAGGCTGGGAGTCAACAGAGCTGGACCCCATTGCTGATAAGCAGCATGGCTATGTGACCTTGGAGAAGTTAATTAATCTTGCTGAATTTCAGTTGCCCGATCCATAAATTGGGACTCTTGTTTCTAAACATTGTTGAGAGTATTAAATAAGATAATGTGTGTATAATGTGTGTAAATGACTTAAGGCAATACATCACAAGTGATTAATGGATGGTATTAAAAATACTATGGTCTAACAGTGAGAAAAATATATGCAAACTATATACAAACAGCCAACAAACACATGAAAAAATGTTCAACATCATTAATCATCAGGGAAATACAAATTAAAACCACAATGAGACACCATCTTACTCCTGCAAGAACGACTATAATCAAAAAGTCAAAAAATAATAGATGTTGGTGTGAATGTGGTAAAAAGGGAACACTTTTACACTGTTGGTAAGAATGTAAATTAGTACAACCATTATGGAAAACAGTATGGATATTCTTTAAATAATTAAGAATAGAACTACCATTTGATCCAACAATCCCACCACTAGGTATCTACTCAAAGGAAAAGAAGTCATTATATGAAAAAGACACATGCACACATATGTCTATAGCAGCATAATTCACAACTGCAAAGATATGGGACGAAGCTAAGTGCCCATCAACGAACAAGTGGATAAAGAAAATGTGTGGAGTATTACTCAGCCATAAAAAAGAATTAAATAGTGTCTTTTGCAGCAATGTGGATGGAGCAATTGGGTTCAGAGGTTTAGGTGAGCATTATTCTAAGTGAAGTAACTCAGGAATGGAAAACTGAATATCGTATGTTCTCTCTTACAAGTGGAAGCTCAGCTATGAGACACAAAGGCATAAGATTTATATAATGGACTTTGGAGACTCATGGGAGAAGGTTGGGAGGGGGTGGTGAAGGACAAAAGACTACATATTGGGTATAGTGTACACTGCTCCGATGACAGGTACACTAAAATCTCAGAAATCACCACTTATTCATGTACCCAAAAACGATTGAAATAAAAATAAAAATTAAAAAAATATATACATACATATATAATGGGCTTGTTGAACCTCTTTATACTCCAGTCTTTTTATTTATAAAATGAACAAGTTAGATTAAAAAACAATTTTGGGTCTTTCTGATTGTAAGTCTGTATACTTGACAGGCTTCTTACTAGATTGTATACCAAAAACAGAGACGATTTCTTATGTATTCTTCCCAGAGATAGTGTCGACTGAGTAAATTTTATAACAAAGAAAAAATACCAGAAACATCAATTGTTTATTGTCAAGAATGTGCGCCTGAGAGATTCCCACAACTCTCAGAGCCAAATCTTATGGATCTCAAGACAGTCGTATTTTTAACACGCACCTCATATTCTGCCATCTCTCACTGTTATAATCTCAGCTATATATTCCCTTTTCTTTTGCTGGAGTCATGTCCATTATATTCTTTTTTTTTTTTTTTTTTTTTTTTTGAGACGGAGTCTCGCTCTGTCGCCCAGGCTGGAGTGCAGTGGCGGGATCTCGGCTCACTGCAAGCTCCGCCTCCCGGGTTCACGCCATTCTCCTGCCTCAGCCTCCCAAGTAGCTGGGACTACAGGCGCCCGCCACTACGCCCGGCTAATTTTTTGTATTTTTAGTAGAGACGGGGTTTCACCATTTTAGCCGGGATGGTCTCGATCTCCTGACCTCGTGATCCGCCCGCCTCGGCCTCCCAAAGTGCTGGGATTACAGGCGTGAGCCACCACGCCCGGCCATATTCTTGTTGTTTATGGTAACCACTCTCCCATGCTCTCATCATAATAATTTCATTTCCTCATTTAATCTATTCTCAGTTACTAATTCAGAAAACATTTAATGGTGAGCCCCATATCTTAAACCTAAGTGGGCACAGGAGAGTGAGAAAGCAAAACCCCAGTGCAGCATCAAGCAGACTTTTAGTTACAGCTGCTCTAGCTGGAGGGGATTCTGTATGGTGAGAAACTGAAAATAAAACTAAAGGAATTCTGAGTAGTGCTGAGTAGATATTTTTTTCTCTTGCCTTCAAAATCGCTCCAAAAAAAGTCACTGAAAGAATACTCTGGCACACAAAGGCAGCTTCAAAAGGCATAACTGCAAATTAGTAGAAATTGTATTTGGGATACTTTTATAGATTTGTGATGTAAATAAGAATATTTGAAAATATAGAGCCACATAATTATTGCTGGTGTGTACTTACTTATTTAACCACATGACTAAGCTCAGCTGGCACCATCATAGAGGTGAGCTGTCCAGGTGAGCCCTGACTGAATCACCACTCTGTAGAATCACATTGTCTTGTAACACCTGGATCCAAGCTGCCATCATGGGACCATTAGAGGAGGCTGCTATAGAAGATGGGTCTACACTCTGTGACTGTAGAAACAAAGTGGAAAGATTCTGGATCCTTAGGGAAACAATTGAGCCACTGGTTTACTAAACTTGGGCCCCAACATTTAGATGAATTGGCTCCAATTGTTTTTTTTTCTATATTGGCATTAATCTATTCATGTTTCAAAATCGCAGGAGACATAGTCCAATTGGTTTGCCATGGGCCACATGTCCACACTGAGACCAAAGGTCCATGACTGACCACTTTATTTGGGTACTACCACCATCCTGCACAAAAAGAGTGATTGCTCAAAAGGCAAATGGCAATAAGGATGCTTTAGCCTAAGATATGGGCATGGGTACTTAGTAGTACAAAAGCAAGTGTTCACTATATGAAATGGAAAAGAAAGTCTAGTTTTTCCCTGAGCATATAGCTTTGTATAAACTAAGCATTCTCTATGAATCCTCACAAACTTAATTTATAACAAATCAAAATTACATTTTTTAATTCAAGGATTTTAGGTATATAAAATAGTATACCTTGAAAATGATTTAGGTTCTATCTAGATTATTGGTTTTTTTTTTAACATGGGTGGTTATTTTCACAAAAATCTCAATTTGAAAATATAAGTGAAATTTTCATCTGTTATATAATGTGAGTAGAACATTACCATCCACGTTAAAGGATAGTTTTTTAATGGTATTTTTATTATTGTCATAAATATATTCCACTTAAAGTAAGCTGACAAGGTACTCTGCTGTGAACATAAAAGCAAAGTTTTCAGATTTAAAGTGGGTAGTTTGAAAGAAAAACAGAGGTGAGGCTCTCTTTCCTCTTCTATTATATTAATTACACTTTATATTAATAACAAGTAGTTGAAAAGTGATAAAAGATGAAAGCAATAGTAATGATGACATCAGGGATTATTAGGTCAACAGATCTGAGAAACTTACCCTGAAGGGTTATTCTTTTTTTCATGACAGAGTCTTGCTCTGTCGCTAAGGTTGGAGTATAGTAGCACGATCTCGGCTCACTGCAACCTCCACCTCCCAGGTTCAAGCAATTCTCCTGCCTCAGTCTCTCAAGTAGCTGATATTACAGGCGTGTGCCACCACACCTGGCTAATTTTTGTATGTTTAGTGGAGATGGGGTTTCACAGTGTTGACCATGCTGGTCTCAAACACCTTACCTCAAGTGATCCACCCGCCTCAGCCTCCCAAAGTGCTGGGATTACAGGCATCAGCCACACTGCCTGGCCCCTGAAGGGTTATTTTTTAGATATTTAACATTCCCTCCTTTTTGTGACAAAACAAACAAACAAGGAATGCATGACTGATGGCAGCAGAGGATGATGAGCACTAGTAAAGAAGCCTACTGCCCTGTGCATGTTCCTAGTAAGAAGTTCCTGCAATCAATGAGGAAACAGCGCATAGACAATACTCAGTTTCACAGGATTAACAATAAGCTATGCTTACTTCAGTGCGAACTTACCATATCTTAGACCCTGCACGTGCATTATGTCCTTCGATTCTCATAACCACCCATAAGGTAAGTATTAATATCCCCAATTTACTTTAAAAGATGTTGAGACTCAGCAAGAATAGGCAGCTGATATTTCCCTAGCAGGATTTCTACTCAGACGTGCCAGCCTTCAAGACCTCTTCCTTTTGAACGACATGCTGCCTTTACCATGACAACAGCCTTATAGCTTGATTGGCAGAATGAGACATCCCTTGTCTTCTAGGATCACCTGATATACATTGCTGAACATCTGCTATTTAGTGATTGAGCCCAGCACCACATAGCTAAATTGATCATTGCTTATTTTGTCATCTTCCAATGTGGTCCCTCTCACTGTAACTTCTCAGGGAAGTTCTAGTCCCCATTGATAAGCCTTTATCTCATCCTATTTTCATCTGGGCTTTCCATCATTATCTTATCTAAAAGAAAGCACGTGAGTGACATTCTATTATTATTATTTTTAGTGCCAATAATTCATTTAAGTTTATTTGTACCATGCTCATTCTAATCCTTGAAAGATCTCTGAGGTAGTAGGAAGAGAGTTGATTATCCCTAAGTTACAGAAGAAACCGAGGATCTGAAGACTTAGATAACATGTCCAGGGTCACTGAGTTAGCCCACAATGAAGGTGGTACTTGATCCCATGCCTGCTTTTGCAGTCACCTTTTGATGGAGGCCAATGCATTAATTATTCACCCATGGCCCTGGGCAATATTCACAAAGGGGTAGTGCTAATGCTGCAATTTGCAGTTTGCCTCAGATAATATTTTCAGACCACTTTTAAATTCAGTGAATTATGCCCTGGGTTTATTGATTTTGTTTTGCTTTTTTTTTTTTTTTCTGATAAAAGGTCATAAAATACAATTCCACCTTGTGACACTTTAAAGATTAAGTGCTTCATTATTATTTTTGCTATTTGCTATTTCTAAAAACCTATCTATAGTTAAGTTTTAATTTTTCTCTCTATTTGCCAGATAACAAAAACAGAGCAAGGTGTGCCTAAGGTTACAAAGAACATCAGAGATCATTAGAGTTTTAGTCTAGCTGGTATCTCTCCCAGTGTAATACATAAGTGATGAAATATTTTAGAGCACATTTTTAATTGAGTGATTGTGGATGCAAATATTTATTCAAGCCTCAGAGAAGCATGTTTACCTTGAAAACTCAAAAGAGCAGCAATAGGATAGAAGTAAAAACCATACATAAAAGGTATAATAATAATAGCTACAATTCAGCACTTAGCATGTGCCAGGCACCTTAGAAAGCACTTTATGTGACATTCATCTTTTTAATAATGCCCTAAACATTAGGAGGTTGGCTTTATAGAAGAGACTGAGACTTATGTTAAAATTTAGCTTGGCTGGGAAATAGCAGTGCCACAATTAAAACTAAGGATTTGAGTCTAGAGCCTATGTTCTTAGCCCCACCAGCCATACTGCCTCTCCAGTCAATGCAGCCTGATGGACTTAAAAAAAAATCAGTTTCTACAGTTTCTGTCTTGCTCATGGTAGCATGCTGTTCTATCTATACTACCAGTGCAGCCCTTTTAATCATTCTTATATCTTTTTATTTAATTCATTTTCTTCCATGTTATAATAGGACCGTACTTTGGTAACTTCCCCTAAAAGCTTCTGTAAAATGTCTCCAGCACACGACATTCTTGAGTCATGAACTCACATATTCATTCATTTATAATAGACATTATTGGATTAATGTGCCATGCTCATGTATGTACTAAGGACACAGCGATGGGCAAGAAGGAATCTCTGTTCTTGAGGAACTTGATGTCTGGTGAGTGTATGTTGAGGAGTAGATAATTATGTGCAATGATAGGTGTTATAATAAAGGCACAAGCATATGCTTTGGGAGATAGGAGGAGCTAGAGACAATTATTGAAAAAATCTAGATGTCACTTCCGGGGAAGTGACATCTGAGCTTATCCTTGACAGATGCGGTAGAATTACTCAGAATAACAAAATAATAACTTCAGAACACATAAAAGAATATGTTTTCCATGCTGTTTTGGCTACAGTAACCAAAACAGCAATGTGCTGGTACCAAAACAGATATATAGACCAACGGAACAGAACAGAGGCCTCAGAAATAACGCCATACATCTACAACCTTATCTGATCTTTGAAAAACCTGACAAAAACAAGCAATGGGGAAAGGATTCCCTATTTAATAAATGGTGTTGGGAAAACTGGCTAGCCATATGCAGAAAACTGAAACTAGATCCATTCCTTACACTTTATACAAAAATTAACTCAAGATGGATTAAAGACTTAAACGTCAAGACCTAAAACCATGAAAACCTTAGAAGAAAATCTAGTTAATACCATTCAGGACATAGGCATGGGCAAAGACTTCGTGACTAAAACACCAAAAGCAATGGCAACAAAAGCCGAAATTGACAAATGGGATCTAATTAAACTAAAGAGCTTCTGCACAGAAAAAGAAACTATCATCAGAGTGAACAGGCAACCTACAGAATGGGAGAAAATTTTTGCAATCTGTCCATCTGACAAAGGGCTAATATCCAGAATCTACAAGGAACTTAAACAAATTTACAAGAAACAAACAAACAACCTCATCAAAAAGTGGGAGCAGAATATGAACAGACACTTATCAAAAGAAGGCATTTATGTATCCAACAAACATATGAAAAAAGCTCATCATTGGTCAGTAGAGAAATGCAAATAAAAACCGAGATACCATCTCATTCCAGTTAGAATGGCGATCATTAAAAATTCAGGAAACAACAGATGCTAGAGAGGATGTGGAGAAGTAGGAACGCTTTTACACTGCTGGTAGGAGTGTGAATTAGTTCAATCATTGTGGAAGACAGTGTGGTGATTCCTCAAGGATCTAGAACCAGAAATACCATTTGACCCAGCAATCCCATTACTGGGTATACACCCAAATGATTAGAAATCATTCTACTATAAAGACACATGCACACATATGGTTATTGCAGCACTATTCACAATAGCAAAGATTTGGAACCAACCCAAATGCCCATCAATGATAGACTGCATAAAGAAAATATGGCACATATACACCATGGAATACTATGCAGCCATAAAAAATGAAGAGTTTTGTCCTTTGGAGGGACATGGATGAAGCTGGAAACCATCATTCTCAGCAAACTAACAAAGGAACAGAAAACCAAACACCACATGTTCTCACTCATAAGTGGGAGTTGAACAATGAGAACACATGGACAGAGGGAGGGGAACATCACACAGCGAGGCCTGTCTGGAGGTGGAGTGCTAGGGGAGGAATAGCATTAGGAGAAATACCTAATGTAGATGACAGGTTGATGGCTGCAGCAAACCACCATGGCATGTGTATACCTATTTAACAAACCTGCACGTTCCACACATGTGTCTCAGAATGTAAAGTATAATAAAATAGATATTAAAAAAAGAATAGGTTTTCCAAAGAGTAGATGCTCTCTGTGTATGACCAAAAGCAAGAGGACAGTACACGATGAAGTTTCTGGATGACTTACAGGTGATAACTTTGGATTCTCAGGAGGTTGAGCTTACATTTACATAGATTATTGACGAATAATTACATCACTGTATTTTATTGGAGCTTAAATGCTTAAATGTTATAAAGTTTCAGTGTAAAAATGCAATGCTTTAAGTTATACAAATAAAGATGAAAATTCTCATAGCACATTGCCAAGAATGAAGTGGGCCAATAAATCTCTTGAAAATTGAAGGTGGATTCCTTAGTGATTCAGGTGCCTTCCTAGAAATCTCACAGCTACTAAAATGAAGTTCTTACATTTGTTAATATTACCAGGATCCCTCAAGAGATATACTGTTTTCGTTGTTGTTGTTATTCTCTTGATTTACTGCCTAACTCAATTCTCCTGAGTCATGTGTGGCTAGTGACCAAACACTGTAAATAAGTTAAGTGCAGCTTTTATAGAGAGTGATGTGCTGCACATATCAAGAGAATGTGATTGGTTTACAAGATGTGTAGTAATAATGGGGTTGTGAATTATTCAAGTATTAATACTTCAGAATAATCCACATCCTCCAGCTTTTTGTAAATTAGTGAGCTAGAAATATATATGTTTGTCATCACATTTGACAATACAGATATCTCATGATCTTGAAAAAGTGAACTTTAATGAGACTAGCAGAAAAACATTAATGCCATACGGAAATTTAACCATGACTCCTCATATTTGCAACATTACTTTGAATTACAATATGAAATGCTGTTGTATCCTCAAAAAGTACCAATATGCCATTTTAAACATTTTATAAAAGGTGATTTACGTTCTAGAAATTACTCCTAAAGAAATTAATGGAACCTCTGTAAATTGGATATATTGCCTCAGTGTGCCACATCTCATCAAACCTTTCGCCATCTTGTCATCCCTGAGTGGCCCATTGCTATCCTTCATCCCCTGGACTGATTGCCGTAGTTCTGAGTTTATTATGCTTAAAAGAGAGGCGTAGATCTTTTCAATTCCTTAGCACATTCTGTGTCACCTTGGAAACTAAATGTGTGTATCAGAAACCCCACTCTCCAATCTCCAGCTCATCAGATGCTGCAGCCCTGCTCCGATTACAATACCCATCCCCAAGTGACTGTCTAACACACAGATGAGTCCACAGCATAAGGAGGATAATTATTACCTTTAAGATATTTTAAGTTATTAAGCTCTTATTATAATTAACTATAGAGAACTCTCTAAGCTGGCAAGGCCAGGGAATGGAGGTATTCTGGCTACTGGTTCAATTGAAATAAAGAAAAAGAAAAGATGTTAGTGCTCCTGAGATTCAGTCTTGGACGGCATGAAATGACTGGATTTTTCCAGAGTGTTGTCCCTTATCTAGAAGACCATTACACTGCACCATTGGATATTTAAATAGCAGCAAGATAAATTTCAGAATTGTATCAACCCTGGTTTACATGACCCACCACACTCTTCCTGTCTTCCAATTTACAAACTTTCCTCAGAGAAAGGATGTGGGATGAAGTTGTTGCCAGTCACCGTTTACTAAGCCTTGAGACAATGCAAAGCAGTACTAGGAATAGAACTGACAACATCTTTCTCTCTTTTCCATTCGTGTGGTCTAGGGCATTTTGTGAAGCTGTAATAAAGAATATTGCTTTTCTCATTGGTTTAGGTCAATGATTCCATGTCAAAAATCCAATGCAAATGATCAAAATGTCCCATTCTTGTTAGCAGTGCAAGAGGTAAATCTTGCTTCTAAATTTAATTTGAGCAATATTTCAAGTTTCCCTAGTACTCCCTTGAAATATCTAATACATTATTTGGGCAGCATTTTTTTAAATATCTCAAAAAGTTTTTAAAAATATAGTTAAGAAACACCGTGACCCTGAGCTAATAATGCAATGAATTGCCTTCCCTGCATAACTGTGTCCTTCAGCACAGTACTGACTTTCCAAAACCTTCTGTCCTCTTCACTCTACTGACTACCTCAATCCACTGATTTTGTTTTTCCTTTAATAAGACAAGCTGAAACTCCACTTCTTGATAGTCTTCTCATAGCCTCCTAGTACTACTCTCGCCTGCTCGCCCACCTGTCTGGCTTTCTTAACTTTCTTTGCTGGCTTTTTTCTTTATCCCGCCTCTTAAATACTTCTGTTCTTAGGATTCTGTAATCAGCTTTTTTCTGTTTCTATTCTGCTCTGTACTTGTGATTATATTCCTTCCATACAGCTTCAATGATAAGCTAAAAATTAATAGAATACAATTTGATCTCTATTTCTGACCTCACTCCTTAGCTAAGGAGTCTTTTAAAAATGTTTAGAAGAGTTTTCTAGCTACAACCATCCTGGTCTGGAGACTTTGATGGGTTACATTTTTATTTTAATGCTCCTGTTCTTGTTACTTTATGCACAAATGCTGGCGTTGAGATGTGTGCCCCTTTAATTGTATTATCGATTGCAAAAAACAATGGAAAGATTTTTTAGCTTATTTTTTCAAACATCTTAGTGTCTTCTTATCCTCATTTTTTTCTATTTACCTATTTCATAATACTTTATTAATTAAATATTTATTTCACAATTATTAATTAAATACTTATTTAATAGTAATTTATTAATTTATTTACCAGAGTTTTATTGAGATATTATTTACATACCACGCAATTCACCTAATTTAAAGTGTACAATTCAGCAGATTTTACTATATTCACAAATATGTGCAAACATCACCAGTCAATTTTAGTACATTTTCACAACCTGAAAAAGAAAACCCCAACCCTTTAGCTATTACCCTACAAGCCCTCATTTTTTCCATCAGCCATAAGCAACCACTAATTTACTTTGTTTCTGTATATTTCCTCATTCTGCATTTTTATATTAATGGAGTTATATAGTATCTAATCTTTTGTGGCTGACTTTTAAAACTCAGCATAGTGTTTTGAAGTTTTATCCATGTGATAGAATACATTAATACTTCATTCTTTTTATGGTCAATAATATTCTATTTTATGGATATACCACATTTTGCTTATTATTGTTGTGTATTGATGGACATTTGGGTTGTTTCCACCTTTTGACTATCATGATGAACAAGGCTGCTTAACATTTATGTACAAGGCTTTATGTGAACATGTGTTTTCATTACTCTTGGGTATATACCTAGGAGTAGAATTGCTGGGTCAGACAATAATTCAATATTTAATTATTTGAGGAATGGCCAGAGAGTTTTTCAAAATGGTTTTGCCATTTTATATTTCCACTAGCAATATATGAGTGCTCCATTTTTTCTGCATTCTCATCAAAATATGTTGTTATTTGACTATTGGATTCCAGCCTACTTAGAAGGTGTGAAGTGGTATCTCATTGTGGTTTGCCCTGACAACTGATGATGTTGAGAATCTTTTCATATGCTAATTGACCATTTCATATCTTCCTTGGAAAAATGGCTATTGTATGACTTTTTCTTTTGTAGTATCATGTATTACCTTAGTCTTGGACTTACTCTCACTTACTGCCTCTAGTGAGATTTAATTTTTTCCTAGTATTTTCCCCAAAAAACTTACAGCATGCAGACATATTTTGTGACCTATTTCTTACCCAATCTCCTCTCTTGTGCAGCGATGTCACTTACAGAATACAGATATAGTGAGAAGTCTCAGATATAGTGAGATCTTATGTTCACAAAAGCCAGCCTATTCCCTGTCTTTTGTCATATTGTATTACACACAGACTGCAATGAAACATAGACTCTTTCTCCTTTTATCATTTCCTCTTGTCAGTGTTCATATTCCTTCCTACACAATGCTTGTATTTTAGAGTTTTCTCTTTAGAGCTTGCACATTGAAATGCACAATGCTTGTATTTCATAGTTTTTTCTCTTTAGAATTTTCTACTAAAATATAAAGGAATCATGTATTTCTTTTTGGTTTAATTCCCTTAGACTAGATTCATGTTATACAAACAAAACTAACAGCTTTTCTTTGGTAGTTTCTCAGTCTCTGATTTACTAAAGAGACATTCTCCTCCCCCAGTTCCCATACGTCATTCCTTTTACTCCCGACTTTATAGACGATTTTCAGTCAGTTTCATAATCTTCTCCTTTGTATACATTTCATCGGATGTCGCAGGTCTGCTCCATGCTTCTCCACAGAATTCCGGCATTCCATTAATTCACCTTCCGTTTCTCTGTGGTGCTTCCTGAAACCTCAAAAAAAAATGCCCTCCGCCCCCAAGATGCCCTTCTGCAGCTCTCACTGTTGCAAATGAAGCCAGAACCCTTGTCTGTATGCAGCGCTGCTTCCAAAACCCAAAATACTAGAGTTTGAGGAGTGTGAAAGTGATAGCCTTAAAATACCATTCACATGGAAATTGTTTCTTTGGCTTCTGGCCAGTATGTGAGCAACAGTTAGCCTTAGAGAGCAAAGAAATGAGTCCTTGCTGATGGCAGAACCCAGGCTGAGGCTCCTCACCTTCAGAGGCTATGAACAGGAAAGCCACAGAACATGAAGGGACAAGGCAAGGTGGAGGTGCTCAGGGAAAGTCCATCAGGTCTAATGTATGGGTACTGGGGAATAGCCTATGCCGTTCACATTGCCCACTGCCAGGGGAACATGGATGTGCGGTTGCCACTTTCAGAGGACCCTTAAAATGTGTGTGTGTTCATGTGCATGTGCGTGCATGAGTGCGTGGGTATGAATCAGTATGTAAATCTGAGCCCAACCTTGCCCTCATTCCAGCCCTGCAAGGAGCCCGCACTCCCACCTGGCTCAGTTCCGTGTCTATTTCCCCACATGATTGACACTCTCTGTCTTAATCAGCTGTTTCCTCATCATCCCTCTGCAAAAACATTTTCCCCTCTAAGTTTTCCCTTTGCCCAGGAGATCTGTAATGGTTTCCTCTGATTCTTCTTGGACTTTTCCTATGTTTCACCTCAATCAAAGCTGTCTCTGCGTTTTGCAGTCAAACTGCATATCTTTCCATCCTAAAGTCACAGTGTATTCCCTTGCCTCTCATTTCCTCCTTTACAGCTGTATCAATTTAAAGTCCCCGTGACTCCTTTAGAATGACAGAGAAAAGCAGTATATTATTTATGAAAGAGGAGAAAGGAGACAGGGACAAAGAGAGAAAAGTTAAATATAAATTGCCAAAAAGAAACAAATGGGAGCAGTGAGGGAAGCATTTCATGTATTTTTAGAGCTACTAGGGAAACATACACCTCTACACAAATCTGCACACTTAAACAGCAATGCACACACAGTACAAATACAGATGTCATTCCTTTCCTTTTTAAATGCAGAGACTTCTCTGTTCTCTCATCTGAAAGAAAAAGTGAGTAATTTACTCGCTTGATATTTCCCTCTGTGTTTTCATAAATCTATTCCTCAGAGGCTCAATAGTCATGAAATACGTGTCATGGTAGTGGTCCTAAAATTTTGTGCCTTCTTATTTGATGCTGATGCAGAGCAACACAATGCTTTAAATTGCTGCTGATGCAAATCTAATCGGCAATTTCATAATTATAATTTACAATGATAATAGTAACAAATATTTATGGAGTACTTACCATGTGGCAGGCATACGTCCAAGCACATTATTTATTTGTTTCATTTAGGTCTCATTGCAGCCTTGTATTGTTATAGTTATTGTATTGTCACATAGTGTTTCAGTTATGTATTAATACAGTTGAGTAAATTGAGGCACAAAGAGTTTGGGTCATTTATCTAAGTTACTCAGTAAGACACAAGGCAGAAACATAATTTGCCTGGGGGAATCAAACCATAGAGCTATTGCTCTTGACCACATTTTTATGCAACTCTTTGGTATTAATAATAAGCTACATTATCGTTGATATTCTTTAGAATGATATTTTCTGTTTAAATCAACTTGAGTTTAACTAGGGCAAACAATTGTACCCCCATACCCTTATAAACACAACATGCATTATGCTTCTTGGAGATTTTCCACAATAGGGCCTTCAGCACACAAGGAAATTACTGTGACATTGTTCTTACCATAAGAATACTTCTGAGTTTCTAAGGACTAATAAAGAGGTAAAAGGCAATGAAACTTTGGTTAGAAGGGAGAAGAGTTGATGCAGTTCTTCAACTCTAGTAAAACATGAAGATTTCTGGGCTCAAACCTCACATTTTAGTGTCCATTAAATTTGTGTCATCATCTCAGTTATCTTGCTTTTTTGTTTTGCTTAATATTTCAGGTTCTCTCTTTAGACACTAAGTCTCCCTTCTGATCCCTGTGCCTTAAATATGGTTTCTCTAGAGGATCCCAGCCTCTAGAGTCAGTATGTCCACAACCCAATATACCCACAAGAGATAACACAGAAAAAGAAAGTATAATTTGCTTTTAGATTCCAATTTGTAATATTTTTAATGGATAATTGAACATGACTACCAATGGACAGATACAGGACCCAAGGAAGTACTAAAGGGTTTAGGCTAAATAAATAGTGAAAAAGATTTTTAAAGCCTCCACCTTTTAGAAAAGAAACATAATTCACTCTAGGTAGATAGATGGCCTTTAGAAATACAGTATTGTGTCCAGGCACGGTGGCTCACACCTGTAATCCCAGCACTTTAGGAGGCCGAGGAGGGCAGATCATGAGGTCAGGAGATCGAGACTATCCTGGTTAACAAGGTAAAACCCTGTCTCTATTAAAAATAGAAAAAAATAGCCAGGTGTGGTGGCACGTTCCTATAGTCCTAGCTACATGGGAGGCTGAGGCAGGAGAATAGCTTGAACCTGGGAGGCAGAAGTTGCAGTGAGCCGAGATCAGGACACTGCACTCTGGCCTGGGTGACAGTGAGACTCCATGTCAAAAAAACCCAAAAAACCAAAAAGGCCCCAGTGGCTCATGACTGTAATCCTAGCACTTTGGGAGGCCGAGGTGGGCAGATCACGAGGTCAGGAGTTCGAGACTAGCTTGGCGTTCATAGAGATACCTCATCTCTACTAATAATACAAAAATTAGCAGGGCGTGGTGGTGGGTTCCTGTAATCCCAGCTACTCGGGAGGCTGAGACAGAAGAATCGCTTGAACCCAGGAGGCAGAGGTTGCAGTGAGCCGAGATTGTGCCACTGCACTCCAGCCTGGAGAAAGAGCGAGACTCTGTCTCAAAAAACAAAAACAAAAATAAAAAAACAAAAAAAAAAAAACAAAAAGAAATACAGGATGGATTTTTTTAAACTCACCTATGAAAAATAAAATAACATATTCCTAGGAGAAAACAGGAAGACATTATTTCTATTTTCCATAAGCTGAGAAGTCTGACTGAGGCTGTAATACTAAACTAGCTTGAAAATAAGAGGTGATGAATGACAAGTGCATATGCTACGCATCACAGAATTTCAAAGGAGTTTAAAAAGAAAAAGCAGTAGTAAGTTCAGAAAGGATCCAAGAGGAGACAAAAATTGAGTTGGACTGCTAAAGATGAAAATAATTTGAAAGAAAAAAATCATGAGAAGTCCTATTTAATCGGCATATAATACACAGAGAAGAAGTATGAGGAAAAATGATCAGAGAACTTATCTGTCAAGTTCAAAAACTGTTGAGGTTTATGAATGTTAGTATAAGTACAAAAATAATAATCTGTATTTTGCTGTCAAAGGATACAAAGAAGGCTTTTTCAGTAAATTCCTCAAATTTGGCCCCTTTCAAGTTATCAGTAACAATCAGAATAAATGTTGTGCTATAAACTTTCCTTAGAGAAGTCTTCAGATTTGTTTAGAGCTCTTTGCTTCAATAAGGTCCAACGTTTGTTTCCCTTTTATCCAGCTAAAAGAATTATGATGATGACACCATCAGGAATGTGAAACAAATAAAGTTTTCTATTTTCTATCAGATAACTGAAAATCTAAATGGTGTAGAAATTGTAAATGCTGAGCAAAAGACATCTAAGTAATTTGGTGTACTTCAGTGGACAATTATAAATCCTCCTTGCAATCTTCTCAGACATTCAGATCTGCCAGGAGCTAATTAACTGCTCTGGCAGTAGGAAGATGTGGCAACTTGATTCACAGTTTCTGAAAGGCTGCAAGGTATTTAATTTGAACAATAGAAGAATTAAAGGGCAGCAGTTAGCAAGAGTATCAGCAGATAGAGTATGCCTACCTAAATGGTTCTTTTTCAATTTCAAAATTGCCTACTTGAAGATTTGTATTGGGATTAAAAAAAAAATTAAAGGAGCCTTACATTGTAAATACCAGCAAGGAAAGACATCACTCTAATTCTGCCTTGGTAAAGCTACCAGGGTATTTCTGGTCAGTAGTGTCCTGGGTGTGACTAGCTGGGGCTGGCATTGTCTTGGGTGGTAAAGGAATTTACCAAGACAGTCATGAATAAACAAAGGCAGGTTTATTAGAGAAAGTACAAAGATAGGTTGTAAGAAAGCAATGGGCAGCACAGCAGAGAAGGGGCTGTCTGCAAAGAGTCAGGGGCTGGAGGGAAGTTTTATAAGGTCATGCTGGAAGGGACGATGAGCAAGTGAGTTTGTGTTGTTTGCTAAGAATATGTTGGGGTAATGTTTAACTGCCAGTCCTTTTCTCTCAAGGTGCCCAAAAGAAATGCTCTGCTGTTCTTAGCAACCTGCCTGCCTTCCATTTCTGGAGTTGCAACATAGTGGCTGTGGTTTTTTTTCCACACAAAAGGGATGCAAACCAGGTTAAGTCTCTGTTCTGCCAGCCTGGTTTGTTTTCAGGTTATGTTAACTTATTTATTTATTAGGGCCCCACAAGTGGCAACACATGAATGAGGATGACTTTATGGGACAGCATCTGAACAGCCCGGCTTCCTGTAAGCTTATATAACTGAAGCAAATTACATACCAGCCACTTGCAATGGTTATCTTGAAAATTGGAGGAATGTCCTCAGGATCCATTGAGTAGCAACAACATGAATGATAATTTTTGCATCCCAAGTTCAGAAGAAGCAACCGACATTGAGTTTTTCTTGAATCCTTCTAAGAGAGACCTTCAGATAAATATTCCAGACTGGCTTATCTCCTCTCTATCTCATCTATAATTTTGTTTTGGCTTTTATGGTTGTGGGAGGAATCTTTTACTGTGGTGCCAAAATCTTTACCCATGTTTTTTTCATTAAATCTCCACAAAAATATATTCAAACTCAAGAAACTGAGTCCCTGAAAATTCAAATCCAGGTTTATGACATCCAATCCAACTGCATGAGTGTTCTGCCTCATGAGCCGACCTCCTGTGCATTTCTCACCAGAAGAGCTCTGATTCTATTTTTATTTTATCCCTGGGCCATTTCTGATTTAATGTAAAGTGAAAGACACAGCTTCCTTTTCACCTCAGTTGAGGGCTGACTGTAATTTAATCTACTACTCCTGGAAATGAGATGGATTGTGGTTGAGGGGACCTCTCAGGGTCTGTTACCTGATTCCCTTGGACACTGAGGATTCCCGTGTGCTTCCCCAGCCCCAAGCACCAGAGAGTTGAGGGAGAAAGTCTGTATTTATTTCCCATGGCTGCGGTAACAAAGTACTACAAACTTGGTGGCTTTAACAACAGAAATTGATTCTCTCAGTTTGGAGGCTGAAAATTCAAGTGAAGGTGTTGACAGATCGATGCTGCCTTTGTCAGCTCCAGAGAAGAGCCCTGTCTAGCCTCTTCCTACCTTTTGATGGTGGCCAGCAATCCTTGCCATTCCCTGACTTGTGGCTACATCACTCCAGTTTCTGCCTCCATCTTGACGTGGCTGTTTAACTCTGTGTATAACTGTGTCTCTGTGCATGCTCTCTTTGTTTAAGGATACCAGTCTTTGGAATTCAAGCCCATCCTATTCCAATATGACCTAATCTTTACTGATTACATTCACAAAGACCTGATTTCCAAACAAGCTCACATTCTGAGGTTCCAGGTGGACATGAGTTTGAGGGGGATACTATTCTCAACAGTACAGCAGGTCTTGTAATACAGTCATTTTGTTTTTCATTGCTTCATTATAATGTTGATGGGGACAAAAAAATCAATTTCCTGCCAGGCCACTGTCTGTGAGGAGTTTGCATGTTCTCCTCATGTCTACATGTCTACATGGGTTTTCCCTGGGTCAGGTTCAGCTTGCATCCCAAAGTTGTGCCTGTAAGGTTCATTGGTGTGTCTACATGGCCCCAGTGTGAGTGAGTGGGATGTGGGTGTGAGTGCACCCTGATGGGACAGTGTCCTGCTCAGGGCTGGTTCCCACCTCATGCCCTAGGCTGCAGAAACACACTCTGGTCACCCAGCCCTGAGCTAGAACAAGAAGCTTATAAAATGAATAAATGAATGAATACAAATGATTGTAAGGCAAAAATGTGTAAAGTCTATGCTAATCACACAAATGCATGACAATAAATGATGCAGTCTGAAAGCACTCCACAAGCCTCCCATGTTTGTGATTGTTTTTGAACTTTTTGGTAAAAGGAGGTGCTCCTGACAATTTTTCTTTGTAAACATTTATTTTCTAACTTAACCCCTCATCCCTATGAGTGCTGTCACTGCTTCACCAAAAATTGGGTAAATAATATCTACTTTTTAAGTTAATGTCTCTTAAATTGGTGGATAGCTCACAATTATTTTCATGTTGAATATTAAAAGTGTTTCTCGTCTTTATTTAGAAGTTTTGTGATGCTTTTGTGACCAGAAATATGTCATAGGAACTTAACTTTTGTTTATATCAATTAACCTATGGTAGAATTGGTTTGATTATATCATTTTACTTAAAGTCAGTTTCTAACAACCTATCCACATTGTTAAGTGAGGACTTACTGTAGAGTGCTGTTTAGTTTTTTAATTATGTAAACCTTCCTGTTGTATGTCATTTTTTTTTCATGGCTGCAATTTTAAAACTTATAGCTAACTTCTTTTATATGAGGCAATTAGATATGTGCATTGATAGATCCTTTTATCTGTGACTCTAATGCACTTAGAATAGATACAGAATTTTTGTGTTTGATAGAGTACTCTAAACATGTTTTATAGAAATTTGTTTAAACTTGTTTAAACATGTTTAAAGCTTTTTACAATTATGAAATGTTCAAGCAAATAGAAAAGTACAGTCCGCAGTAAACCAGGCACCTATATAGCTACCACCAAAATCAAACAGACATTTATCACTTTTTCTTGTTTGTTTTATTAGTTTTAAAGAAGAAAAGATAAGAATACAGCTAAGCTTTACCCTAATTCCTTTGCCCTCCTTCACTCCCAAAGGTGACTGCCATCCTGAAGCTAGAATAAATCATTCCCATGCACTTTGCTAACTCTCTTCAATAAAAACTATAACTATAAAAAATTTAGTAATATAAAAATTTATTTCAATTGTGTTCTACTGTACCTATTTTTTTAAACTTCATTTCTGAGGTTTTCTTGGTGTCCATGCTAGAGAAACTAGTTGTTCCCAAGATGTATACAAGAATTTTTACCACAGCATGGCATATAAGAGTGTAAAAGTTTATAAAAAAGGTAATCACCCCGACATGGGTTAATATAAATAAAACCATTTTATCAATTAAATGGAATGCTCCCTAGCAGCCAAAATGAATAAATAAAATAAACTACATATGTAAAATGTTTCTTGAAAATTCTCTATTGTTCAAAGACTACTTCCTGCATAATATAAAATATTAGATAACTTCATTCAAAAAGCTATTGGCATAAATATTTTCTGTATCTGAATACCTATAAACCATTCAGTTCATGTTTAAATCTTACATCACCTGAAGGATGCAAGGTCTAGACATTGCAATAAGTCAACTTGTTAGCAAAACCTAATCCATTCCTTTTCATTAACTATACTAAGAAATGTAAAAAACTCTAGTTTTTAATTTTAGAAAACTGTTTCCGTTTACTTTAGCTGCGAAGAGTAATCAGATTATTGATGCTTTTTAGAAGCTTGGGCTCTCTTAGCATCTTGATACAGCAGCTTAGTTTTGCAAAGGTTATAGATGACTCATTTGTGTACATTTCCAACCTGGCAGCTCTAACTATTGCAGCATCTAAACTGCCATACGTATACAGCAGTAAATTATTTTCAGTATTACATTCAGACTATTAAAGCTGTAGTGGTATGAGAATAATGCATGCTTGCATATTGTTACTGTCAGTAGGTACACAATCAATAAAACAATATTGTCCAGTATTTCAATAAAGCAGATGTCTGATAAGCTAATAGCAGCTTGAAATATGTTAAAGAATAAATATTCACTAACACTTCACACAGGGGAGGAAGTACCTGTGGAGTCAGAGAATAAATATTGTGTCCTCCACCTCCAGTTGGTAAGGTACAGCAGCAATTCTTGGACCTGCAGGAATAGGCCTGGTCTGTTTTGCTGTGCATTATACTCTTCCCTGGTAGAGCTTATTACAATAGCAATTACACAGTTATTTGTACAATTACTTGGTTAACATTTTCCTCCTCTGCAAGGCACTAGCTGGATGAAATTAGAGACCACACTCAAGTTTCTGAAGACCTCCAAAAAGAGCAATGAGGGGAATACATTCACTGAAACTAATTCAAACCAGTGGTGTCAGTGAGTATGCACAATAGATGATATTTTATTATTTGCAAAGAATTTGTCACTACAAGTGAGAAATTATGCAAAAACAGTGAAGACACTTAAACAAATCCCTAATGGCCATAATCTTGTCAAGAAATGGGCAATAAATGGCACACATGTTGCCACTTCCTGGTGCTGTGACTTTGGCAGACCTCATGGAATTATGTGGGCATTCCACATTGGTGAGCCTATGGATGATCTCAGAACCATCCACAAAACAGTGCAGCAACCTCTCCTGGCCAATCAGATTTGGCTCATACAGGAGGATCTACTCACCTTTGCTGATATAAATCAACCTCTCCATGTGAGAAAACTGAGACCTCAAGGGGTTAAACTTTTCTCCCTAAAACCGACAGCCAATTATTGCCGCTTTCCTGGTTACCATGTTTTCTTTCTCTTTTTAAAATGTCCTTATTTTTATTTCTGTCTGTTCAATTAACTTAAGGGTTATAGGCTATCTCAAATATATGTTAAGAAAATGTCAGATATTAAGTGTATACATATAACGATTTTTCTGAAGTCACATAACTAGTTCTTAGTAACACAGGAATCCAGTAAAACACTAAGAGACTGTACTGCGATCTTGAATAATTAAGTAAGCAAGTATGAAAAGAAAAAAATCTTGAGTCAGTTTTATTTTTAAAAACTCTCTCGACCAGGAGCGGTGGCTCACGCCTGTAATCCCAGCACTTTGGGAGGCCGAGGAGGGTAGGTCATCTAAGGTCAGAAGTTTGAGACCAGCCTAGCCAACATGGTGAAACTCTGTTTCTACTAAAAATACAAAAATTAGCTGGATGTGGTGGTGTATGCCTGTAATCCCATCTACTTGTGAGTCTGAGGCAGGAGAATACCTTGAACCCAAGAGGTGGAGATTGCAATGAGTGGAGATTGCGCCATTGCACTCCAGCCTGAGTGACAAGAATGAAACTACGTCTCAAAAACAAAAAACAAAAACGAACAAAAAAAACACCTCTCTCCATGGGAGAAACACATTTGAGAATCTTCACTATCTTCTTGTTGCCAAGAAAGTGACTGAAAATGAAGATCTAAGCACAAGCTTCCATTAGGAGCTTGTTAATGACACTCCTGTAAGAGTTTTGCCAAACTCTTATAGATTTGAAGCAATAGAAATAACAGGTAATTTATGTTAAATGCTGATTTTAGCTTTCTGGTTGAATGTGGATTAGATTTAGTACAGAGAAAATTGTATTTTTGACATACAGTATTTAATCTATACACTGATTAAATAAGGAGTTGCAACTTAGTAGTATTTCAGCATATATTAAAATGCGTATAGGGATTTATAATCGATAGAGCCTTTTTTTTTAATATTTTTCTTTAACTTTTAAGTTCAGGGGTAGATATACAGGATGTGCAGGTTTGTTACACAGGTCCTTGTTCTTATAACATTTTTAATCATAATATTTATTTATTATGGTCATAAATGCCTCAATTATTTTTCTGTGAAAATATGTGTTCCCTTTAGAGTGTTGTGAGTTGTATTTTTTATGTTTTTGGAGAAAAGACTTGTGAAAGGGAAAGTGTCAGCCTTCCTTAAGTGATGCAGTTTTTTATACATATATGGAAGTTGTACAAAGAAAGTGCCACCTAGAATCTCTGACCTTTGTGGAACTTAGGGAGAGAGGAGCAAGAGCCTGACTTCCAGGCATAGTGAACAAAACAAGGACAAAACCCCTGTGGGCAACATAGTGAGACTCCATCTCTACAAGAAATAATAATAATAATAAAAATAGCTGGGCATGATGGCATGAACCTGTAGCTCCAAGTATTTGGAAGCCTGAGGCAGGAAGATTGCTTGAGCCAGAGTTCAAGGCTGCAGTGAGCTATGATCAGGCCACTGCACTCTAACCAGAGGGAGACCCTGTCTCTAAATTAAAAATTTAAGAAAATAAATAAACAAATAAAAATGTGCATTGGACCAATTCTGGCCACATCTAAAATCTGAATGGGAAGGAAGAAATATTTAAATTAGTTGCATTTATTATTTATTGTTGGAGATATAGTTTCTGAAATTATTCTTCTGCAGAAGTTTATTTTCTACCCTTGTGTTAATTTCCTTATTTTACTTAAGTAATTTCTTACTGATTAACATGCATTTAAATAGTTATGATACTTTGCTGTTAGATCTTTATAAAGAGGTTAAATTATAATAATTATACATTTAAAGCATATAATTATAAAACAAATATGAAGATTTTATATTGATGACAATAGATAGAGTAGTGGCAATGTAATGACATATTACAAACTTAGAATATTGAGTACTATTAATTTGACCTCAAATATTCTCAAGATAATCACTGTAGGGCGTTAACTTCTCTCTTTACTCTTTGAATGTACTATATCTTATCTGCCTAATTTTTTCCCAAGTGGATACAATGTAAATTAAAAATTTTTCAAAAGAAACTAAAATTTATCTTTACATGGTAAATTACTCTATTAAAAATATTCTCATTACATTTTCAAATGTGAAAGATAGCCTCCTTTTTTTGAAAATTTTGATTTCCATTGATTTAAATTGTTACGATAGATAATTCACAAATGTGTCTCTGTTACCATGTGGCAGTAATTAAATTGTGTATTCAGGCATGTGAATTGTAGCAGCGTGCATTTTCCAAAGGTGGCTGCAGTAACATCCTTCACCCCATGTGCCTTTTTGCCATGTGGTCTTGTCACTCCCCATCAAGAAATAGACTCTATTCCTTCTACCCTTGAATGTGGGCAAGCCTGTGGCATAGTTTGGTAGTCAGCTTTTAGTCATAAAGTTGGCTTTACTTTGTTTAATAATATTACATTTTTCTTCTATGTATCTTTGCCTTTGGACACAAACATTACCTGGGAGGCAAAATCCTTTACTTGAATTAGGCTTGTAATTTGTTCTCTTTAATCATTATACTTAACCTTTAATGACAGTTCTCTTTAATAACTATAGTCTTTAGTGTGTTTTGAGTTGTATTTTTTATATTTTTGGAGAAAAGACTTGTGAAAGGGAAAGTGCCAGCCTTCCTTAAGTCACAAAAGTGCTTTGTTAATTCATTTGTGCACATCTTTCAATGTAATTGACATTTCCCTGGATGTTTAACCATAAAGGCCAGAAAGTATAAATACTGTAGATACCACAAAGATACTCTGTAGACACCACAAAGCTGTTAGTTTAACATTTAAATGGTAGCATTATTATATACAAAGAGGACAAGAGCAGAGGATATAACATTTGGATTGTAGCTTGGCTCTTACTACCTATGAGACTCTGGGCAGGTCTAACCATCTGAATGGCTAACAACTTAAATGTAATGTATACATGTCATACTAGATCACTTCTAATGTCTGCATTTTATTTCTAAAGATAAACTGTGGAATGCTTTAATTATTTTAGTAACGTCATCAGTTTGGAGATTATGTGACTTCAAAGATGTTTTTATAAAGCATATACAGTCATGCACCATACAAAAACCTTTATGTCAACAAGAGTTTGCATATACAATGGTGGTCCCAGAAGATGATAATGGAGCTGAAAGCTTCCTATCCCTTAGTGATGTCTTGCTGATCCTGACCCTGTGTAGGCCTAGGATAATGTGTTTGTGTCTTAGTTTTTAACAAAATAGTTTAGAAAATAAAAAAAGTAAAATGTTCTTATCAAAAAAGCTTGTATAATAAGGATATAGAAAGAAGGGATAAATAAAGAAAATAATCTTGGACAATTGTACAATATGCTTATGTTTTAAACTAAGTGTTATTATAAGAGTCAAAAAGTTAAAAAAATAAAAAGTTTATAAAGTAACATAGTTACAGTAATCTAATGTTAATTTAATATTGAAGAAAAAAGTTTTAAATAAATGTACTGTAGCCTAAGTATACATTGCTTTTGAAGTCTACAGTAATGTCTAGTAACATCCTAGGCCTTCACATTCACTCACTCACTCACTCACCCAGAACAACTTCCAGTCCTGCAAGCTCAATTCATGGTAAATGTCCTTTAAGTTGTATCATTTTTATCTCTTATGTAGTGCTTTTACCGTACCTTTTCTATGTTAGGTGTATTTCGATACACAACTGCTTCCCATATGCTGCAATTGCCTACAGTATACAGTACAGTAATATGCTGTCCAGTACAGTAATAGCCTAGGACCAATAGGCTATACCATATAGCCTAGGTGTATAGTAGGTTCTATCATCTAGGTTTGTGTAAGTGCATTCTATGATGTTCCCAGGGTAATGAAATCACCTAAAGATGCATTTCTCAGAATGTATCCCTATCATTAAGTGATACATGACTGTACATAGTTTTTTTTTCAGTTTGCAAATAATTCTTTCATTTATATCCATTAATTTTCCATTGCTGTCCATTAAAACATTTTTTTTCTGATTCAGCAGTATTTTATTAGGAAGGTATACAAAGTGATGTTCTGTGGGACGATTTAGACTGCTCCCTGTTTTTGTAAACAAAGCTTTGTTGGAACACAGCTGTGCCCTTCCTTTGTATATCACTCATGGCTGCTCTTCTGCATGGCAGATGTGAGCAGTTGAGGCAGAAACCATAGTGCCACAAAGCTTAAAATATTTACCTTCTGTCCCTTTGCAAAAAAAGTTTGTCAGTCTCTAATTTGGAGCAAAAAAGGTCAAAACCACAACCTGAATGTAAAAATCCTCAGAAATTCCCATTCTTAGTTTGAAATACTCTGGTTGAACCTAGGTACTCCAGAAGTTTTCCAAATCCTTAAACAGTTTTCCAAATAAAAAATCCTTTAAATTTACATTTTTAAAGCATGTCATAGTAATGGATTTGGCATGGAGCCCTGGGATTCAAATTAAGTTTGTTCCTAACTTAAAATAGCACTTTTTTTTGCTGACTTATTGAGGTTATCCAGGAACTCATCTTTAGCACATCACTTTTCTTATGTTCCTGCTAATCCATATATTATTCCTTTGTAACAGGTACAACCAGTTAGCACTTTCAATGCCCAGTAATACCTTCCTTAACTCAAATTAACTCATTTATGCCAGAGTTAGCAATTTTTTGAATTTTTGCATGAGTGAAAAATCAGACCTTGGTGATGACCTTGAGCAGGAGGATATAAATAACTCCCACATGCTTAGCGTTCCAATAATGGAACACTAGGCATAAGTGGGCTTTAATTAATCACAATACCAAAAAATCATTTTTCAGAACTGAAGAAGATAATGATATATTCAATAAATTTTCTAGTTAAGAGAGTGATTTTACAGATTAAATTTTTAGAGAAAACATTACTATGCCACTCTAATATGGTTTCACAGCTTTAGTTTATTTGAAGCACCATGACTTTCTTCATGAATTACCAAATTGTGTCATGGCAGATGTGAGACACAACTATGAAGGAAGGACTGAAAAATACAGAAATCCAAAGCAAGATATAATTGCCGCATGAAACACCTCATAAGCATACCAACTCACTAGAAATCTAAATGCAAAGAAGATTGAAATTAAAGTTACATTATTTTGTATCTCCTGGAGATCCTGTTTCAAGATACTGTGTATACCCATCCCTTTTGAGATGCACTAAGTCAAAGTCATGTCACTGCATGATTGACAGGTGGCAGTCCCGGAATACAAGGACCACATGGGCAGTGATGTCTTTACTTGTGGTCCATACAGAAATTGAGAAACCTTGTGCGACTCATTAGAAGTTTGAATAACCACAAGTTTAGTTCTTTCTGACAACTCAGCAAGACATGACATCAGCAAGATTTAAATAAGCATGGAGGGGGAATTTAACATGAAATGTAGCTTTCTCCCTTAAATTGCAAAGTATTTTCTAGCTGTTTTAATACTTAAAAATTATTCCTGACAGAATATAATTTGCCACTCTAAATCATTTGCATATGATCTGAAGAGCAGAGAATAAAATAAGCTTTAAGTATGTATCAAAGTGTATTCTTAGCTTTATGGCAGTCCTAAATGGAATACAAGGAAAGAGCACTGTAGTTATAGCTAACATAAATAGGCAACAATGACCGGAAAGCATGGCACAGTGCTGCATGTGTGAATAGATCATTCTGACAGTCCAAAGTGCTGCCTGGGCTTTAAATATTTTATACCTTCCTTATTTGTTGATGTTTCCAGTCAAACATGGATATAAATTAGAATGCAGCAGGCTGGCTGGAGCTATGGCTTGGGAAATCAGGCATGCATTTAATGGACTATGGGTAAAGTAAGTTTAGTTTCTAAAGTTGGCTTTTACTCACATATTTTTCAAATGTCTCCTTTTTATAAAACTCTAATACCTTTATTGTTTTGTCCAAAATGAATCTATCCCTATTACGAAAACTCAAGCATGAGAGAAAAATATAAAATATATAAATATTGACCAAATATGACCTCTTTGGTTACCCACTCTTCTATTCCAATAAGAAAAAAACAATCAACAACTTAGAATATAATGTTACAGCGTTTTTATATACATATATCAATGTTAATATAAACATAAATATACATTACATATAAATGTATGTGTATACATTTATATATAAATGTATATATGAAGTTGATCCTTGAAGAACTCAGAAGTTAAGGGTGCTGAGGCCCTATATAGTCCAAGATCCCCAGATAACATCTGAATCTCCCAGAACTTAACTACTAATAGCCTACTGTTGACAAGCTGTACCAATTACATAAACAGTCCATGAAAACATCTATGTTATATGTATTATATATTATATGTTTATAACAAAGTAAGCTAGAGAAGATAAAATCTTAGAAAATTATAAAGAAGTGAACATATATTTACTATTCATTACATGAAAATGAATAATAATAAAAGTTTTCATCTTCATTCTTTATCCTCATCATCATCATGTTGAGTAGACAGAAGAGGAGAAAGAGAAGGGATTGGTCTTACTGTCTCAGCAGTGGCAGAGGGAGAAGAAAAAAGTCCATACATAAGTGGATCTGCACATTTCAAACTCAGGTTGTTCAAGTCAATTTTCTATTTATACATGAAGCAACTGCATTATAGATTCTACTTTGGAAATTGCTTTTAAAATTTAATTTATTACATAGCTTTCTATGTTATAGCCAAAAGATCTGTTTTAGACTTATACCAAAGTTGCAGAATGGTACAGAAATTCCATATACACCCTTCACCCAGTTTCCTTTGATATTATCA
Organism: Homo sapiens; assembly: GCF_000001405.40. Classification (NCBI taxonomy): domain Eukaryota; kingdom Metazoa; phylum Chordata; class Mammalia; order Primates; family Hominidae; genus Homo; species Homo sapiens. The sequence continues at coordinate 62,043,223 of NC_000008.11, forward strand.
ACTTACATAAACATGGTCCAATTGTCAGAATGGAAATTAACATTGGAAAAAAAAAAGAAAAAAAAAAACAATTAATTAAACTACAGGCATTACTCAAATTCAATCAGTTTTTCCCCTAATGTTCCTTTTTTCTATTCCTGGATCAAATTCAGGACCCTAGAATGCAATAAATTGTTGTCTCTTTATTCTCCTCCCATCTGTTACAGTTCTTCATTCTCGCCTTTTCTTTCATGATTTTGACACTTTTTATGAGTACTGGTCAGTTATTTTTCAGAATGCCTTTCAATTTAAGTTTGTCTAATGTTTTCTTATAATTATACTGGGGTTATGTATTCGGCAAGAATACCACGGAAGTGATGCTTGCTCTTCCCAGTGAATCATGTCAGGTGTTGCATGATGTCCATATGTCTTATTAATAGGGATGTTAACCTCAGTCTCTAAGATAAGAAGATGTCTGCTAGGTTTCTCCACTCTAAAGTTACTATTTTTTTTTGTAATTAATGTCATGGGGAAATATTTTAATATAATACTAATATCTTGTTTCTTTATAAATTTGTCCCCATGGATTTTAGCATCCATATGTGAATCTTGCCTCTAACAATTATTACTGTGGTATTTTCCTAATTTTAAATTTTCCTCATTTTTGTATTTTACAATTCTGTATTTCCCTCATTTCTTCTACACTTTGCAATCGGAATTCTTTTGTAAAGAAGAAATATCTATTCTCAATTTTATTATTTATTCATTTCCTGTGAATATCTATTGACTCACCGAAATTTATTTGATTCTATGAGTTATAACACAATACAATCATACTTATTTTATTGGTTACATTGTTACAGCTTTGGCCAACGGTAGCTCCCTCCAGTTGGCTTCCGTGTATGTTTGACCATTGCCTTTGCTTCTTCAAGTGCCTCCTTATTTGCTGGCATTACAAGATGTTCTAGGCTTGCCTTGCATATTCCCACTCCAGCCCTAGAACTGACTTGACTAGATCTCCAAGGAGCTCAGGCTCCTTTTATTGGACAATTGTACTTAGAAACCAAGATCTGGACCATAATATAACTGATTTATCATTCCAACAAAGGTGGAATTGCTCCTAGTGCTTTTCAGTGGACAGAGCCAGGAAATATATTCTACCTGCATGCGCATATGCTTGTGGACACACATATGCGCAAACACCCACACATGCTACATACAGATGCGTCTCGACTTACCATGCAGTTACTTCCTTATAAGCTACATACAGATGCGTCTCGACTTACCATGCGGTTACTTCCTTATAAGCCCATCATGAAGTTGAAAAATTATTAAGTCAAACCATCATAAGTTGGAACCAACTGTATACGTATATGTGAGAGGGAGTCTCCCTCTGTTGCCCAGGCTGGAGTACAGTGGCACAATCTCGGCTCACTGCAACTTTCGCCTCCCAGGTTCAAGTGATTCTCTTGTCTCAGCCTCCCGTGTAAGCTAGGATGACAGGTGCAGGCCTCCACGCCCGGCTAATTTTTTTGTATTTTAGTAGAGGTGGGGGTTTCACCGTGTTGCCCAGGCTGGTCTCGAACCCCTGAGCTCGTGCAATCCCCCTGCCTCGGCCTCCCAAAGTGTTGGGATTACAGGCATGAGCCACTGCATCCGGCCCCCTTTTCACTTCTAATAATCAATTGTCATTTTTTCCTTTCTCACCTACCCGCTTAAGCAATCAATCTCTTTAGTTTCTGTTTTATCCTTCCAGTAATATGTTTTTGGGTAAGTGAGCAGATACATGAGTATTTTTTAAACTGTGTGAGAACACTCAAAATGAGATCTATTCTCTTAACAAAATTTTAACTACACAATACTGTCTTAAATATAGACACAATGTACAAATACAGTAGTACAAATACTGTTTTGTATTCCCACCAGCAGTGAGAGTTCCTGTTGCCCTACAACCCCTCGCCCCCACCCCAGTAATTTGCATTGTCTTTCATTATTATTTTTATCAATTCTATTAGGTGTGTAGTGATATTTCATTGTAGTTTTGTGTTACCCTAATGACAAATGATGTTGAGCATCTATTCATTTGCTTATCCATATGTTGTTAAGTGTTTATTCAGACTGTTGACACATTTCTAATTTGTTTAGCAATTACTGAATTTTTAAGAGTTTTTCATATATTCTGGGCACAGGTTCTTTTTTATAGACATGTTTTTTGCAAGTGTTTTCTTCTAATCTGTAGCTTGGTTTTGATTTTGTTTTTGTCTCTTTCTGAGACAGTCTCACTTTGTCATCCATGCTGGAGTGCAGTGGAGGGTTCATGGTTCACTACAGCCCCAACCTCCTGGGCTCAAGTGATCCCCCCATCTCTGCTTCCCGAGTAGCTGGGGCTACAGGCATGTGCCATCATGCCCGGATAATTTTTGTATTTTTTTGTAGAAATGGGGTTTTACCATGCTGCCCCAGCTGGTCTTGAACTCCTGGGCTCAAGTGATATGCCTGCCTGGGCCTCCCAAAATGCTGGGATTACAGGAGCCTCTGCACCCAGCTAACTTGTTTTTTTTATCTCTTAACAATGTCTTTCAAAAAGCAAAAATCTTGTTTAAGTGCAATTTAGTAATATTTTCTTTTGTGGGTAGAGCTTTTATCATATTGAAAAACTCATTGTCAAACTCAAAGTTACGCAATTTTTCTTATGCTTTTTTTCCTCCAAGTTTACAGTTTTATGTTTGGCATTTAGGTCTACGATCCATTTTGGGTGAATTTTTGTATAAGATGTAAGGTATGTATCAAGGTCTATATTTTTGCATGTGGATATCTAATGGTTCTAGCACCGTTTGTTTGAAAGACCATTATTTCTTCATTGAATTGTCTTTGCCTCTGTTAATAAGCTGAAAATGTATGTGTGTGTGTGTGTGTGTGTGTGTGTGTATGTTTGGACCCACCACCATTCTTTTCCATTCATCTATGTACTTATTTTGCTAATATTACACTGTCTTGATTACTGTAGATTTATGGTCAATTTTGAAATTGGATAATTTAACTCCTCTAAGTTTATTCATCTTTCTCAGAATGATTTCAGCTCTTCTAACTTCTTTGCCTTTCTGTATAAATCTTAGAACCACATTCTCTCCAAATATTTTGCTGGGATTTTGATCAAAAAAGTTTACAGGTCAGATTGTGGAAAACTGACATCTTCATAATATGGAGCCTTCTAATCCATAAACACAAAATCTCTCTTCATTTGTTTAGATCATCTTTGAATTCTTCCTTCAATGTTTTATACTTTTGAGCACACAGATCCTACACACATTTTGTTATATTTATACACAAATGCTTCATTATATTTTGGTGAAAGTTTAAGATGTGTTGTTTTTTCTTGTTGGTATGTAGGAACATAATTGACTTTTGTATTTTAACTCTGTATCCTGTGACCTTGCTACTCACGTGTTAGTTCTAGGAGTTTAACTTGGTTTGTTTGTCTGTGTGTAGATTCTTTATGGTTTCCAAGAGAGATAATCATGTAATTTGCAAATAAAGAAGGTTTTATTGCTTCCTTTCCAATTTGTGTGCTCATTTCTTTTATTTTCCCTTTCTTTAATTTTACTTTTATTTGACTTATTTCATTGGCTATGTGCCTTATTATATTGGCTAGGACTTCCAGTATTATTTTGAATAGGTGTGGTGACAGAGATCATCTTTGCCTTGTTCCTGATCTTAAGGAGATAGCATTCACCATTAAGCGTAAAATCTATTTACATTTAATGTGATTATTGATATGGTTTGACTGACTGCAACCATTTTTCTATTTGTTTTCTATATATCCCATGTCTCTTTTGTTTCTCTGTTCCTCCTCTCTTTTGTGTTATTTTCTCGCATATCATTTTAATTCCTTTGTTGGTTTCTTTAAACTACATTTTTTAGTTACTTCATGTTTCCTCAAGAGATCTTAATTCATTATAATCTAATTCAGATTAATAATAACTTAATTCCATGATAATATGAAAATTTGCTTCTATATAGCTCCATTTCCTCCCTCTACCTTTGTGGTATTATTGACATATATGTTTTAAGTGCATCACAGCAATGTTTATGAATATTGTTTTATGTAATTTTTAAAAAATCAGTTTGGAAACACACACACACATATAGAGAGAGAGAGATAGATAATATACTTAGGTAATTACCTTTATCTGTGAAATGTAATTCTTTGTGTGGACTCAAGTTACCCTCTTGTATTTCCTTTGACTTGAAGGTCTTTCTTTAGCATTTCTTATAAGACAGATCTGTTAGCAATGCACTCTTTGTTTACCTGGAAATAACTTTATTTCTATTCATCATCAAAGGATAGTTTTATTGAATACAATAATCTTGATTGACAGTTTTTTCCTGTCAGCTCTTTTAATAGGTCATTCTCTTCAATATGTCATTCTATTTTCCTCATTGTTTCTCAAGAGAAGTCACCTATTAATCTTATTATGATTCTCTTGTACATATTCAGTTGCCTTGTTCTTGTGCTTTCCGAATTGTTTCTTAATCTTTAGATTTGAAATGTTTGACTCTGACTATTATTCTACTTGGAGTCTCTTGAGCTTTTTACAAGTGTAGATTAATGCTTTTCTTCACATTTAGGAAGTGTTTTAGCTTTTAAAAAAACTATTTGTTTTATTTCTCTGTCTGTCTTTCCTTCCTTCTTTCTCCTTTCTTCTCTTTTTTTTTTTTTGCTTTTTTTTTTTTTTTGAGACGGAGTCTCGCTGTGTCGCCCAGGCTGGAGTGCAGTGGCGTGATCTTGGCTCACTGAAAGCTCTGCCTCCCGGGTTCACGCCATTCTCCTGCCTCAGCCTCCTGAGTAGCTGGGACTGCAGGTGCCCGCCGCCACACCCAGCTAATTTTTTGTATTTTTAGTAGAGACGGGGCTTCACCGTGTTAACCAGGATGGTCTCGATCTCCTGACCTCGTGATCCGCCCGCCTCGGCCTCCCAAAGTGTTGGGATAACAGGCGTGAGCCACCGCGCCCGGCCTCCTTTCTTCTCTTTCTAAGATTCCCACTGTGTATTTATCAATATGTTAATTGTTCCAACAGATCTCTAAAGCTCTGCTTATTTTCTTAAATTTTCTTTCTGTTCTTCAGACTCGACAGTCTCTATTCATCTAGCTTCAAGTTCAGTGTGTTTTTGTTGTTGTTTTTTGATGGTTCATATCTGCTGTTGAGCTCCTCTAGTGTCTTTTTCATTTAAATGATTGTACTGAATTTCCATTGGATTCATATATGTGTTCATATATGTACACATATGTAATAGTAATTATACTTTCTATGTTTACACTAATGTTCTCTATTTAATAAGTAATTGTCATTATACTTACTTTTAATTGTTAAAAATACACTTTGCTTTAGTTCTATATATTTATAATGGATGCTTTGAACTCTTTGTGTACTAAGTCCAACATCTGAGATCCCTCACAGATAGTTTCTGCTTGCTGCTTTTTTCCCCATGTCAATGAGGCGTGCTTTCCTGTTTCTTCTCTTCTGTTGAAAATAAGACATGACATTTTGGATAACAGATTCTGATTCCCCAAATGAGATTATTTTGTTGTTACTTAATTTTTTTCTTTATTTTTACCCTTGCCTGGACTAATTCTGTCTCCTATTTAATATGCAGCCACTCATGTCTCTGCTAAGTTATTTCTTTTCTTGTTTTTTTTTGTTTGTTTTTTGTTTTTTTTGTAAACCTAGAAGCTTAGATATTACTCTTGGTTAGTATAGCTGAGGAATTAGTTAATAATTGATTAGAGTTTGCGCTTAAGCACTTTGAACCAGTGAGAATCGAACCCTTTGCCTCTTGTTCTGTGAGTGCATTGGAGGTCATGCAGGCAACATCTCTGAGGTGTCTTTAAAGTAGTTATATTAATGTGTTTGCCTGTTAAAATTCATGCTTGGTTCAGTTTTGATTCTATGCTATATAACCTTTTTTGGTCATAGTTTTCTGATATTTACATTTTGTTTTGTTTCTCATATAATGTTATGTTTTATTGTATGTTGAATCTTATATATAAAATAATTTTGGAACAGAGAAAGCCCCTTCTTCTGCCAGACCTGATCTAAGTTCTTATTGAACTAGATCTGGTATGGGTTGCAGCTTGTGTTTGAGTTTACCCCTGGCTTCAAATCCTTTGGGGGTGAGATCTGGACTCCTAATTTCAGAAGGACTTAGTATTTAAGAATTATGAGAATCTCTAGAACTTTTTATGCTTTACAGGCAGATTTTGAGGTTACTGGTGAATTCTCCAGCCACCATCTGTCCAGCATTATGCAACTCAGGAGTTCTTACCTTGCCTTCTGGTTTGGCTCCAATATTTAGTATGCTTCCATGTATTTAAAGTCTGTCTGTGAAAGACTTGGCGAACAGATGATGATGTACTTTTTTTCTGGGACTTTTTGGAATCGAATCTATCTTGCCCCCCAATATGTGTCCATTAAAAGTTTCTCCTTAAATTATAAACATTCCTTGTCTATGGAAAATTATATCCTTTGTCCACAGAGGATATAACTGCAGGCATAAAATTAACTAGCAGTTTCTTCTCTTCTAGGTAGTGCTGATTTCTCTCTGGAGTTTGGTTCATTTAAAATTATTTGCATCTTTAGACTTCTAATAATTTTTTTTAAACTGACATTTAAAATTATCCATTAAAATTGTTACAGTAAGAATTATGACTTCTTGTGACCTTTTAAATACTTACCAGATGCATAAGTTTTATCCCAGTTTTCTTCTCGCTTCATGGGAAAAAGAAAGGAAAGAGATCATATGCCATTTAGAGGAGAATTGGGGGGCAGCAAAGGAGAAAGTTTATATATACAGGCACACCTTGTCTTATATCACTTTACTTTATTGTACTTCATGGACACTGCATTTTTTACAAATTGAAGATTTGCTGCAACCCTGAATGAAGCAAGTCCACTGGCACCTTTTTTCTAATGTCTATGTTACATGTTGATAATTCTCTTAAAATTTCACACTTTTCCATTATCATTGTATCTCTTATGGTGATCTGTGATCAGTGATCTTTGATGTTACTACTGTCATTGTTTTGAAGCATCAGTAGCCATGCAGATATAAGACAGCGAACTTACTTCATACATGTTGTTTGTGTTCTGACTGCTCCACCAACCAGCTATTATTCCCCTGTCCCTCTCCCTTTCCTCAATCCTCCCATTCACTAATATGTAGCAAATAAAAACTAGGTCAATTAATAATGTTATCATGGCCTGTAAGTATTCAAGTGAAAGGAGGAGTTGGACTTCTCTCACTTGAGGTGGGAGGATCACCTGAGGTCAGGAGTTCGAGACCAGCCTGACCAACATGGTGAAACCCCATCTCTACTAAAAGTACAAAGTTAGCCAGATGTGGTGGCACATGCCTATAATCCCAGCTACTTGGGATGCTGAGGCAGGAGAATTGCTTGAGCCTGGGAGGAGGAGGTTGCAGTCAGCCAAGATCACGCCATTGCACTCCAGCCTGGGGAGGCAACAAGAGTGAAACTCTGTCTAAAAAAAAAAACAAAAAAGAAGCAAGAAATGATTAAGCTTAGTGAGGAAGGCATGTTGAAAGCCAACACAGGCTGAAAGGTAGGCTTTTTGTGCCAGTTAGTCAAGTTGTGAATTCAAAGGAAAGTTTTTGAAGGAAATTAAATGTGATAATCCAGTAAGCACATGAATGATAAGAAAGAAAAACAACCTGTTGCTGATATGAAGAAAGTTTTAGTGGTCTGGATAGATCAAACCAATCATAGCATTCCCTTAAGCCAAAGCCTAATTCAGAGTAGTCCCTAAATCTCTTCAATTCCAGAAGAGATTCATCATGCTAGTGCTAGATTCCATTAAAAACATTTATGATCGATTTTTTTTTGCTCCCACGCTGTTGATTGCTAAATGTAATAGGGCGATCATGATGCTGAATAAATGTCTTTTTTAAAAATGTGCTGTGTAAAGTTAGTCTACTCTGAAGCTGTCTTGGTAAATTTCCCCAACAGTGTGAAGTTAGAATTCCTTCAGGGTGATGCCAGGTTCTATTTGGAATTTAAATATAACCTGCTTGGGTGGAGAAGCCATTGTCTTCAGAAACCTTGGTGTAGTTGAACTGATAGTTACTGTTGTGACCTGAAGTTCACCATTAAAAGAGATTACCCAAGCAAAATCATGGAATTATTGGTTATAAAAATGATTGTTGGCACATCCTACGCAATATATCTAAATTGAATAATGGTACCAGATAAAATTATAGATGGGAAAGAAATTTGTGTACCATTTATTATCATGTGTAATCAGTAAACGATTTAATTCTCTTGAATGAAATGACAACTGAATGGATTTGGGACTGGCAGAGATTTGGACTTTCCCTAACCACTACCCCGATAATGTTGAATGCTTCTGTCACAATTCAGTTTCAAAGCTCTGCCAGGGAATAGAAACTGGCTGCTGGCTAATGCTGCTCCATAAATCCACAGATTTGAAGTGTTTGAGAGGCCTTTAAAAATCACCAATATCAGAAAGCATTTTAATGAACACAAAGATAGGCTTACATTAAAGAAAAACTGCAGTTTGGCTGGGCTCTGGTAGGGTGGGCCTTCAGAGGTTTTATAGGTTAACTATGCTAATTAATTTGGAGATTAAAACCATAGCAATAGAAACTAAATTTTTCTGCATAATTTCATGTTAACTGCAGTTTTCCTTTTTGGCGCAAGATCATACAGACTTCCTAAAATGTTAATTGTATAGAAAATGATTTCTGTACCTTTAACAGTCAATATTCAATAATGTGTTATTTATACATAGATTCTTTAGAGTCTTACCTTTGGTGTTCTCTCAATTTCCATGCTATTGTACCTAGTAGCATAGAGATTTGTTTATTAAAAAGAAATTCATGATTCGTGGAGAATATCAAAATATCAACATTAACAGAAGTTTAGATGAAGTTAATTCCAGTACTCATGGATGCCTTTTAGGGGTTCAAGACTTCAGTGGAGGAAGTAACTGCAGATGTGAAAGAAATAACAAGAGAACCAGAATGAGAAATGGAGCCGGAAGATGAGACTGAATTGTTTTAATCTCATGATCAAATTTGAAGGATGAGGAGTTACTTCTTGTAAATGAACAAAGAAAGTGGTTTCTTGAAATGGAATCTACTCCTGGCAAAGATGCTGTGAACACTGTTGAGATGACAGCAAAGGACTCAAAATATTATATAAACTCAGTTGAAAAAGCAGTAGCTGGATTTGAGAGGATTGACTCCAGTTTTGTGAGAAGTTCTACTGTGGGTAAAATGCTATCAAACAGCATTGCAAATAACATAGAAATTTTCTGTGAAGAAAGAGTCAATGAGGGTGGCAAACTTTATTACTGTCTTATTTTAAGAAGTTGTCACCACCATTCCAACCTTCAGCAACCACCACCCTGATCAGTCAGCAGCCATCAGTATTGAGGCAAGACCCTCCACCAGCAAAATGACTATGACTCACTGAAGGCTCAGATGATTGTTAGCATTTTTTAGCAATAAGATATTTGTAAACAATGTATGCATTATTTTTAGACATAATGCTATTGCACACTTAATAGGCTGCAGTGTAGTGCAAGCATAACTTTTATATGCAATGGGAAATAAAAAAATTCATGTGCCTCACTTTATTGCAATATTCAATTTATTGTGGTGATCTGGAAACTAAACCTACAATATCTGTGTGTGTGTGTGTGTGCATGTGTGTGTGTGTGTGTTCAGATTAAATGCAAAAATTTTGTTGGAATGTTTTTACAATTTTTTTTTAATTTATTTTTATTTTTTTTGAGACAAAGTCTCGCCCTGTCACCCAGGCTGGAGTGCAGTGGCGTGATATTGGCTCACTGCAACCTCCACCTCCTGGGTTCAAGCAATTCTCCTGCCTCAGCCTCCTGAGTAGCTGGGACTACAGGCATGCACAACCATGCTCGGCTAATTTTTGCATTTCTAGTGGAGACAGAGTTTTTCCATGTTGACCACGCTGGTCTCGAACTCCTGGCCTCAAGTGATCCACCCGCCTTCGCCTCCCAAAGTGCTGGGATTACCGGCATGAGCCACCTAAAAGTACTTTTTAAATGTTAAAAGCATTTTGATGCAGTAAAGAAACAATTCTTTCTTAATATAGGTATATTTTCAGATTTGAAGGGCAAACACAAATTGTTTCTTTGTTAACTGTACCTCTTTTTCAGTAGCAATGATTGTTTTATGCAAATTTATGAGAGAACTGTGACAAAATATCTTTTGACAACATGTGCCTGAAAATACTCAGTATATTCAACATCTGAATCAGTATGAATAAGAGCCAGTGTTAATGTTTCTGAGTTAGACTGAAGTGAATGGAGACTTCCATGTCTTACCTAGATAGTATGGGGTGAGGGAGATAGACTCTGTATACAGAATATATTTTTCTTCAGTTTGAAAGCTGCATGAAAAGAACTGCAAGGGAAACAGATTGGATAGACATGCAGTGGTGCTTGTGTTTTAATATGGGCTGATTTTATGCTCAAACATTGCAAAGTTTAGTCTTTTTATGAACTGAAGAGGTTGGGCTGAAAGGAGTCAAAATAATATTAACAGGACAGTTGGATCTCCATGGTAATTGTCCTAATAGTCTTTCCAAATGCACTCCTGCCTTATTACTAGGTTTATGAATACTGCATTGCACTTAGAGAGCCTTCCTTGTGGAAAGAGAATACATCTTTAAAAATAGTGGACCTTGAATAAAAATCTTGTATATTCTTCAACTGTTGGGTCACATTCGACCATAGCACATTGGAAGATCTCACTTTTTTTACTGAAAATCTTTCCAGAGTTTCCCAATAAGCTTCCTTAGTATGTTCTACAAGGTTGTGTCTACCTCTACAATATAATTTGGGCTATCCAACAGTTTAATTTTTGTAGCACAGCCACCCTAGTCTGTTTTTAGTCCCCACAGCCTCAGCCCTTCTCTGGTATTCTAAAGATAGGAAACCTTGGAAACATCAAGTAACAACAGTTTCATAACAAACATTGTCCTTTCCACAATGGCCACAATCATCTATCACAGCAGAAGGACTCCTGGTGTTGGTTGTGTGGCACTTCCTAAAGTGAAGTCAGGCAGTGGGAAGGGATGAGTAACCATTTTAAAATATGACCAAAACATTCTCAATAACTACTCCACCTGAAAAGGGCATTTCTCTAACTCCAGTCTGCCCTTGCTTTCCTATCTAACCTAAAGGGGGCAGGAAAGCTAAGACACACTAGTGAAGGCCACATCCCAGTGACACAGTCCTACTAAAAGACTGAGATTCAAGCTTAAGATTGTAGAATGCTTCTCTTCCCAGCATTGCAGCATTGTGAAATGCTTCTCAGTAGGATGTACTGAGTATTTTCAGGCAAATGTTGTCAAAGATATTTTGATGCATTATCACCCCACTGACAGCACTCAGACACAGTAACAGTAGCAATTCGCTCAGCTGCAAGATGCAAATTCTACCCAAGAAGGGGTCTGTGAGAAGGCCCAAAGGCAACAAGGAAGACAAAAATCAAGACAGTGGAGAAAATGAAATCTCTTACTCCAAAGGCTACAGTAAGTAGTAAACATGCACTCCTAGCCAGATTAACAAAACCTCACACTGAAGACCTACTTACCCCGGTAAATAAAATATAAGTAAATAAATGAAAATTTCAGCAGATTTCTCAGTAGAAGCCATGCAAGTAATAAGAGAGTAAATTATTTCAAGTGTTGAAAGAAAAAAATTACTTCCTAGAATTCTATATCCAGGGAAATTATCTTTTGAAATTAAGGGAGAAATAAAGGCTTTTTCAGACGAACAAAAACAGAAGAAATTCTTTAAAATAGACCTGGTCTGCAAGAAGTGGTTAAAAGAAGTCCTTCAGAAAGAAGGAAAATTACACAGTCAGAAACGCAAATAATTCCATTGAAAAAGAGCATCAAATAAATAATAAATGAAGCTAAAATAAAGTATATTTCCCTAATTCTCAATTCATCTAAAAGATTTTTTAAAGTAAAAATAACGACTGAGTATTAGATGATTACAGCAGGTGGAAAAGTAAAATAAATGGCAACAATGTAATAAGGGATGGGATGGAGGAATGTGGAGTATCCTAAGTTATCTGTGTAATATGTAAAGCAGCCCAGTGTTATTTATGTCAAATATGGATTTGTGTTAATAGATACTGCAAATTCAAGAAAAAAACCATTAAAAATTGTAAAAAAAAAAAGTAAAGTTATGTTGAGAGGAGATAAGCTCGATCATAAAAATGCTCAGTTAAAATCAGAGAAGGTAGGCAAAAGGAGGAAATCAAAGAACAAATGCAATGAATAGAAGGTTAGAAACTATTAAGCCAAGTATTTTTAAAATTCCTTAAAAGTTAATGATCTGAAAACACCAATTAAAAGACATATTGTCAGCTGGGCATGGTGGCTCATGTCTGTAATCCCAGCACTTTGTAAGGTCGAGGCGGGTGGATTGCCTGAGCTCAGAAGTTTGAGACCAGCCTGGGCAACATGGCGAAACCCTGTCTCTACCCTAAATACAAAAAATTAGCTGGGCGCAGTGGTGCACTCCTGTAGTCCCAGCTACTCCAGAAACTGAGGCATGAGAATCGCTTGAACTCGGGCCTGGGCAACAGAGTGAGACTCTGTCTCAAATAAATAAATAAATAAATAAATAAATAAAATTTAAAAAAGACATATTATTGAAATCTATAATAAAAAACAAGACCCAACTATATATTTTCAAGAAACTCATTTGAAATACAAAGTTTCAGAGGGTTTCAAAGTAAAGAGATGGAGAAAAACATTCTGCAATAACAACAATCTAAAGAATTTGGAGTAGCTATATTAATTTAAGATGAATAAGACTCCAGAACAAGGGATATTTTCAGGGCTAAAGAGTGGCATTGCCTAATGATAAAGGTGTCAATTCACCAAAAAAGCCTAACAATCCTAAATGTGTATGCACCAAACAGCAGATTGTCAAAATATGTGCGGCAAAAACTGATAGAAGCGAAAGGAGAAATAGACAATTTAATTATACCAGTTGGAGATTTAAATACCACACTTTCCATATTGAAAGGTAAAACAGACAAGAAATATTTACAAATATAATTGACCTGAATAACACAATGAATCAAATGAACATAATTGATATTTGTACACAATGTTCTTGAACAACAGCAGAATACACATATTGTCAGTCTTACACATCCACCAAGATAGATGTGATTCTGGATCATATACTTAACACATTTAAAAGAATAGAAACCTTTAAAATATACTTGACACATTTAAAAGAATAGAAATCATACAAAGTGTCTTTTCAAAACATTATGAAATTGAACTAGATATCAATAACAGAAAGATGGCAGAAATAGCTTCAGATATATGAAGTTTAAGCAACTAATTAACATGAGTCAAAATAGTCTCCGAAAAAATTTCAAAATATTTTGAAGTAAATTAAAATGAAAAAACAACTAGTCAAAATTTGTGTGATGCTACAAAAACAATGCTTTGGGAGAAATTTATAGCATTAAATGCATAATCAGAAAAGGAAAAAATGCTGGAATCAATAATCTATACTTCCACCATAGAAAGCTGTAGAAAGAAGAGCAATTTACATTTAAAGCAGATAGAAGAAAAGAAGTATTAAAAATTAAAGCAGAAATTAGTGAAAACAAAAACAGAAAAGCAATAGAGAAAATCAATAAACCCAAAATCTGGTTCTTTAAAAGAAAGGCCAAAAAAAAAAAAAAATGGTAAGTCTTTGCTAGATTAACCAAAAAAAAAAAAAAAAAAAAAAAGGAGAAAAGACACAGGCAATAACAAAAATATAAGAGGGTTTAGCATTAATAATCTTACGGAATTTTTAAAAAATAATAAAGGAATACTATAAACAACTCCATGCCCCTAAACTTGACAAATGCAATGGACCAAGTGCTTGAAAAACACAAACTACCAGAATGCACACAAAAAGAAATAGATCTGAATAGATGTGTATTTATTGCATAAATTGAATCAATAATTTAAAATCTTTCAAAAAAGAAAGAAAACACTAAGCGCAAATAGTTTTACTGTTAAATTCTACCAAATAGTTAAGGAAGGATTGATATCAATTCTCCACAATCTCAGCCAGAAAATAGAGGCAAAGGGAACACTTTCAAATTCATTCCATCTACCATTATGCTAATATGAATGCCAGATAAAGATATAAGAAATAAAACTGAAGACCAGTATCTCTCATGAAGATAGATACAAAATTCCTCAATAAAATGTTAGCAAGTTGAATCTAACATTGCATAAAAGGAATTGAAATTTATTACCGTTATGTGAAGCTGGTTCAACATTTGAAAATTAATTAATAGAATTTACCTATCAACAGGACCAAAAAGAAAAATTACAGATTGCATCATATGATGCAGAAAATGTTATGACAATATTCAATATCTATTCATGGTAAAACCTTCCAGATAACTAGGAATAGAGTGAAGCATCCTCAGTTTGATAAAAAAGAATTCTTTTGTTTTGTTTTTTTTAGGTGGAGTTTCACTCTTGTTGCCCAGGCTGGAGTCTAATTGCGCGATCTCAGCTCACTGCAGCCTCCACCTCCCAGGTTCAAGCGATTCTCTTGCCTCAGCCTCCCAAGTAGCTGGGATTACAGGTGCCAGCCGCCACGCCCAGCTATTTTTTTAATATTTTTAGTAGAAACGGGGTTTCACCATGTTGTCCAGGCTGGTCTTGAACTCCTGACCTCAGGTGATGCACACGCCTTGGCCTCCCAAAGTGCTGGGATTACAGGCATGAGCCACCGTGCTGGGCGATAAAAAAGCATTCTTAAGAAAAAAAAAAAAAACTACAACCAACATTGTACTTAATAATGAGAAAATAAATATTTTTCTGCTGTGATTAGGGATGAGAAAGAAATGTTCTTTGTTACCACTCCTATTTTACATTGTACTAGAATTCCAAGATACTGAAGTAAGAGAAATAAAGAAGAGATACTCAGATTAGGAAAGTAGAAATAAAAGTGTCTTTGTTCACAGATGGCATCATTATTTATGTATAAAGCTCCAAAGAATCAACAAAATTTCTGGATCTAATTGCAAGTGTAGCAACATCCCATGATAAAAGGTTAACATCTAAAGTAAATTTCTTTCCTATATACCAACAATGAATGATTGGAATTTGAAATATTTTTTTAAATACCTTTTGCAGTAGCACCAAAATAATAAAATATTAGATATAAATCTAACAAAATTTATACAGGTTCTATTCATGGAATACTACAAAATCTGTTGGAAAAAACATTAAAACATTATCTAAATGAATTAAGAATGTGTTCATAGATTAGAAAACTCAGTGCTGTTTATGGTGTCCATACTTCCAAACTTGATCAAATATATTCAACATAATCTCAATCAAATTACCAGCAAGCTATTTTTTATATTGACAAACTGATTCTAAAAGTTACATAAAAAGTGAAAGAACTGAAATATTTAACGCACTACAGAAAAAAAGTTGAGGATTTACACTACCTAATTTCAAGACTATAAAGCTACTAAAATCAAGACAGCATAATATTAGCAAAAAAATAAGCACAAAAATAAATGGATAATAATAGAGGACCAAGGAATAGATACACACAAATATTATCAACTTATTTTTTATGTAAGACATATGAAATTCAATGGAGTGTAGTTTTATCAACAAATGATGATGGAAAATAGGATGACTATATTCAAAGAGAGAGAAAAATTCTAGAGATAGACTTTATATTTCACAAAAATGGATTAAATATGAGTTGTAACCCTAATTATTATAAAACTTATAATTGTATTATATTATAATATTATAATTATTATAAAATTTATAGAAGAAAATATAGGAGGAAGTCTCATGGCCTTGTTTTCACCATGAGTGTTAACATACAACATCAAAAGCACAAATCATGAAAGAAAAATGGATAATTTGAATTGTATTAATATTAACAAAAAAACTTCTAGTCTATGAAAAATATTATTAAGGGAATGAAATTAAAAGCCACAGACTAAGATAAAATATTTTGAAGCACATAGTGTCTATACTGAAATAAATGAATAGATGAATGAATAAACACACAAATAAATAAATGAGAGGGAGATCGATTTCTATGCAGAAGAATTCCAAATAATTTATGTAATTGTACTTGAGGGGCTGGAGCATAACTCTCCACTCTGGTGTGTGCTGAACATTAGTGACTTTCTTTTAATTAATGTAATATGTAAAGGAAGACAGAAAAAAATGAGTTTACATTGGAGACACCTGACAAACACTATATTAGCCAATGATCAAGCTCAGCATCAACAATGATAAATCATGTTGCTAACATGTACCCTTGAAACAATGTAATAAAAATTATACTTTAATTTTGTGCCTTCCTCCTATTGTCAGTCTAGTTGTAAGAAAAACATCAAACAAATTCTACACAATACTTGACCAGTAATTCCTCAAAACTGTCAGTGTCATCAAAAACAAGACAAGTCTGAGGAAATGTCATGGCCAAGATAAGCCAGAGGAGAAATGATGATGAAATATAATGTGGTGTCCCTGGATGAGATCCTGGAACAGAAAAAGGATATTAGGTAAAAACTAAGGAAATCTGAGTCAAACATGAAGTTTAGTTAATAATAATGTATCAATATTTATTCATTAATTCTAACAAATTGCCATACTAATATACGTTAAAAATAAAATAAACTAGATACAGAGTGTTTTAGAAACTGTATGTAATATCTTCACTTTTTCTGAAATCTAAAACTGTTCTGGAAAAAATTAATTGCAAAATAGTTAATACAATTTATTTAATTATTTTCTGCAAACAAAGATAGGATCCATAGACACATACAAGGATAAATGTGAAAGTTTAAGAAAGAAGCACAGATAAGGGGGCTGACAGGAAGGGAGAAATGGCAGAGTGGGATGGCTGAGTGGGGGAATGGGGAACGTGGACCCAGATGCAGCCACTTTTGTAAGATGTACTGCGTTGGCTCTTAGTGTGCTTTTGCTCTTGGAACCTACAATATGTTTCGAATTTAGAAACTTTTGTATTATAAAAGTAATTAGGATATGTTCCTGTAGAAAATTGTAAAAATCAGCAAAGTAGAAAAAAAAAGAGAATGACTCATATTCCACATACCCTTATACATATGTTACTTACTCCCAGCAGGGCGCGGTGGCTCACATCTGTAATCCCAGCACTTTTGGAGGCCGAGGCGGTAGATCACTTGAGGTCAGGAGTTCGAGACCAGCCTGGCCAACATGGTGAAACTCCATTTCTACTAAAAATACAAAAATTAGCCAGGTGTGGTGGCACAGGCCTGTAATCCCAGCTGCTCGGGAGGCTGGGGCAGGAGAATCACTTGAACCCAGGAGGCAGAGGTTGCAGTGAGCCGAGATCATGCCAGTGCACTCTAGCCTGGGTGACAGAAAGAGACTCCATCTCAAAAAAAAAAAAAAAAAGTAACTTACTCCCAAGAGTTATAGAGTTGTTAGTTTTCTTATAAAGTTTTTAGTTTTCTTTTATTTGGCTTATATAGATAATCTCTTAGTTGTATATGTTACTTGCATTCTTCTCTTTTTATAGCATTTTCCAAAGATAATATTTTCCTAAAGTCTTTTTTAGATTACTAAATTTGTCTCACCTGGTGGATGTGCCATTATGTACTCACCCAAATCTTCTTCCTGATATTTTAATTATTTTCAGTTTGTACATACTTACATAGTTAGTCTGGCAATGTTTTGGTCATTATGTATTATTGTGAAGGACTAACTTTGATATTTCAAATATTGTACTGATTATATAAAGGGAGGTAGTAATTTGTGCTCTCCTAGGACCAATGGAAATGTACAGTAATATAAGTAAATTTATTCCTGCAGCATCTCAAACATGTTCTGGAAATGAAATAAAATAATCAGTTAATCATTTTAGTCTTTTCATATTTATAATGGTAAGTAAAGACCATTAGTGAATGAAACACCTAAATATATTTGCACAACTAAGAAATTTCACACATATACCAAAGCTGTACATATATTTTAAACATGAAGATATTTTGGAAAATCAGGTCTAAGTTTTCTTTCTCCAAACAGGTATGTTTAAATTCTTTATAATTTTTTTCCATACAAGAGAAACTTTTTCATGGTACAAAGGATGAAGGTAAATTACAGTCCTATAGGCAGTCCTGTTAGAGTGACTGTTCTATACGTATTATTGAACACTTTAAATGTACCCTTCCCCTAATGGCCTTTTTTTATTTGTTTATTTTAATGTATTTAATCTGTGCCAAGAGAAAGCTATAAAGCTTTTCTATTCTCTGAAATTTTACAATTAATGATGGTACCACTCAACTTTCTAACTCATTAGTACTAGTAGTAGTAGTAGTAGCAGTAGTAATTTTACAGGAAAATAAGGATGCATAGGAAAATAATGTGGGTCAGCAAGATGGTGGACTAGGAAGCTCCAGGCTCTTATTCCTCACGAAGACATAAAATTAATAAAAATATATGTGGATCAAAATACTCTTAGGAAAACCCTAGAAACCAGTTAAGAAGCTGCAGGATCCCAGCTAACATCAATATAAAAATGCATTTAAACAGTAGGAAATGACCTGGCGTTTTGCCTGTATTTGCCCCATTCCTTCAGAGTGCAGTACACTGTGATTGGGTGGAAGCAACCTAACTCCCAGCTCCTCCCTTGATATGGAAAGAAAAGAGTGGAAAATGCATTTAACATTCTGGCTTGTATGGGGGCTACCTGAGAGACTGGCTTCTGTCTCACAAGACTCCTAGTACTGATGGATTGGTGGCATGGCTTGGATGCCACATTAGAAGACACTAAAAACAGCAGTAGTCTCCATGGCACGTTAGGGCTACAGTGGATTGGCAGTCTCACAGGGCCAAGAGGCAAGAGATTACAGGCAGAGTAACAAAGTAGAAATCCTAAGGCTTCTAAGAAGAAGCAGAAGTGAGATTCTTGCGGAAATCAAAACACTTAAAATCTGTCATATATACTGGAATTAAATCACCCATACAGGCCCGGGAAGATGTCCCCAGAAAAGGTTCAAGAAGACTCAAGGCCTCTATGCTGGGCCTATTAGTAAAGGTCTTCCCTGCATGAAGGCAGCCTATAAAGGCTGGGAGAAATGACTGTTTTCTCAAACGCCCAAATTTCAGCAAATAAGCACAAGGCATACAAAGAAACAGAAAAATATGCCTCAATCAAAGGCACAAAATAAATCTCCCAAAAAAATAAAAGCCCTAGATCTCAGAGGTGGAGCAAGATGATGGAAAGCTCCACCAATCATCCCCCTAATAGGACACCAAGTTAACAACTATCTACACAGAAAAAAACCTTCATGAGAACCAAAAATCAGATGAGGACTCACAGTATGTAGATTTAACTTTATATCCCTGAAAGAGGCACTGAAGAGATAGGAAAAATAGTCCTGAATCACAATGCCACCCTTCCCCCACCCCCTGGCAGCAGCAGCGTGAGAGCCTCTCTGGGCACTGGAGGAGGGAGAATACAGCAATTGTGAGGCATTGAGCTCAGTGCTGTCCCATTAGAGCAGAAAGGAAAATCGGACCAAACTCAGCTGACACCCACCAACAGAGGGAGCATTTAAACCAGCCCTAGCCCTAGGGGAATCACCAATCTCACTGAATGGAACTTGAGTGACTGCAAACCTTGCCACAGGGGGCTACAGCACATGTTGGGGTGTTAGGGGGAGACATGACATACTGAGACACAAATTATGGCAGCAAAGGGAGACGGCATCACCCTCACCCCAGGCTGCACAGATCACAGCTCCAAAAGAGACCCCTTTCTTCTGCTAGAGGAGAGGAGAGGGAAGAGTTGGGAGGACTTTGTCTTGCATCTAGGATACCAGTTCAGTCACAGGAGAATAGGGCACTGGTCAGAGTCATGAGGCCTCTGTTCCGGGCCATAGCTCTCACATGACATTTCTAGACACACCCTGGCCTGGGGCAGAAGGGAATACACTGCCTTGAAGGAAAGGGCCCGGTCCTGATAGCATTCATCACCTGCTAACTGAAGAGCCCTTGGGCCCTGAAGGACCAGCAGTGATACCAAGGTACTACATTGAGGAACTTGGATGAGCCTCTAAGACTTGTTGGCTTCAGGTGAGACTCAGCACATTACCAGCTATGGTGGCTGCAGGGCAAATCTCCTTCTGCTCGAGAAAAGCAAAGAGTAAAGTAAAGAGGATTTTGTCTTATACATTAGATGCCATCACAAGCACAGGGGGATGGAGCACCAAGTGGGCTCTTGGGGTACTGAACCCCAGGACCTTGCTCTTGGGGTCCCCAAACCCAGGACCTGGCATTTCTGGATCTTTCCTGGGCCAGAAGGGAGCCCACTGTCTGAAGGGCGAGTCCTGGGCCAGGCAGCATTCACAGCAAGCTGATGGAAGAGCCCTTGGGCCTTAAGGGAACATTGGCAGTGGTCTGACAGTACTCCTTATGACCAGGGTTGGTGAGGGCTATGATAGGAGGCTCCTCTGCCATTGGAAAAGTTAGAAAAGAGTGGAAGGAACTGTGTCTTGTGGTCTGAGTGCCAGCTCACCCACAGTACAATAGAACACCAAGTAGACTTCTAAGGTTTTTAACTCTAGTCCCTCACTCCAGGACAGCACTTCTGGACCCACCCAGTGCCTGAGGGATCTCACCACCCTAAAAGGAAGAACATAGACCTAGCTGGCCTACTGATTGTAGAGCCCCAGAGATTTTAGCAAACATATAGAGTAGCCAGGGAGTGGTTACAGAAGGCCTTGGGTGAGACCCAGTGATTTGCTTACTTCAGGTCTGACCCAGCACAGTCTTCATGGTGGTGGCCACATGGGTGCTTGTGTCATCCCATCCCCAGATTTAGGTGGTCAGAGGAGAGAGAGAGTCTATATGTTTGAGAGAAAGTGAGGGAAGAGAACAAGACTCTCTGCCTGGTAATCCAGAGAATTCTCCCAGATCTTGTCCAAGACCATCAAGTTGTACTTCTACAAGTCTGCAAAAACCACAGTGTTACTGGGCTTGGAGTGCCCCTAAAGCACATACAGTTTAGATCACAACACCCAAGGGCTTTTAAATATCTAGAAAGCCTTCCCAAGAAGGATGGCTACAAATAAACCCAGATAGCAAAGACTACAATAAATAAATAACTCTTCAATGCCCAGACACCAAAAAACATCTACTAGCATCAAGACCATCCAGGAAAACATGACCTCACCAAAGGAACTAAAGGTACCAGGGACAAGTCCTGGAGAAACTGAAATATGTGACCTTTCAGACAGAGAATTCAAAATAGCTGTGTTGAGGAAACTCAAAGAAATTCAAGATAACACAGAGAAGGAATTCAGAATTCTATCAGATAAATTTAACAAAGGATTACAATGCTTAAAAATATCAAGCAGAAATTCTGGAGCTGAAAAATGCAACTGACACTGAAGAATGCATCAGTCTCCTTTCATAGCAGAATTGATCAAGCAGAAGAAAGAATTAGTGAGCTGGAAAACAGGCAATTTGAAAATACACAGAGGAGACAAAAAAAGAATAAAAAACAATGAAGCTCACCTACAGGATATGAAAAAAAATAGCCTCAAAAGGGCAAAACTGACAGTTACTCACCTTAAAGAGAAGGCAGGAAAGAGATAGGGGTGGAAAGTTTATTGAGAGTAATAATAACAGCAAACTTTCCAAATATAGAAACAAATATCTACATTAAAGTATAAGAAGGTTGTAGTACACCAAGCAGATTTAGAAGACATTTAAAGGGCATTTAATAATCAAACTCCCCAAAGTCAAGGATAACGAAAGGATCCTGAAAGTAGAAAAAAAAAAAATTAGGAAAACATAGCATACAATGAAGCTTGAATAAGTCTGGCAGCAGACTTTTGAGTGGAAACCTTACAGGCCAGGAGGGAGTGGCAGGACATATTTAAAGTGCTAAAGGAAAAACCTTTTACCCTAGAATAGTATATTTGGTGATAATATACTTCAAGGAAAGTATATTTTCTTGAAGGAAAAATAAAAACTTTCCCAGGCAAATAAAAGCTGAGGGATTTCATCAATACCATACCTGTCCTACAAGAAATGCTAAAGTGAGTACTTTAATCAGAAAGAAAAGGACATTAATGAGCAATTAATAAGAGCCTGAAGGTACAAAACTCACCGGTAATAGTAAATACATAAAAAAACACAGAATATTATAACACTGTATGTATGGTGTGCAAACTACTTTTATTCTAACTAGAAAGACTAAACAATGAACCAATAAAAAATAATGACTACATCAATTCTGAGCAAACCATGGCAAGGACAGAAAACCAAACACCGCATGTTCTCACTCATAGGTGGGAATTGAACAATGAGAACACTTGGACACAGAGTGGGAACATCACACACTGGGGCCTGTCATGGGGTGGGGAGAGGGGGGAGGGATAGCATTAGGAGATATACCTAATGTAAATGACGAGTTAATGGGTGCAGCACACCAACATGGCACATGTATACATACGTAACAAACCTGCATGTTGTGCACATGTACCCTAGAACAGAAAGTATAATAAAAAAATAAAAAAATAATAACTATAATAACTTTTTAAGACATAGTCAGTACAAGTAGATATAAATATAAACAGCAAGCCATTAAAAAGCAGAGCCAAGAAGTTAAGTTATAGAGTTTTTATTAGTTTTCTTTTTACTTGTTTGTTTATGCAAATAGTGTTAAGTTGAGAATTTTGATAAGATTGAAGTAAATAAAATCAGAAATGAAAATGGAGACATTATAATGTATACTATAGAAATCAAAGGATCATTAGTGACTGCTATGAGCAACCATTAATATATGTCAATAAATTTGAAAATCTAGAAGAAATAGACAAATTCCCTAATACGTACAACCTACCAAGATTGAACCAGGAAGAAATCCAAAACCTTAACAGACCAATAACAAGTAATGAGATCAAAGCTGTAATAAAATATCTCCCAGTAAAGAAAAGCCTGGGACCTAAAAGCTTCACTGATGAATTCTACCAAACATTTAAAGAACTAATACTAACCCTACTCAAACTATTCAGAAAAATAGGAGAGGGGAGATACTTCCAAACTCATTCTATGTGGCTAATATTACCCTGATACCAAAACCAGACAAAGACACATCAAAAAAAGAAAACTACAGGCCAATATCTCTGATGAATATTGATGCAAAAACCCTTAACAAAATACTACCAAACCAAATCCAACAATACATGAGAAGAACATTCATCATGACTAAGTGGGCTAAGTGGCATTTATCCCTGGGATACAAAGACAGTTTAACACATGCAAATCAATCATTGTGATATATCATATGAACAGAATGAAGGATAAAAATCATGTGATATTTCACTTGATGCTAAAAAAAACTTTCGATAAAATTTAACATCACTTCATCATAAATACCATAAAAACTCAGGGCTGGATGCAGTGGCTCACGCCTGTAATCCCAACACTTTGGGAGGCCGAGGCGGGTGGATCACAAGGTCAGGAGTTCAAGACCAGACTGGCCAACATGGTGAAACCCTGTCTCTACTAAAAATACAAAAAAGTAGCCAGGCGTGGTGGTGGGTGCCTGTAATCCCAGCTACTCAGGAGGCTGAGGCAGAGAATTGCTTGAACCCGGGAGGCAGAGGTTGCAGTGAGCCAAGATCGTGCCACTATACTCCAGCCTTGGTGACAGAGTGAGACTCCATCTCAAACAAACAAACAAACAAACAAACCTCGGTATAGAAGGAACATACCTCAACATAATAAAAGCCAAATATGACAGACCCACAGCTAGTATCATACTGAATAGGAAGAAAATTGAAAGCCTTTCCCCTATGATCTGGAGTATTGCAAGAATGCTCATTGTCACCACTATTATTCAACATAATACTGGAAGTCCTAGGTAGAGCAATCAGACAAGAGAAAGATACAAAGAGTGTCCAATTTGGAAAGGAAAAAGTCAAATTAACTTTGTTTGCATGTGATATAATCTTATATTTGGAAAAACCTAAAAACTCCACAAGAAAACTATTAGAACTGATAAATAAGTTCAGTAAAGTTACAGGATGCAAAGTCAATGTACAAAAAACAGTAGCATTCCTATATGCCAACTGTGAACAATGTGAAAAATAAATTTAAAAAGTAATCTCATTTATGATAAGCACACATACACATAAAATTAAATACCTAGGAATTAACCAAAGATGTGACAGATCTTTATAATGAAACTATACAACACTGATGAAAGAAATTGAAGAGGATACCAACATATGGAAAAATATTCCATATTTATGGATTGGGAGAATCAGTATTGTTAAAATGTCCATACTGCCCAAAGCAATCTACAGACTCAATGTAATCCAGATTCAATGATATGGTTTGGCTGTGTCCCAAATCTCACCTTGAATTGTAGTTTCCATAATCCCCAAGTGTCATGGGAAGGACCAGGTAGAGATAATTGAATAATGGGGATGATTTCCCCCATTCTGATCTCATGATGATGAGTTAGTTCTCACAAGATCTGATGGTTTTATAAGGGGTTCCCCCTTTTCTGAGCACTAATTCACCTCCTTGCTGCTACCATGTGAAGAAGGACATGTTTGCTTCCCCTTGTACCATGATTATCAACTTCCTGAGGCCTCCCCAGACATGCTGAACTGTGATTCAATTAACATCTTTCCTTTATAAATTACCCAGTCTCGGGTATGCCTTTATTAGCAGCAGTGTGAGAACGGACTAAAACAGTAAATTCGTACTGCAGAGAGTGGGGTGCTGCTATAAAGATACATGGAAATGTGAAAATGACTTTGGAACTGGGTAACAGGCAGAGATTGGGACAGTTTGGAGGTCTCAGAAGAAGACAGGAAATTGTGGGAAAGTTTGGAACTTCCTAGAGACTTGGAAGTCTCAGAAGGCAGGAAGATGTGGGAAAGTTTGGAACATCCTAGAGACTCGTTGAAGGGCTTTAACCATAATGCTGATAGTGATATAGATGATGAAGTCCAGGCAGAGGTGGTCTCCGATGGAGATGGGGAACTTGTTGGGAACTGGAGTAAAGGTCACTCTTGATATGCAAAGAGACTGGCAGCATATTTGCCCCTGCCCTAGAGATCTGGGAAACTTTGAACTTGAGAGAAATGATTTTGGGTATCTGGCAGAAGAAATAGTCCCTACTGGGGTACTGCCTAATGAAGCTGTGAGAAGAGGACTACCATCCTCCAGACCCCAGAATGGTAGATACACTGACAGCTTGCACCATGTGCCTGGAAAAGCTGCAGACACTCAGTGGAAGCCCATGACAGCTGCCGGGAGTGGGGCTGTACCCTGCAAAGTCACAGGGGCAGAGCTACCCAAGGCCATGGGAGTCCATCTCTTGCATCAGCATGACCTGGATGTGAGACATATAGTCAAAGGAGATCCGTTTGGAACCATAAGGTTTAATGACTGTCCCATTGGATTTTGAACTTGCATAGAGCCTGTCGTCGCTCCTCTGTTTGGCCAATTTCTCCCATTTGGAATGGGTGTATTTACCCAATGCCTTTACTCCATTGTATCTAGGAAGTAACTAACTTGATTTTGATTTTACAGGCTCACAAGCCAGAGGGACTTGCCTTTTCTCAGATGAGACTTTTGACTTGGACTTTTGTGTTAATGCTAGAATGAGTTATGACTTTGGGAGACTTTTGGGAAGGCATGATTGGTTTTGAAAAGTGAGGACATGAGATTTAGGAGGGGCCAGGGAGAGAATTATATGGTTTGGCTGTGTCCTGACACAAATCTCATCTTGAATTTTAGCTCCCATAATCCTCATGTGTTGTGGGAGGGACCCAGTGGGAGGTAATTGATTCATGGGGTTGAGTTTTCCCACTCACTTGGGACACACGTGCACCAGAGTCCCTGCCCCTATCAAATCAGTGCCATATGATCAGAAAGAGCTCCCAAGCTAGCAGCTTCTCCCAAAAGATAGAGGGAGTTTTTCTGTGCATCCAGTGCCCTGACTTTCCTAACGGGGCTTCCCAGAGGACTGACCTCTGTCCTCCCAGTGTTAAATCTCAGACAGGTGTATCCAGCTTGGAGGAGAATGGAGATAGGAGCTTGGGCTTGGGCTTATAAACACAATAACTTCTTCCTCTCCTGAGTACAGAACAATCAGTTAAAAAGGTTCAACTCTCAGCTTTCCCCTGTAGAGAAAATAAAAACATAGAACTATGTGTATGGTAGAATTCCAGTATTGCAGACCAGGAATGGTGCTTGCTTTATATAATCACAGAAAATCAAGAAAAATGAAGAATTAAGAGAAGATGCCTCAAACAAAAGGGTAAGATAAATCCCCAGAAACTAGCTCTAATGAAATGAAGTAATGTGATTTACTTGACAGAGAATTCAAAATAACTTTCATAACGATGTTCACTGAAGTCAAGAGAAGAATGCATGAACAAAGGGAGGATTTCAACAAAGATATAGAAAATTTATATGTAAGAAATATCAAACAGAAATTAGAAGGCTTACAAATATAATAATTAAACTGAAAAATTTACCAGATATGTTTAAGAGCAGACTATATCAAGAAGAAGAAAGAACTGGCAAATTTGAAGAAAAGTTATAAAATGATTCAGTTAGAGAAACAAAAGAAAAAAAAGCAAAAGAGTGAAGAAAGCTTTAGCGGCTTATGGAATACCAACAAGGGGACCAATATAAATATTATGGGGATCTCAGAGAGACAAGAGAAAGAACCAGAGATCTTATTCCATGAAATAATGGATGAAAACTTCATACATCTGAAGAAGGAAATGAACATCCAGATCCAAGAATCTCAAAAGTCATCAAATAAAAAATAAAAATAAAAATCAACACCAAAACACATTATAATCAACTTGTTGAAAGTCAAAGACTGAGAGAATTTTGAAAGCAGTGAGAGAAAAATGACTGGTTAGATACAATGGAAACTCCACAATACTATCAATAGATTTTTTTCAGCAGAAACTTTACAGTCCAGAAGGTAGAGGGACGATTTATTCAAAGTACAGTAAGAAAAAAACTGTCACCAAAATTACTATGCCCGACAAAATTGTCATTCAATAATAAAGGAAAGATAAAGAATTCCTCAGACAAACTAAAGCAGAGGGAATTCATCACAACTATACTTGTTTACAAAAAATGCAAAAGGGAATTCTTTAAGCTTAAAGAGTGCTATACAGCAACACGATAGCATAAAAAAATTTGCAACTTTTTGGTACAGGTATATATATCTAGAAAAATGCAGAATATTATTTTTCTGTAATGGCAGTGGATAAATCACTTTTGATTCACATACAAAAGCTAAAAGAAAAAACTATTAAAATAACTAACAAAATATGTTTAAAGGCACATAATATGAACAGATGCAAATTGTGACAACATAAAATGAGAGAAGGAGGAGTTAAAGTGTTATTTTTTCATGTGATCAAAAGTAAGGTGTCATGGCTGTTATGATATCTTATGTAAGTACCAAAATAACCACAGAAAAAAACCCTACAGAACATAGAAAGGAATCAAAGCACATCAATTAAAAAAACCCAACAGAACACAGAGGAAGACACAAGAGAAAAAAAAGGCAGACAATACAACTACAAGACTAAATGAAAACAACTAACAAAATGTAAATAATAAATATTTTTCCATAAAAATTTAAATATTTTCTAATCAAAAGACAAAGAGTAGTTGAATAGCTAAAAAACCCACAAAAAATCAGAATTAAGCTATATGCTGCCTCCATGAACCTCTCTTTAGGTGTTAGGACACATATAGGCTGAAAATGAAGGCATAGAAAAAGATATTACCTCCAAATGAGATTGAAAAGAGAGTAGGGGTCACTATATTTATAGCAGATGAAATAAAGTTTAAGTCAAAACTGTCACAAGAGACAAAGAAGGATATTCCACAATGAAAAAGGGTTAATACATCAGGAAGATATAACAATTATAAATATATGTGCACCCAACTTTAGAGCACGTAAATATACAAAGAAAACATTAACAGAACTGGAGGAAGAGGTACACAGCAATGAAATCATAGTAGTAGACTTCAATACTTTACTTTCAATCCTGAATAGAACACTCAGACAGAAGATCAATAAGGAAACAGAACTTGACTAAGAACAGTAACAGTCAAATGGCCTTAAGGAAACAACAGAAAGACAAAAGACAGCCTATGAAATGAGAGACTATATTTGCAAAACTTACATCTAAGAAGGGTTTAATATCCAAAGATATTTGAAGAAATGATGCAGCTTAATAACAAAAGAGAGTAATCCAATTTAAATATGGGCTAAGGACTTGAACAGACATTTCTCCAAAAAAGACATACAAATGGACACAGGTTATGTAAAGCTGGTTGCTGTCACTAACATACAGAAAGTAGGTTGGAGGCTACCAGGGGCTGGGGAGAGGGCCAGGAAATGGAAAACTATTGTCTACCAGAAAAATGCAAATCAAAGCCACAATGAGATATTACTTCATACCTAGCTGGGTGGCTATTTTTTTTTAATGACAATTTAATGGTGTCCTCATGAAATGCATTGGAAAATACTTTCTTTTCTACTTCCTGAAAATGTTTATGTAAGACAGATATTATTTCTTCCTTAAATATACAAATTGATAAAGCCATTTGGATATAGAATTCTTTGTTTCTTTCTGTGTGTTTTGGTAATTTGTTTTCAAAAAATATTTCACTTTTTAAAACTATTTTTTATTGTGGTACATATAAAACATAACACCATTTTAACCACTTTAAGTGTACAGTTCACAGGCATTAATTACATTCACAATGTTATGCAACCATCACCACATTTATTTCTCAAATTTTGCATTATCCTAAGCAACAATTTCCTATTTACTGCCCCTCTCCCCAGTCTCTGCCAGCCTCTAACTAGCTTTCTGTCTGTATGAATTTGCTTACTTCCTGTAAGTGGAATCAAACAATATTTGCCCTTTTTACCTGGCTTATTTCATTCAGTATAAGGTTCATTCATGTATTAGAACTTTGTTATTTTTATGGTGAAATAATATTCCACAAAGCAAGATGTATATGACACATCTTGTTTATCTGTTGATCTACTGACGGAAGCTTAGGTTGTTTCCACCATTTGGCTATTGTGAATAATGCTTCTATAAAACATTGGCAGACAAGTAACTGTTTTATTTTATTTGTTATATTTGTTTGTATAAAATTGTTTATAATATTCCCTCCTTATGTGACTTTTTTCTTTATTCTTTATCCTTCTAATTATATTAGATTTACTTGCTCTTTTTTTCCAACTGCTTAAAGTGAAAATTTACATCATTTATTCCAAAGTTTCTTCATTTCTTATTGGGGAACCTGCCCCAATAGTCACGTAGGTTCTTTTCTGTTTTCCTTAAGCATCGGCCGGCTTGCGAAATAAAGGGACAGAGTACAAAAGAGGGAAATTTTAAAGCTGGGCGTCCGGGGGAGACATCACATGTCGGTAGGTTCCGTGATGCCCCACAAGCCACAAAAACCAGCAAGTTTTTATTAGGGAGTTTCAAAAGGGGAGGGAGTGTGCGAACAGGGCGTGGGTCACAGAGATCACGTACTTTACAAGGTAATAGAATATCACAAGGCAAATGGAGGCAGGGAAAGATCACAGGACCACAGGACTGGGGCAAAATTAAAATTGCTAATGAAGTTTTGGGCACCATTGTCATTGATAACATCTTATCAGGAGACAGGGTTTTGAGAGCAACCAGTCTGACCAAAATTTATTAGGCGGGAATTGCCTCTTCCTAATAAGCCTGGGAGCGATATGGGAGACTGGGGTCTATTTCACCCCTACGGTCTACAGACCATAAAAGATGCGCACGCCCAGGGGGGCCATCTATAGACCTATACCCCCAGGCGCGTATTCTCTTTCCCAGGGATGTTCCTTGCTGAGAAAAAGAATTCAGCCATACTTCTCCCATTTGCTTTTGAAAGAAGAGAAATATGGCTCTGTTCCGCCCGGTTCACCAGCGGTGAGAGTTTAAGGTTATCTCTCTTGTTCCCTAAACATTGCTGTTATCCTGTTCTTTTTTCAAGGTGCCCAGATTTCATATTGCTCAAACACACATGCTCTACAATTTGTGCAGTTAATGCAATTATCACAGGGTTCTGAGGTGACATACATCCTCCTCGGCTTAGGAGATGATAGGATTAAGAGATTAAAGACAGGTTTAGGAAATCACAAGGGTATTGATTGGGGAAGTGATAAGTGTCCATGAAATCTTTACAATTTATGTTTAGAGATTGCAGTAAAGACAGGCATGAGAAATTATAAAAGTATTAATTTGGGGAACTAATAAATGTCCATGAAATCTTCACAATCCATGTTCTTCTGCCATGGCTTCAATTGGTCCCTCCGTTTGGGGTCCCTGACTTCCCGCAACATCTTCTAACGTACACAACTAAAGCTATAAAGTTCTCTAATCACTGTTTAGCTATATCTCACAAATTATGCTGCTTTGATTACATTTTACTTCAAGTATTTTCCAATTTCTTTGTGATTTCTTTTGAATAGGTTTTATTTAGAAGTATTTAATTTCCTAATATCTTTATTTTGTTTTGATTTCTAATTTTGTACTATTGTTACTAGATTACATATTTGTAAGATTTCAATCCCTTCAAATATACAGATGTAATTTTATAGCCTTTGTATGTTCTTTCTTGATGAATGTTCCAAGAGCACTTAAAAAAATGAATTCTGCCCTAGACAAAATGTTTGTATAAATGTCAATTAGGTCAAATTGGTTGACAGTGATATCTGGTCTTGTAGATCCTCAATGATATTTCTGTCTACTTTTTTTTATCAGTTAATAAGACAGGAGTGTTAAAGCTTACCACTGTAAGTGTGTATATTTGTCTATTTCTCCTTTTTGTTGCCAATTTTTGAACATTTAATTTGAAGTTTTGTTATTAGGTGCATACATTTTTACCATTATTTTTCTTTATTATTAAAAAACTAAACTTTTATCATTATGTTATATCCATCATTTCCCTGGTGCTATTCTTTTTGCTGAACTCCACTTTGGTATTAACACAGGCATTTCCACTTTTGTAGAATTAGTGCTTGCATGGTATATCTTTTCTATACTTTTGCTTTTAAACTTTATATGTCTGTATACTAAAAGTGTTTTTCTTGCATGATACGTAGTTTAGACTTGGTTTTTCCCCAGCGTGGTAACCTCTGCCTTTTACTTCAAGTGTTCAGAATATTGTCCAATAGATCTTTCTATGATAATATAATTGTTCTATATCTTCACTGTCTTAAACCACAGCCATAAGCCACATGCATCTATTGAGCACTTGAAATGTGGTTTGAGCAACTTAGAAACGGATGTTTTGTATAATTTAACTTTAATTAACTTAAACAGCTTGTATATTTAACATAATTATTGGTATGGTAGAATTCAAATCTACCATCTTGCTATTTATTTCTGTCCAATGTCTTCTTTGTTTCTCCTTCTATCTTATAAATGCATGATTATTTTTAGTATCCCTTTTCATCTACTCTGTTGCCTTGTAACGATGTCTTTTGTGTTGTATGTTTGCAGTGGTAATACTATAGTTAAAAACAGTACCTTTAACATAGTAAGCAATCTGTAAATAATGTGATACCTTCTCATGTATTTACCTGCCAATTTAGTTTCGTTATCTCATATTATGCCTGCCTTTCTGTATGCATTTTACTTCTACGTGTATTATAAACCACACAATTTATTGTTGTTATTTTAAAACTCTAAATTATATTTTATTTTTTAAAGTGAAAATATTTATGATTATCTACATATTTACCAGTTTTGGTGCTCCTAATTAGTTGTGTATATCCAAAATGTCTTATTTTTATTCAGCCTCAATAACTTGCTTCAGCAGATATTGTAATGCAATTCCACTCAGTGTAAATTTATCCAGGTTTTATTTCATTCATTGTCTGAAGATGTCTTTATTTTGCCTTTATTGTTGAAGGATGTTTTTTGCTGGACATAGAACTCTAGGCTGACAATTATTTAAAAAATTTGTTTAAAATGTAAAAGTTTTTTTAATACCATTTCATTGTTTCCTGGTTTTTGTTTGTTTGCTTGTTTTTTGTTTTTGCATTGATTAAGAGTCTGGGATCAAGTCTTATTTTTGTCCCTTTGTGGTTGCATTTAAGGTTGTAGTTGTATCAAATTTTGAAAGTATCAAGTCATTATTTCTTCAAATATTTTTCGCTTTCTTTCATTTTGGGGACTTTAATTAAACATTTGTTAGACTGTTTTATATTTTTCAATAGGTGTTTGCAGTCTTGTTTAGTTTTTAAAGTGGTTTTTATCCCTGTGTATCTCTCTCTCTCTGTCTCTCTCTCTCTCTCTACCTACCCACCTATCTATTTATGTCCACTTGTTTAATTTTTGCTATGTCTTCAAGTTTATCAAACATTTTTATCAGTATCTAATAACCTGTTAAGCATATTGAGGATTTTTCAATTTCCTTATTATATTTTTCTTGTTTATAAGTAATATTTTATTCATATTCATAAATTCTGCCTGTCTTGTTTTTTTGGCTAAAATATTTTTTGTTTGTAATTCCTATGTTAGAGTCCTTTTCACTTGATTCTGTCTTCTCTATCATATTTGGTTATTTCTATAGTCTTATATTTCTTCTACCTATAGATAATACTTTCGTGTTTTTCAAATTCTAATGCATTTTAATTGGATTCTGGTTAGTTTGTCTATCACATTTTTGACTAAGTGGTTTTACCTTTCTTTAAAAAATTTTGAAGTTTATTTTGATAGTCAAATTATTTTTAGAGCAGCTTAGTCCTTTAGGAGCTTCTTTTTAAAACTTTTAAGGGTTATTAAGGACTAGGTATATTCTAAATATAGATTAATCTCATTGCTGAGGCATCGTGCTCCTGGTTTTTCTACTGAATGCCTTGAGTGTCCATCTCCATTTCTAGCAGGTTGTAACCTGAACATCTCCATTATAGCAGGTTGTAACCTGAACATCCTCTAGCTGTGGGTGAGCTCTGGTAATTGTTTCGCTGTAACACAGAATATGTCTTTTCCTGGCTGCAAGGTATTTACTCTATATGTGAAGAAATTAATGATCAGCAATAAACTTAAGTGGCACTCTACGCAGATTTTTGGATGTCTTTCTCAGCATAATTGCCTTCTCTCCAATACTCTGCCCTAAAACAGTCAGCTCCAGGCCCCATCAAAATGCAACTTTTGTCTCCATAATTCAGCAAAACTTTCATGGTCTACTCTATACTCTGATGCTAAAAGTACCTCTACATAAAACCTCAGGTGATTTATAAACTTCTTAGTTTTCTTTAATTTTCTCAGTGATTATAGTCCTGCACTGCCTGTTGTCTAATGTATAAAATCAACTGTTTCTTACATTGTTTCAAATGGTTTTACTACTTGTTTATACTAAGGGGTAAAGTTTGATACCAGTTATTCCAATAGGCTGCCTGTGATTTTACAGCTTTTCTTGCATATTCTCATTATAAAAATTTTAGAAGAGCAGCCTCCTTAATCTTTTTGTCTCCTACTGGAAGTAGAAATCAGTACTACTACTATTTATTAAACTCTCAAAAATATAAAGGTTTCCATCATATTATAAGTTTTATTCCAGTTGGGATTGTACCACTCTGCTGTAAGAGTGGGTAGTGGTTAGCTTGCATGTCTCTCACTGAAAGCTATTTAATTCTCCAGTTCCATGTGTACCAAACCATCACATGAAACTTAGGGGATTCTATAGTGGTTGGTATTGAGCCTTGATCAAATACAAAACACTGTGGAGATAAGACTGCCAAGAAAGTCTAAAACACATGCAGTCTTCTAAGTAGCAATAGCAAAGAACATAATAGTCATTCTTTCATAGTTTTATTGCTGCATTTGTCATGTTGAGACATAATCTAATCTTTGGAGTCAATATTCAGTTAGGCTATTCCCCATGAAAAGATCAGAGATAGAATAACACAATATAATGTGCAGTATTACAAGGAATAAAAAATTATCCCACTGTAACATATCTTTCCTAGGCTATTTTGAAGTGTATGCCCTCAATTTACATCAGTGTCACGGAATGTATTCTAGGGGATAATTCTTTCTTCTTACTTAGAAGTAGTTCACTAAAGTAATTCTATAGTAACGCATACTTTTTTAATTTAAGACCCTCAAAATGATTTAAGAGGACTTTGACTGAGTTTTCCTTTATTAAAAAAGCAATACTGAGTTGGGAAATTAAATAAAATATGTAGAGGGACATTTATTCAGTAGTTTGTGATTATTTCAGACTTGCAAATAACCATCAAAATGGTCTAGCTTTTCTGAGTATCTTTGTAACACAGAGATCACTTTTGTGCATTCGTGTGGATGATTTTGAGCAATTTGCCTACCTTCTAAGAAAGAACAATTGATAAAGAGAAAATAAGGAGTAATTATTAAAATAGAGGTTTTAAGGGAACCAATTGAGGTAAGGTAGCTAGTTGGTTCTAAAATATTTTATATTGCTTAATTTCTTCTTCTTGCATAACAACTCTCATATATCCAATACCTTAAAGCAAGTTAACTGTATTTTAGTTATACTTTGGTTGGATGAGCATAGTTCTAAGGACAAGTTAATTAACTCATTTTTATAAGCCTTTCTTTCTGTTGTTCTCAGAGGACCTCAAAAAGATAATTAAGCATTCTCTAAGGCATTTTTACTGTCTTTGTTACCATTGATTGCTAACAAGGCAGCAGAAAAAAATTCCCCTTTTTGTAGGTTAACAGAGTAGTTTTTCAAAGGCTTTGTTATGTTTGAGTATGATAATATCAATTACTACAGGAATGATGCTTTTCAGACCAAAGCAGAAGGTAGAGAAAACACAGAGATGTCATTTATTTCATTTTGCTATCGTTCAATCTATCTGTCAATAGGCCTATATACATGAAATTAAGCATTTTCTTACCATTCACATTTCAGAATTCACAAGTTCAAATGCCATGCTTCTTTACTCTAAGTTTTATGTCTCAATCAATTTAGCACAAATCAGTTCAATATAACCCCAGGCATATAAAATATGGTTGTCACAGGTTAAAAAAAATTATTTTAAATTATATGTAAGCTATATTTAACTGCAAGAACAGACTGTTTGATGCATTTATGTCCATTCATAATTCTGTTTCAAGTGGTTATACTAATAAATTTTATAAAAATGTTGGCTTATTCAGAAAAAAACTTTTCATAATTGGTAACTCTAAAAACATTTAGAGAAAGTAGAATGTGTTCCTTTGATCTACACCCAAATCAAATGAAGGACAGACATTTCCATTCCTGATTTTTAAAATTTAAACTGGAAATCCATATACTTGTACACAGAATTCATTCATTTACCAGACAATTGTCTGGAGTAATCTGTCTCTCCCTGGGAAATTTTCATTAAGTGACAATTGGAAAAAATCTTTACCTCTGCCTTTGAAATCTATGCATAGGAAGTAGAAAACATTACTTCTAGCCTGGCATAGAAAAGCAAGGCAAACAACTAGACAGCCACTCCCCATAAGGTCAATGTAAGCTATATGCAATTGCAACAGTGGGTGAATCATCTGCTTCACACCTCATGCTTTTTGCTCAACTGCCCTTCCATTTGAAAGGCCCTTGTCAATCTATTGGCACTGCACCACACCTGCCTGGTAAGCACATTCATTATTCAAGACTGAGTTTAAGCTCACCTCGTTTATTATATCCCTACTGAACATTCTGTAATCTCAGTTCAATTGACAATTTTTCATGAACAGACACTTCTCAAAAGAAGACATTTATGCAGCGAAAAAACACATGAAAAAATGCTCACCATCACTGGCCATCAGAGAAATGCAAATCAAAACCACACTGAGATACCATCTCACACCAGTTAGAATGGCAATCATTAAAAAGTCAGGAAACAACAGGTGCTGGAGAGGATGTGGAGAAATAGGAATACTTTTACACTGTTGGTGGGACTGTAAACTAGTTCAACCATTGTGGAAGTCAGTGAGGTGATTCCTCAGGGATCGAGAACTAGAAATACCATTTGACCCAGCCATCCCATTACTGGGTATATACCCAAAGGACTACAAATCATGCTGCTATAAAGACACATGCACACGTATGTTTATTGCGGCACTATTCACAATAGCAAAGACTTGGAACCAACCCAAATGTTCAACAATGATAGATTGGATTAAGAAAATGTGGCACATATACACCACGGAATACTAGGCAGCCATAAAAAATGACGAGTTCATGTCCTTTGTAGGGACATGGATGAAATTGGAAATCATCATTCTCAGTAAACTATCGCAAGAACAAAAAACCAAACACCACATATTCTCACTCATAGGTGGGAATTGAACAATGAGAACACATGGACACAGGAAGGGGAACATCACACACCGGGGACTGTTGTGGGGTGGGGGGAGGGGGGAAGGATAGCATTAGGAGATATACCTAATGCTAAATGATGAGTTAATGGGTGCAGCACACCAGCATGGCACATGTATACATATGTAACTAACCTGCACATTGTGCACATGCACCCTAAAACTTAAAGTATAATAAAAAAAAAAACTTTTTGACCTGCGTATATCTTTGACTAGTGACGTAAGTTCATTATTTTCTACTTATATAAATAAAAACTTCCTAGATAAATAATATAAAATTCCCACTCATCACCCCTTTTTTCTGTAGACATGTAACAGAGCAGAAGAGTAGACATTCTGGGACTAGAACAGCTTAGTTTTTTGATGTGTTTTTCTTCTAATTGTGGTAAGAACACTTAACATGTGCTGTATCTTCTTAACATATTTTTACATGTACAATACAGTGTTAAATATATTCACAGTGCTATACAGAAGATTGATGGAATTTATTTATCTTTCATAACTGAAACTTTATACTCATTAAATAGCAACTCCCCATTTTCCCCTCTCCCTAGCCCCTGACAACCACAAATCTACTCTCTGTTTCTAGGAGTTTATCTTTTTTTTTTTTAATATAAATGGAATCATACAGTATTTGTTCTTCGATTGATTTATTTCACTTTGCATAATGTTCTCCAGGTTCATACGTATTGTCACATGTGGCATGATTTCCCTCCTTTTTAGGCAGAATAATATTCCATTATAGTATGTAACACATTTTCTTTATTCATTTATCTGTTAATGGACATTTAAATTGTTTTTATATATTGGCTATTGTAAAAAATGCTGTAATGAACATGAGAATGAATATATCTCTTTGAGATCATGATTTCAATTCTTTCAGATACATTTTCAGAAGCGGCATTGCTGGATCATATGGTCATTTCATTTTTAATTTTTTGAGAAATCATTAAAATGTTTTCTATAGCAGCTGCACCATTTTACATTTCCACCAATAGTGTAAAAAGTTTTAATGTCTGAACCGACTTTGTTCGAGTCTCAGCTTTATCACTTACTAGCTGCAAAACGTATAAGCTATAACGTAATTAACTTCACTCCATCTCATTTTCCCATTTGAAAACCGAGGGTAATAGTAGCTATGTTATAAGGTAATTGTAAACAATAAATTGTATAAATATAAAACACATTGTACCATTCAACATATTAGCTATGAAACAGAGAAATTCAGAAGATCTACATCCACAGGCAAATTCAGAGAGGGAGAAAGACATCCACGAAGAGAAAGTCCTTTGGATGCTTTGGCAGTTGCCTCAAAAAATTAAATTCTATTTCAAAGCAGGTGGGGCAATGTTACCCAAACTGACCGCTTTTGCAAAGAGCAAAGACCTGGGGCATCGGACATTTTCCTTGAACCACTGAAGCATAATGTATTTAATGTTAAGCTAAGTAATTGGTGTTTGAGAGGGTGCCAGGGAACAGATCCCTTTATACATATTGTTAAATTAACTTAAATTTGGCCCAAAGCTGCCTGTGTACATAACTGTACCCTAATTTAAGAGTATATTCTTGTAACAAAGAACCAAGGCTCAGCCAATCACAGTAGCCAAGCTTCAGTCAATCACATGCTGCCCACTGGTCAGACTGTGTCCACATACGGCAAATGCCTCATCATACCATTCCCCAGTGAGGCAAATGCTAATCATGCTGTTTTTATATGTCACTTCCTTTTTCTGTCTATTAATAGTGCCTTGCCACATTGCTAGGTGGAGCTCTATGAGCATCTACTGATTCAGGATGCTGCCCAATTCATGAATCCTTTTATTGTTCAAATAAACTCTGTTAAAATTAATGTGTTTACAGGAAGGGGAACATCACACACTGGGGCCTGTTGTGGGGTGGGGGGAGGGGGGAGGGAAAGCATTAAGAGATATACCCAATGTAAATGATGAGTTAATGGGTGCAGCACACCAACATGGCACATTTATATATAGGTAACAAACTTGCATGTTGTGCACATGTACCCTAGAACTTAAAGTGTAATAAAACGAAATTAATGTGTTTAAAGTTTATCTTTTAGCAACACTAATAGGAGTAGAAATTGGTAAATATTTTGCATGCAAGTATGGCAATATGTGTATCCTTGAATACATAACATTTTTGAATGTCACAAATATCACTTAAGATTTGTATACATTTTACTAAGAAATTATGCTTTCAGAACTATTTTGCAATAAAATAATCAGTTGTATATGCAGATATATATAGAATACCAGAGTTTTATGTGTAAAGAAGTAAAACTGTAGATACGATCAATGATAGAGTTAATATGTAATTTTCCCAACAACTAGGTTATTTTTTTAATAGATGAGAATATTACATAATCAATAAAGTTATATCACAGAATAATTTATAATACCATAGAAGGATGTTCATAAAATATTACAGTAGTCATATTTTATATTTATTTTATATCCACGAAGTAGAGAAGATCTTAAATTTAATCTACTTATTTATAAGTTTACACATACACATGCACACACGTCTCAAATAGGTCTGAACAGATCTGTACTAAAAACCACTATTGACAATGGTTATTAGTGGATAGTGTCATTATGTTTATCTATATTTTCTCAAATTTTTACAATAAATTTTTTTGACTTTTTTGAGGGAAAAAACACTTGGTATGTGACCAGTGCTTCCTTTCTTTTCAGTAATGCTGCATATGTCAGGATCCTAATACTTTTAAAGAGGCTCACATTATTTATCCTCAATCTTCATTAGGGCAGTGATCCTGGCACCGCCAAGGAGAAAATTTAACCCTTCTGTGCAACTTTTTTATATAAACCCTTTGTGTGGTAAAAGTCAAGGATCCTGAGGGAGGTGGTCTTGCAAGAATAGTCACCTGTCCTTTTGCAAATACTGCTCTGGCTAAGTGGATGCCAGGTCAATTTGCACAGGCACAAACAAATTGACAATGGCCTTCATAATTCCAGAGAGCTGGAACAAAGGTATAATTTGAAACAAAGATGATCTTTGGCCACCTGGATGCTTTGTGTTATGACCTTTAACCCTCTGTGATAAGTTTGCTAGCCATTCAGGCAAGGAGAATGAACATGCTAAGTGGATCATGTGCCATGTGTTAATGATCATATGTACAGCCAAATATGGATTGCTTTAAAATTATTGAATTCTGAATAGAAACAAAAGAGGATATCAGCATTTTTTTTCTTGTGTAGGAAGGGAAACTTCCTGCTCTAAAGTCTCCCATGTATCACTACAGATAAATAAAACCCAACATATTCACCTGAGGATGTAATAAAATTTGCCCTTTGATGTTTATCCTATAGTTTCTAATTCTGTAGAACAAAGAAAAATCACTGAACAAAGTAACATTATGGCAGATTTTATTAAAAATTTCACTGTAAATTATATTAATTATAATATAGAAATACAAGTGATGAATACACTTTTTTGCTTCTCCTTTAGTCAGGTGCTTTATAAGATATTCATTCATTCATCCTATGGGCATATATTGAGTATCTACTAAGGTGGTGCCATTATCAACACAGAAGTGACCCTTGCTCTCAAAATCAGACTAATGATGGGGAGAAAAATTAAACAATAATCATCCTTAATTAATTCCCATTGTGGTCAAAGATGTAAAGGATGAGTTCAAGAGATAAGGGAAGACTTTGCTGAAGAAGTAATACTAAAACTGCAAACTATAGGATACCGGGTGAAGTGGTTGATGAAGAACAGAAGAACATTCTAGGTAACAAATACAGCACATGGTGCATTGGAAGCCAGGTATTATTTCCAGTTTACAGGGAAACAAAAAACAACAGAAAAACTTGAAGATTTAAGTAGAACACCTAAGTAAGTCCATAACATGCAAATGGGAAAGCCAGAATTTAAACGTGGATCTACTTGACATCAAAATTCTTTTTTAAAACTTCTCTGCAATAATATATTTGCTTTGATCTGAAAAAGAAAGATTCCTGAATATCTCTTTTCAGTTCTTTTCACTCAATTAGTGCCTTAAATACTGTTTTTTAAATATATGCAGGGCTCTTTTTCTTTTATTTTCTTTATCTTTAATTTAGTGGTTGTTTAAAAACTGGGATAATATGAATGCTTTATTGTTTAAACTTTTAACCCAAAAGATACATATTTAGATGTCAATATAGGAAAACTACATCGCCAAAAGCTACCCAAACATTGTAGAAATTGAAATAATTTTTTCACAAGATTTAACTATGTCTAAATTATATAGGCTGAGACCGAAGAATCGCTTGAACCTGGGAGGCAGAGGTTGCAGTGAGCCAAGATAGCGCCACTGCACTCTAGCCTGGGCGACAGAACAAGATTCCGTTTCAAAAATAAATAAATAAATAAACAAATAAATAAATAAATAAATAATGCAGTATTCCATTTTCAGTAATCAGGGAGACATATGTTCTATATTACGGAAATATTTAATGCAAATAGTCTTAGGTGGAAGACACAGGTTTTTTTCAGAAATCATTTTTCAGTCCAAGGTTTCATTATATTGGCTCTTGACAAAACATTAAAATAAGACTCAAAAAACATGTTTATGTATTTTTCATCAAAGACAGTCTCCCCCAAAACCAAGGCTTATTAATAAATGTGACATCAGATTATATGTTCTTGATTATAATTTCACAGCATTCTATTCATCTATATAAGTATTACTAAAACCATTCTCAGTAATTATCTAAAAATTCCCATCATACTGAATGGGCAAAAGCTGGAAGCATTCCCTTTGAAAACTGGCACAAGATAAGGATGCTCTCTCTCACCACTCCTATTCAACATAGTGTTGGAAGTTCTGGCGAGGGCAATCAGGCAGGAGAAGGAAATAAAGGGTATTCAATTAGGAAAAGAGGAAGTCAAATTGTCCCTGTTTGCAGATGACATGATTGTATATTTAGAAAACCCCATCATCTCAGCCCCAAATCTCCTTAAGCTGATAGGCAACTTCAGCAAAGTCTCAGGATACAAAATCAATGTGCAAAAATCACAAGCATTCTTATACACCAATAACAGACAAACAGCCAAATCATGAGTGAACTCCCATTCACAATTGCTTCAAAGAGAATAAAATACCTAGGAATCCAACTTACAAGGGACGTGAAGGACCTCTTCAAGGAGAACTACAAACCACTGCTCAATGAAATAAAAGAGGATACAAACAAATGGAAGAACATTCCATGTTCATGGGTAGGAAGAATCAATATTGTGAAAATGGCCATACTGCCCAAGGTAATTTATAGATTCAATGCCATCACCATCAAGCTACCAATGACTTTCTTCACTTTATAAAATTCTCTGTTAAAATAACTGCTGTAATACCAGTCTCCTGACTGGATGCTGACTAATCTATAAATTTTTATTGAGAGTGGTCCAGGAAATGGTTTCTCAAAGATTGGGCTTGGGTATTGGCTTCATGATGTCTCAGAGCTTAAGCACAATCCCAGCTCCTTGCCAATGGGAAATGTGATGCCATTAGTTATGATGATGCAGAATGATGAGTGATCACCTGTAGTTAATTTCAAGGAAGTGCCTTCTCAAGTAGAGGTCTTGAGGACTATAGGGTTTCTGTGATTAGTCTTATTATAGAAATGTTGATGATAAAAATAGTGTCATGAAATCAGTTTTAAGCTGGTAAATATATAACAACTAATTACTTTTTTAAAAAATGAAACATTATTTGTAGGCATGGCCAATTTCCTTGGTCTAAAGATTCCCACCATGGCCAATATCAAGCTATGAATGTGATGCCACTGAACGTGGAGATGAGAAGGGATGCTTGTATCATTTTCTGCTAACTGGTATGAGCCAGTTCCAACACATGGCTACATGAGATGGATTTTTCTGACTATACTGGATTCTTTCCAAGAAAATGACAAACTCAACTGTGCAACCTCTTATCTAATGACCAGAAAAGCACAGAGCTTCTTTAGTAGCCCAAGAAGAATCTCTTATTTATGAAGCCACAGGGATAATATTTCTGAAAAACAAATACAGACTTTAATGGTGAAAGTTGCAGAGCTACAACACAAGTTGGATTGAAAGTATTGTCAAGTTTTTTATCTGAAAGTGAAGATATCATTGGGAAAGTGTGAGACCCTAAGATTTGGAATGGGGACATCTGGGTAGACTTAAATGAAGCTGAGGCCTCTTGGTCACTCTAATAAGTACTCTTTAGCCAGTGAAAACAACCTTCTCTCCTGTTTTTCTGAGAAAATTAGCCTCCCTTTGTTTGAATACCTTGCCTTGAAGGAAATGATCATGAATATGTATCTCCTTGGATATTTTTGCCTTTCTTCTTCGAACATGGCAGTGGTGTGACTGAAGGAGATGACTTTTCTCTTTAGAGGGAGGAATGCTTCACACATCAGCTCTCAAAGTGCGTTTCTAGGGACAGCAGCATCTGTATCTCCAGAAAACTTGTTAGAAATGCAAATTCTTGGGTTTCAGCCCGAGCCTATTGAATCAAAAACTCTTGAGGATGGGCTCAGAAATTTATCTGCCAACCTTTCCAATTGATTCTCATTCATGACAAAGTTTAAAAACTACTGCTT
Source organism: Homo sapiens (assembly GCF_000001405.40). NCBI lineage: Eukaryota > Metazoa > Chordata > Mammalia > Primates > Hominidae > Homo > Homo sapiens. Next base: position 62,086,352 of record NC_000008.11, read on the forward strand.
AAATTTTACCTTGAGCAACTTTTGGCTTCATTTTTCTTGATTAGGAAAAATGTCTTCAGCATCAATTTTTTAAAAATCTTTAAAATTTAATGTATTTTTGAAAATTATATAAAGCTCTGCCTACTAAGATCTCAGATACACAGTTCATATGTTATAGGCAAATACAATCTTTAGTAGGGTACACCATTCCTCTTTTTTGTTATGTTTTACGTTATTAAAAGTATAAGTAATAAAATTATTTACATATTTGCCATGTCAAGTCAACATGTAGTTTGGGGTATCTTGTATGTACCCACTTAAGTACTAGGCATTAGGAGACATGGAATGAGGATAAGTATACCTTCCCTAAGAAAGACATCAAAATGACATTTATTATTTGTGGTGACTAAGATAAATCTTTTCTAGTTGAACTCTTATGAGTCCCATTGATTAAAGATCTTGCAATCTTATGGAGGAAATGAGGCTTATAAAGTAGAAACAATTACTAATTAGTACAAACTAATTTATAGTCAAGTGACATCTTGTATAATATAAATTATGAATGCTTCATTTGTTAGAATAGAGGAGTTAGTGTGCATTAACAGAACAGGAAGGCATCATTGGAAATACTTGAATTAAGCCTTAAACCTCAGTGAAACTGTGGTAGATAGAAGAAAAATGATGAAGGGGTTGGCTAAGGAAGAGCATATAAGTATCATGGCATAGAGGTGGAGATGAGCATACGCAGAGGGCAAAAATGATGGGTCTTTAGAGTAGTTGAAGACATAGATAAATTAAATAAGTTTAATTATACCAAATATTAACATAACCTGAGCATACTTATATTAGCAATTTAATTTGTGTTAAAACCGTTTGGCCCATAACTCATAGAGAATTTGCCAGTGTGACCTGAAGTGAATGGACAAAGGCTACTTAACCTGAGGCTGATGAACAGCACTGGAAAGCCAGGGCAATGGAGCAAGTGGAGAAAGTATTAGGATTTTAGTGGATAAATGTACCAGTTGATCCTTGAATTGACACACAAATGATAAATCTAAGGCATGAGAATAAATTTAGGAAAGAAGGAAATAGTGTGGCAAAATCATATACTGCTGAAACTAGACAAAATACGTTAATGTATGATCCATCCATATTTTGTTGCCTTTTGTCCGTCAGTGAGTACACTGGCCTTCCCTACTTATTTTTTTTTTCTCTTACTTACAAAATTCATTCTTTTGAATTTTGTGTTGCAAACTGAAAATGAGAGAGGACACTAGAAGAAAAGAGATGGGTAGAACTGGACTGGGGAAGAAACTTTGGAGGAGATAGATATAAGATGTGAGGTATAAGAGATTTATGTGAAAAAGAAAGGAAAGATAGTTAAGTATTGATATGAACTATGTCTATATTCATTACAAGTGAAAACCAGAAAGAATACCTGAGCTAATTTTTTTTTTTTTTTTTTGAGATGAAGTCTCACTGTGTTGCCCAGGCTGGAGTGCAATGGCATGATCGCAGCTCACTGCAACCTTCACCTCCCAGGATCAAGCGATTCTCCTGCCTCAGCCTCCCAAGAAGCTGGGATTACAGGAGTGTAACACCATGTCCGGCTAATTTTTTGTATTTTAGTAGAGATGGGGTTTCACCATATTGGCCAGGCTGGTCTTGAACTACTGACCTCAAGTGATCCACCCACCTTGGCCTCCCAAAGTGCTGGGATTACAGGCATGAGCCACCTTACCTGGCCTTCCTGAGCTATTTTGTTGTTTGCAGTTGTTCGTCTCTGTCTTCTTTGCCATAACCCTGCTCTGAGACTGGATCGCATGACTCATTTGAGTTATAAAGTGAATAGTCTAGTTTTTACTGTGATATTTGCTACAAAAATGCATCTCTTAAGTCTATCGTGAGTTCAAAGACTAATCAATGTCACTGTTTAGCTTTTGCATACCCCTTATCTCTGAAGAGGATTCAGATCCTACACGCCTTCCAAAGACATGGGATAGTAGCCACCCACTGCATTCCTAATCATCCTACTGTAGAAATGTCTCTAAACTGAGAAGAGAAAGGGAATGAGGATAGGCAGAAATGTCCCTCATCCATCTGAGACCGATCTAGAACAGCCTCTAGATAAGACTCTCTACTGTGACTTATCTCATTCTGACAGAGACCCTGAAATAAAACACGGTCAATCCAATTAGCTCTTATATTACTGTTATTTCATTGGGAGTACAGGTATGATTCTTCGAGAGGAGAAAATATTTTTCTTTATGGAATTCCCCCAAAGATCACAGTAATTTTCTCTGACTGGGTAATTATAACAACAACAACAGCAGCAACAACTGTTTATTGAGTGCCTACTATATGCCAGGCATTGATCTAAGTGCTTTGAGGGTTTTACATGTAAAAAAAAAAAAAAAAAAAAACATGAGAAGCGTTGTACTAAAATCTTCACTAACCCCAGATAGTGAACAGCATAGGAAGATTTATTTCCAGTCTAATGCAGATTCCTTGCTCTAAACAAAATAATAAATGTTTATTGCTGAATAATGCATTTTAAGAGATTCTCATTCAAAAAAGTTACAAAAAAGTCATTCAGAGAATATGCTTATCATCAGAAAGTTTTCAGAAAAGAAAATACTACTTTCCTTGGTAAATATTGTCTAATATTTGTAATATTATTACAAATTAAGGATTATTTTATGTATCTAATCCAGAGCTTCTCAACCATGGAAGACTTTGCCCCTGGGGACATCTGGCAATGTTGAGACTGTTGGTTGTCAAAATGAAGAGTGCTACTAGTATCTAGTAGATTGAGGCCAGTCATGCTGCTAAACATCCTACAAAGCATAAGACAGTCCCTACAACAAAGAATTATGCAGATCAAAATATCTATATTCTGAGGTTGAGAAACCATGATGTGATCTAAAATTCTTCTTTGAATCACTGTTAAAGGGATATAATAAAATCAACTTTAATAAATACTTATTAATTTTTCGTTTTCTTTCTCCTTCTACATTCAAACTATCAGGTGGCTCTAGGACTCTAGTTTTCAAATCAGATCCTGGATCCTAACAATTATCACTCTAAGTTTTAGGTCAAGCCATCATCATTTCTGCTGCTATTCTTGTTCCTCCTAGATTTTATTAGTTGAAGTGTAATCTTTCCAAAGCCTAAATAAGGATAGGAACCTCCCCTACTCCAGATCCTCAAGCTTCCTTTTGGATTTAAAGTCAAATTCAACTGCAAACCGTGGCATGCAATATGTCACACGATTTGGTTCCTGACTAAGCTCAGTTCTTATTAGCCATAATGTTCCATTTTTTTCACTATTTTCTGGGCACACTGGTCTTTCATTTTCCCATGGATATGCTAAGTTCACCCCATCTTGGGGCTTTGCACTTGAGTTTCCTCTCACTAGAATGCTCTTTCTTCACAGTTTGGCATGGTTTCCCCTTTTCATTATATAGGACCCAACTTGGAGGAAATTTCCTCCAAGAATCCTTATTCCTAACCCATGATTTATTTTCTTTGTAGTTTTCATCACTTTCTGAAATTGTCTTTTGTCTTTAGGTCTCAATTGACTATTAATTACAAGTGTGTAAGCCTTGGGGGGAAGAAGCTTTGCCTTACCTTGCTTTTGCATTTCCCATCTCTAGAACAATGTCTGACATGTAATAGATGATCCATGATATTTGTTGAATAGTGAGTGAGTGGTTGACAGAATGAATGAAATTTACAGGCTAGAGTTTTCTTTTCTACTGGTATGGATTCATTAAGGTAGGCATAGTACCTGTCTTCCATCTGTAGCCTGTGGTCACTTTCTCCTCAGGGAAATAATGTAAAATGACACTCAAAGAACAGCAAGAAATTCCACCAGCAGAGTATGAGTAAGAGTTTTCTCGAAAGGTGGATTATGGAATGACTAGACCCAGAATTGAGAGGGAGCTGAGTCTGTTGGAGACACAGAAAGAGGGGCAGCATTGCTGTGTAAAGAGAAGCATGGACCAGAGTGGAGGCTGGAAGGTAGAAAAAGCTAATCTTTGTTAAAAGGATAGACTTTATCATGAGAGACTGGAGGGGTCTGGAAGAGTGTTAAGTAGGTAATGCTCTCTGTTACACAGTGATCAAAACATGGAAACTGAAGTAACCCAGGCTACAACTAAGCCACATCTACACAACAGTGAGGTGACAACTGGGGTAAATAAAAGGATTGCTGATGAATGGAGGATTCCTGCTACAGTTTTTAATCCAACAGTTAGGACCCACATTGAATGAATTATGCAATGGCTCAGTGCTAGTCAAAGAGGCAAATCCTGGGTCAAATGACACTATCTCTTCCACAAGATATTGAGCATTTCACAAATTTCAGAAGACATTTTTTTTTTCCACTAGCGAGACTACTTCAGTTGTGAACTCTTCCATAATTATCCCTTTGAAATAAATCGATTTAATTTTTTCTCTTCTATTCAGGTGCAGATATGCTAAATTATGCTTCATGAAAGGTAAAGTAGTCAGATTCAATCAAACCATTCATTCATACCAGCCAGGGCTCTTAGTAATTACTTTTTATCTCAGATCATTGTAATTTGCCTTCCATTTACATAAGAAAATCATTTTGTATTATGCTACCAATATCTCAGAAGAATAATTTAAAACATCAATATTGAGTAATTCTTGTTCATTTGTTTAGCCAAATTTATATATATTCTACTATGTGCAAGATGCCCTTGCCATAGACAAATTAAGCAGGAAGATCATTATTATATGCCAAACACAAAACTAAATATGACGATCGCTATTAAGAAGTTCAGACAGTTCAGGGCCCAGTGTAAAGTTTTTTGGGAATGTGTAATCAGATTTGACCACCTTCACAAAAGTATTCATCAAACAACTCAAATAATTTTATTCTAATTTTTGAATTTGCAGACCATAATGAATGAAAAATTATTTGCCTATGTTGTACAAATTGGCTTAAATTTAGTCCATAAGCTCCTACAACTGTAATTGCTTTATAATAAGACACTGGGTCTTAAATTTTCTTTATATTCTTTGCTCCTAGCACAGTGCTGGGCACAGAGTAGATGCAAAATGTGTTATTTGTTAAATGGAACATAGTGAGAATAACTGTCCTTTTTTTCTCCTGCAAATTATTTGGCCATGAGATTTGCCTGTGGGAAATATATTTAAATGTCTATGAAATGTCATATTGAAAACTGATTCCACATTAATTGTGTCCTTACTCCAGACAGCAACATTTGGTACTCAAGCAATCAAGTCTACTGTGATTGTTCCCCTTGCGTATGTACCCTATTCAGTACTTTTCATCACAGAAACACCTGTGATTCCCCAATGATTAGCCTGTGAAAAACTGTGAATGTCTTGTTTGTTTATTTACAGTCAAATCTTGTTCCACCTATCAATTTTACTGACACTGAAATGTGAACAATTTAAGGCATATTGTTATAAATATTAAAATATGTGAAAGTAAGATAAATACAAAATATGCGAAAGTAGGATGAGTTTGTTTTGCATTAATGAAGCCTTCATGCAAACTATTTCCTATTGTCTAATTAGTGATGCAGAAATGTAAATATCATTCTCCAAGGAATCATGAACTTGAATACCTAGCAATGTCAGCATTGCAATGCAAATTGCTGATGTAAAAAAAATTGTTTTTAACTTTTGTTGAAAATACATACTTACATTCTTAAACATCAAAGTAAGACTTAGATTTTAGCTGAAAGATATATGAAAAATAAATCAGATTAAAAAAGAATAAAATATATTTAAAATTTCCAAAATTCCAAACCCAGCAAAAAACTTATGTGTTTTTTTGATTATTTTCCCAAATAATTGAATAAAATTTAGTTATTTTAAACTATACTTAAATAATTATATTATGGGGATATTATCAAGAAAATAGCCATGATATCTATTTAACATTTATTAGATTTTCATAATATGATATATTGCATAATATTTATATTTAAGATTAAATAACTAATTACTTATGCTTGTTACTGAGTTTCATAAAGGGATTTAGAGAAATAATCAGTTGCCAAGTCCAGTTTTTCTCAGGGCACAGGGTACATGTGCAAAATAATTTATTTATGTAAAAATGTACATAAGACAGTGATACATCTCATGATTTCAGTAAATAACAATATTTTAGATACTCTTTTTAATTTGATAGCATAACATTAGATCCATAAGAATATTTTTGCTGTATTTTTTAAGCTTTCATTTATAAAGAAAAGAGGACTAGAAAGACAACCATCTGTAATTTAAAAAAATCAATACTTTTGCTGAGCATTTTGGTTAAAGTTTTTTGTTGTTGTTGTTAATCATCTACATTTCTTTTTTTTTATTTTCAATTTGCATTAAATTCTTATATCTATTTCTATTATTCCTTTCTTTGCCCCTTATATACTAAAAACTTTCTTGCTGGCTTATAGTATTACTTTCCATGGAAGTTCCACTTGGGTTTCAGTGTTGACAGAATGACCTATTCTACTCTGGGGCTCCATGTCCCAACTCTGGACTAATCACACAATTTCCTTCTCCATACTTGAGGAAAGCCTATGCCTCTGCAGAACAGTGCCTCTATGAATTTATTTTTCTAGTCTTTAAATGGAACACCAGCATTCTCCGGCAATTTTCTTATACTTCCGAGCCCATTCTCTCTCCCCATTCCTAGAGTAATTATTCAAATCACTGTCAGCAAATACCTGATTCATAGAAAAAATATAGATCCTGTCATGAAGAAACTATCCCAATTGACTACTGCCAACTGGCCTTAATTGTGATTTGTTCTAAATCTTTTACTTTTAGTAGAAGGGAAGAATCTATTAATCTTTCATGTCATATCTTTAAGGCTAATTCTTCCATCTCTGCTCAGGGTCCAATGTCCTCCTAGCTCCTCAGCAACCTGTCCATCATTTATCCTTCTCTGTCTTTCCTAGTTATGGGTCATATTATTTTGTGCTCTTCACACGTCTAGTATTTTTTAATTCTGTACTTAAACTTGAGAATGCTACATTGTTAGATTTTTGGTCTTCCTTAAAAGACTTTTGGATTTTGCTTTGACCACACTACTTTTGGGTATCCTAGAATCATTAAAGCCTTGTATTTTTTACAATTTTATTAGTGTGGATCAGAGCCAGCTTCTTGGGTATGCAACCAGATTTCTAGTTGTTAATGGAGAGAAAACACGGCCAGTATCAGTTACTTCACCGTGACCATAAGTGCAAGCTTTGTCCTTGTTTATCACTGTTTTTGTTTATAAATATGCTAAGGTATCTCCCATATTAAAAACACTTCTCATTTCCTTCTTACCCAAACATCGGCCACCCAGTCCAATAAACCCAAGGGTTTAAATATCAGTGAGATAATTACTACAACCCAGTAACAATTTCTTATTATCTGCTTTGATAATATTAACACCAAGTTTTCTTGCCTCTACTACCAGAAAATGTTTCTATTTTACTTGCTTTCTATCTCAAATAAACACCAAGTCATTACTGCTTCTCATCTCAGAATGGCAATAACCTCCAAATTGGCCTTGCTGGTATCAAGGACAATTTCTTGACACCAAGGTCATGGCTCCATTTATCACGAACTAGACAGCAATCCTTTAATAGATTAGACTAGATTACATCAAGCCTCTGGTTATCACATTCCAGTGGCTTCCTATTGTACTTAAAATAAATCCAATGTCGGCCCTACACAATCTAATTCCAGCCACCTCCCTGACTGCCTCCATTTATTTCCTCTGTATTCAGAACACTCAGGTCACACTGGATGCCTCTGTGCTCTTCAAATATGAGGCTCTTCTAGCCTTAGGCTTTTCTCTTGGCTTGGAGGGTAATTTCTTCAATTTCCCATGACATCCTACTAGCATTTTGTATTAGTCCATTCTCACACTACTAATAAAGACATACCTGGGACAAGGTAATTTATAAAGAAAAGAGGTTTAATTGACTCATAGTTCAGCATGGCTGGGGAAGCCTCAGGACACTTACAATCATTGCATAAGGTGAAGCAAACATTTCCTTCACATGTCTGTAGGAAGGAGAAATGCTGAGCAAAGGGGGGAAAAGCCTCTTATAAAACCATCAGATAAGCTGGGCACAGTGGCTCACACCTGTGATCCCAGCACTTTGGGAAACCAAGGAAGGTGAATCACTTGAGGTCAGGAGTTCAAGACCAGCCTGGCCAACAAGGTGAAACCTTGTCTGTACTAAAAATATAAAAATTAGCCAGGTGTGGTGGTGCATGCCTGTAGTCCCAGCTACTTGGGAGGCTGAGGCAGGAGAATCACTTGAACCTGGGAGGGGGAGGTTTCAGTGAACAGATATCATGCCATTGCACTCTAGCCTTGGCGACAGAGTGAGACTCCATCTCAAAAAAACAAAACAAAACAAACCCCACCAGCTCTTGTGAGAACTCACCATAGCAAGAACAGCATGAGGGTAACCGCACCACGATTAAATTACCTCCCACCAAGTCCCTCCCATGACATGCAGGGACTATGGGAACTACAATTCAAGATGAAATTTGGGTTGGAACACAGCCAAACCATATCACATTTAGAACATTTGAATGAATACATGTTTTAATTTAAAAAACCATAGATAAATTGGAGAATCTTAACTAACAATGTTATGAAAATTCTGAATTTAAACAAATCTAGATATGAATCCATGATTAGCTACTTTCCAGACTAAAATTTACTTTACTCATTGGAGTTTCAGTTTCCTCATCTATAAAATTTGGATCATAATCTCTGCTTTACAGACATAATGTATTAGTGCACTTCATACTGCTATGAAGAAATACCTTAGACTGGGTAATTCATAAAGAAAATGAGGTTTAATGGACTCACAGTTCCACATGGCAGGGAAGGCCTCACAATCATGGTGGAAGGCAAAGGAAGACCAAGGCATATCTTACATGGTGGCAGGCAAGAGAGCATGTGCAGGGGAACTGCCCTTTATAAAACCATCAAATCTCATGAGACTTATTCACTATTATGAGAACAGCATGAGAAAACTTAACCCCATGATTCAGTTACCTCCCACTAGGTCCCTGCCACAACACATGAGGATTATGGGAGCTAAAATTTAAGATGAGACTTGGGTCAGGACACAGCCAAACCATATCATTCTGTCTCTGGCCCTCCCAAATCTCATGTCCTTACATTTCAAAACCAATCATGCCTTCCCAACAGTCCCCCAAAGTCTTAACTCATTTCAATATTAACCGAACAGTACACACTCCAAAGTCTCATCTGAGACAAGGAAATTCCCTTCTGCCTATGAGTCTGTAAAATCAAAAGTAAGTTAGTTACTTCCAAGTTATGATGGGTGTGCAGGCATTGGGTAAATACACCCATTTTGAATGGGAGAAATTGGCTAAAATGAAGGGGCAACAGGCCACATGCAAGTCTGAAATCCAGTGGGGCAATCATTAAAACTTAAATCTCCAAAATGATCCACTTTGACTCCATGCCTCACATCCAGCTTGTGCTAATGTAAGAGGGGGGTTCCCATGGTCTTGGGCTGCTCTGTGGCTTTGCAGGATACAGCCCCACTCCTGGCTGCTTTCATGGGCTGGCTTTGAGTGTTTGCAGCTTTTCCAGGTGCACGGTGCAAGCTATTGATGGATCTACCATTCTGGGGTCTAGAGGATAGTGGCCCTCTTCTCACAGCTCCTCTAGGCAGTGCCCCAGGGATTCTGTGTGGAGGCTCCCACCCCACATTTCCCTTCCACACTGCCCTAGCAGAGGTTCTCTATGAGGGTCCCTCCTCTGTAGCACACCTCTGCCTGGACATCTGTATATTTCTATACAGCATTTGAAATCTAGGTGGACATCTCCAAACCTTAATTCTTGACTTCTGGGCACCTGTAGGCCCAACACTACATGTAAGCCACCAAGGCTTGGGGGTTGCTCCCTCTGAAGCAATGGCCTGACCTGTACGTTGGCCCATTTTAGCCATGGCTAGGATGCAAGGCACCAATTCCTGAGACTGCACAAAACAGCAAGATGTTGGACCTGGCCCATAAAACCATTTTTTCCTTTTTGGCCTCTGGGCCTGTGATGAGAAGGGCTTCTGTGAAGACCTCTGACATGCCCCAGAGACATTTTTCCCATTGCCTTGGCAATTAACATTCAGCTCCTTGATACTTAGGCAAATTTCTGCAGCTGACTTGAATTTCTCCCCAGAAAATGGGTTTTTCTTTTCTATTGTATCATCAGGCTGCAAATTTTCCAAACTTTTATGCTCTGCTTTCCTTTTAAACATAAGTTCCAATTCCAAACCATATCTTTGTGAATGAATAAAACTGAATGCTTTTAAGATCACCCAAGTCACATCTTGAACACTTTGCTGCTAGAAATTTCTTCCTCCAGATACCCTAAATCATTTATCTCCATAGGCCGGGTGCTGTGGCTCCCACCTGTAATCCCAACAGTTTGGGAGGCCGAGGAGGGTGGATCACCTAAGGTCGGGTGTTCAAGGCCAGCCTGACCAACATGGAGAAACCCTGTCTCTACTAAAAAAAAAAAAACAAAATACAAAATTAGCTGGGTATGGTGGCACATGCCTGTAATTGCAGCTACTTGGGAGGCTGAGGCAGGAGAATCGCTTGATCCTGGGAGGCGGAGGTTGCAGTGAACCGAGATAGTGCCATTGCATTCCAGCCTGGGCAACAAGAGCTAAACTCCATCTCAAAAAAAAAAATCATTTCTCTCAAGTTCAATGTTCCACAGATCTCTAGGGCAGGGGCAAAATGCCACCAGTCTCTTTGCTAAAGCATAGCAAGAATCACCTTTGCTCCAATTCCCAATGAGTTACTCATCTCCATCTGAGATTACCTCAGCCTGGATTTTTTGGTCAGAACCATTCAACAAGTTTCTAGGAAGCTCCAAATTTTTCCATATCTTCCTGTCTTTTTGTGAGCCCTTCAAACTGTTCCAACCTCTGCCTGTTACCCAGTTCCAAAGTTGCTTCCACATTTTGGGGTATCTTAATAGCAATACCCCATTCTACTCGTACTAATTTAGTGTATTAGTTCATTTTCTTACTACTATGAAGAAATATCTGAGACAGGGTAATTTCTAAAGAAAACGAGGTTTAATGGAGTCATAGTTCCACATGACTGTGGAGGCCTCACAATCATGGCAGAAGGCAAAGGAGGAGCAAAGTCGTGTCTTACATGGTAGCAGGCAAGAGAGCATGTGCAGAGGAACTGCCCTTTGTAAAACCACTGGATCTCATAAGACTTATTAACTATCATGAGAACAGCATGGGAAAACCCACCCCTATGATTCAATTATGTCTCCCTGGGTCCCTCTCATGATGTATGAGGATTTTGGGAGGTAAAATTCAAGATGAGATTTGAGTGAATACACAGCTAAATCATATCACATAATATATAAAGGACACATCATTGAAGGCTTAAAGCATAGTAAGTACTTAATGAGTTGTAGCTATTAATATAATCAAATGGGAACAAAAGGAAACAAATGATTATATATATAGACATATACATACATGTATATGTGCTGTGGTTATTTACATGCAAATATATGCTGTTTGAGTTTTAGTTATCAACAGATTACTTTTTTGAAACGCTGTAACCTTGAGGTCTCTTCTTATGTAAGCATTCCTCATCTCATGATCATGCTATTAATTCTCTGTCCAGTTAGCTTTGGTCTGTCATTTTCCTATATTAGAAAGAATGTAGGCAGTGGACAGATTAGCTTATTTTTCCACTAGATCTTAGTCCTGTTTATTATTTTTTAAATGTATATATTAATTCACATAATAGTCTATGCTCAACTGACAACGCTTATATTTTAAATACACAAAGTGCAGCCAAATTAGATTCAGGGTAACTTTGTTGAAAAGCAATACCTCCAAGCTCTGGCTTCCTCAGGCTCTTTGTTCAGTGACTAAAATAGATCTGAAGGTAGAACTGAGAGAATCTGAACATGAGCCCTCTGTTCAGGCATGACAGGCATGGCAACCTGAGCATCCAAGTGGTCATCTCTGGAGAAGGGATTATGACACCTTTCACATCCTTATAATTAGACCTCCTGAGTATGACTCTTAAAATGACAAAAGAAATTTGAGCAATGGCCCATAGAGGTACTTTTTTTTTTTTTTTTTTTTTACTTCGGTGGGCATCAGTAAATTTTGGCCAAAAGGACAAAGATGGCAAACATGGCATTCCACAAAAATACAAACCAAATGTAAGCAAGCTGATTATCTTGAAATTTTAACTTTTTAAAAGAGAACTGATGATTTAGTTGTTCCCACCCCTTGTGGATTTCTCATAATTAAAATTAGATTTAAAATTGAGGCTAATCCCTTCACAGGAGTAGATAATATAAAATCTTAAAAATGTAAATTTAGTTTTTAATCTGTAAAATAGGCCTTAAATGCAATATCAGATAACATTTTAAGCATCAATTTTAATAGCTTAGGAATTATGCTTTTCTTGGAAGAAAGATTTCCGAATCCCCAAAATGCTAAATGCATGAAAAAATAAGAACAAATGTTTGAGAAGAATGCATAATGATATAAGAAAGGAGTTTGAGATTATGACCTTATGACTGACTCCTTATAAGAAAGGAGTTTGAGATTAGGACCTTATGACATGTCACTCCCACTGAAAGAGACCAAAATTTTGAGTAGAGAAACATAATTTGAACAGATCTTTGTAGAGAAAACACTGAGAGTGGATGGAGAAGTGATGTAGTCACTGAAGCTGAAGAGGGAGAAAACTGGGAACTCTGCATAGGATACAAAAATTCTGGGGCTGGTTCCTAGTCCTGAATGGCTCCTGAGGAAGGGGTGAGTGAAGGGACTGTGGGACAGCCTACTCTCGCCACAGACTTCTGGGATCCTAGCTACAGGGGACCCCACATCTATCATGGACATTTGGTCTGGCAGGGGATCTGCCTGAAGAGTAGGTTTCAGCCAGCTTGGAGTTGGGGAACTTTATGTAGGTGTCAGCTCTGCAAAGTGCAGCCACAGGTGTCAATCCCCCAGGGATCCCCATCTCCCTCCAGGGAGCTCCTTCAGGAAGCTCTAGGTCCTCCAGAAAGCTCTAGCCCCAGATCACTGCTGGGGCAGGAGAAAGTGAGGCCAACTTTCATGTGGAACCATGTCTGTTCTGCAGGCCCTACTGCCTGACTGCTTCTCCCAGGGCCCCTGCCTGGCCAACCCACAGAAGTGTGTACATAGCACAGCCTCTGCTGCCCAGCCTTGGTGCTTTAGTCCATCTGGGTACGTTTCCAGCAGCCTGGAGGCACTTTGGATTCCCTAGTGCACCTGGAACCTGACCCCACATGTCTGGAAGATGAAGCTGAAGTGGCCTCATTGTCTGGGGTGACACCCAAAGTTCTGGTCTCACAGCTGTGGAGATCAAGGGTGCAGACACACACGAAGGATGAAGTTAGAGAAGAAATTTAATAGGCAAAAGAAAGAGAATAACTTTCTGCTACAGAGAGGGGTCCTGGAAATAATAGTTTGCTAATCCATGGTGAAATGCAGGGGATTTTATAGATGAGCTAGTGGGGAGGTGGTGTCTGATCTACGTAGGGCATGAAAAAATGGTTAGGACCAGGTGTGCCATCTGCATAGGGCATGAATCTCTGGCAGCCCCAACCCCAATCTTTTATTATGCAAGTGGGTTTTCAGCCTGAGGTACTCCATGTTGGTCATTTATTTCTTACTGTACACATGTTAACAAAACAAAAAAGAGAACGTGGAGGCCCCGTGATGGACATGCCTGGCCCCAGGTAGTCCATTGTTTGGTGCAGCTGCCAGCATCCCTTTGAGCAAGCTTCCAGCTTCCTTATCTATGTTTGCGGTTCGATCTTTCAGGCTTCTCTTTGATAGAAAAGAAGTAATTTCTACTGCTGCTTTTTGTTAGAGGGAAGTTCTGCCAATGACCCTATTCCCCTCACTACCTGCCTAAATAATTTCTTTCTATCTCCTGTATCATTTCCCCCCCTCAGGAGTGGAAACCCTAACTGCTGTTAGGGGGTGTTGAACAATGACTCTTCTAAATACTTCCTGCTGGAGAGGGGCGTTGTGTGGAGAACAGCAACTAGGTTTCCTCCTGGGGTCAATCTAAGGGTCCTCAGAAGAACGACATATCCATGTGTGCTTCCATTTGCAGCACCATTTGGACTTTAATAGCTTCTAGGTAAGAGGAAACAATTCAAGTTATTGTATTGAGTATACAAGGTCCAAATATTAGTAGAAAACACATGAGCAAAAGGGGGACTAATAAAGGAGCTAACCAGTACTGTAAAGAAGACCGGAATCCATTAAGGAGGGATTGTAGCCACCTGGGGCTAGAGGCATGGTGCCTCACGCCTGTAATCCCAGAACTTTGGGAGGCCAAGCAGGTGGATCACTTGAGGTCAGGAGTTCAAGACCAGCCTGGCCAACATGGTGAAACATCATCTCTACTAAAAATACAAAAATTAACGAGATTTGGTGGCAGGCACCTATAATCCCAGCTGCTTGGGAGGCTGAGACACCAGAATTGCTTGAACCCAGGAGGTGGAGGTTGCAGTGAGCCAACATTGCACCACTGCACTCCAGCCTGGGTGACAGAGTGAGACTCTGTCTCAAAAAAAAAAAAAAAAAAAAAAGTGCACATGTATCCCGTACTTCAGCCATAAGGTAATCTAGGGCCTGTCTATTTTGTGCTACTATTGAGGCTAAAGAGTCTATAGATTACTGTTGTGCTTCTATGGCTCCTACCATTGCCTTCCACCTTTGTTGCATCATAATGGAAATATTAAGTACTGATCTTTCAAGGAGAAGAATATGAGCAAACCAGAAAAGGCCTCTGGCTATAGATCCCCTTTCCAGGGCTTTTCTAAGATAGGATTGTCATGTGCATGTCTTCCCCAGTCTTCTCTTTCAGTTAAATCTCCATGTGAGGGCATGGAACTAATAGATCTTTGTTCAGTGTATCTGAGATAGTGCACTCTCTAGAAAAGAGCCTAAGTTAGGGATGTCCCCAGGTGATGCTGCCATGTTAGTGGAATTTTAAAATAATACATCTGGGACCACTGCTACTATAGTGTAGGTTCCCTTCCAGTGACCAGGGAAGATTAAGTATAGCCAAAATCCACAAAGGAAATACAGCCCTGTCCCTCAAAGGGACAGTTCTAAGTTGTTACTTATGAAAAACACAGATAAATCTTTCTCATCTCTTAGAAGCTTTCTATTTTTGTATATAATAGGAGCATCTTTGGGATAGGGATATCCATACTCAGATAATCACTCACGAAGCCATTTGGAATTTTACATGCTAAATGAGAAGGACCCACATGACATATGGAGTTTTGAAAGATTAGAGACACAATATGTCCTGGCCAATATCTAAGATAATTCTTGTGGCAGGGGATGACAGCCCAGACATCACCTGTTTGCCTACAAATTTGCAGGCCACTAGTATTAGCAAACATCATACAAGGGTCTGGAATTACATGAAGGGACATGCTTGGGGAAGCCTATGTGTTATTTTCTACATCATAGTACCATGTGTCAAGGCAGTTATCCAGAGCCTACCATTCCCATTGGGACTTCCAAAGCAGGAAGAAAGGCCAGATTCTAAAAGCCCCCATATAGGGCTTCCAATTTTCTTAGATCTTCCCTATAGCGTTTTCTTTCTCCAAACTTTTGAGCTTTCAGCGATTACATGTGTGGTGTTACAGTATTTGAGATCTCCCAGGTATGGTCCTTTTTCCCCTGCTTTTAAAGCAGAGGGAGGAATTTGCTATTGCCTGGTCAACTTTTCCTAATACGAAGATATGAAGCTTATCTTTTGGGGAATAGTTTCCTGGCAGCAGGGGTGAAGTGTTTTCCTAGGAGGAGTTAGTTACCCAGTTGAAAGTTCTCCCATACCATGTTCCATTTATGCCTGACTAGTTGTTTAATGGTTAAAGATAAAGCTAATAAAGGGGTTCCTAAGACAATAAGTTCCAGGTCATCAAGAGCTTCCTTAGTGTTATTGAACTAAACAAACTGCTCAGGACAGACCCAGCAATTAGTTCTGCCGTATAAATGTGCCACGGCTGATACTGTAGGAGCTAAAGGGTGTGATGTATTACCAAACCCAATAAAAAGTCCTAGCAGACTCAGTGATAGACTTTTATGTTTACTTTTTGTCTGTAACTATTAAAGCCACAGCTGATCCTAGAGTCCCAGGCCTGAGGCATGCAGCTTATGAGTGCTGAGACAACATCTGTTGCTGGCACTCAAGTGGGGAAGAAGCCCACATTCTCAGAGTACTGAGAAGGGTAAGACATGCATGTTCATGGGCTGGTACAAGAGCAGGGTGTGCATCTTTCCACAGGGCTGGTCCAGAAAGGGTGTGGCCTATCTCCCTGCCAAGGCCTCTGCTTGAGAGAGCCCCATGGCCTGTAACACCTAATAAAAGAAATGCGGGAACAGTGTCAGGAATCAGAAGGGGGTCCTTCAAGGCCCAGGAAAGGACTTGGTGAAGAGATCTCTCTCCCCACTGCATCACAGAGCACATGCTACTATGAGGAAATACAAGAGAGCCACGTGGCTAAGAGCGTATCTACTGGCCATTACTCTTAGTCTCCATCTACTGGACCACAGCTCAAACTACAATATCAAAAATATTTTGCTAATACACCCTCCAATGAAACCAAGGGCAATAATTCAGCCACAAATAAAGACCACGTACAGAGCCTTGGCCCTTTGAAAACATCCAGAAAGAAAGCCAACTGACTATACTCAACTTACACTACAGTTAAAGGAACACTGACCCTCCCAGATGAGAAAAAATGAGCAATTCAAAAGAGAACTCTGGCAATTCAAAAAGACAAAGTATCTCCTACCTCCAAGTGAGTCCATTAGCTCCCCAGCAATGATTTTTAACAAGTCTGAAATGACTGAAATGACAGACATAAAATTTAGAATCTGGATGACAAGGAAGTTCATTGAGATTGAGGTGAAAGTTGAAACCCAATATAAGGAATCCAAGGAATACAGTAAAACAAAGAGCTGAAAGATGAAATTGTCATTTTAAGTAAGAACCAACTGAACTTCTAGAGCTTAAAAAAATTCACTGCAAGTATTTCATAATACAATCTAAATATTAACAGGATAATAAACAAGGACAGAATCTTAGAGCTTGAAGACCAGTGCTTTGAATCAACTCAGATAAAAATAAAGAAAAAAATGATTTTAAAAAATGACCAAAACCTCACATAATTAAAGGATTATTGTATAGAGACTATATCTATGATTCATTGGCATTTCTGAGAGAGGAGGAGGGGAAATAAACAATTTGGAAAATATATATGAGGATATAGTCCATGAAAATTTCCCTAATTTTGCTAGAGAGGTTGACACACAAATTCAAGAAATACAGAGAACCTGCACTAGATACTAAACAAAATGACTGTCTCCAAGGCACATAGTCATAAGATTCACCAAGGTCAACACAAAATAAAAAAAAAAATCTTAAAGGCAGTAGAGAAAAGCATCAGGTCACATACACAGGAAACTCCATCAGGCTAGCAGCAGAACTCTCAACAGAAATCTTACAAGCCAGAAGAGACTGGGGGCCTATTTTCAGCCTACATAAAAAAAAAAAAGAAAAGAAATTACAACCAAGAATTTTATGTTTCAACAGTCTAAGTTTCCTAAGTGATGGAGAAATACATTCCTTCTCAGACAAGCAAATGCTGAGGGAATTCATTTCAACTAGACCAACCTTAGAAGAAGTCCCTAACCCTTTTCTGGTTAAGAAAAAACAACAACAAAAAAATGTGACGCTCACTGCCACTGCTCATTTAATTTTACATAAACATGCTCTTTGAGGCTGAAGCAAATTTGACTGATTTTCAATGTGAAAATACAATATAAAAACTGTTCTTGGAGTTATTTCTAAACAGAACTAACATCAGAATCATCTGAATCATCAGAATCATCTACTTCAGAAAAAATCAGATTCATCAAATACATCTTTGGTCAATGACTGTTCAAGAACAATGTTAACATCATATGTAGGAATGTTACATTTTCTAGGATCTGACATTTCCAGCATTTGGAATTTACTATATGTTGTAAATGGAAATACCACTACTAAAAACAGAATGCTATAAATAGCATGATGTATTTTGTTTCCAAAGACAATATATTAAAATGATGCAAAAATGGTAATAAAAGTGAGAGATCTTTTGGCAAAGTTATCTCAGGGTAAACGCTGTGGCTGCAAGTGCCACCAGTAAGTATTTTTGGTGCAAATGGGAACAAAGTTAAAGTAGTGGGGTAAACACGGAATTAAAAGAATAACACCTACTACCACAAAAACACATTTAAGCACATAGCTCACAGACACTATAAAGCAACAGTGTCTGTGATAAATAATCATTTCTACATACCAACCAGCTAACAACACAATGAGAGAATCAAAATCTGACATATCATTGCTAACCCTGAATGTAAATGGGCTAAATGCCCAACTTAAAAGACGTTAGTGACAATCTGGATAAAAAGACAAGACCCAACCATCTTATCTCTTCAAGAGACCCATTTCACATGTAACAATATCAAAAGGCTCAAAGTAAAAGGATGGGGAAAGATGTACCATGCAAACAAAAAACAGCAAGAGTCACTATTCTTATATCAGATAAAAACAAACTTTAAACCAATAACAATTATGAAGAACAAAAAGGGCAGTACATAATGATAAAGGGTGCAATCCAACAAAATGACTTATTCTAAGCATACACACACCCAACATTGGAACACCCACATTCATAAAACAAGTTCTTCTTACTGTATGAAAAGAATTAGACAGTCACACACTAATAGTAGGAGACTTCAACACCCCATTGACAGTCTTAGACAGATCACTAAGGCAGAAAACTAACAAAGAAACTCTGGACTTAACCTCAACACTTGACTAATTGCACCTAATAGACATCTACTGAACACTCCACCCAACATACACAGCATATACATTCCTTTCATCTGCACACAGAATATATTCTAAGATCAACCACATACTCAGTCATAAATCAATCTCAACAAATTAAAAAAAATTGAAATCATGTCAACCACACTCAGACCACAATGCAATAAAAATGGATATCAGTATCAAGAAGATATCTCAAAATTACAAATATACATGAAAATTAAGTTGATCCTGATTAACTCCTGGATAAACCCCCAAATTGAGGCAGAATTCAAAAAATACTTTGAAATTAATGAAAATAGGACACAACTTACCCAAATCTCTGGAATGCAGCTAAAGCAGTGTTAAAAGGAAAGTTTATAGCACTAAATGTCTTCATCAAGAAAATAGAAAGATCTCAAATTAACAACAAACATTATATCTAAAGGAGCTAGAAAGAAAAGAATAAACCAACCCCAAAGCTAGCAAAAGAAAAGAAATAACTAAAATTAGAGAAGAAATTGAGACACAAAAATCCATAAAAAAGATACGTGAAACCAATAATTTTTTTGAAAGAATAAATAAGATTGATAGACCACTAGCTAGATTAACAAAGGAAAATAAAACACCCAGGAGATCCAAATAAGAGCAATAAAAAATGACAAAGGTGACATTCCAACTGATTCCATATAACTACAAGAGATCATCAGCGACTACTATGAACAACTCTATGCACACAACTTAAAAAATCTAGAGGAAATGGATAAATGTCTGGAAACAGAAAATCTTCCAAGATTGAATCAGGAAGAGATTGAAACTCCCAATAGACCAATATCAAATTCAGAAATTGAATCAGTAATAATAATAATAATAATAAACTTACCAAGCAAAAAAGCCCTGGAATAGATGGATTCACAGCAAAATTCTACCAGATGCACAAAGAGGAACTGGTATCAATTCTACTGAAACCATTCTGAACACTTGGGGATGTGGGGCTTCTCCCTTTCTATGAAGCCAGCATTAGCCTGATACCAAAATCTGGCAGAGACACAATTAAAAAAGAAAACTTCAGGCTGATATCCCTGATTAATGTAGACACAAAAATCTTCAACAAAATACTAGTAAACTGAATTCAGCAGCACACCATAATTACCAAGCCTACATGATCAAGTAGGCTTTATTCCTGGGATGCAAAGATGATTCAACATATGCAAATCAATAAATATGATCTACCATACAAACATGATTAAAAACAAAAACCTTATGATCATCTCAATAGATGCAGAAAAAACATTCAATAAAATCTACCATCCTTTGATGATAAAAACCCTCAAAAGACTAGGTAGGCATCAAAGAAACATACCTCAAGATAATAAGAGCCGTGTATGACAAACCCACAGCCAACATCATACTGAATGGGCAAAAAGGCAAGAGTGCTTACTGTCACCACTCCTACTCAACATAGTACTGGAAGTCTTTGCCAGAGTAATCAGGTAAGACAAAGAAATTAAAGGAATCCAAATAGGAAAAGAAGAAGCCAAACTACCTATCTTTATAGATGGTATGATTCTATACCTAGAAAACACAAAACACTTCACCAAAATGTTCTTACAACTGATAAATGAATTTAGTAAAGTCTCAGGATGCAAAAACAATGTTCAAAAATCAGTAGCATTTCTATACACCATTAACATCCAGGATCCAGGCTGAGTCAAATCAAGAACACAATCCCATTTACAACAGCCACAAAGAAAATGAAATACTGAGAAATACATCTAACCACGGAGGTGAAAGATCTCTACAAAGAGAACTACAAAATGCTGCTGAAAGAAATCATAGACAATACAAATAAATGGGAAAAAAATCCATGTTCATGGATTAGAAGAAGCAATATTGTAGAAACAGCTATACTCCCAAAGGAATTTACAGATTTATTGCCATTCCTGTGTAACTACCAATGTCATTCTTCATGGAATTAGGAAAAAACTATTCTAAAGTTCATATGAGACCAAAAAGAACCCAAAATAACTTAACAATTCTAAGCAAGAAGAACAAAGTCAAAGATATCATACTATCTGACTTCAAACTATACTATAAATCTGCAATAACCAAAACAGCAGGGTACTGGTACAAAAATAGACACATACACCAATGAAACAGAATAGAAAACTCAGAAATGGAGCTGCACACCTACAATCATCTGCTCTTCAACAAAACCAACAAAAAACAAGCAGTGAGGAAATGACTCCCTATTCAATAAATACTTCTTGGATAATTGGCTAGCCATAAGAAGAAGGAAACTGGACCCCTAGCTTTCACCACATATAAAAATTAACTCAAGGATTAAAGATTTAAATGTAAAACCGCAAACTATAAAAATCCTAGAAGAAAACCTGGGAAATGCCCTTCCTAATTGACCCTGGCAAATAATTTTTGGATTAGTCCCCGAAAGCAATTGCAACAAAAACCAAAATTGACAACTGGGACCTAATTAAACTGAACAGCTTTTGCAGAGAAAAAAGAAATTACCAACAGAGTAAACAGACAACCTATAGACCAGGAGAAGCTATTTACAAACTGTCCATCTGACAATGATTTAACATCCAGAATCTATAAGGAACTTAAATTAACAAGAGAAAAACAAATAACTCCATTAAAGATGGGCAAAGGACATGAATAGATACTTCTCTAAAGAAGACATACAAGTGGCCAATCAACTCATGAAAAATATACTCATCATCACTAATCATCAGAAAGATGCAAATCAAAATTATGATGAGATACTATCTCATACCAGTCAGAATGGCTGCTATTAAAATGTCAAAAAATAACAGATGTTGGCAAGGTTTTGGAGAAAAGAGAACACTTGTATGTTGCTGGTGGAATGTAATTTAGTTCAGTCCCTGTAGAAAGCAGGTTTTAGAATTTTCAAAGAACTATAAATATAACTACCAGTTGATCCAGCAGTGCCACTACTGGGTATATACCCAAAAGAAAATAAATCATTCTACCATAAAGACACATGCACTCTATGTTCATTGTGGTGCTATTCATAGTAGCAAAGACAAGGAGTCAACTTAGGTGCCCATCAATGGTGGATTGGCCATTGGAAAGAAAATATAATACATATACTTCATCTAATATTATGCAGCCATATAAAAGAATACAATCATATTCTATGTAACAACATGGATGCAGTTGGAGGCCATAATACTAAGCAAATTAATGAAGGAACAGAAAACCAAATACCGCATATTCTCACTTACAAGTGAAAGCTAAACATTGAGCACAACTGGACATACACATGGGAACAATAGACACTGAAGACTACTAGAGAGGAGAGGAAGGAAGTCGGGTGTGTTTTGTCAAGCTACCTACTGGACACTATGCTCACTACCTGGGTGATAGGATCTGTACCCCAAACCTCAGCATAATACAATATTCTCATGTAACAAACCTGTATATGTACCCCCTGTATCTAAAATAAAAGTTGGAAAAATTTTTAGAAAGGATGAATTTCTTGCCATCTTTGTACTTTTAGTTTCTTCAGAGAAGATGAAACTCCATGGGAGGGAGGAATTTAGCTCCGGAGGACAAAAGTAATCTGCTTTCTTCTTCCTCCAGTCAATGCCCCAATGGGAGGAGGTGAGAATAAAAGATCCCTTCAACATTTTTTAAAGGTGGAAGACAGTCTAAAAGTACATGGGACCTGGGTCCCATTTCCTTAGTGACATCAAGTTGCAGCAGAGGTTGCAGTAACAAATATACAAAAAAAAGTGGCTAGCCACGGGGAGGCAAACGGAAAATACCAGTTCCTGGAATCCTCTGTGTCCGTGGAAAGTAGAGTGCCTAAGAAATTCTCCCATGACTCTACAAAGGATTTGGGTGTGGCACTGACCTACTGAATTGTCTTCAGCAATAGTCTCAACAAAGAAAAGAGCAGTACATGCAAAGTATGCCTTTGGGCAGTGGTTCTTAATGCATGTTCCCTGACCAGCAGAATCGGCATAAGCTGGTATCATGTAAGAAAGGGAGATAGATTCTCAGACCCTGTTCCAGACCTACTGAATCAGAAACTCTAGGAGTGGGCCCAGCAGTCTCTGTTCTAATAAGCCCTCCAGGGAAATTTGCTGCAGATTTAAGTTTGAGGACCACTGCTGGTGGATGCCTGCAGAGGACAGAGGGATTGCCAGGATATGTAGACCAGGAACAAAACATACTCTGAAGAACAGTGGGAAGGTGGGGTGGGTGGCAAAATTTTTAATTTGTGGAGTTTAAAAACTTCATTGAGAAATTACTGAATTTGATAAAGTTAATCTGTGATTGACTACATTAGGATGAAACTAAATTAAGATGACTAGGTTAAGATTAATGGCCTCACTTTGTTACCAGTGAAAGGTATCTGAGTTACACTGAGTTACCAATGGCGTGTCTGCACACATCTGCAGTAACTTCAATTCTTGCCTCCTCAGAAGAAAGAACTCGACTGAGGGGCATAAAGCAGAAGAAGAAACCACGGCAAGTTTCAGAATAGGAGTGGAAGTTTATTTAAAAAGGGTTTAGAACAAGAAAGGAAGTAAGGTGCACTTGCAAGAGACCCAAGGGGGCACATGAAGGTTAATCCTATTCCTAGGGCATTATAAGCTCACCTTTTTCCCGTGATTCTTCCCTTAGGGTGGGCTTCCTGCATGTGCAGTGCCCTCTTTACCCTTGGGAACTGAGCCTGTGCAGTGTGTTTAGGAAGTTGTACATACGCCCATCTGAGGTTGTCTTCCTTTTTTCCCACAGAGTGTACCCGGAAGGTCACGCTTTGCCATTTTGTCTCTGAATGCACATGACCCGGAAGTTTCTTCTCCCTGGCAATTGTATTCAGTTAACACTTTTATGTTAACAGCTGTGGATTATCAGGAGACTGTCTCTCCCTAGCTTTAGAGAGGTAGTGTGGTAATTGCTGAACCATCCCTGATATTCTTAGTGGTTTGAGGGAGAGCTGTCTCCTGCCCTGCTCATGACTAACTACCTGTAACAACTTTATAGATAAAGAAACTGGAAAGTTTGGTGACTTGTCTAGTATTATAAGCCATTAAGATCGAGCAGCACCATTAAATAACTTTTTAATGGCAAACTGAGAAGAAACTATTAACATAGAAAAATTATGGTATTTTGTTTTGCAGAATCAGGGAAATAAATATTAGTGATAGTAATAGGAGTGATAATGAACTACCATAGCCTGGGAGATGTTTTTTGTATTGCACAGTCATACAGGGCAGAACAGTCTGAAACGTGAAGGCACCTGGCTGAATACGCTTATATGGAAGCCAAGTGCTTTTTCATGACCTGTGAGGACCTCCTGAACTGACTGGAGGACTTGGCTTGTGACATAGTAGATAGTCTTAAAGTCACCTGTAGTGAGCAAAGTGTATGACCTCAACCTGAAGTTTAAGCCCCACAAACAGCCTTTCAAAAGGATAAACTATTCAGACACTATTGTGTGGCTGAAAGAACACAATATAAAGAAAGAACATGGAACTTTTTATGAATTTGGAGAAGATATCCCAGAAGCCCCTGAGAGAGTGAAGACAGACACCATTAATGAACTAATCTTTCTGTGTCAATTTCCTTTGGAGATCAAGTCCTTCTATATACAGCAATGTCCTGAGGATTCCCATCTTACTGAATCTGTTGACTTGTTGATGTCCAATGTTGGTGAGAATGTCGGAGGCTCAATACATACCTGCGATGGTGAAGAAATGCTAGAAGGTTATGAAATGAAAGAGATTGACCCCACTCCCCATTACTGGTATGTAGATCAGAGAAAATACAGTTCATGTCCTCATGGAAGATATGGCTTGTGTCACACCTGAGGTGTACGCTTATACCCTTGATGTGTCCAGTGCTGCAAGCCATAACCAATTCCTCCTGAAGCATGAAGGAAAGAATATGATTCATGAAAGGAATAGGCTCCCCCTTTAAAAAAACAAGAACAAAAAAGCCAGAATCTTCCTTTTTTGTTGTTTCATTGGTGTATAACTGTTTCTGTTTTCTCTTTCTGTTTTTTATTTTTACTACCACAAAAAGTAGCCCAGATCAGTTGAACATGAAGTGACATGAGGTTGTCATCTTAACAAAATACCCATTACAAAATTTGGGGAAAATATGTGGCATGTAACTCTGTAGTTACAGATAAATTTCGTCATTTTACCCAATTATAAGTCATATATACCATATAAATATTTCAATAGTTTTAAATTATCATCTAAGACATTCCAGTAACTTAATATTTCCGTTCTTTTAAGTATAACTGGAATTCTTTAATTCATTTTATTGTATCAATGAGTTTAAACAAACATCTTTGGGGGAATTGGCAATATGGTGTGAAAATCCACTAGTACTAGAATACAGTATAATTCAGCAGTAGATACTGGAATCGAATGAATATAGTCTTTTGTGTCAATTATTAATCTTTTCTAAGTCTGTATAGGTGCTTACACTTCTGAGACATACAAATTGATATGGAATAATTTGTGAAAATGGAATTGCCTTAAAGAATTTGAAGTAAGAGCACAATTCTGGGAGTGGAGTTCTTAGATGATTCACAACATTCCTCTTAGAATTAATTTAAGGTAAAGAGGCAGACTGATCTTCTTTCTTTCCTGACTATTCCTAAATAATTAAGAATAAATAAGTTCCAAAGGAATTTGCAGCTGGAATCTTTATAACAACTCTAAGTGGCTGTTTGAGTTGGCCCCACCATGTCCTTAGTTCTAATCTGTGCTACCTTATTACATCACAGAATGCTTATTGAATGGCTTCATTTCAGAGTTAATTTCTCCCCTAAATGCATATCATGTATTCTTAATAGGCTGTATTACCAGCAGTCAATATATAAATATACATAAAATATTTTTTGAGGAACTTCCAGACCACTTTCCAAAGTGGCTGCACCATTGTGTTTACCCACTAGCAGTGTATGAAGGTAACAGTTTATCCACATCCTTGCCAACACTTGTTATTATCTGTCTTTTTTATTATGGCCACCCTAGTGGGTGTGATACGATATCTCCTTGGGGTTTTGATAGCATTTTCTGATGGCCAATGATGTTGACCATCCTTTCATATGCTTATTGCTCCTTTGTATATTTTCTTCAGAGAAATGTCTATTCCAATCCTTTGCCCATTTTAAATTAATTTAATTGTATTTTCATGATTGAGTTGTAAGAGTTCTTTTATATTCTATAGAAGTCCCTTATCAAATTTATTATTTGCAAATATTTTCTTCTATTTTGTGGATTGTCTTTTTACTTTCTTAATGATATTCTTTGAAGTACACAGGTTTTTAATTTCAATAAAGTTAAATTTATCAATCTTCTTTTTTTCACATATGCTTTGATATCATATCTAAGAAGTCATTGCCTAGTTTGAGATCATGAAAATTTAATCTTGTGTTTTATCCTAATAAATTTATAGTTTTAGTTCTTACATTTCAGGTCATGATCCATTTTGAGTTAATTTTTGTGTATGGTATAAAGTAGGGCTCCAAAGTCATTCTTTTGTGCATGGATATCCACTTGTTCCACCACTATGTGTTTATAAACTATTCTTTTCTCTCGCTGAATTGCCTTGGTCCCTTTGTTGAAATTCAACTGGACATAAATGTTACAGTTTATTTCTTCACTCTCAATTTTATTCCACCTATGTATGTTTCTTTTTATAAGAGGACCACACTGTCTTGATTAGGATAGCTTTGTAGTAAGTTTCTAAATCACAAAGTACAAGTCCTCCAACTTTGTTCTTCTTTTTCAAAATTACTTTGGCTAATCTGAGTCCTTTGCATTTCCATGTAAATTTTAGGATAAACTTGTAAATTTTCCCACAAAAGCTAATTGGGCTTTTCATAGTAATTGCATTGAATCTGTGCATTAACTAGGGGAGAATTGCCATTCTATCCATATTAAGCCTTATTTTGACCCAAGAACATGCTTTTCCATTTATGTAATTTTTAATTTTTTTGCACAAAATACAGTTTTTGGAAAATATGGTTTACAATATTTTTGTTAAATTCCTATTTAAGTATTTTATTCTTTTGAATGCTATTGTAAATGAAATTATTCCTTAGTTCATTTTCTAACTCTTCATTGCCAGTATATAGAAACAACTGATTTTGTATGTTGATGTTGTTTCCTGCAACCTAGCTGAACTTTTTTTTTCTGTTTCTGTGAAGAATGTCATTGGTATGTTGATAGAGATTGCATTGAATCTGGAGATTGCTGTGGGTATTATAAACATTTTAACAATATTGATGCCTCCAATCAATGAGCATGGGATATCTTTTTTCATTTGTTTGTTTTGTTTTGTCTTCAATTTCTTTCATCGGTATTGTATATTTTTTCTTGTAGAGATCTTTTACTTCTTTGGTTAAATTTATTCCTAGGATTCTTTTTTTTTTTTTGTAGCCCTTGTAAATGGGATTCTTTTCTTGAATTCTTTTTCAGATTGATTGCTGTTAGCACATATAAATGTTACTGGGTTTTAATGTTGATTTTGTATCCTGCAACTTTACTGAATGTGTTTATAAATTCTAAGAGATTTTTGGTGGAGTTTAGGTTTTTCCCAATATAGCATGTTGTCATCTGCAAACAAGGCTAACTTGACTTTTACTTTCCAATTTGGATGTTGATGTGGGTTGGCTCTGTGTCCTCATCCAAATCTCATGTTGAATTGTAAACCTCAGTGTGGGAGGTGGCCCTGGTGGGAGGTGATTTGATCATGGGGGCGGACTTCCCCCTTGCTGTTCTTGTGATAGTGAGTGAGTTCTGGGGAGATCTAGTTGTTTAAAAGCACTTCCCCCTTTACTCTCTTCCTCCTGGTCTGGCCATGTGAAGGCATGTCTGCTTGCCCTTTGCCTTCTCTCATGAGTTTAAGTTTCCTGAGTCCTCGCCAGCTTTCTTCCTGTACAACTTAGAGAACTGAATTAGTTAAACCTCTTTTCTTTATAAATTACGCAGTCTCAGGTATGTGTTTATAGCAGTGTGGGAATGGACTAATACAGATGTTCTTTATTTCTTTCTCTTACCTACTTGCTCTGGTTAGGAATTCCAGTACTATGTTGAAAAGAAGTAGTGAAAGTGTACATTCTTGTATTGTTCCAGGTCTTAATAGAAATGCTTCCATGTATACAGTATAATATTAGCTGTGGGTTTGTCCTATATGGCCTTGATTATGTTGAGGCATGATTCTTCTATGACCAATTTGTTGAGAGGTTTTATAATGAATGGATGCTGAAGTTAATGTTTTTTCAGCATTTATTGAAACGATAATATGGTTTTGTGCTTGATTCTGTTGATGTGAGGTATCATATTTACTGATATGGATGTGTTGAACCCATTCTTGCATCCCTGGGATGAATCCCACTTGATCATGTAAATGATCTTTTAGTATGTTCTTGAATTCAGTTTCCTAGTATTTTGTTCATCAGAGATATTGGCCTGTGGTTTTCTTTCTTGTTGTGTCCTCATCTTGTTTTGCTATCTGGCAAATCCTGGACTCAGAATGGGTTCAGAAGTACTTCGTCTTCAATTTTTTGAAATAGTTTGAGTAGAATTGCTATTAGTTCTTCCTTAAGTGTTTGGTAGAATTCAGCAGTGAATTCATCAGGTCCTGGACTTTTCCTCATGGGCGACTTTACTAATACTTTAATCTGGTTACTTGTTATTAGTTTACTAATAACTTTACTAATACTTTAATCTGGTTACTCTGTTCACGCTTTCTAGTCCTTCATTGTTCAATCTTAGTAGATTGTGTGTTTCCAGGAATTTATCCATTTCTTCTAGGTTTTCCAATTTATCGATGTATACTTGTTCACAGTCTCTAATGATCCCTTGTATTTCTATAGTATCAGTTGTAATGTTTTCTTTTTCATTCCTGATTTTATTAATTTGAGTTTCCTATTTTATTTCTTAATTAGTATAGCTAAAATTTGTCAATGTCATCTTTTCAAAGAAACCAACAATTAGTTACTTTGATCTTTTGTATCTGTTTTTCGTCACAATTTCTTTTATTTCTGTTCTGATCTTTATTATTTTTTGCCTTCTATTAGTTATGGGTTTGGTTCTTGTTTTAGTTATTCTTTGAGGTGCATCATTAGATTGTTTATCAGAAGTCTTTCTATTTTTATAACATAGGCATTTATTGCTATAAACTTCCCTCTTAATACTGCTGTTCTGGTATGTTGTGTTTTCATTTTCATTGTTTCAAGAAAATTTTTAAGTTTCTTTTTAATTGACCCATTGGTCATTAAAAACATTTTTTTTTAAATTTCCATGTATTTGCACATTTTCCAAAGTTTCTTTTGTTATTAAATTCTAGTTTTATTCTGGTGTGGTCAGAAAATATACTTGATATAAATTTTACTGCTTTGAATTTGTTGAGACTTGTTTTGTGATCTAAAATACGGCCTGCCCTGGACAATGCTCCATATATTGATGAGAAAAATATATATTATGCAGCAGTTCAATGAAATAATGTTCTATACATTTCTTTTAGGTCAATTTGATTTACAGTAGTTTAACTCTGATGTTTATTTGTTGATTTTGTGCCTGGATGATCTGTCCATTGCTAAAAGTAGGGTCTCCTACTATTATTGTATTGCAGTCTCTCTCTCCTCTTTTAAGTCTATTAATGTTTGCTTTATATACTTGTGAGCTCTAGTGTTGAGTGTATAGATATTTATAAATGTTATATCCTTTTACCGGATTGACCCATTTATCATTATATAGTAACCTTCTTTACTCATTTTTACCGTCTTTGATTTGTAGTCTGTTTTTTCTCATATAAGTGTAGCTACTTCTGCTCGATTTTGGTTTCCAGTTGTGTAGGATATCTTTTTCCACCCCTTCACTTTAAGTCTATGTGTGTCCTTATAAATGAAGCAGATTTATTGTAGGCAGCATATACTTGGGATTTGTTTTTAAATCCATTCAGTCACTTTGTGTCTTTTAATTAGGGAACTTAGTCCATTTACTTTCAATGATCCTACTGTTAAGCAAGGGCTTACTACTGCCATTTTGCTGCTTGTTTTCTTGTTATTTTGGAGACTCCTCTCTTTCTTCCTTTCTTATTGTCTTTCTTTGTGGTTAATGATTTTCTCTGATAGTATGTTTAAGTTTTTTTTTAATTTTTAGTGTATCTCTTACAATTTTTATCTTGTGGTTATCATCATGCTTATGAAAACATCCTATAATTATAATAAGTTATTTAAATGGATACCAACTTAATGTTGACTGCAACAAAGAAGAAACCAACCAACAACAAAAAAATCTATACACATTAAATCCTTTCTCCCCCATATTTTAAATTTTTAATGTCACAAATTTAATTTTTCATTGCTTCTCTTAACTAATTAATAACATTATTTTTAATAGTTTTGTCTTTTAGTTTTCTTAGTAAAGATATAAGTGGTTTACATGCCATGATTCCAATATTAGTGTAACAGTAACATTATTGTCCTTTTCTTTCAGTTTGAAGAAATTTTAGCATTATTATAAAATTGGTCTAGTAGCAATAAATACCCTCAGCTTTTGTTTGACTCTGAAAGCCTTTAATCTCTTCATTTCAGAAAAGTAGCTTTGCTGGGTACAGTTTTCATGGTTGACAGGGTTTTCTTTCAGCACTATATCTTCTCACTTGCTCCTGGACTACAAGATTTCTTCTGAGAAATCTCCTGTTATTTGCTTCTTTTCTCTCACTGCTTTCAGGATCCTCTCTTCGTTTTTGACTGTTGAGACTTTAATCATGTCTTTGACTATTCTTATTTATGTGGTATCTGATTGGTGACCACTGACCTTCCTGTGCCTAGATATTTGTATCTTTCACCAGGTTAGAAAAGGTTTTTTTTTTTTGTTTCTTTGAATAAACTTTCTACTAAATCATCTTTCTCAGTTCTCTCTTTAACTGCAGTAACTCAAATATTTGTTTGTTTGATATCCAGTAGATCTTGTAATCTTTATTCATTTCTTTTCTTTCTTTTTTCACCTCTGATTGTATATTTTCAAATAGTCTGTTGCAAAGTTCACAGGTTCTTCCTTCTTTTTGATAAATTCTCCTGTTGATTCTCTTGATGAGGTCATATTTCCCTGAATGTTCTCAATGCTTGTGGGTGTTTGACTATGCCTGCACATTAAGGGGTTGGGTATTTATTTTAGTCTTTGCAGTCTGGCTTTCTGTATGCCTATTTTTCTGTAGAGGACCTTTCAGGGATTTAAATCAAACTCACTGTTTCTCTTTGAGCCTATGACCACTGCAGCCATCTCGTTATGAGAGGATGCTCTAAATCCATGATTGCCATAGGTCTCACATAGATTCCATGCTGGCCCACGTGTATCTGGGGAAGATAAAAGCAGTTTACTGAGGCTTTGTGGGAAAACTGGCCAGGGACATGAGTCCAGAAGACTGTCCTGGTGGGTCAGATCAGTGTGATTCTCAGCAGGTCTCTGCAGGGGTACATTGGGCCCCTGTCTATGGCAAGAAGGGCTGGGTTTGAAACTGTTGTCGTGAGAATGGAGTTGAATCTGCTGTAAATGGAAGCTGGTGGGCCCATTTATCCTATGTGGAACTTGCTGAGCTTCTTGAATATGAGAATTATTGTTTTTCATCAGATCTGGGAAACTTTCATCCATTATTTCATTGAATATATTTTTCCTTTGTCTTTTTCTTCTCTTTGTTGTATTCTCATTTCATGTCTGTTGGTGTGCTTAATGGCATTTCACATTCTTCTAAGTCTGCTCATTTTTATTCATTTTTTTCTCTAGATTGAATAATGACCATTAATCTATCTCCAAATTTACTGCTTCTTTCTCTTGAAAATTCAAATCTACCATTGAGCCTCTCTAGAGAATGTTTTATTTTAGGTATTGTGTTTTTCTACTCTAAACTTTTCATTTGGTTTTTTAAAAAATAATGTCTATCTCATTATTTATATTCTTTTTTTGATGATACATTGTCACTATATCTTCCCTTACTTCTTTATTCATAGTTTCCCTTAGTGCTTGGAAAATATTTTTAGTGGCTGCTTTAAAGCAACTTTGTGAAGCCCAACATCTAGGTCTTTTCACAGACAGTTTTTGGTGACTGATTTGTTTTCCCCTGTATATTATTAGTTCATTTTTCTTTTAATCTGCATTCCCCTAATTTTTTAATGATAATTTAACATTTTTGATATTATATTATATTATAGAAACTCTGAATACTGATTTCCTTTCTGAGCTTATTATTATTGTTTGCTTATTTATTTGTTTTGTTGTTTGCCTTGTGACTATTTTAGCAAAGTCTATTTTCTGCACAGCAGAAAGCCCCTCATGTTGCTCTAAAGAGGGTGCAGCCATGGAACTGCACAAAGTCACTCCAGAATGAGAGTGGTTTTAGCAGGGCTCTATCTTCCTCATCTCTGTTAAGCCATTTTTTTTTCTATTAGTTTCATACCAAGATTTTATGTTACACTAATGGTTGGATGATTTCTCTATTGTTTTAGACAATGCACTTAGGGGCATAAATTGTTCCACAGTGTGATGTTTGGGCACTTTTTCAGGAATAGATTTTGCATTTTATCCTTATTCCAAAAGGGTTCCTTTTATCTTTTCTTCTGGTTGTCTTTGGTAAACTAGCTGACTTTCAATGTAGCTTATTTTCTAATGGATTATCAATCTCCTCTTAATTGCTTACCTTCAAAATAGCCATTGCATTTGAGAGAGATATTAGATTTAAAATTTTTTACACTCTGTTGTAAATAAAGTAAATTCTTTTAAGAAGAGTTTTGGAGCCTCTGTTATAAGGCCTGCCTCTTCCCCTGAGCAATATCTTTTTGAGGCCAGTGCTCCTTAGTTGGGGATTGGACAGTGGCCCCCTTTCCTTAGAGTAGAATCCTTGCATTATGAGCAGGGCACTGGGTGAGGGAAGTACACTCTGGTCTTTGCATTTTGCCTTTCCTAATAGTGCTACCTAAGCCCTGTGAGTGAGCTGGGGTGGAGGTGATTGGGACCCACTATTCTTGGATTGCCATACCTGGAATAAAGCCCTAGTCAAATGTATGAGGAATGGATGGAGAAAAGGTGTCCCTACTTCTCAGCTACACTCACCTGGAATTAAATGTCTTCAATCCAGAGCTAGGGGAGGATAAGAAATCCTGGCAGCTGCCCTCCCTGCAGAAATACTCGATCTCATGACTGGGAGCTTGGAGAGAGGGAGCACTGTTATCTTGGCACTGCTTGTAGTAGAGCTCCCATCACAATGAGGGGAATTGTGGGGACGGAGAATTTGGGACGTAGCTCAAGTGCTACAGATACATTTCTTACTAAAATTAAGTAGAATTTCCTGAAAAAATATTTCTTCACTGCTGTATATTCTTAAGATAATTTGCAGAGACTTTAAATGTGGTTTTTAAAATAATTTTCACCAGTATTTTGTTTCACTAGGGTGCAAGTCTATGAAGTTGTTTATGCCACCATTTCAGAAGTCAAAGCACCACTATTCATTTTACAACTTCTTTCTGCAAAGCACTGTACCACCTTCTGAATGTAATACGTAGTTGAATAAAAAAATTATTCCCGTATTCAATAATGTAATGGAAGAGGCAGGAGCATCCACAATTAGATATTCTGCAAGGCACACATGGTAAGTGCTAGAACAGAGGTGCAAAATGTTGTCATTGCTTACAGTAAAAGCTCCATTGTGTTTAAAGCAGCCTAAAAAGGTTTCTCAGAAAAGCAGAGCTTGTAATGGTTTTGACAGACAAAGGGGGAGAAAAATGCAAGAGGTAGGGAAGGTCAAGATCCTCAAGAAGAATGGTAAGAAATCCACTGTTTGTGGTAGAGGATCCAAGCTACATTTTCTTTCATAGGTTACTATTTTCTCATACAAAACAATTTAGTTACTTTGGAATCCAGGTTGATACTTACTTTTCAAGCAATCAGCTGTGATTGTTTACAGAGCAAATGTGGATTATAAGTAAGCACAGCAGGACAGTTTAGAATAATTCCCACTCAAGGTACATGAAAAAAAATTTTAAGCAGCTTCTAGTATTAATATTTCTCAAAAGATTTAGCTTTACAGTTTAAAAATAATCAAACAATTCTGAAGCTCTAAAGCTGTTAAAAACACTGAAGTTTTATCATGCACATTTTTTCCCTCTACCCCTTCCAGCTTTAACACATCTTAATTAATGCTTAGTTTGGCTGTCACCAGCATCAACAATGTTTAGACAACTGAATCCCAGGAAGAAGGTTGCAACCTGTGCCTCTTCTAGGTTATAATCTTACCTCATTTTTTAGTTACTTTATCACCCATGTCTGTCCGTTTTTCTTTTTACCTCTTGTCTATGAACATCTCTTTAAATTAAACAAATTAGAGAGTAAAAGATGAAGTGAATCTGCACATGAGTTGTTAGACTTTAGATCATTTGACCCACTCTTTGCTCAATATTGACATTTAAGATGGAGGTTCAGCAGTTCTGCTAAGCTGAAGACTATGAGAACCAACATAGTTCTAGAAAGTAATTGCAAAAACAGCTATGATCACCAGATTTTTTAAAAAGGGCTTTTTTAAGCAATCAACAAAGAAACTGCTAGATCCTCTGTACCCTTGCCAAGAATCAGAGGACTGAATGTATTGGGTGTAGTTACATTTAGTATACTGACATTTCCCAGAAGAGAATCAGCAAATTTCAGCTTCAAAACCAAGTCGTTTCATCTTTGAATATTAGTAATGCTGAGGTTGAGAAAAAGCAGTAAAAATGAAAATAAAGTTTGAAATAAATTCTTGAGAAACAACAGAATAAGGAAAGAGTTATGCACAATGTTGAAAATGCCCAAGTAGGTCATACCAAGTAGTAATGGTAAACAGAGATCCTTGTTATACAAGGGCACATAGCAGAGACAACTGAGAATCTACAGTAATACATGAGTTGAGTCGGAGACAGAGCCATCCTTGTGTGGGTATACTACAACTGAGCAGTGGCTCTATTATTGCAGATGATTTGTGGGATTTCCTCTGCATGTGTGTGTGGTTATGTTGTTAAAGGTGGAGGGTGTCCAAGTTCTTGACGTCTTGAACAAAGAATGGGACAAAATGCACAAAGCAAGGAAGGAATGAAGGGATTTGTTGAAAATGCAAGTACACTCCACAGTGTGGGAGCAGGCCAAAGCATAGAGGTTCAAAAGCCTCATTACAGAATTTTTGGGAGTTTAAATACCCTCTACATGGGGGATGCCCTATGTAAATGAAGAGGATGAAATAAAGTTACAAAGTCATTTACTCAGCCTATACCCTATGGAGAGGATTTTTCCTGTCATAGCTGAAGTGTAATCGGCCTTATGTTCTCTGCCTCCAGACCCTATTTTCATGCCTCAATGTGATAGCAAGAACAGTCTGTGAAAAAAGAAATCCCCAAAGCAAACAAACACCAAAATGTGTTGAATGACTTTCCTTCTCTACATCTTGCTTCCTCCAGTCTCTTGACTGTTGGCTCACTCAGTCAGAGGATGAATGATCCACATTCACTTTCTCTGTGGTAGTTGGGTGGAGAGGACTTCAGCTGTCACGAGAAATGTCACCATGATCTTGGCTAAAATGACTAAACTCAGGGGTAAGAAAACAGCCCAGACAACATGGCATCGTGACCCACCAATTCTTCCATTTCTATTGTGTTAAATATCATATAACAATTATGTAGTTTTGTTATACTCCTCAAAGAAATTCCTGAGAAGCAGTTTCTATTAAAGAGAGTGCTTTTTATTGTGTTCTACATGCCCTAGAGTTTTGAGCTTAAACCACACCAACTGGATTTATCTATTTGTTTATTAGTAACCTAAATAATGTTATGACAAATGGGATTGGGAAACATTTTAATTTTTAATATCTTAATAATATCTTAATAATAAGGAATGTTTTGCTTAAAAACATTTTAGAAAGACTAATATAGTGGTTAAAAGCCTGATTTGGACCTAGAGTTAACTAGATTAGAATCCTGACTCTACCACTTTCTACTGGAGTATACTTGGGCAACCTAAACTAACTCAGCTTTAAATTAATCATCAAAAAAACAAAGATAATAATATTTCACCAGCTTGTTTTAAGAATAAAAGGAGACGATGAAAATAAAACTCACTATAATGTCTGACACATCGTCTGCACTCAATGGCAGTTGTTACTGTCATTATTCTTTTATAGAACAGAACAATCCAGAGAGTCCTGTAATCTCTCAATTTTTTAGGGTTTCTCATCATGACCTTTGTACCTGGCTTTATCACAG
The DNA here is from genome assembly GCF_000001405.40 of Homo sapiens. NCBI lineage: Eukaryota > Metazoa > Chordata > Mammalia > Primates > Hominidae > Homo > Homo sapiens. The sequence goes on from NC_000008.11 coordinate 62,122,596, forward strand.
GCAGAGTCCATTGAGAACAGATCCCTGGCCAAAAAACCAGGTCAAAACTGAGGAGATCTAGGTAACACCTAGGTATTGTTGCAGGGGAAAATGGGCTATTAGTAATTATGAGGGAAGAGAAGGAGATAGTTCAGAATAAAGCTTCAGGCAGGCAAAGAGAATCATTTCAACAAAGCTATAAATCAATGTTAATGGATACATTTGGTTTCATAAATTATAAATGATTTGAACTCTTCATAGTTATGTTAAAAGTAATTTTGACTAATTTACATACTTTTGCATATAATCAAATTCTATAACAACATTGAAAGATAAATATTATTAACCACCACATTTGAAACATGAAGATACTGAGGACAAAAATGATTCTGGACTGTACCCAAGATCAGAAGCCAGAAAGTGGCAGAGCCCAGATTAGAACCCAGATCCGTTTGACTCTACAATCCTACTCTTTGTATTTTTTTCTAGCCTTGGTTTCATAGCAAATACTGAACTCCTAGAGGATGGGAGCAATGGTGTTCCTATGTACCTTTGTAACTATTAGCTGTGGGATTTTGCTGCACTGCCCCCCACCCCCTGCCCCACTCCCACCCAGTGCTACTTCCCTGAGGTCAGTTCTGGGAAGCTGCATTGGTGACCATGAGTAGACAGGCACTGACCACTGATTGCAATAGCACTTGCTCTGGCTTGGCTTTTGGGCCTGGGGAGGAGGAGAGTGTATTCTTTTCCTAGGGCTGCCTTAATGAAGTTCCACAGACTGGTTGGGTTAAACCAATGGCAATTTTTTCATCTCATGGTTCTGGAGACTAGAAGTTCAAGATGGAGATGTTAGCTGGACCATGCTTCCTCTAAACCCTGTAAGGAAATGCTCCCTTGCCTCATGCTGGCTTCTGATTTTTTGCTTCCAACCTTGGCCTTCCTGGGCCAGTAGGTGCACCACTTCAATCTCAACCTTTGTTCTCCACATGGCATTCTACCATGTCCCTGTCTTCACATAGCTGTCTTCTTATGAAGACACCAGTCATATTGAATTCCTGGCCCATCCTACTCAAGGATGACCTCATTTTAGCTAGCTACATCTGCAATGATCAATTTCCAAATAATGTCACATTTTAAGGTTTAGAGGATTAGGACATCAACATATTTTTTTCCAGGGGACACAATTCAACTCATAGCAGAGAGAATCTTGCTTCTCTCATTTATATTTTATAAAATTTGATTTGTTCTATAGTCAGGACTCTTATTGAGAACTTTATCAGAAATATTATCTTTATAGAATACAACAGAATTCCAGAGTCAAGGAAATAAAATGTTTATATTTATATCATCCTTATAGAATATACCTGTTTGTTTCTTCCTAAGAATCATTGAGTATATTGGTAACAGAATGAACAATTAATCAAAGTTAAGTGTACCAAATAGACTGAGGCATAGTGGAAGTCAAGCCATGACCCTCCCATGTCTCTATGCCATTGGCACAGAGGTGTGGTTTCCCTATAGTTAGATCATTGCCATGCTCATTTTTCCCAGGAAAGTTTCTCAGCCTTATCCCTTCTCAGTAGAGCAATAGTCAGTCTTTGAGACCACATGAAAATGTTAGAGATCAGGTCTGAGCTGCATTCGAGTCTCATTTTACTATCAAACATTCAGGAAAGAGCCCACAGCCTACAGGCAAAGCAGGTGACCAGCAAGAACAGTTGGCATGAATAAGTGCCACAGCAGTCACCTGCAAAGCCGTGCTGCCCCGGGCATAGCAGCTGTAAAAATTGCAGTAATAAAATGGATCAAGCAGAAATCTACCTCAGCTGCAGCTGCTGTAAAGGAAGTTGACTGGGATGACTCTGGAACTTGGACCCCAAAGAGAAAACAGCTGTTCCCACAACAGGCGCTTGAAATGGCTGTTAATTCCATACCACCTAGAAAATTAATGGAAACACAAAGAAACCATCCATGGCAAATAAACGTCAAAGAGCTTTCTGATCGTAAGGATGGCTACAGAATGAAGCAAAGGAGGAAGCTATTTATAGAATGATAAATTAAGACCACCACTACCACAACAAATCAGTCTTAAAGATCCTCTTTGATGTCAACTCTAAGCATTTTCTGATGGAAAGGCCAAGAATGATCTCTCTGCATATGGCATGAAAGAATCTAAAGGGGCTTAGAGAAGAGGATGAGTTTTGTGTTTAGAGCAGTGCTGCGGAATGTTAGTGCAACTATTATCAACTAACATTTTCCTCTGAAAGTCCGACAGTGAAATATTTCTACATATAGGTCTTATCTGAACCTCCTTCCACAAAGTGCAGATCTCTGGGCCCTTTGTGTCTCAAGAATCTGGTCAGGCTCGGTGGGAAGTGGGTGTAGGAGAAGGGGATCAGTCCTCCACAGACTGTGCTTACATGGAACCCAGAGGGTGTGACCCACATAGTAGGTTCATGGGGAAGAATTTTCCATAAAAATCAGGCAGATTATCCAACCAATTTATTTGTCAGAGGAGGAGGATCCTGGTATGAAGCAAAAGTACAGCTCTTAGGAAAATGGATGAGAGCAAGTGGATTCTAAGCAGAGTAAAGTCTGGAACGCTGAGGGATGCCCTGCCCCTGAGAAAGAAGCTTACTATTCAAGAATCTTAAGCCTCAGGCAGGGCAGCTGAAAATGAGCCAGACTAAACCTGGATTGGAACCTTATCTTTGTGTGTGTGTACTATGTTACCTAAACAGCCCAAATTCTCCCGTCTTTTGTTTGTCTGGCCCATGATTAACCCTTCAAGCATGGCAGAATGAAATGAAAAAGAGGGAAGAGAGCCAGCCTCACTCCTTTGTGAGTGACAATGACTACCAAGTTGTCTTCAATTCAACCACCAGGGCTTGCAACAGTAAAATCTCATAGCATCTCAACTATCATCTTTTTGTGTTCATATAAAAGGCCGAGGAATTGTGCAGTTAGTTGGCATAAAAAAAAACTATGTGGACAGTTTTTCAACGCTGATTACAATAACTTAAATAACTTTCTGTTTTCATAGTACTTAATTGAGGAAAGCACAAAATTTTCGGAATCCTTTGTGAGTTCTTGCAGTATTTTCCTGAGGCAGATGGAGAATAAATACCTTCACTGCAGGTGCTCAGATGATCTATTATAAGGAATTACACTGAGAAGCACCCAGCCCATGTCTCGATCTACATGAACACTGCCCTGCACTGATGCTGAGTGGTCCTAAGTGGATGTCCATTGCCTATGAAACAGTAACTGCCTTTTCCACAGCCTTTCAGAATATCTGCCAGTGCTAATCAAACAAATGCTGGTGTAATTAGACAGTCCTAATGTAAATGCTTAATAGAAGCATGGCATTCTCATCTGATTACTTCACTGCTGCCGAGAAAAAGGATGTAATTTAACATTAAGACTATAATTAGCAAATAGTGCTCTTTTGCTAGGATAAACAAAATCCCTTGCATTTTGACAATAACTTTCATTCAGAATTTAAAATAAAATAACCTAACTACTCATAACCCTACTTTGAACACACTAACCCAGTCAATATCATTTAAGTTGCATTCAAAAAGTAAATTCAAATCACTACTTTTCAAGAGTTGATTTTACTGGGAGCTGTTACTTTGTTAAAAATTTGGTTTTAGTAACATGGGAATCCTTATTAGTAACACGGGGATCTTCATTAGTAACATGAAAATTTTCATTCCCCTTTATTTTTATTTTCAGTTTCTTGGTTTATTTTTAGTGGTTGCAGAGTATATGTCTGTGTATTAGAAAGTTTGTCGATTTTATAGTTCACATTAAGATAGCAAAAGGTATAAATGGTACAAACAGTCTCAATAGGCATCTTCCTCTGGTTCCTTCTATTAAGAAGAAAAGGTACCCAGTGGCTCCATTTTTTATGTTCCAAGTAAAGGGAGTCCATTAATCCAGTCTGGATTCTCAATGTCTTAGGGCACTTAGTCCTGGGCTGCTGTTGTACAGGTTTCTATTGGTGACAAGGGAAGCTGATAGCCCTTATATAGTGCCACAGATTAGGAGCTGAGCAGAAGCTGTCATTTTGTTCTACAGTGCTTGGCAATGACAAGTTCCCAGCATGACCATGAGAGTGAGTGCCTAAGATACAGTGGGTGGAAAAGGTCCCGTGGAGAGCAGACCAGGCAACTGAGAGTCCAGTGTGTGGGAAGGATCAGCCACATGTATACTGAAGTTGCCAAGAATCAAAGCAGAAGGGAGTCTCCTGTTTCGTAAAAGGAATGTATCTTAGACTACCTGTACTGCTGTAGAAAAATATCCAAGACTAAATAATTTATAAAGAAAGTCATTTTCACAGTTCTGGAGGCTGGAAGTCCAAGATCAAAAAATCGTGCCTTGTTACTGCATCCTACAGCAGGGAGGAATGCCATGTTCCCAGGCAATGGAAGGGATGAAAGGGCAAGAAAGCCCAACTCCCTGTATCCAGCCATTTTACAGCAGCATTAATCCATTCTTGAGGGTGAAGTCCTCTTGACTTAAACACCTCCCAAAAGGCCCCAACTCTCAACACTGTTGCATTGAGGATTGTTTCCAACACATTAAGTTTGGGGGACATATTCAGACCACAGCGGAATGATGAGAACCAGGAACTGGAACCGACAGAAATGAATGAAAAACAAAAAAAGAAGTTACAAAGAGATTGATTGGCTATATGAGATTTAAATCTTGCAAAGCCTTTAGAAGAAAGAGAAGGATCAAAACTCTTAAGGTTATTAAAAAGAAGAAAAATCAGAGAAATCATGACAGCCAGGAGGAGCCTAAAGAGATATGACAACTAAATGTAATGTGATAACCTGGATGGGACCCTGGAACAGAAAAAGGACAGTGGGTGACATCTAAGGAAATCTGAGTGAACTATGATCTTCAGTTAATAATAATGTATCAATGTTGGTTCGTTAAGTCATTGCAACTTAGGAATGTAAGATGTCAGTAGTAGAAGAAACTGGGTGTGAGGTATCTGGGGATTCTTTCTGCCAGTTTCTCAATTATTCTGTACATATAAAAATGAAGTCTTTTAAAAAACAAATTAACTAAAATGAAGGATTCAATGAACATGTTAAGAGCCGACTAGATAGAGTTGACAAAAAAATCAGTGAGAAATCAAAATATCAAGACAGATCAGAAGATAATGAGAATAAAGGATAAGGAGACAAAAAGATCTAAAATAAGAATAAGGAGACAAAAAGATCTAAAATAAGGTTAAGGAGACAAAAAGATCTAAAATAAAGAAGAGGTTAACAAGCTAACAGGCAGGGTGAGAAAGTCTAAACACGAACTTCTGCAGAAGAGAAAAAAATGAATGAGGCAGAAGTAATATTACAAAAGATAATGGCTTAGAATGTTCCAGAAATGATGAAGGAACTCAATCCTTACATTCAAAATCCCAGTGAAGCCCAAGCAATTTAAATAAAAAGAAATACATACTAAGACTCTTAGTGAAACTGTAGAAAACCAAAGAAGATAATCAAAGTGACAGCCTTTAGACTAACAAGTAGCTTCTCTAAGGCATCCACAGCAGTTGAAAGAAGAAAGAAGAATATCTCTGACGTGCTAAAAGAAAAAAAAAAAGGTGACTGTTAACCTTGAAATTCAATGTGCAGAGAAATTACCTCTCAAGAATCAAGGCAAAGGGGGCAGTCTTTTCAGGTAAACAAAGATCAAAAGTGTTTGCTACTTTAGGTCCTGTTCACTTTTCATTGGTTAAATTGTATAATTAAATGAGGATGTGAGAGAAATTACCACGTGTAAATCTCTGGAGTCTTTGATGGTTTTCCTACCCCCTACAGTATCCCCTAACAACAGAGATATAGAGATGCATGCTGTGTTGCTGTTTGGTAGATAGGGAGCTCCAGGAACCTCCCACTGGCTCTGTACACCTTTGGTCTTAATCCGTCAGCAGAGACAACAATGTAGAGATGCTGCCTTCCCCTAAAGATGTTAATTCCAAATATGCATTCAGGGGCTGTAAAAACAACCATAAAATGGGATTGAAGCCCTTTAGCTTTTCCAGAAGGCTAATGTGAAAAGTCCAGTTTTCTCCTGATGCCCATAAGACCCAAATAAGATTGGTGGTATGCAGCAGTGTTTGGGGGTTCCAGGAATTAGATGAATTAGGTGAGACATGGTGCCTGATAGTTCTTAAATGATTTGATATTTTTATTCCATTGAAGAATTACCCTAGTAGGTGGCTTTAGAGTCCTTTGAGTATGGCTAGGAAAAGCTTCACAGGTCATCATACATAGTGGATACATTGCAAGGTTCATTCTTCAGCCCACCCTGCCTTTTTCCAAGTTCTTGGATTTAACTATTTCAGGACTGGGAATTGAGACAGAACTGAAACCATTTATTATGGTGGCTCAAGAGAGACTTTCATTGCCCAGACCTGAAATTTATTTTTTAGTTTTGATTTGCTTCCAGGAAACTAATGCTCAATTGACTCATGGCTTTGACTTGACATTTGTTACTCTGGAGTATGGAACATTTCTTAATTTTTATGGCAGAAGCATTGCAATCTCCCAAAGTCTTACCATAAATAGGAACTTGATTTTGGAGAAGCACAAGTGGGAATTTACTTAACTAATATAGTTGCCTCATTCCACAGAGTGCTATATTCCTCCCCAGGTTTACTGATGGGAATTGTTACTACCAACTGCCTTATTTTTTGCCTGGAACGAATTCCAGCTTTCTCTTATTTAACTAATGGGCTTTTTCACCTGTACTGTTGTTAACCTGAGTCAGTTAGGGTTTATAAATGCAAGCAACAGAAATGAATATTAATAGTAAGGGAAATTTATCAGAACATTATTAGATGAGTTCATAAAGTAATTAGGTTACTAGACCCCATTTTTGGAAAACGTGTTGGAATCAAGGAGCTCTGGAGAGCTACGCGGAAGGGATGACAGGCGTCTGCAAGAACAGAGTGTCTGAGTCCACCATAGTTTGCAGTGTAAGAGTTAGCATTCACTCAGAAGTTATCATTATCTTTGTCACCCATAATGTTTCTTTAATCCCATCAAACTTCTAAACAGAGCAAAAATTAGCTTTTACATACAGCATACATTACTGGCAGTTGCTCCATCAAAATTTTTGCAGTCTTATTCCAAGTTTATTTTGACAACATCTTTGAAGGTACTTTTGCATTCAAATGTTTCGATCAGTACACTAACAGACAAGAGAACAAACATTTATGAAACTAAGAATTGTGTTATTTTAAAACCAGTAATATTTAGGCTACCTCTAATCATGACCTTTTAAAATCAGCTTATAAATATCCCCAAAGTAAGAAATTGAGTGGTAATTGGAACATGAGCTACTTAAACTTCTGTTAAAAAAATTAACTGTAGGTTATATCTCATTAAAAGTACATCAGAATGCCCTGGGACAATTTTCTGGCTTAGGAAGCAAATGTCTTTATTAGTTTTATAATAGGAAGCAAAGTTGAGTTATCTAATACCTAAAGCTTGACAATCACCACTGGAAAAGCTTTTACAAACTGACTGAGTTCAGGATCAAAAGAAGTGAAAAACTTTGTAAATAAGAAAAAAAATTAAGAGTGCGGATTTGAGGAATTAAAACAAGGATAATGTGTAAGGACAAGGGAGACCAGAAGAACAGGACACCCCAGATCTTAAGAGTAAGCAAATAATTCACAATTCCTCTTTTCTTTGTCTGCCAAGGACGTATCCACATTATGGATAAAAAGTAATCCCCTAGCTGATAACTTCACAAGGTGAAATACTCCATGCAAAACTTCAGAGGCTTCTACTATAAGAAACGATTTCTTCCTACTAGAAAAAAGAGTGAAACCCTTGAGTGGCTTGTATTATAAGAGCTATATTTAGGAATGTCTTGTAAACGGATAGATAATTACAAGAGGTTGTTTTGGTTGATTGAAGAACAGTCAGACAACTCTAAATTTGGACTGAGTTAATAAAGAATAATTTTTTTCCCCAAGCTCTTTCTGTGGTACCATTTGTTTGAGTAACTTGAATCTGACTGACAATTTCAGAACAGATAAGAAGTATATCCATGTCTTAGTGGCAGCAGTGCTCAGGGGATGGTGACGACAGGAATTAACAGGTAAAACTAAGGCCGCATGTGGTGGCTCGTACCTGTTAATCTCGGGGATTTGGGGGTCCAAGGCAGGAGGATTGCTTGAGGCCAGGGGATTGAGACCAGCCTGGGCAACAGAGCAAGACCCCATCCATAGGAAAAAAAAAAAAAACTTAGCCAGGCATGGGAGGCTAAGGCCGGAGGATGATTTGAGCCCAGGAGTTCCAGGCTGCAATGAGCCAAGATCAAGCCACTGCACTCCAGCCTGGGTGACAGAATGAGATGTAGACTCAAAAAAAAAAAAAAAATTTTTTTTTCAAAGCGCAAATTGTCTTCCCACAATTGTAAAACTGGCTTATGGCCAATGGAGAAGGTGAAAAACTGAAGCACAGCTTTGTAAACAAATTCAGACTAATTCTATGATCCTAAAAGCTGTCAGCCTCAGATTTCCATTCTAAGAAATAAAGGTGTTAAATAATCTCTGAACACCCTTTGGATTCATGTGTCTGTGCTTGCAGTTTAACTGACTAAAAATGAATTATCTCATTATGAACAAAATATTATTACGTATTTTGTTTTACCCATTTTTTTTTGGTCTAATATTGTCAAACTTCATAATTATTTTCTGTTAACACTAGAGGTCAGGCTAAGAATAGTCCTGCTTTGTATATTATGAACCACATAAGATATTATAAATACTTTAGATATTTTGACTTTTTTAAGAGTTTTTGAATTTCCATTATAATTGTTACATTACTCATTCACACTTTGTCAACAATAAAGGTAATGAAAGTTTTTTTCTAAACACTAAGAAAACTGAAAATATAAACAGTATGCCTTTGATGTGTGTGCTAATATTACAGATAAAAATTCAACAGATTTTTTAAGTAAATCAACAACTTAAGCTTTCTTCACCTAAATATATCATTATTATATACATTTTCCTAACCTTAGCCATTCATTTTTCTTTTACTTTTTCATATTTTCCCCCTGCAGAATTACAAGCACTATGACAAAAGTAACAATTTACCACAACCTTGAAATAACCTTGAAAATCAAACAAAAGCAAAAATAAAGATGCAAAATTAATAGCATCACTTTAAGCTTAAGGCTCTAGGAAGCCTTTTGAACTTGCCAGGAGTTTAGGTGAACCTTATACATTACCAATCTCACATCCAAATGCACACAAAAATAGACTTAACACTATTTTACAGAGAATTAGTAAATTCTTTCATGTCACACTTGGTAATCTAAAGTAAAGCAGGGAAAGGTATGAAAATGTGATTAAAACTCGGAAGAGAAGGTAAGAAAACATTAAGCTAGGGCTTATGGGCCATATGAGGTAGAAGTGGTCTCTACACAAATATAAACAGATAAAATACACTCTTTGCATTTCAGAAATAGAGAACTTCTAGCCATTGGGGGGAAAAATAAATAAATGCATCGTGTGTGTGTGTTTGTGCATGTGTGTGTGTCCCATTTATTCATTTAGTTCACACGTGCCTACATATTCGCAACCAAGTCTTTTTCTTTAGGCAGTGTAAGATATGCATGTAAAACTTAAAGAAATTTTTACCCCCTAAAACAGGAGGTTCTTCAAGAAATTACTATATCCTCAAAGAACCAATGTTATCAACCATCTCCCTAAAAGAAAGTCTTTGCCTGAAGAATCACTAGATACAAAGTCAAGATACCCTGCAGAGGACAGGGGCGATTTTCCTAATAAGGTTGTTGTGTTGAGATAAATGCGCTGAGCTGCAGTTAGAGGATGGGCTTTCCTGATGAATCATTTCCAGCATGCCCCTGACCAGGTGCTTTGTGAAGGCCTCTGTGCTCTCTTAGCACTCAGGGGCTGGCCAGCCTGGCATCCACACTGTTTGGATCAATTGATTGAATCAATTGATCTTTTATATTTTTTTATTGTTTCCGCAATCCCCTAAATTCCCCATCAGTGTTTCGTTTTCTCCAGAGCATCTTTCCACACCAGACACGTGGATACCTTTTCATCTACGGAAAATGAAGGATCCTCACAGGTAGAGCTTGGAGGTGAAGGGCTAAGAACAGGTCAGATATGCCCATACAATTTCTGTTTCTGCCGAGTGAACAGGGAAAACCACTACATTCACTTTCCCTGCCATTCCAGGTGCACGTACTTAAACCAAAGATGATACAACAGGGTAAACTGCTAGTGGGCAACATAAAAACACCAACGATATTTTTGAAATTTTCTTTTCTCATTTTTTAGAGAGAGAGTCTCACTCTGTAGCCCAGCTGAAGTGCAATGGCGTCATTACAGCTCACCCTTGAACTCCTGGGATCAAGTGATCCTCCCTCCACCACAGCCTCCTGAGTAGCTAGGACCACATGTGTGCACCACCACACCTAATTTTTGTTTGTTTTTGTGTAGAGACGAAGTCTCACTTTGTGGTTCAGGCTGGTATCAAACTCCTGGCCTCAAACAATCCTCCTGCCTCAGCCTCCCAAAGGGCTGGGATTATAGGTGTGAGCCACTGCGCTCCTGACTGAAATTTTCTGTTTCCATTGGAAAAGCAGAACATGCTAATGTATAATAATTTGGGAACTGGAGAAAAGGCGAAAGGCAAAAAGTCACCTAATATATTACTGTCAACAATTCTATTTTTCAATTTATTTTTCAAACCTAGTTGTTTTCTTTCCAATAGAGATGTAATCCTGGTTTAAAAAATTGCATTCTGATATTGTATATTCTTTATAAACACCTTAACTTATGGCATATTCATCCTCCAACTTTATTTTCTATAAGTTAAATTTACTCAGTTTTAAAAGTTAGTTTTTTTTTCTTTTTTTATTTTTTATTATTATTATACTTTAAGTTCTAGGGTACATGTGCACAACGTGCAGGTTTGTTACATATGTATGCATGTGCCATGTTGCTGTGCTGCACCCATTAACTCGTTATTTACTTTAGGTATATCTCCTAATGCTATCCCTCACCCCTCCCCCACCCCACAACAGGCCCCGGTGTGCGATGTTGGCCATCCTGTGTCCAAGTGTTCTCATTGTTCAATTCTCACCTATGCGTGAGAATATGAGATGTTTGTTTTTTTTTGTCCTTGTGATAGTTTGCTGAGAATGATAGTTTGCAGCTTCATCCATGTCCCTACAAAGGACATGAACTCATCATTTTTAATGGCTGCATAGTATTCCATGGTGTATATGTGCCACATTTTCTTAATCCAGTCTATCATTGTTGAACATTTGGGTTGGTTCCAAGTCTTTGCTATTGTGAATAGCGCCGCAATAAACATATGTGTGCATGTGTCTTTATAGCAGCATGATTTACAATCCTTTGGGTATACACCCAGTAATGGGATTGCTGGGTCAAATGCTATTTCTAGTTCTAGATCCCTGAGGAATCCCCACACTAACTTCCACAATGGTTGAACTAGATTACAGTCCCACCAACAGTGTAAAAGTGTTCCTATTTCTCCACATCCTCTCCAGCACCTGTTGTTTCCTGACTTTTTAATGATCGCCATTCTAACTGGTGTAAGATGGTATCTCATTGTGGTTTTGATTTGCATTTCTCTGATGGCCAGTGATGATGAGCATTTTTTCATGTGTCTGTTGGCTGCATAAATGTCTTCTTTTAAGAAGTGCCTGTTCATATCCTTCGCCCACTTGTTGATGGGGTTGTTTGTTTTTTTCTTGTAAATTTGTTTGAGTTCTTTGTAGATTCTGGATATTAGCCCTTTGTCAAATGAGTAGATTGCAAAAATTTTCTCCTATTCTGTAGGTTGCCTGTTCACTCTGATGGTAGTTTGCTTTGCTGTGCAGAAGCTCTTTAGTTTAATTAGACCCCATTTGTCAATTTTGTCTTTTGTTGCCATTGCTTTTGATGTTTTAGACATGAAGTCCTTGCCCATGCCTATGTCCTGAATGGTATTGCCTAGGTTTTCTTCTAGGGTTTTTATGGTTTTGTTAGTTTTTTCAACATTTTATTTTGTTCCTTTATTTCAAACACATGAAAGAATTACAAGAATGGTACAAAGAACTATTGTACACCACTTATCAAGATTTCTTACCAAGCTTCACCATTTGTTACGTTTTGTCCCATATGATTTATCATTCACTCAATGTCTCTTCTCCCTTTCTCTCCCTATTTCACTCCTTCTCTCCTATTCTTGTGTTTCTCCAGCATCTGACCAATAAATTGGGTTGTGAAACCTTTAATTTTTGCCAGTTCCAGAGCTGAGTAATAGATCCAGGGTAGTTATATTTTATTTTTCGTATTATAAGTGAAAGTGAATATATGTGTTAAGATCATTTTAAATATTTTCTTTGTAAATTCTTTATCTTTTTGTTCATATATAGAAATATGAGAAATTTGTTTCTCTTCCCCCGGTTTTAAATATTCCTTGTATTATTAATATTGGTTCTTTATCTGCTATGTGTGCTGCAAAGTATTTTCTTTCAATTTGTAAATTGTCTTTTAACTTTGCTTATGGTGATCTGGCCATATAAAAGTACTCTATTATTTGTTTTATTTGATTAAATTTATAGATTATTCTTTTATTATCCTTATATTTTTCAGTGTTATTTAGAACATTTTTTTCTACACTCAAATTATACAGGTACTTATTCTTTTATAATTAATAATTTTAGGGGCAGAAACTTTGAAAATATGTACAATTCAGTTACTAAACAAATTTTAGGTCTATCTATTTACATCAATATAAAATCATAGTTTCCTATTTTAATAAGTGGGCTGAAATATGCTACTATCATTAGTTATGTGATGCTTATATTGTAGTACACTGGCTTTTGTGCCCTTTTGACATGTCCCCATTATTATTTGAGTGCTTTTATGCTTTCTGGTACACACACACAAATGCTGTATGTCCCAGCCTTGGATTCAGTCACTTCTTCAAAGAGCCCTGGTTGCTTTAGGTGGAGAATGTTCTCTTCTGTCTAGATGTCATCCTCATTCCAGCAGCTCCAACTACTGACTCTGGGCCACCATGGCTGCCTTCCCTTTGTAGAATAGTCATCTGCCTTGTTCTGCCCCACTAAAGAGCTTGCAGTGAATCAGTCTGGAAGCAAAAAAAGAGACAAGGGAAGAAGAGGAAAGAAAAAAGAAAAAGAAAGTGAAAAAAGATAGTTCATTTATTTTCATACTTTACATTTTATTGCTATAATGGTTTAAACATATTAGTTTTCTTCTGAGAATTGCTTTGAATGTATATAATATGTAGTCTATTTTATCATTATTTTAAGATATTTTGTATTTTAGTTTGAATTATCTTCATTCATGGAGATTATTTCAAGGGTTTTAAAAATAGATTTTCTTTTCTATGTACATTTTTAAGTGAAAGTAAATTATAGAGGTGTCAGTATTTTCTATTTTATTGCATTGCAGTCAGAAAGTATTGTTCATAATACCTCTATATTATCCAGCTACAGATGTTTTCTTATGGCTCAGGAAATCATTCATGGAATTTATGATCAATATTTAATATTCCATGTGCACTGGAAATAAAGGTGCATCTTCTGTTAAGTAGGTGTACAGTTTGTTTTATACTTATGCAATGTACCTTATCTTATTGATTATGTTATTTAGGTCCTCTATATCCTTATTGTTTTAAACACTCAGTCTGTCATACTGTAAATGATATTCAGGTCTTCTCTTATTACTGTCTTTCTATCTGTTTCTTCTTTCATCTTTTTTCATCTCCTTTAATTTCCTGTAGTTTCTCCTCTGTAAAGGTAGCAATGTAAAATATTATTTGGTGTGTAGATAGTCATAGTTGTTACTTCTATTAGGAATTGTGGTTTTTATGATAAAAAGTGTCTTTCTCCTACTTAATTTTTTGTTTGTTTATTTGACTTGACTTTGCCTAACAGGGTCACAAATCCTGCTTTCTTGTTGTTTGCATTTGACTGATATATCCTTGAGCTTTCCTATTTTTTTAGATATCTTATGTCCAGAATTATAGCTTAGTATTTCTTTGTTAGCAAAACTCAAAGTTTTCTTTTAATAATTGAGTTAAACCAATTCACATTTATTGAAATGACTAATATAACCCATTTTATATTTCTTATAACTATATAATTATAATTGTATAATTATTGTATTATATTATATTTATTTTGTCTCCTGCATTAGTTGGGTTTACTTTGTTCTTTTACATTTTAAATTAAATTTGGTATTTAGAATAGTTTGTATTTTCTTCTAGTGGTTACTTTTTTACTTATTACTTTCTAATGTTTTCAGTATCTTGTTTCTTATCTAAACATTTACTATTAGGTTTGTTGATTTTTAATAGTATCTTCTGACTCCTGACTATTGCCTGTATAAAAATCAGTGAGCTTATCCCATGTTCCTCTTTTGCTTTTTTCCATTATTTTAGTGCATTATTTTTACTTTATCAAAATACATAACACTCGTTCACCATTATTCCACCTTCTTCCCCACTTTAGCCATAATCTCAGTTCTACACTTCAATAAATAAGTGCTCATCATGATATCTTTTGCTGATGATTCCCCCCCAGTCATCTCTTGGTTTTAAAGCTCTGATAGATTCTTCAAAAAGAACTGTGAGCACTGCACAACCTGGGTTCTTGAATGTTTACAATCATTTTTTTCACAGCCTTGATACCTAAATGGTAGTTTTGCTGAATGTAAAATATTTGATTCACTTTTTTTTCCATGAAAATGCTGCTATATTATTGTTTTGCTTTTTATGTTGCTTTAAAGAAATCTGATTATCTTGTCCTTTTAAATTACTGATCTTTTTGCCTATAAGTCAAAAGGATTTGCTTGGTAAGGATTTTTTAAATCATTACAGTCTTACAGATTTATTAACATACTTCTTGGGGCTGGCCATTGCTAAAGTCTAACCTTGCCAGTTCTCTCTCCTTTGAGGGTATCCCATGTCAAAACACACCTCACCAAGGCCAGTGAGGGCAAGAAATTCAAAAGTTCACTACTCATTCAGGGAAACTTAAAGTAAAGGAGTCCCCTTGATGTCATTTGACATCAAGACCAAGGGAGAGAAATGGAGGTCCTGGATGGGTACACAGGCACACACACACATCCTGGGAATTTATAAATAATGCCAAAGTAGATTAATTCTAGAAGTGATGTTAGTGTGTAAGCAAACAGATACCATAGCTTAGCAGTAGTAAATAGGGTAAGATGGTCTTTGGTTCTCTCTCCAGTAGGTGTTAACGATTTTGCCAAATGTCATTTGCTGTGACTTATTCCTTCCAACTTTATTTTTCCACAGACATTTCAAGAAAAGTGCTCAGGAACCTATTAGGTGTCTTCCATATTTAAAAAGAGTCTGGGCCAGGCGCGGTGGCTCATGCCTGTAATCCCAGCACTTTGGGAGGGCTGAGGCAGGTGGATCATGAGGTCAGGAGATTGAGACCATCCTGGCTAACGCAGTGAAACCAAGTCTTTACTAAAAATACAAAAAAATTATCCGGGCATGGTGGCAGGTGCCTGTAGTCCCAGCTACTTGGGAGGCTGAGGCAGGAGAATGGCGTGAACCCGGGAGGTGGAGCTTGCAGTGAGCAGAGATCGCGCCACTGCATTCCAGCCTGGGCAACAGAGCAAGACTCGGTCTCAAAAAAAAAAAAAAAAAAAAAAAAAAGTCTTTATTTTATTTCCAGGAATGTTTATATTAAAAAATTCCATACTAGTTTTGCTTTATTATTGTTTTTTGTTGTCAGAGACTTCATATTATATGACTTTTTGCTATTAGCCTGCTTTCTACTTATTTAGCTACTTTCCTTCTCACCATTTTATTTCTTATTATATCTCATTTTCCCTCTCTTGGTAATTTCCTACCTTTCTCCAATGTCCCTTATTAAGTTTTTGTTCAAGCATATTTTCCCTTGGGTTCCTAATAATTTAGTCACCACTGCTGATGAAATTGTGTCTTCTCTCTCCCGCTCCCTGTTCCTCATCCCCTCTCATTCCCTCATCTGCTTCCTCCTGCTCCTTCTTGGAATTCAATCAACTTTCATTTCATTTCTTCCTTAATATATGAACTTCTTATTCTTGTTATATATATCCACAATTGCTTGTCTGAGACTATTTAATTTAGTTTGAAATATTGTGTTAGACTCTTCTGCTTTGTGGTTGGTTTCTTGAGAGATAATTTTCATCAGGTAAAATGCCTGCTTCTCACTCTGTTTTTCTTTTGTAGTAACTGTGTAGATGAAGACTGTTTACATTTATGCAATTTGTGGACAGAATGCCAGCAGGTTGAGTTACAAGTTTCCTGTATCAAGAGCATCTTCTTAGGTCAGTGTTGGCAAATGCACATCTTTACGAGATCAGACGAGATCGGGCGGGCGTTCAGGGTGGAGTGGCCGTAGACTGCACATCTTTAATTATTGCCCTTGTTTAGTTTGTTTATTTGGTTAGTGTGAGAAGAGACTAAATGCCCTGGATTTTATTTTTTTTTTTCTAGCAGGATCACAATATTTTCCCTTTTGCTTCTTTTCCATTTCTCCTTCCATTCTCCAAAGGATGCCTCTCCCTTTATTGTACTCTTATTCTTTGAAAGCATTGCCTCTCAATTCAGTCACCACGCATCCCACACACTATTATATCCCTTTTCTGCAGCCAGTGCACTGATTTACCAGACATACTTTCCAGTATTTTCACACTTACAGTGGATGTTTCCTCTCTGGGGGTGATTTTAAGTCAGTCGTAGGCCCTTTCTTCTCTCATTCCATCTTCCTCAGTAGTGTTTCCAGCATCCACCCCCAGCCCCACCTTTATACAAAATTTGAGAGATGGTTCTGCTGAAAATCGGCAATTTTTTTTGTACTTACAGTGAGTTTGACGTTTGTAGTATTTTCTGAACTGTAGTTATGCTATTTGCCTGATTTTATGTTATATTGAGAAAAAGATACTACAAAGGAGTGGCCAGTGGGGATAATGTAGTGTCACAAAGCTAAGGGGAAAATTTTTTCGAGAATAAGGAAAAGATCAATATGTCAAGTGCTGCTGGGAGGTTGATTAAGTTGAAGGCTGAAAGCTAACCATTGGTTCAGGCAGCCTTGAAAAGTCTCACTGTTGAAAAGCCAGCACAAAGGGCCTATTGACATGGGATCTACAAAGAAAACAGTGTGAGAAAGTGGATACAGTAAATGGAGCAAGTACAGAACACTCATTTAAGAAGGCTTATTATAAAAGGTCAGATGCACATGTGGTAGTTAGAGGGCACTGTGGGGTCAAGTGTTTTTTTTTCACTTTTAATTTAAGCATACATACTTTTAAAAGTGCACATATTTTAAATATAGCTCTTGATGAATTTTCAGAAACTCAACAGCCTGAAGAACAAAGAAAAGAGCATTACTACATTCCCAGAAGCCCCCAGTGCTCCATGCACTCAAAAATTACCCCCAAAAGGGCAACCCCTATACTACAGTCCAACACTAGAGGGTTAGGTAATCTTTTCTTTCTGGTTTCCTTTGCTGTGTATTATTTTCTGAGAGAATTATTCATTTTGTTACGAGTAGTTATAGGTTCTTCATCCTAACTGCTATTTAATTTTCTATTGTCTCGATATATGTACTATAATTTATTTATCCATTATAGCGTTGAAGGGAATCTGAAAAGCTCACAATTTTGGATGATTATGCATAGTGCCATTATGTGCTATTGATAATTTCTTAGTTACTAGTCATATATTTTCTAGTACATGGATTTTGGTGACTTATGTATGAATTTCCATGGGGCTTATACCTGGGAATCAAATTGCTAGGTCATAGAAAAGACATATATTAAGAAACTATGGCCAAAGTATTCTAAATATTTTTTATTGAAGCACTTTATAAGCATTTCAGTTGCTATTTTTGCTAAAACTTAGTTGCATTTTCATTTCATTTTATCAATTGTGAAATGTTATTTGCATTTTCCTGATGGCCAATGAGATCATATGTTTATCGGCCAACTGGACCAGATGTAGTATCTTTTAGAATGTGTCAATTGCCAGCTTTTCTCTTTGGTTAGCTCTCTTATCCTTACTGATTTTTAGGGTTTGTAAACATTCTGGTTATAAGTGATTTACTGGATGAAGTATATTTTGAGATGTGAAAAAATATTAAAGTATGTTTTATACTAATAACAGTAATTTGGTGATTCAAGATACAGAGAGAACTGCAGGAGAGAAACCCTTGAGTTAACAGTAGTGTATGGGACCCAGGATAGTAGTAGCTGACCACTGAAGCTCTATAATATTTAAACTTTTGTTATAGCTAAATGTTTCTGATATTTACTATTATAAATGTGATGAGTATTTTAACTCGGTAAAATTTTACCCATATATTGGGTGATTTTCAGTTTCTAAATATAGGAAATATTGATTAAAAATAAAAAAATTAAGGCTTTTGGTGCAAATACATAGGTAAAGCATTTTGTGCTGTGTGCACTGGCTTTCTGTTATAAAGACATTGCTACCAAGGCATGTTATTAATTCTTAGAATATTGTCATTGTACATTTAACTTTTACTTTTTAGTCTGTTTTTCTCCTTCAAGTCTTTGACTAAATCCATTTTGCATTATTTTATCTAATTATATTGTTGTATCTTTTAAACTTTTAACACTTTTGTTAAATGTCCTAAGTATATTTCAACCATTTGAACATTTTTTGTTTAATTTTTTACATTTTACTTTTTGGGTTTATTTTTAGCAAGTTCTAGTTTGTCTGAATTTTTACATTTCTCTGTTTTCTTGTTTATTTTAATTATGGTCTTTATATTGTATTTTTATTTTTGCTAAATATACTTTTAGTTTTTCTTGACTAGCAGAAAATATGTTAGGAGTAACTATTTAAATAACTCATACCCTAGTTCTAATAGTTTTAATCCTTTATTTGGCCTTCATGGATCTTTGGCCCTTTCTATGTCTTTTTGTAGCAAAATAGATAATGCAAAAATCCATGGTCTTTGCCTGTGTAATTATGAATCAAAATACAGGTCATGCAATAGTTGGCAGTTTAACAAAAGAGAGAGGTTGGCTGATAATTCTATTGATGAAAGGTACCTCTCTCCTGGATAAATTTAATCAAACAGTAAGTGTTTGAAAGATACTTGGGATTCCTTTGATATTCCTATATGCTAAGGCAACATTGACTAGGGCAGGGGTTATATAATTTTGGAATAAAGACAGTTTACTCTTCTGGAGATTACCTGATAAACAAAAAACAACCCTTATAAAAGCAACATGATCTTGTCTGTTATTTTAGAGCAAAAATAATACTGGCCTCATCTCTTACTTTAACCCTCAGTTGTACTAAAACAAGGGTGGACTCCTTAACAGTGTTGCTCATGACTTTAGAAGAACTTTTTGATTTTTTTAAACAAGGCTTGTGTATTTGCAGCCCACTCTAGTGGGCCCATGCATGTAATCCCAACACTTTGGGAGGCTGAGATGGGAGGATCATTTGAGCTCAGGAGTTTGAGACCAGCCTGGGCAACATGGTGAAATCCCATCTCTACAAAAAATTCAAACAAAAAGTAGCTAGGGGTTGTGATGTGCACCTGTAGTCCCGGCTACTCAAGGGGCTGAGGTGGGAGAATCTCTTGAGCCCAGAAGGTTGAGGTCGAGACTGCAGTGAGCCGAGATCACGGCCCTGCACTCTAGCGTGGGCGACAGAATGAGACCCTGTCTCAAATAAATAAATAAATATTTTTTTTTAAAAAGGGCTCCTTTCAATGTTAGCCAAGGAATATGGAGATAGGTCCTAGTGACCTAACATAGATTATCACTTTTTTCTCAGTTTTAGTCCAAGATTTCCAGCTTCCTTCCTCATTACAGAATATTTTTTTTCACCCTGCCTCACAGTATAATTACCCTTCCAAATCCACCCTTTCTGAAGAATTACAGATGCTTAGTTTTCTACATTGCTCATTATCAGTCACCCAAAGGTGGGAGCTGCATATGATTATTCTTCTCAGCTGATTTACTTCTCTGTTTGCAAGCATCTCCTCATAAAATCTAGTCTAGGAGCTGGAGGACTTTTCCACCAGAAAAAAAAAAAAAAAAAAGTTAAACACGAGATGTAACCTGCATTAGGCCTGCTGTATCCAGTGAGCAGTGATGTCTGTCAAGCCATGGCTGTATACCTTCACTTTCCACATCTCCGTGAGGCAAATAATAGGTTATTTCTATACTGAAAAGACTGCCAGACTATACTTTCCAGTGGCTAACGTAATTACAAACAATTTAGATCTTTTAACTCCCCTCTTTGTCTCTAATATTTTATCCTTCTAAGATGCCTAGATTATAAAAAAAAAAAAAACTAAACGCCCCCCTCTTTTTTTTTAGAAGATTCCCATCTGTTTAATGTATATAAAGCCAAGGAAAGGACAGTCCCGAACTCAATAGAAAAATATTCTGTGCAATTCATATGGTGGGGTTGAGAGGAAAGGGACAAAGCTGTAGAACTCACACCTGAACATGTACAAAAAATAACTTACACAGCAACCCCCACCCTCAAGGATGATGCAGGTCTGCCCAGCCCCCGGGGCTCGCGGGCACACTGCAGACATGGCACTGCGGGAGCCAACCAATGTGGGCCCCAGGTGCAGGTAGGAGTCAGGAGGGCATCAGTCCGGAGGGGTGGGCGGCTATTAGGAGGCCTTGAAGCGGTTGCTGCCAGAACACGAGCTCAGCAGCTTGTCCACCATGGTGCGGGCGTAGCGGAGCTGGCTGGCCAGCTCCTTGCAGCCGCCTTAATCCTCCAGGAGACTCAGGTGGTTAGGTGCGGAAGTTCCGGTTCTCGTCGATGTAGGTGACGGCTGCCATCAGTGGGCACAAGGTGAGCTTGGTGTGATCCTGGAAGAAGTTGATCTGCATGCTGCCGTTGCTGAGGTGCAGGATGATGGCGCTGCGGGTGTGGAACCAGGTCCGCAGGTAGGGCAGCCGGGCGAGCTCATCGCCTTCGCGCGGCGTGATGTTGGCACCTGCCTTCAGGAAGTGCTCGCTCAAGTAATTGCGGAAATATTTAAGGAGTGTGATCTTCTTCATCATGGAATGGGGATGGGAACTCACGGTGAGGTAGGACTCGGTGCCATCACACTTTATGTACTGCAGGCTGTTACAATCATTGAAGAACACCTCCAGGCTGTTACCACACAGCTGATACCCAGGGCCCTACTTGTCTGAATAGTCCACCCACTTGCTGACCCAGAAGATGGAGATGCAGGCAGGATCCTCAGCCTCCTCTTGCCTGACCAGCCTTCCCTCCGAGGGCTTGGAGGCACTGACGCTGTGCAGCTGCTGCAGCATATCACTGAGGTGGAAGTCGACCACCTCACGCGTCTCTCAAACTGCTGGTTCTTCTTTTTCCCGGGGACGCTCAGGCAGGGAGTTCTCCAAGTGTTTATTGAGGACCGTGAGGGGCTTTCTGTTGCTGGGGTTCAGGCTGCTGGGAGCGATGGAAAACCTCGGTGGAATCGTGAGGCAGGTGATGGGGAGACGGGCTGGGACGTCATATTCGACTTTGGTTGCCAGTCCCAAGTCCCCTATTTTCACCTCCAGATACTCATTCAGGAAAAAGTTGCCCAGCTTGAGGTCTCGGTGAATAACTTGAATAACTCGGTTTCAGTGCAGGTACTGGCAGCCAAGCACAATTTGCCGCAGACAACATAGTGTCGGGCCTCAGGCTCAGTTAGGGCTTTCCTCCTCTTGTGCAGCTCCAGGAGAGACCTCCGGCGGCAGGGCTCCAACACCACGAACACAAAGTCGTTGTCCTCGAAAAAACCATGGAATCCTACGACGTGCTGCTGGGCAAGGCTGCGGTGAATGGATATTCCCATGGACATCTCCTTCTGGAGCGGCATGAGCAGTAGCGACTTAGGCACAATCTTGCCCGCGAACACAACCTTGTTGTCCGCGTCTGAGATCTCGAAGCACTTGGCAAAGCCGCCCTTGCCCAAAAAGCGGCCCCACACATAGCGCTGCCGGCTGCGCGGGTCCACTAGGACCTCCGGGATCTCTTTAGCCGGTAAAGCAGCCGCCAGAGCTCCGGGAGCTGTAACTCCGGGGACCCCGGCTTTCCCAGGGACGGCCGGTGCCCGTGTCACTTCCCCGCAGTCACCGCTGCAGTCATGTTCCTGGAGCTGCTCAGCAGACGTGGATCCCAGCAGAGGCTCCGCACCTCTCCGCTCCTCCGCGAATTCCTAAACCCACTTTCTTTAAGGCTTTTGGCTCTTTCCTCTCTGGTTATAATGGAAACAATATAAGAGACCTGGCCATGACAAGCCTAATTAATGGGAGGCAGTGGTGAGAAGTGGAAGTTCATCACGTCCTCTTTATTTCCACTCACAGGCTCAGTAAAAAATATTTAGAATACTTTGGCCATCCTAACTGCTATTTAATTCTGACAATGGTCAGAATCTAAATGGGAAACCTATGAACATTTCACAATTGATAAAATGAAATGAAAATGCAACTAAGTTTTAGCAAAAATAGCAACTGAAATGCTTATAAAGTGCTTCAATAAAAAATGTTGTTATTTGCATTTTCCTGATGGCCAATGAGATCATATGTTTATCGGCCAATTGGACCAGATGTAGTATCTTTTAGAATGTGTCAATTGCCAGCTTTTCTTTTTGCTTAGCTCTCTTATCCTTACTGATTTTTAGGGTTTGTAAACATTCTGGTTATAAGTGATTTACTGGATGAAGTACATTTTGAGATGTGAAAAAATATTAAAGTATGTTTTATACTAATAGGTTTTATACTAATAACAGTAATTTGGTGATTCAAGATACAGAGAGAACTGCAGGAGAGAAACCCTTGAGTTAACAATAGTGTATGGGACCCAGGATAGTAGTAGCTGACCACTGAAGCTCCATAATATTTAAACTTTTGTTATAGCTAAATGTTTCTGATATTTACTATTATAAATGTGATGAGTATTTTAACTCGGTAAAATTTTACCCATATATTGGGTGATTTTCAGTTTCTAAATATAGGAAATATTGATTAAAAAATAAAAAAATTAAGGCTTTTGGTGCAAATACATAGGTAAAGCATTTTGTGCTGTGTGCACTGGCTTTCTGTTATAAAGACATTGCTACCAAGTAAATTAAATATATTATGTTAGATCAATAGGATGAATTACTATACCCCTACTGACTTACGTTTTTGAAGTAATTTTGGTAAAGACAATGACAATAATGTGAAGCTAAGAAAAAATATGTGTGCTATATTTTTTGTATGTGCACTAATATGCAAACACATTCATACAAACATACATACCTACATAATAAAGCCAAATATATATATCATCATGTTAACACTGCTTGTTTCTGTGGAGATAAATGTTATCTTTTTTTCTTATTGTTTTCTAAGTTCTCTAAAATAAATTTAATTCTGTGTTACAATTTCAGGAAAGGAAGCATCAGGATTGAATGATAGCCTGAGGGAAAAAGGAACAGACAATGATATGTCCTAGGGTTGGGCCTTCCTAAGGACTGACTAAATTTCTCTTTCTGGAGATGAAACATAGTTTCTACTCTCTGATATGACTGTTGGTATTTACTAAGATTAAAAAGGATAATATATTAGCATATCCCACAAGTCACTAAACAAATGTTTTAACATCCCTAGAGATAGCACAATTAATGCAGATTGGAAGATGATTAAATAATTTATCATCCAAAGTAACAGAAAAAAATGAATACACAGAAGTATTAGTTGATGAAAGTACTTTGTAAATATGATTTGAATGTGGAACACAGGGGGAAAAAAGCTATGCAGCCTCTGATCCCAGCCAAGCATGGTACCAGGTATTTTGCATGAATCAGAGAATGTTCATTTTGCTGGTAACAGGCAAAGGTTTTCATAACTGAACCAGAATTGAGACTCTGAAAGTCAGTATGTACAGAGAGGCAACAGTGTCCTCTAGCAATTGTCTTTAGACTTGGCATAGTTAAAGGACACTTAGCCTAATGACCAATTACATCCCCTAATTTTCATGACAGACAAAAAAATGAGCCTTACCTTCCACTGGGGTTCCGATAGGTACAGACAAAAATGTGGAGAGAGGGGAGGGTACTGGAAGTTGGTAATCACATGTGTTCAGTGACAATCTCGATGTAAGGGTCCAACAATTGTATTGTTCTTCACACATGAAAGGGACATTCAAGGGCCCCAAAAGTGGCATTAATTATTTAATGTGTTAGTTCAAGAAATAACTGCATTACCCACACTGTTGATGGCAAACAATAACATTATGTGGAAAAATCATGGAACTAGAAGTCTATAAGTCACAAAATCATTCAGTCAAGGTGTACATTGAATGTGAAGGTGTTTTAAGGCATGTTAACACATTTATTATACTTATTACTTAACATATTCACAAACAGAATATATGATAAAAATATATATCTTTTGAGGGAGGTGGTTCAAGATGGCTGACTAGATGCAGCTTGTATGCACCTCCTCCACAGAGAAGAACCAAAATAGCACGTATATATTCACACTTCAAATAGATCATCTAAGCCAGAACACTGCAGTCCAATAGAGAAGCAATGGGAAGTAAATAAGAAGAGGGAAGGTAGGCAGCCTGCTTGGCTGGGATTGGCTGAGAACTGAGAAAAGTGCCCAGATGCTAGGAAAGCGCAGGTAAGAATCCCCCAGAGCTCCACATTCCCATTGCAAACTTTCACAATCCTAGCTATTGGAAAATCCCTCAATCCATGCAGGCCTCAACACTAATACAGAGAGTTGCCCAGAGACTGCACAGAGGAACTACTCCAGAGAGGTAATTCATGCTGAGTTCCACAGACTTCCAAACCCTGACCAGCAGCAGCCTTCTGCCATTCTGAAAGTTAAGCCCCCCAAAACTAAATCCTATCCTGGGGCTGATGCTACTGTTGCTGCCCCAGACCAGGGAGGGGGAGAGAAGGCTGGGCACCTTCTTACACTGCAAGGACAAATGCCCCCACAGCTGCAGCCTTCAATGGTAACAAACCACAATCCCCACAGCTAACCACCTACACAGCTCTCCTCGAGAATGGCTCCACCCTCCCCAATCTCAGGCCTGCAGCTGGTGTTATTCCAAGAGCCCAAACTATAAAAGTCTGTGTCCTGCCCTAGAGCCAGGGCTGTTGCTGCTTTTGCCACTGCTTGACCAAGGAGAAAGAGGGGAGGCTGGGCATTTTCACATGCCGTGAGGACACATCACACCAACACTGCTGTGGGCTGCTATGGGTCCAAAGGGCAAGGAAACCAAGCATCACACAGCTACCTCCCTACATTGTCCTCACTGAGAATAACCTCACTCCACCTGGTTGAAAACCCACAGTGTTGCTGCCACTGCCTACTGCTGAGCATTTTGCCAGTCTCCTGGGGACCACTCTGCCTCTGCCTATCTCTACCAGCACCTGAATACACTACCAGGGTGCAAGAGGACAAGTCTGCTGGCCTGTCCCATTTCCCTAGTACTTGTGCACCCAGGGGCCTAGAAATTGCCCAGCCCAGTCCACCACCAATTGCATCTAAGTACTCCCCCCAGGGTCTGGGTTCAGGCCAACAAAACCTGCTGATAACACACAGCTGGCACTCATCCACATGCACCGCCAACAAGAAAAGGTGAATGGCCCACTAAACTTGTTGCAGCTACCACAAACACCAATAGAACCTCTTGGGTGCCAGTAGGTTACTCCACCACCACTACTGCCATTGTTCATATCAAATCCACTGCTAAGGGACCCAAGAACCCTCCAACATGCCTGGACCACCACGGACATTACTGACATCTGAGTAAGTCACCTGAAGCCCCAAGAATCAGGTTGCTTGAACTCACTGACATTGGTGCCAGCATATGCCACACTGGAGCCCAAGGACAAGCATACTCAACCCAATGCTATTACCAGTAGGGCCTGAAGACTGGCTCACTTGGCATTATAATCCCCAATAAAACTTTACCACAGCTTCTACTAATAACTGCACCCTAAGCTACTAGAAAAATCACAGATATCACTGATGCTCTTTACAGCTAAATAAATCATATAGAGAGAACACTACTGCATGCATCCAAAATCAAAGCAAAATGCCCTACCCAACCAAATATATATTTATTCCAAAATATATATATATATATTCTGAAAAAGTCCTCTCCTATGAAAGAAAATTTTAAAATTTAGAAGAAACAACTGTTATGCAAGATGCATGGATATCAATGAAAAGACACAGGAAACATGAAAAAGCAAGGAAGTATGACACATCCAAAGGAACAATTATTCTTCAGCAATAGATCCTAATCAAAATGGACTTTATAAAATCCCAGATAAAGATTTTAAAGAAGCTCAGAGAGATACAAGAGAATTGTGTAAAAAATATAGAGAAATTAGAAAACAATTAAGAATATGAATTAGAAATTTACCAAAGACACAGACGTGTAAAAGACGACCAAACAGAAATTCTGGAACTGAATAATTCATCAAATTAATTACAAAATACACCTGAAAGCTCCAACAATAGACTGGATCAAACATAAGAAAGGATCTCAGAATTTGAAGACAGAACTTGTCAAATAACATAGTCAGACAAAAGTTCAAGAAAAAGTCTATAAAATAATAAGCAAAGCCTTTGTAAAATTTGGGACAACATTATAATTTTCAATGTCTCTAGGAGCAAAAGGAGAACAAAAGCATCAGAAAACCTGCTTAACAAAATAATTAATAAACTCAAATAGGCATGTAACGCAATGAATATTGCTGAATGAATGGATATAATTAAGAACTTTTAGCAAGTGTGAGAAAGGCTCTGAGAGAGAAGTCTGAATCACAAGACAAGGGCCATCACTCTAGAATCTGAACTCCCACAAAGCTACCTAACCTATTCCCCAAATTCATCCAGGACCATGACCACCTGAAAGTTCTTATGAAAATGAATACACCCATAAATTGTATGTCTCAATACTCATTACTCACACAGTTAGCCAGAAACCTAAGTCCTCAGCTATTTGGTTATGTGAATCATAAACATGTAAATGTTCCTTGATACCTTGGGGTCATTGTATCCTCTCACCAAAGATCTATCTTTATTCCTAATATCAAAAATTCTATGTTTTATTCAGTCATTACTTCCCTTGATGTAAATATACACATTCCATTCAGGCTTCTCAATTCTTTCTAATTCCATTTCTTAGGGAGACATGCCAATTATCTCTTGCTGCGAAACTAATTATCTCAAAATATAGTGACTTGAAATGAAAGGCATTTTATTATATCGCATGATTGTGTTGATTAGAACTTGGGCAGGCCTGGCTGGGTGGTTTTCTCCCTTTGACATTGACTGACATTGTTCACATAACTTCACTCTCATGCCTTGTACTTGGAGAGTGACATCTGGAAGACTGGCTGCAGCTGGGCTCCTTAGTTCAAATTCTCCTTTCCTTACCCATGTATTCTTAGGTCTTCTCCATATGGTGTCTTCACCTGGGAAATCAGATTTTTAAATGGTAGCTCAGAGCTTTAAGAGATAAAGGCAGAGACTTCTAATCTTCTTAAAATCTAGCCCTGCAACTGCCATAATGTCACTCTCACTCCATCCCACCATGCCATGTGCTCAGAGGACTCTCAGTCCAATGGGAAGGAAAATAAATCCAACCACCCAATGGGAGAAATGTCAGAGAATTTGTTGACATCATTACTCTGCTACCAACTTTCCTACAGCCACAAATTATTTATATTTATGCCACATGGAAAATGTGTTCATTTCCTCCATGATACCCAAAGTCTCATTCGACTTTCATATCATCACAAAGTCCAGAATCTTGTTATCTAAATCAGGACCATGTTATGAATCTCCTCAAGAGGGGTTCCAGTCAACTAAAGAGACAAATCATCTACACTCCCCTACACCAAACATAAAATGTGAAACTGAGGTAGGGCAACCTTCGAAATGTGGGAAAATAAGAGCCACAAAACAGACTTCTTCATAGCAGCTCTGAATCCAGCCAGTTACATGTTGACAGTTCCTTGATCAGGGCCCTGCCCTGGTTCCTGAAAAATATTCTCAGTTGTATTTGTATTCACTCTGTGGATTTGAGTCATCCTTCCTTTCCTATTAAGAAATGCATCAGTTTTGCAGTTGAGTAGCCTTCTCAGCCTACTTCCTGCCTATGGAAGGTTAAGAGAATAAATACTATTTGTTTTTCATTTTGTACTGTGCATGTCTATTTTAGATCAAGCTGATAGTCTTTCAGCTAGAGTATAAATCTAAAAATTTATAGTTATCTAATATATCAAATTATATTTCATTCCATTAGACAAAGGCCACACTCATATTACTTCACAAGACAGAAACTTACCTGACTTAAGCATTTTGTATTTTGGAAAAAGAAATTCTTAATATTCTTTAAAATACTATTGCTTAACCAAAAGAATCTGTAAGGCATACCCTTATATATTTCTGTGGTATTTAACAAGGGGCCTTACAGCCTCATTTTGACTTCAATCTTTTCCAGAGTTCTAGACTTACTGCCTTGGGCTTAATTTTTGCTCTAAGGACATTTCTGACTTTCAGAATATTTTGCTGGCTAGAAAGACTTTTCTGTGCATTCTATATGTCCTCCAAGTTATGTTAAAAAATGAGGCAGTCCCTACCTTTCTTCTTATATTGTATTATAAACTAGACTATTTTACCATAGGTAGAATAGTCAATATTTCAGCATTCTGTCTTGAAATCTCCTTAGCTAGATCATTGAGTTCATTAGTTAGGTACAATTTTGTATTTCCTATGTTACTTCTAGCCATAAGGATTGCCAAACTTTATGATACTACATGACTAGGGTCCCCTTTTCTTCAGTTGTTGTAACAATGTTCTCTTCGTTGTCTTTCAAGTATTCACGAATGATGTCCCCAAACTCTTCTAGCTTTCCCTAACAGTCTCCTTGAGGCCATTCTAGCATCTGCCACCAGTTTCAGATTTTTGTATTGAAATACTTCATTTCTGGTCACAAGTACTCTTTTTGTTATCTATTGCTTCGTAACAAAGTACCCAAACTTAGTGGCTTGAAATAGCAAATATTTACTTAACTCACACAATTTTGTGGGTCAGGAATTTGGCAGGGCTCAGATGCATGATTCTTCCGCGCTATATGTCATCAACTGGGTCACTTAGTGGTGTATATCTAATGGGGAGACATATCTGGAGGGTCCAAGTTAGCTTCATTTACTTTGCAGGGGATGTTGTAAACATTAGACTTAATTGCGCCCCTTTTCCTCTTCAAGTAGCCTCAGAGCCCTTCCCTTCCTGACCCTCCTGCACCCTCTCCTACCCACCATAATTTTACTTGAAGGGTAGTCTGTTGGATCAGGATTTTACTTGAAGGGTAGTCTGTTGGAAAGGTAGCTTGTTGGATTTTCCTGAAAGGTACCTGTTGCATCAGGAGTTAAAGGGAAAAGGCAAAAACTAATCTTTTTTTTTTTTTTTTTTTTCCCAAAGAATTGGCTCTCATTGGGAGATATTTACTTCTACTACATGCTATGGTCAGTCACAGATCAGGCCAGATACAAACGGAGAGAAAATAGGCCCCACACTTGATGGAAGGAGTGTTATCTTATTCTTCCTTCAATGTTTATTTGCATAATCTGAGGTCTCAGTATAAATCAGACATACAAATTATTGGGAGGCTTGCACCCAAGGTACTAGTAGCTCTAATTTTGGAAGTTTGCATATCCAACATAAAAGCCTTTTTAAAAAATACAGGTAGGCACTGTATAAGGATATATTGGTTGACAACAGACCTCATATATGACAGTTGTCCCATATAATTATAATGTAGCTAAAAAACTCCTAACACCTAGTGATGTTGTAGCTGTTGTAACATCATAGCACAGGGCATTACTCACATGTTTGTGCTGATGCTGGTGTAAACAAACCTATTGCACCGCCAGTCTTACAAAGGCATAGCACACACAATTATGCATAGTACATAATACTTGATTATGATCATAAACAACTATGTTACTGGTTTATGTCTTTATTCTACTGTACTTTTTATCATTGTTTTAGAGTGTACTCCTTCTACTTATAAAAAAAAATAGTCAACTGTAAAGCAGCCTCAGAGAAGTCCTCCACAAGGTATCCAGAAGCAAATATTATTATCATAAGAGATGACAGCTCCATGCACGTTATTGCCACTGAACACCTGCCACTAAGATATGGAGGTGGGAGACAGTGTTACTGATGATCCTGACCCTGCGTAGGCCTGGGCTAATGTGTGTGTTTGTGTCTTTGGTCTTAACAGAGTTTAAAAAGTAAAAAAATAAAAATAGGCCAGGTGCAGTGGCTCATGCCTGTAATCCCAGCACTTTGGGAGGCCGAGGCAGGCGGATCACTAAGTCAGGAGATCAAGACCATCCTGGCTAACACGGTGAAATCCCTTCTCTACTAAAAATACAAAAAATTAGCCGGGTGTGGTGGTGGGCACTTGTAGTCCCATCTACTAGGGAGGCTGAGGCAGGAGAATGGTGTGAACCTGGGAGGCGGACCTTGCAGTGATCTGAGATCGCGCCACTGCACTCCAGCCTGGGCGACAGAGCAAGATGCCATCTCAAAATAAATAAATAAATAAATAAATAAATAAATAAAATAAATTTAGATAAAAAATAAGGATATAAAAAATAAAATATTTTTATACAGATGTACAATGTATCTGTTTTAAAATGTGCTATAACAAAAAAGTCAAAAAGTTTAAAAAACTAAAAAGTTTATAAAATACAAAATAATAGTAAGTTAAGGTTAATTTATTATTGAAGGAAAACATCTTAGATAATTTTAGTGTACAGTGTTTATAAAATCTACAGTAGTGTACAGTAATGTCCTAGGCCTTCATATTCACTCGCCACTCACTCACTGGCTCACCTAAAATTCAGTAACTTGCAGTCCTGCAGGCTCCATTCATGATAAATTCTTTATACAAGTGTACCTTTTAAAAATCTTTTATACCATATTTGTACTGTACATTTACTATGTTTAGACGTTTAAATACACAACTACTGTTTTGTTACAATTGTGTACCTTATTCAGTACAGTAACATGCTGTACAGGTTTGTAGCTTAGGAGCAATAGGCTTTACAATCTAGCCTACGTGTGTAGCAAGCTACACTATCTGGGTTTGTGTAAGTATATTCTGTGATGTTCACAGAATGATAAAATCATCTAACGATGCATTTTTTTCAGAATGTATCCCTGTCTGTCATTAACCAGTATATGACTGTACAGTTTTGTGCTGTCTCATGCTCCTCCACTCTCCAAAATCAGTTCATCTCTTTCTCATATACAGCCTATTTCTTTCTTTTCTTCTTCTAACTTGACCCAACCTACTTAGGAAAATGTATGGGTTTGTCCCCGTTTTCTCTTTTTCTTCCTTTCTCTTTTATCTGTATGCTAAACAACATACTCTGCTTCATACTCATCCATGTCCTTATTGTTTCTAGAGCCCATACTCCAGCCTCATCTCATGCAACTTTCCACTTTGCTCGCTGAATTTCTGCCACACCGTCTTGCACTTTGCAGGTTTTTCTTGCCTAAAATATGTGTGAACATTTCCAACAATCCTCTGTTGTGGTTATCTGGACAATATGTCCTTCCTAGTGAATTGTAAGTTCCATGTAGACAAAGGCCTCGTCTGTTTCACTACTATTATTTGCCAGCAGCCAACACAGTTACTGATACACATTTGATGTTCAGAAATTATTTATTCAATAACTAATTAGAAATGTGAATACCATCAAAGTTAAGTGAAAAATTAGGAATAGAGATGTATCTATCCACAAAAAAGTGAAACATGTTAAAATGAAATTATAACTAGTTCCCAATGTCACACTAACTATTAAAGCCTGTCAAAATGCCCAGAAATTGTTTGAGGCATTTCTATATAAATGTTCTTCTACCTCCTCCAACCCTGATATTTGAAATGAAGACATGCAACACATAAAATCTATTTCCAGTTAATTCATGTTTAATGTTTAAGGTTAAAGCAGCATTATTTTCCTTCATTGGGTTAAATAGCCTTTTGGAGGCTAAACAGACAATAAATCAACATTGCTCATCAAAAAAAAAATGCATTTTTGTTGTTCAAATTCCCAGTTTTGGCACACAACCACACTAAGTGGATACCTGCCAAAATAATCTATAAGTATAGAAAAATAAATAGGTTATGTGCCATTTTCCAACAGCATGGTACAGTTTTTGACAGCCATTTATATCTTTAGATTCTTTTTTACTATGAATTCAGAGACAGCATTTTGGAAGATTTCTAACCTATCTCCTCTTTATTGAATGTACACAACAAATGAATGTGAGTATTTGGGGAGGATTTTCTCCATTCTCATTGCATGAGTTTTCAGTGTTACATTAAAAACTGTAGTTCCTCAACCCATAAGAACTACAACCTTCACAATCAGTGAAACTTTGTAAATATCTTCTAAAGCAGCAGTATTGGTTTAGTACACTATAAATGCTTATCACTGCCTCTAGAATATTTAATGTTTTCTCTCTTCACAAAGTAATAAGATAATTTTTCTTAACAAATATTACCGATTTTAAAGTATGAATCTTAGAATGTGAGCCCTGAAAAAGACCTTGAGAAGTCTTCTAGTCCACATCTTTGTATCCCTATAGGTCGACTACAGCCCACCCTGGATAATGTTCATTGATCCCATATTTAAATACTTCAGCAGGAAGAGGGTTCTTTTTGTTTTTGTCTGTGGTAGGTTTCGACGTTTAATAACCCATAAAGCTCTTAGGAAATTTTTCCTTATATCTACCCTAAATTACCAATGGCACACGGATTTAGATTTGAATCTTAAGTAACTAGAATAAATTACCTCTGCTATGGAAATAGACACCCTCTCTGAATTTGAAAAACTGTAGTCTCTGTGAAATAAACTGAAAATATTACTTCTCAGGGATGGAGTACGTGATTTTCAGTCAAGTGTCCCAACTCCACAAAGTGCTTGTGCTATAGTAAGCTAAACGACTAAATGGTCTTGGTGCAGCCCTCCAAGACACTTGTGAGCAGTGTAAACACCAGAGCCAAAACAGAATGCAAGAGATGAACCATGACAAGAAATCAGACAAAATTATGGTCAAGAGCCATCTGGGTGATGGGTTATGCACACATATAGGCATCCCACACACATCTCAGCAAACACTATGTTTAAGAAGATGAGGACAAGCTGAGCCAAGGCTCCTATGCCTATCAGTGCTTCATGAACTACAAGGGGACTTCACCAACAGAGACTCTTTTCTAGGATTTTATTCTGATAATACCACTGTATTATTTGTGACTACACAACTTACTTATCTACAGGTGAAATCTTTCTTTTTACTCATCCTCTAAGTTCATTTTGCCTAATATTTGACCTTGACATCTGATGACACGTGATGGTGGAAGGTCAAGGGTTTATGTGAACAGTCAGCATACTCTAGGAATGGAAGAAGGTGAAAGTTAAAAAATAAGTAAGTAGAGTTGGCAAGTTATTCAAGTTCTTATTAGTTGTGTCACTTCAGGTAGATTATTTAAGCTTTTTAAAGCTAAGTTCCTTCAACAGTAAAATAGATGTAACCGTATCTACATCATGAGTTTGTATAAGGATTAAGTGGGTGCCATTATTCATGAGAAAAGCTTCGTACTCTTAACTATTGTTTCTGACAGTTAATGTATGAAAGCATGAACATGCTAATATTAAAGAAGCTTCATTTATTTTTAATTCAGTAAGCATTTGCCTATCATCTACCTAAGTATAAGATCTAGGTTCAGGCTTGTTGGTGAAATCAAGAATGAATTAGAGAAAAATCTTAAATTCAATCTGTGAAAAAGAGATGTGAGGCTTATCTATCAAAATGTAGGTACTCAATAAATATTTGTCAATATTGTCAACCAACATTTCCCCTTGTACAAAATGAAAAAAGTTATTATAATGCAATATATAGCAATATTGGAGAAAAGTCAAGCTAAAGGGTCATATAGTTCAAATGGGGGAAACAGGTTAAAAAATGTCCAGATATGTAGATAACATAGGTCAGGAAGGGTTACAGGGAATTTTGAAAGTGTATGTGGTTTGTGGTCCAGGAAAAATATCTTTTGCACCATTTGCCTTCTGAATTTTGTCTTCTGAATATTATGCGTTATTAGCAGTTCTCAAGAATCCCTAGAAATATATTATTTTTCCAGTTTAGCTGCCCTAAAAGGAGAAGGACACTGTCTTACTACATTTAAGGATCTTTACAGATAAGTAATAGAATGGGACATCAGTCTCCAAAGAGGATAATTTCACCATTCTGTTTGAGGACATGTCTTCACCCATGCTAAAGGTTATGTTTACTCCAGTCTGGTTTTCCATGTGATTCTCCCTCTTTTCTCTACTTGCAATCTTCCCACTCTACTGGCTTATTCTGTGTAGTTCAAGCCTCTAGCAATAAGGGAATAAAATCCTTAAATCTTTCATCTTTATTACATTCTTTCACATCACAACCAAGCTGCTTTAAAAAGCATGTTGTGAGACTTTCTGTTTTTGGTCTAGCCTGTAAATAGTTTGGAAGTCACTATTCCATCCTAACAATAAGTAAAAAGATGAACAAATGGAAAACTCAACAACTCTTCTTAGATCTGAGAGAGAAGTGAGGCCACAGGGCAAGGTGGTATCTCAAAAACTGGAAAGAGAGATAGACAGGTGGATATAAAGAATCACAATTCACTGGAGCAGAAAGCCATGAGCAGCAACCTCCATAGGGAACCAGAGTCAGATGAGGAAAACCTGAATTGTGATTGAGAAACTGATGAAGGCTCAGAGTAGACACATTTGAGAGACGCAGACTCCAGTGGGACCCAGTCATTGGGGGCCCCCACATTTTTGTGCATTTTTTCCATCAAGAGCTCTGCCAACTTCTCACAGAGAAAACTGGAGAAAAATTCCCTCAGACTTTCAGCAGAAGGAGGGAGTAAATAACCACTTTGAAATATACCAGAGCATTCTGTGTCTGTTCTATTTAACCAGATATTTTGCCAGAGCTTAACCTATTGGAATTTTTGTCAGAGCCTTGCCAATCTCGAAGAGAGGAAATACCAAACTCCAGCCCCACCTAGCTATCCTGTGAAACCTAGGAGAGTAGGAAAAAATAAATAAGAAGCATTTGTCAATATTGTCAACCAACATTTCCAGCCCCATGTGGCCATCCTGTAAAACCTAAAAGAAATTCCCAGCCTAAAGGAACTTCACAGACCAGGGCACAGGATTATTAAAATACTGAGACATAATCATAGGACTATAGGATGCTTCCTCTCCCTGGACACCTTACTAATACATGACTAAAGGCCTATTTAACATAGTTTCTTTACCCAGTACATCATGTCTGCCTTTCAACAACAATGACAAATTACAAGACATACTAAAAGCCAAAACCACAATTTGAAGAGACAGAGTAAACACCAGAACCAGACTCAAATACAGCAGTGATGTTGTAATTATCAGATCATAAATTTAAAACAACTATAACTAATGTGCTAAGCGGTCTAATAGAAAAAACAGACAACATGCAAGAACAGATGGACAATGTAAGCAGAAAGATGGAAATTCTGAGCCAATCAAAAAGAAATGCTAAAGTTCAAAAACGCTGTAACAGAAATGAAGAATGTCTTTGATAGATTCCTTAGTAAACTTGACATGGCTGAGGAAAGGAATCACTGAGCTTGAGGATATGTCAATAGAAACTACCAAAACTGAAAAACAAAGTGAAAAAGACTAACAAAAAACTGGAACAGAATATCCAAAACTTGTGACATGATGACAAAAGGAATAACTTACATGTAATAGGAATACCAGAAGTAGATAGATGAAAGAGAGAAAGAAACAGAAGAAATATTTAAAGCAGGAATTACTGACAATTTCTCAAAATTAATGTCAGACACCAAAGTACAGATCAAGGAAGCTCAGAGCACACCAAGAAGGATGAATGTCAAAAATACTACACCTAGACATATCATAAACTGCAAAAAAAAGAAGGTAAATAAATCATGTTAAAAGACATCAGAGGAAAAAAATATCTATACAGGAACAAAGATAAAAATTATACCTGACTTCTAAGAAAGGAGTAGAGTGAAATATTAACAGCATTGAGGAAAAAAACCCAACAACCTAGAATTCTATACCCTGCAAAATTATTCTTCAAAAATGAAGAAGAAATAAAGTCTGTCTCAGATAAACAAAAATTAAGTGAATTTGTTGGCAGGAAATCTGCCTTGCAAAAATGTTAAAAGATCTTCAGAGTTAAAGAAAATTATATAGGTCAGAAACTGTGATCTGCATAAAGAGGAAAAACACTGGAAAATGAATAAATGAAGGAAAAATAAAAACTTTTCTTATTCTTAATTGATCTAACATATAAAAATTTGTTTAAAATAATAATATCAATATATCCAATTATGCATTTCTATGTGAATATAATTACATGTATGCTTGTGTATAAATGGAAAGAATACCAGAAATGATACAAGGCCCAGAAGGGAGAAATTAAGAATATTTTGTTATTTTAAGGTATTTGCCCTACCCATGATATTTCTACCAGCATCCTGTTTAATATTCTATCATTTTCTAAGATAGAAATATCTATCTTAGATATTTCTAATATAGAAATATCTATCTTAGATATTTCTAATATATTCAATATATTTCATAAGTCTCACTTCTTCTATACCCTCACCAGCAGCACATTTAAAGTCCATATCTCTAGCAACAATGTCTTTATGATTATTTAGATGATTACTATAACAACACCCCACTATGGTACCCAAGTTTGTGTTAATTTCCCGTTCCTGCTGCAAAAGGTTACTATAAATTTAGTGGCTTAAAAATCACGTTTATTTTCTTATAATTGCAGAAGTCAGAAGATCAAAAACAGTTTCACTGGACCAAAGTCAGTATATCATCAAGGTTAGCTCTTCCAGAGGCTGTGTGAGAGGATTGGTTTCTTGTTTCTTCCACTTACAGAGGCTGCAGCATTCATTGGCCCCTGGGTATATCATTTCAATCTCCACTTCCATCGTCACCTTGCCTTATGATTGCTAAATCAATCATATGTTAGCATAAATGTATTGATTTCTCTTTGCTAGGGACCCTAAGCAAAAGCAACCATTGTTATTTGAAAAGCCAAGGAGAAATCAGAAATGAAAGGAAAACAAAAGAAAACCTGGATTACTCTTCCTTATATGCTTCATGGTTACTCTTTTCTCAAAGTTTGGGGGATTAAAGGAGTAGTGTTAAAAAGGCCAAAGTTCCTAATACAAATTCAAGTGTGCAAGAGTAATAACTTTGTTGAGCCACGTGCTAGCCTAGAATTCAGTCTGGTTTTCTAAGGTTTTGGCTTAAAATGTAAATAAGGACAGAACCTGTATAAGCTTTGTCCTGTAAACTTAATTCTTTTTATTACATAAAAATTTATAGTATGAGAATGTTTACTCCATGAACTGAGATGGTTCTTGCTTGTCATTTAAATATTGTGGCCTTAACCATATTTCTTTGTAATAGTGCATTAGGAGCAGGCATTAGAAAACAGTAGGAAAAATTGAAGACTATTTGTCAGCAAACTGTGACGCAGATGAAGAAACATGACTAAACTTGTGAATGGTGGAGAAACCTGGGGAAGGGATGACTTACTGATTTGTTGGAGTGTGGCTTCAGAGTGCTAATGAAGATTATAATAGAATATAATGTTCACAATATTAGATTTCTGAAGGGATAAGAAAGAAATGTCCAGAGGAAAAAAGGTCAAAATCTGAAGAAGTGATGACTTAATAGAATGTCAAGCATTCTTTTCTGTGAGATGTGATATTTTAGTATCATTAGGATGAAGTGAGGAAATATAAACATGAGAGTCTATAGTAGAAAGAGGGAAACAAAATAACAGGTTATATGGTTTTTTGTGCTAACTTATATGTGCATTACAAGTGAATTCTACAGGAAGGATAAGGAGGAGGAGGAGTAGGAAAAGAAGTAGGAGGAGGAGGAAGGAGGAAGAACAAAGAGAAGAATAGAAGAAGAAAGAGAAAGAGCAGAAAGACAGCAGTAGCAGCAGTTCCAGCATAGACAAGAACAAGAGCAAGAATAAGAATAGGAAAGTCCTGATAAAAAGCTGAGTTGCTTCATGTGGTTCTGGAGAAATTGAACAGATTACAGCTCTTAAGGCAGGAGACCTCCTATCACAGTTAACACTCCAGCAAAAACTGAGAAGTATCAGATTTTGGCAATGGCTACCCCTAGAGGCAAGGCTTCCTGCCAATAAAGATCAACACTTGCAGAGAGCTTAATGTCTGCTAAGGACTACAATAGGTGCTATACATTAATTAAATTATTTAATAGTTATAAAAAGCCCATGAGATAGGTGAAATTATTACCCATATTTTACCAATTAGGAAATTCAGGAACAAAGAGGTTAAATAATTTACCCAAGTTAGTCAGTGCCCGAGCTGGGATTTAAACTGAGGCAATAAGAGAGGCCTGACATGAGCAACATGAAAAAGTAGGAGTTCCGAGCCTTCATCTCCCAACGAAAAGCAATAATTAGACATTTTTCATGAAGAAAATAGCTCTGGGAGAGTGCAAGAGTCCAGTTACAAAGCTACAGCAACACAGTAGTGCAAAGAGAGAGAAAGGAAGAGAGACTATTAACCACACAGAAGGGTAGGAAGAACAGTTTCATTCTGCCTTCATCATCCCATCCCTCAGGCCTATACAGCTCAGTGTCCAGAGGAATTTCCTCAGCCCATGAGTTCCCTTCATAGAGGAAATGAAAGGCAGAGTGAATGACCAGCTTCACTAGTTTTTGGAGCACTGCCCATGTGACCAAAATTATTTCACCCCACCCACTGGAGAGATCAGCATAACCAAGGTATCTAGAGATGGCTAGGAGCAAAGAAGGAAGAAGCTGTCAGTATCATCAACACAGTGGGAGCCACTGCAGTCCACCGTGTCTTGCTCCTCAGAGAACCCCCACAGCCTTCACTAATGAGGACCTCAACAGCCATCATGAATGCCTTACTGTTTTTGCTGCAAGGACCCTGCAGTTTTTCACATTCACAGACCACAGCTGCCCAGACTCCTAAACCATCCTGCCAGAAACATTCTATCCTGTGCCACCACAGGTGTTCCAGCTTCAGAACCCAGTTTAGCCACCACATGTATGCCTGAAACCAGCTCCAGCCCCTGCAACCAGTGTTTCCCTCCTCCCCATTGTTCATGCACCCATGGTTGACCACTTGCATGTAGCCAATGCCAGCCCCACTGACAGTCCCCTCTTCCACATTCATGCACATTGCCAGCCCTGACACCCACAACTGGGCATGCACAGACAGACAAACCCAAAGCCTGCCAACAGGCCCCACCACTGTGCATACAGACACAGCTGGTCGCTGCAGCTGCTTGCATGCAGGCTGACAGCTTGGCCCTTGCAGGTGTTCATGCACACATGATCAGTCCCAACCCCCACCAATGCCAGACCCTACCACCAAGCATATGCATACCACTGACATAAGCCTGAGATGCCACCTGCCTTAGTCCCTTCCCACCAAAAGAAGATCACTGCTAAACCAAAAAGCACCTCCAAGGACCCAAACAACCCTCACAGCCAACACAGACATTTGTAGCTCTCACCCCATCGGCTGTGGAGTTGCTGCTGTTGCAGACTGACCCCAGTTGCCTGATCCACGAGAAACTGCATCCTACTGCCACTTTTGGTGTCCCATGATAGTATACCCAGTGTTACTACACATTTGAATGTGCCCCCTCAACAACACCCAAGGAACTACACCCTACCTCCGTCAATGCTGAAGGTATTGCTGAAGGTCGTTTCTTACTGAAGGAGTCCATAAAGTCCTAAGCAAGTCTACAAGGATTACAAAGACTCAGGGAAATATGACACTACCAAAGGAACAAAATAAACTTCCAGCAACTGACGTGAAATAAATAAATATCTGTAATTTGCCTGAAAAAAATTCAAAATATGTATGCTATAGAAGCTCAGTGAGCTACAAGAGAACACAGATACACAATTGAACAAAATCAGAAAAATAATATAAGAACAAAATGAGACCAATAAACAAAAGCTAGAAAACATAAAAAAAAGAACCAAATAGAATTTATGGAGCTGAAGAATATGATAACGGAAAAAAAATACAACAGAAAGTGTATTAGTTAGGGTTCTCCAGAGGAACAGAACTAACAGGAGATGTATGTGTGTGTGTTTGTGTGCATGTGTTTGTGTGTGTGTGTACGTATGAGTTCATTATGGAGGACTGGGTCAACATAATTTCAAAACAAAGTACTGATACAGTTCCAACGAGTGGAGGAACACCAGGGCTCTTGTCTTGTGCGAATTGAATAAAACGACATGGACACACATGGAGTGGCTTTAAGGAGCAGAGGGTTTAATAGGCAAGAAAGAAGGGAGAAGAAAGAAGGAAGAAGCTCCCATGTACAGAGACAGACCGGAGGTGGGGGGTGGTGGCTCCAAAGCCAAGAGAGGAGACCCCGAGTGTGGTGGATACCAGCCAGTTTTATGTGAAGGTTGGAGGAAAGGGTGTCTGATTTGCATAGGGCTCAGGGGATTGGTTTGACCAGGCATGTCATTCACATAGCCCTCAGAAAAAACTGGCCCTCCTACCCTAGCCTTTTAATATGCAAATGCAAGATACCATGACGTTCTACACACGTGGAGATATGTGCGGGTGGCATGTTGCCAGGCACTTATGGGGTCAAGGGCAAGAGGGCAATGGTGGGAATCACCATGTTGTGTGGACCCAATTTCTAATGACCTGCATTTGCATATCAAAGGTTGCTGGCCCAGCTCTAAGAGCCAGGGCTGCTTTAAAAGAGAAAAAAACTCTGGAGCTGAAAAACTTCTGGAGCTGCTTTAAAAGATAAAAAAACTTTCCAAGGACTCCTTTTCCTCTCTATCTGACTGAAATAATTTTTAAATAACTCCTACCACAGTACCACTTAGTCTATCTGCAAGCAGGGGAAAGAAAGAATTTTCTGACACAATTACAAAAACAAAGTACCACGTTAGGCTGTCTGCAAGCAGGGGAAAGAGAGAAGCCAGTAGCGTGGCTCAGTTCAAGTCCAAAAGCCTCAAAACCAGAGAAGCCAACAGTGCAACCCTCAGTCAGAGGCCAAAGGCCCATGAACCCTTGGGAGGCAGCTGGTGCAAGTCTCAAAGTTCAAAGGTGAAAGAAGAACCAGGAGTTTGATGTCCAAGGACAGGAGGAGAGGAAGTCAAGCATCCAGCACAGCATGGGAAGAGAGAGAGCAAGCTGACTCAGCAAGCAAACTACCTGTCCCCCTTCTTCCACCTGCTTTGTTCTAGCTGCTCTAACAACCAATTGGATGATGATCACCCAACATTGAGGTGGGTCTTTCTTTCCCAGTCCTTTGATTCAAATGTCAGTCTCCTCTGGCAATACCCTCACAGACACACCCAG
This sequence comes from Homo sapiens, assembly GCF_000001405.40. Classification (NCBI taxonomy): domain Eukaryota; kingdom Metazoa; phylum Chordata; class Mammalia; order Primates; family Hominidae; genus Homo; species Homo sapiens. Next base: position 62,164,175 of record NC_000008.11, read on the forward strand.
GAACAATGCTTTATCAGCCTTCTAGGCATCCCTCAATCCAGTCAACTTGACACCTAATATTAACCACCACAGACAGCTACAGTAGCAAACTCAATCAAGCAGAAGAAACAATTCTCAGCACACTCAAAAACAAATTTGAAATTACATAGTCTGAGGAGATCAGAGAAAATACATTTTAAAACAGTGCAGAAAATCCACCAAATTTATGAGACATCATTAAGAAAAATCAATATACAAACTACAGGCATCCAGGATCCAGGAGAAGAAGTGAGAATGAAAGGAGCAACAAACTTATTTTTTTAAAAAGAGGGAGAGAGGATTAAGATGGCATATAGGAGACAGGACTAGCTTGCAGCTCCCACTTGGACGGGCAGAGCGGCATGTGGTAACTTACACTGTGAACTTTTGCTCCAAGAATTACCACAGGAACAACCAGGAAAGCCAAGAGAATCCACGGACCCTTTGAAGGAACTGAATCACCGCTGCAGGCTCCCTGAGATGCCAAAAACCTGAGAGTCTGATTGCTTTCTGCTTGCTTTCTCAGCAGGGAGGCTAGTGGTCTGGGGCAAGTCCTCACCCCTGGTCACTGGCTGCCTGGAAATAGACTCAGTGTGGTGTTGGGGGATCGGTCATGGTGAGAATGAGACTGGCCTTTAAGACTGCGGGCTGTGTGGGTGTGGAGTGAGTCCTGTGACTGCCAGCTTTCTCTCACTTCCCTGGTGACCTGTATGACTCAGCAGAGGCAGCCACAATCCTTCTGGAAATATAACTCCATTGGACTGGGAACCACACCCCTATCCCCACAGCAGCCACAGCAAGCCCTGCCCAAGGAGAGGCTGAGCTCAGACACACCTATATCTGCCCCCACCCACTGACCTTTCTCTACCAGCCCTGGTAGTGGAAGACAAAAGTTATAATCACTTGGGAGTTCCATGGCCCTGCCCACTACCCGAGAAACCTGAATACTTAACCAGGTGTCCCTAGGGCAAGTTTACATCTTCCTTATAGGGGCCGCAGCTGATGCACGCTTGAAAGCACCACATCCTGCCTGGAGGCCAACCAACAAAAAACCAGAGCAATAAACAAAAACACAACCAAGGACCCTAACAGAGTACACTTCACTTCCCTGCTACCTCCACTGGAGCAGGTGCTGATATCTATCTACAGCTGCAAGACCTGAAGATGAATCACATCACAGGACTTTTTGCAGACACTCCCCGGTACCAGCCCGGAGCCCAGTAGCTCTACCGGGTGGTTAGACCCAGAAGAGCAAACACAATCACTACAGTTCAGCCCTCAGGAAGCCTCATTCCTAGGGGAAGAGGGAGAACACCACAAGGGAGCCCCCTGTGGGACAGAAGAATCTGAACAGCAGCTTTGAATCCCAGATCTTCACTCTGACATACTCTACCCAAAAGAAAAGAAACCAGAAAAACAATTCTGGCAATATGACAGAATAAGATTCTTTAACTGTCTCAAAAGATCAACTAGCTCACCAGCAATGGATCCAAACCAAAATGGAATTTCTGAATTGCCAGAAAAAGAATTCAGAAGTCGATTATTAAGCTAATCAAGGAGGCACCAGAGAAAGGTGAATTCCAACTTAAAGAAATAATAAAAAAAAAAGATACAGGATATGAAAGGAAAATTCTTCAGTGAAATAGATAGCATAAATAAAAAACAATTACAACTTCTGAAAATCAAGGTCACACTTACAGAAATGCAACATGCACTGGAAAGTCTCAGCAATAAAATAGAAAAAGCAGAAGAAAGAACTTCAGAGCTCAAAGGCAAGGCTTTCAAACTGACCCAATCTGTCACAGACAAATAAGAATTTTTAAAAATGAACAAAACCTCCAAGAAGTTTGAGACTATGTTAAACATCCAAACCTAAGAATAATTAGTGCTCCTGAGAAAGAAGAAAAATCTAAAAGTTTGAAAGACATATCTGAGGAATTAATCAAAGAAAATTTCCCGTCTTACTAGAGATCTAGACATCCAAATACAAGAAGCTCAAAGAACATGCAGGAAATTCATTGAAAAAGAGATTATTCCCTGCACACACAGTCACTGGGTTATCTAAAGTCAAGATGAAGGAAAAAATCTTAAGAGCTATGAGGCAAAAGCATCAGGTAACCTAGAAAGGAAAACCTATCAGATTAACAGCAGATTTCTCCGCAAAAGCCCTACAAGCTAGATTAACAGTAGATTTCTCAGCAGAACCCTGTGAGTTAAGGAGGTTATTTTTAGCCTCCTTAAACGAAACCATTATTAGCCAAGAATTTTGTATCAGCAAAACGAAGCTTCATAAATGAAGGAAAGATACAGTCTTTCCCAAACAAATGCTGAGAGAATTCACCACTACCAAGCCAGCACTACAAGAACTGCTAAAAGGAGCTTTAAATCCTGAAACAAATCCTCAAAATGCACCAAAATAGAATGTCCTTAAAACATAAATCTCACAGGACCTGTATAACAATAACACAATAAAAACAACAACAAGGTATTTCAGGCAACAAATAGCATGATGAATAGAATAGTATCTCTCATCTCAATACTAACATTAAAAGATACAGAATGGCAGAATGGATAAGAATTCACCAACCAAGTTTCTGCTGTCTTCAGGAGACTTGCCTAACACATATGGACTCACATAAACTGAATGTAAAGGGGTGGAAAAAGACATTCCATGCAAAAGACACAAAAAAGCAAGCAGAAGTAGCTATTCTTATATCAGACAAAACAAAGCTTTAAAGCAACAGCAGTTAAAAAAGACAAAGAGAGGCATTATATAATGATAAAAGGACTAGTCCAACAAGAAAATATCACAATTCTAAATAAATATGCACCTAACACTGGAACTCCCAAATTTACAAAACAATTACTACTAAACCTGAGAAATGAAATAGACAACACAATAATAGTTGTGGAATTTAATACTCCACTGACAGCACTAGACAGATCATCAAGACAGAAAGTCAACAAAGAAACAGTGGACTTAAACTATACAACAAATGGGCTTAACAGATATTTACAGAACATTCTGCCCAACAACTACAGAATGTACATTCTATTCATCAGCACATGGAATATTCTCCAAAACAGACCATACAGTAGGACACAAAAAAAGTCTTAGTAAATTTTTAAAAATTGAAATTGTATCAAGTACTCACTCAGACCACAGTGGAATAAAATTGTAAATCAACTCCAGAAGGACCCTTCAAAGCCATGCAAATACATGGAAATTAAATAACCTGCTCCTGAATGATCATTGGGTCAACAATGAAATCAAAATTGAAATTTAAAAAATTACTCGAACTGAACAATAATAGTGACACAACCTATCAAAACTTCTGGGATACAGCAAAAGCAGTGCTAAGAGGAAAGCTCATAGCCTTAAATGTCTACATCAAAAAGTCTGAAAGAGCACAAATAGACAATCTAAGGTCACACCTCATGGAACTCAAGACAGAAGAATAATCCAAACCCAAAGCCAGCAGAAGAAAAGAAATAACATAGATCAGAGCAGAACTAAATGAAATTGAAACAACAACAACAAAAATGTACAAAAAATAAATCAAACAAAAATATGGTTCTCGAAAATAAATAAAATTGATAGTCTATTAGCAAGATTAACCAAGGAAAGAAGAGAGAAGATCTAAATAAGCTCAATTACAAATGAAATGTGAGACATTACAACTGATACCACAGAAATACAAAAGATTATTCAAGGCTACTATGAACCCTTTTAAGGGCACAAACTAGAAAACCTAGAGGAGATGGATAAATTCCTAGAAATATACAACCCTCTTAAATTAAACCAGGAAGATACAGAATCCTTGAACTGACCAATAACAAGCAGAGATACTGAAATGGTAATTTAAAAATTTGCCAACAATAAAAAGTCTAGGACCAGACAGATTCACAGCTAGATTCTATCCATTGACAATCTTATTGACACTATTCCAAAAGATAAAGAGGGAATCCTCCCTAAATCATTCTATGAAGCCAGTATCACCCTAATACCAAAACCAGGGAAGGACATAGCAACAACAAAAAACTAAGACCAATATCCCTGATGAACATAGATATAAAAATCCACAACAAAATACTAGCAAATGGAATCCAATAGTATATTAAAAAGATAGTCCACCATGATCAAGTTGGTTTCATACCAGGGATGCAGGGATAGTTTAACATAAGTAAGTCAATAAATGTGATATACCACATAAACAGAATTAAAAACAAAAATCACATGATCATCTCCATAGATGCAGAAAAGGCATTTGACAAAATCCAGCATCTCTTTATGATTAAAACCCTCAGCAAAATCAGCATAGAAGGGACATACCTTGAAGTAATCAAAGCCATCTACAACAACCCTATAGCCAATATGATACTGAATGAGAAGTTGAAAGCATTCCCTCTGAGAAATGGAACAAGGAAAGGATGCCCACTTTCACCACTTCTATTCAATGTAGTACTAGAAGTCCTAGCCAGAGCAATCAGAAAAGAGAAAGAAATCAAGGGCATCTAAATCACACTAAAGAAAAAGTCAAACTGTCCCTGTTTGCTGATGATATGATCATATATCTAGATACCCTAAAGACTCATCCAAAAGTCTCCTAAAACTGGTAAATGAATTCAGCAAAGTTTCAAGATGCAAAATTTAGGTACACAAATCAGTAGCTCTGCTATACACCAGCAGCAACCAAGCTGAGAATCAAATCAAGAACTCAACCCCTTTCACTATAGCTGCAAAAAATAAAATAAAATAAAATACTTAGGAATATACCTAATGAAGGATGTCAAAGACCTCTACAAGGAAAACTACAAAACAGTCCTGAAAGAAATCACAGATGACACAAACAAATGGAAACACATCCCATGCTCATGAATGGTCAGAATCAATATCATGTATATGACCATGCTGCCAAAAACAATCTACAAATTCAATACAGTTCCCATCGAAATACCATCATCATTCTTCACACTAGAAAAACAATCCTCTACTTCATATGGAACCATAAAAGAGCTTGCATAGCCAAAGCAAGACTAAGCAAAAAGAACAAATCTGGGGGCATCACATTACCCAACTTCAAGCTATCCTACAAGGCCATAGTCACCAAAACAGCATCATACTAGTATAAAAACAGGCATATAGACCAACGGAACAGAATAGAGAACCCACAAATAAAGCCAAATACTTACAGCCAACTGATCTTTGACAAAATAAACAAAAACATAAAGTGGCAAAAGGACACCCTATTTGACAAATGGTGCTGGGATAATTGGCAAGCCACAGCTAGAAGAATGAAACTGGATCCTCATCTCTTAACTTATTAAAAAAATCAACTCAAAATGAATCAAAGACTTAAATCTGAGGCCTAAAACCATAAAGATTCTGGAAGATAACATTAGAAAAACCCCTCTAGACATTGGCTTAGGCAAAGACTTCATGACCAAGTACCCAAAAGCAAATGCAACAAAACAAAAAAAGATAAATAGATACAACTTAATTAAACTAGAAAGCTTCTGCACAGCAAAAGAAATAATCACCAGAGTTAACAGGTATATTACAGAGTGGGAGAAAATCTTCACAGTATATACATCCAACAAAGGCCTAATATCCAGAATCTACAAAGAACTCAAACAAATCAGCAAGAGTGAAACAAACAATCCCATCAAAAAGTGGGCTAAGGACATGAATAGACAGTTCTCAAAAGAAGATATACAAATGGCTAACAAGCATATAGAAAAATGCTTGACATCACTAATTATCAGGGAACTGCAACTCCAAACCCACAATGTGTTACCACCTCACTCCTGCAAGAATGGCAGTAATCAAAAAAAATCAAAAAGTAATAGATGTTGGCAGGGATGTGGTGAAAGGGGAACACTTTCACCTTGGTGGGAATGTAAACTAGTACAACCACTATGGAAAACAGTGTGAAGATTCTTTAAAGAACTAAAAGTAGATTTATTGTTTGATCCAGCAATGCCACTACTAGGTATCTACCAAGAGAAAAAGAAGTCATTATATGAAAAAAATACTTGCACACACACATGTTTATAGCAGCACAATTTGCAACTGCAAAACTATGGAACCAGCCCAAATGCCTATCAATCAAAGAGTACCTAAAGAAAATGTGGTACATATATACCATAGATTACTATTCGGCCATAAAAAGGAATGAAATAATGGCATTTGTAGCAACCTAGATGGAACTGGAGACTATTATTCTAAGTGAAGTAACTCAGGAATGGAAAACCAAACATGTGTTCTCACTCATATGTGGGAGCTAAGCTATGAGGACGCAAAGGCAGAAATAAGAGTGATACATTTGACTTTGGGGACTCAGGGGAAAGGGTTGGGGGTAGTGAGGGATAAAAGACTACATATCGGGTACAGTGCACACTGCTCGAGTAATTGGTGCACCAAAATCTCAGATATCAACACTAAAGAACTTGTTCATGTAACCAAATATCACTTGTTCCCCAAAAACCTATTGAAATAAAAAAAATTAAAAATTAATAACTGAAGATTTACCAAATCTGAGGAGAGAAATAAACATCCAGACTCAAAAAGTCCATAAAACCTCAACTAGGTTGAGCATACAAAGGTTTATATCAAGACCCATTTTAATTGAACTATGAAAAGTCTGAGAAAAGGAGACAATTTCAAAAGTAGCAAGAGAAAATGACTTATCATATACAAGGCAAATTCACAAGACTATCAGCAGATTTCTCAACAGAAATCTTGCAGGCCAGGAAAGTGTGAAATGATATATTCAAAGTATTGGAGGAAAAAGATTGCTAAACAATAGTATTATACCCTGCAAAGCTATTTTTTAATAGCTGCTCTTTAAAAATGAAGGGGAGACAAATTCTTTCCAAGAGAGAGGGACTTTGTCACTACTTAACCTATCTTACAAAAAATGCTTAAGGAAGGCCTTCAAGCAATGTAAAAGCATATGAAGGTAGAAATCTCACAGGCAAAGTAATACACAGTCAAATACAGAATAATAAACACTGTAATGGTGGTGTCTAAAATACTTACAACACGCAAGATAAAGGTTTGGTTAAATTATTAAAAATAACTATACTAAAATTTGATAATGAATTTAGAATATAAATTTGATAAATAATTCACAATGAATGAAATCAGAGTAATCTCTGACTTGAACATGTAGTGTGAATGGGGCAGGTAAGAATGCAGAGTTTTTTTTAATACAATTTAAGTTGTTATCAACTGAAATAGAAGTTTATAACTACAAGAAAGCTTATGTAAGCCTTAAACCCACAAAGAAAAACCTATAGCAGATACACAAAAGATGAAGTGAAAGTAATCAATTCAAACCACTACAAAAAAATCATCAAATAATAGAAGACAGTAAGAGACAAAAAGAGAAACAAAAGAGCTGCAAAAGAGACAGAAAACAATTAATAAAATGGCAATAGTGAGACATCAATAATCACTTTATATGTAAATGAACTAAACTCTTCCATCAAAAGGCATAGTGTACTTGACTGGATATTATTTTATTTTATATTTTTACATTGTAGATTCAGGAGGTATAAGTGCAGGTTTGTTACATGAGTATATTGCATGATGCTAAAGTTTGGGCTTCTAATCATCCTGTCACCCCAGTGGCTAACATATTACCTGATAAGCATTTTTTAAACTCTTGCTCATCCCTCCCTCTCCCCTTAAAGAATCCCTAGTGTCTACTGTCTCTATCTTTGTGTCTGTGTGTACTCAATTTTCTCACTTATAAGTGAGAAAATGAAGTAATTGGCTTCTTGTTTCTGTGTTAATTCACTTAGGATAATGGCCTCCAGCCATACCCATGTTGTTGCAAAGGACATAGATTCACTCTTTTTTCATGGCTGCATAGTGTTCCATAATGTGGATGTATCACATTTTCTTTATCCAGTCTACCATTGGTGAGCATCTGGGTTGATTTCATGTCTTTGCTGTTGTGAGCAGTTCTGCAATAAACATACAAGTGCAAGTGTCTTTTTGGTAGAACTATTTATTTTCCTTTGGGTAGATACCAAATAATGGGATTGCTGGATTGATGGTAATTCTATTTTTAGTTCTTTGAGAAATCTCCACATTACTTTCCATGGTGGCTGAACAAATTTGCATTCCTATCAACAGTGTATAAGCATTCCCTTTTATTCACAACCTCGCCAAAATCAGTTATTTTTTGACTTTTTAATAATAGCCATTCCGACTGGAATGAGATGGTATCTCATTGTGGTTTTGATTTGCACCTCTGTGGTGATTAGTGATGTAGAGCATCTTTTCATATATGTGTTGGTCACTCGTACGTCTTTTTTTGAGAAGTGTCTGTTCGTGTCCATTGTCCACTTTTTAATGGTGTTATTTGTTGTATTTTCTTGTTGATTTAAGTACCTTACAGATTGTGGGTATTAAACCTTGGCCAAATGCATACTTTGCAAATACTTTCTCCCATTATGTAGGATGTCTGTTTACTTTGTTGACAGTTTCTTTTGCTTGCAGAAACTCTTCAGTATAATTAAGTCCCATTTGTCTACTTTTAATTTGTTACATTTGCTTTTTGAGCCTTCTTCATAAATCATTTTCCTAGATTAATGTCTAGAAGAGTATTTCCTAGGCTTTCTTCTAGGATTTTTATAGTTTGAGAACTTACATTTAAGTCTTTAAACCATCTTCAGTTAATTTTTGTACACAGTGAGAGGTATGTGTACAGTTTCATTCTTCTGCATATGGATAGCCAGTTTTCCCAGTACCATTTATTGAACAGGGTATCACTTCCCCATTATTTTTGTTGACTTTGTCAAAGATCAGTCGGTTATAGGTGTGCAGCTTTATTTCAGGGATCTCCATTCTGTTCCATTGGTCTACATGTTTATTTTTGTACTAGTACCTGCTATTTCAGTTACTGTGACCATGTAGTATAGTTTGAGCTTGGTGAGATGTGATGCCTCAAACTATACTTTTTGCTTAGAATTGTTTTGGCCATTACGACTCTTTTTTAGTTCCATATGAATTTTAGAATATTTTTCTAATTCTGTAAAAAATGACATTGATAATTTGATAGGAATAGCATTAAATCTGTAGATTGTTTTGGACAGCCTGGCCATTTAATTGATATTGATTATTCCAATCCATAAGCACGAAATGCTTTTCCATTTATTTGCGTCATCTATGATTTATTTTAGCAGTGTTTTGTAGTTTTCCTCATAGAATTCTCTCACCTCCTTAGTTAGATGTATTCCTAAGGATTTTATTTTTCTGCGTGGCTATTGTAAATGGATTGCATTCTTGATTTGGTTATCAGCTTGAACATTATTGGAGTATAGAAATGCTACTGACTTTTGTATGTTGAATTCATATCCTAAGACTTGGCTGAAGTATTTTAACAGATCTAGAAGTCTTTTGGCAGGATCTTTATGGTTTTCTAGGTATATAATTGTATCATCAGTGAAGACAGATAATTTAACTTCCACTTTTTCTATTTGGATGTTTTGCATTTCTTTCTCTTGCCTGATTGCTCTGGCAAGAACTATGTTGAATAGAAGTGGTGAGAGTGGACATCCTTGTCTTGTTCCAGGTTTTAGAAAGAATGCTTATAACTTGTTCAGTATAATGTTGGCTCTTGGTCTGTTATAAATACCCCTCATTATTTTGAGGTGTGTTCCTTCAATACCAAGTTTATTGAGAGATTTTATCATGAAGGGATGCTGGATTTTATCAAAATTTTTCCTGTGGCTTTTGAGATCATCATGTGGTTTTTTCATTTTGCTTATGGTTGTAAATCACATTTATTGATTTGTATATGTTGTACCCCACTTTTATCCTGGCAATAAAACCTACTTGATAATGGTGAATTAGCTTTGTGATGTGCTGCGGGATTTGGTTTGCTAGTATTTTATGGAGGATTTTTCATCTACGTTCAACAGGGATATTGGCCTGTAGCTTACTTTTTTGTTGTGTTTTTGCCAGATTTTGGTATCAGGATAATACCAGTTTCATGGAATGAGTTAGGGAAGACTCCCTTTTCCTCAATTTTTTGGAATAAATGTATTATGATTGGTATCAGGACGTTTTTATATGTCTGGCAGAATTTGACTACGAATCCATCTAGTCCAGGGACTTTTTGGATTGGTAGGGTTTTTTGTTTTTCTTATGGATTCATTTTCATTATTTATCATTAGTCTGTTCAATATTTCTGTTTCTTCCTGGTTCAATCTTTGAAAGTAGTTCTTTCCAGGAATTTATGCATTTCCTTTAGGTTTTCTAGTTTGTGTGTATAGAGATGTTCATAATAGTCCCTGAGGACCTTTTGCATTTCTGTGGGATCAGAAATAAACTCTTGTCATTTCTGATTGTGCTTATTTGGATCTTTATTTTTTCTCTCTGTTAACTTACCTAGTGGTCTATCAATGTTGTTGATGAAATGAAAGAACTTTTCATTTCATTGATCTTTTGCCTGTTTTTTGGGGGGCCTAAATTTCACTTCATTCTTCTCTGATTGTAGTTATTTCTTTTCTTTTGTTAATTTTGGGTTTAGTTTCTTTTGTTTTTCTAGTTCCTTCATGTGCGAGGTTAGGTTGTTTATTTGCAAACTTTCTATCTTCTTGATGTAGGCATTTAGTGCTATAAACTTCCCTCTTAACAGTGTTATTGCTGTATCCCAGAGGTTTTTGTCTGTTCTTTCTCTATTTTCATTTGCTTCAAAGATTGTTTTGATTTCTGCCTTAGTTTTGTTGCTTACCCAAAAGTAAGCTGTAAGTTGTTTAGTTTCGATTAACTTGTGTGGTTTTGAGAGTTCCTCTTTGTATTGATTTCTATTTTTATTTCACTGTGGTTCATGAAGATGCTTGGTATAATTTATATTTGAATGTATTGAGACTTGATTTATGACTGAGCATGTGGTCAATCTTAGTCAATCTTATGGTATGTTTCATGTGCAGATGAGAAGAAAGTATATTCCATGGTTGTTGCAAGGAGTATTCTGTAGATTTCTATTATGTCGAATTGCTCCATGTCAAATTTAAGTCCAGAATTTATTCCCAAAGTGCTGGTATTACAGACATGAGCCACCATGCTCGGTCCCTATTTTCAATAATGAATAGAACATCCAGACAGAAAATCAATAAGAAAACAGCAGCCATGAGCAACAATAGACCAAATGTACTTAACAGAAAAATGCAGAACTTTCCACCCAACAGCAGAATGCATATTCTTCTCAAGTTCACATGAAACCTTCTCCAGAACAGATCACATGTCAGGTGACAAAACAAGTCTTAGCAAATATAAGAATATTAAAATAATACCAAATGTCTTCTCAGAGCACAACGTAATAAAACAATAGATCAAAAATAGAAAGCAAACAAGAAAATTTGCAAATATATGGAAACCAAATGACACTCTCTTGAACAATCATTGAGTAAAAGAGAACATCAAGAGAATATTTTTAAAATACCTTGATACAAACAAAAATGCAAATAAAATCATCAGAATTTATGGAATGTTGTGAAAACATTATTAAGAGTTTATAGCACTGAAGACCAACTTTTTTAAAAAGAAAGATCTGTATAAATCAATACAATTTTACAACTGAAAGAACTAAAATAAACACAAAGTCAGCAAAAAAAAAAAGGAAATAATGCTGACTATAGCAAAAGTACACAAGGTAGGGAGTAGAAAAACAAACAGAAAAAAAAAAAACCAAAAATTTTTTTTAAAGATAAATGAAATTGAGCAACACTTATCTAAGATAAAAAGGGAGAACACTCAAATAAACAAAATCAAAAATTGAAGGGTAAACATTGCAATGCATAACACAGAAATAAAAAAGATCACAGGGGATTATCATGAACAATTATATGCCAGCAAATTGGATAACCTGGAAGACTTGGATAAATTCCTAGAAACATACAATTTACCAAGACTAATTCAAGAAGAAATAGAAAGCCTGCACAAACCATTAACAAAAATATTAAATCTGCTCTCAAAAACTCTTCAACAAAGAATAGCACAGTATCAGGTGGCTTCATGGGAAAAGTCTACCAAACTTCCAAAGAATGTATATCAACCCCTTTTATACCCTTCCAAAAGATAGAGAAACAAACACCGTCAAATTCATTTTGTGTGGCTTGATTCCAAAGCCAGGAAAAGGAAATACAAGAAAAGAAAACTACAAACCATATCGCTGAACAAAGCTGGAGCCATCACACTATCTGTTCTCAAAATGTGTTACATAGCTATAGTAATCAAAATATCATGTTACTGGCACAATAAAGACATATAGACCAATGGACAGAATAGAGGACCAAGAAATAAAACCACACATTTACAGTTAACTGATCTTTGGCACAGGTGTCAAGAACACACAATGGGGAAAGGACAATCTCTTTAACAAATGGTGTTGGGACAACTGGATATACGCATGCAGAAGAATGAAATTAGACCCTTATTTCACCACATATTTCACAAAAATCAACTCAAAATGCTTAAAATACTTTTGTCTTATACTTGAAACTAAAACTTCTGGAAGAAAACATGAAAAAAACCATCTTGGCATTGGTCTTGGCAATAACTTTCTGGATATTACATGAAAAACACAGGCAACAAAAGCAAAAAAAGGCAAATGAGATTACATCAGACTAAAAGTCTCCTGCATAGCAAAGGGAACAATCAACAAAACCACAAGGCAATATTAAGAATGGGAAAAATATTTCCAACCCATATAACTGATAAGAAGTTAATACCCAAAATATATAAAGGACTTATGCAATTCAGTACCAAAAGAAAAACTCAATTAAAAAATAGTCAAAAAGACTTAAACACTTTTCAAAAGAATATATTCAGATGGTCAAAAAGTACATGAAAAGTTACTCAAAATCTCTAAACATTAGGGAAATACAAACCAAACAAAAATTGACACATCACCTCAAACATGTTAGAATGTCTGTTACCCAAAAGACAAAAGATATCAAGCGTTAGGATGTGGAGAAAAGGCAACCTTGTATACTGTTGGTAGAAATGTAAATTGATATAGCCATTATGGCAAAGAGTATACATGTTCCTTAAA